>NC_000007.14:136881779-137506779 GCF_000001405.40 Homo sapiens
TGGACAAGTCTTCCATTTCTCTGAGTGTGTAAATTCAAGAAGAGGAGAGGAAAAAATATCACAGGGCTGTTTACTTTCCACTTCTCTTTCTCACATCATCTTCCAATCTTCAGCAGCCATGGCCATGACGAAGCTAAGTTAAAAAACTGAAAACCTAGTTGAAAGACCATTTTATACAAGACCATACTGACCCCTAAATAACCTTTAAATGAAACACCATAAATCTTTTTTGTTTTACCAATAGCAGACAGAGTATTCTTGTTCCTATTTGAGAAGTAAGGGAAGTCCTAAGAGGTTATTTAGTACTCCTCTGAGGTGTTTTCTCTATCCTCTGCCTTTAGGAAACTGATACTGTTTGAATATTGGTCTAGTCCCTCCAGCTATTTAGACACCGGCTTTACACACGGAAGCTAATGGAACCCACTTATTTAACTTGACAATTTAACCTCTTCACATGGACCTACTGTTTTTCTTACACTCATACGTTATATTCAACTCCTTTATACAACAAAATTCTTTTGATATTCTCCGGTTTCATTAAAAGAAACCTGCTCCATAAGGATGGGACTTGTATTCCCTCCTTTCCTCCTCCTCCCCTTTCTTCTCCCCTTTCTCCTCCTCCCCCTCTTCACCTTCCTTCTCCTCTTCCTTTCTCCTCCTCCTTCCCCCTCCTTCTTCTCAGCATTTAATTTGATGCCTGCCTCTATTCTTGGCACATAGCAGAGCTCAATAAATGTTTATTTAATGATACTTTATGCTAGTAGTCTGCTAAGAGTTCCAAGTTTCCTACTACCCCAATCTGCTTCTTCTGTTGGTTTCATAATACTGAGTTATTCCTTTCTGAAATAGCTCAAAGAAACTCTTTCTAGGTAAAATTTTTCTTTGAAAATAAAACTTCCTTTCTGATAAATGTTTCCACTTTCGAAACCAATATTTTATCTAAGCCTGAGCAAAATTTCCTCTAGGCCATGCTTATAGGTATATAGTAATATTATTTTGTTTAAGCTGAATCTAATTAATCTGAAACACATGAACTTTTAAAGAGACCAGACTTTTTTGTTTATGCATATTATATATGTTAAAAGAAATTTTAGCCAGCTAAACATTGCATATGATTTAAACAGTATATTTTTTCCATATTAGGGATGGATTTAGTACAGTTTCCTCTTTTTACTTGACCCAATGTAAAAGATAAATGAACAAAGATGAAGAATAATATACCTCATGAAACTAAGTAACATTCTGGATAATTTGCCATGCAATAGCCTTAGCCTTACTCAAAAGAGGAAGGAGAAGTACTACACTTAGGTGCCCACTTTCATCTGCTCTCTTACGTAGGGCTTAGCGTTCCCTCCTAATAGCACTACTTCTGCCTTAACAGTTACAGTGGACCTAAGCTCCCTAGCAGTGGGGATCTTCCACTTGTTTTTACCACCTTCTAGGGAGCTTAGAAAGAGAAGGTTTTGGCATCTTTCCCTGTCTTCAGCCTCCGGTGTCTCCCAAAGGGTACTACAGTTTCAGGCAGTACAAAGTAGTGGATAAGTATATTCAGTTTGGAGACAGTTGTGTCATTGTTAGTTTACCCTTAATATCTTCACCTTCATGAATTTAAAGATTTAGTGGGGTGTCCAACATCATCTAGTCTGATGCCTTTATTTTATAGTGAGGAGACTTACTAAGGGTAAAAACAGTCGTAGCTTATTATGTGGGTGACAGTGATCAGAGGTGACAGAAACAAGACTTTGAGTCTGAACACCTTGACAACCCATTATCAGTTTCATCAACCTACAATGAATACTTCTATGGAAGGTTCCACATGATTATTTTCAATCTTAGACTTGTATTCCTTCTAAGAAAGATATGAGGCTATAAAAACTCTTTCTTTGTTATTCTTTCTGGTTTGTGTGGGACTTTTGATTCTGTTTTTCACCTCTCCTCTTCTGTTTCCCTGATGTTTTACAAAGGGATCTTACAATTTAGTGGTAAGATTTTGTTGGAAAGGCTGGATTCAAACATGAGCGACTGTCAAAACTTTAATGACAGGTATGAAATGACGCCAACCTATCAGAACATGTGTTGGCCATTGTATTGTTCTTTGGGTCCCTGCTGAGAATCAGTCCTGGTTCAATGAGTTACTCTAATCTTGAAAGCATCTACTTTCTTGCTTTCCAGATATTCTGGAAATATAATCTAGTCATTTTTCCTACTGAATTGCCTGTAAATGATTAGGGTTTTCATTAATCATTGCAGTATCTACTTGGAGTAATGTATTTTTAAAAAATAATGGTGATGCTCATAAAAATATATCAACTTAATCTTGCAACTTTACATGATTGAGAATAGTTAAAAATTAATTACACAATGAGTTTGTTCCCTGGAGATGTATGACAACTTCAAAAGCTGAAGAAAGTATGATGGATGAACTCTTTTATAAAACGACATCAAAATCTGCTTCTTTCTTTTGCTTCCCCAATTCATAAGGTCATTAGGAAACTGTTGTCACGTTGAGTGCCAAATTTGCAAAAATTGTCTGTGCAATGTCTTTAGAGTAAGAAAAAAAGACAAATTAGAAAGCTGTATTTTGATGTCATCTCTCCTAATTCTGTCAAAGTGTTTTTCTTCCAAATAGCAGATTACTTCATCCTAAAGGCTTGATAACCATAAATGTAATCAGCTTTGCCACAAATGTTTTCAAAATGAAATGCCTTTTTTTTTTTTTGGTTGTCTTTTTT
The DNA here is from genome assembly GCF_000001405.40 of Homo sapiens. Classification (NCBI taxonomy): domain Eukaryota; kingdom Metazoa; phylum Chordata; class Mammalia; order Primates; family Hominidae; genus Homo; species Homo sapiens. Next base: position 136,884,512 of record NC_000007.14, read on the forward strand.
GCTTTGTTTTTTTATCAGGGGAAAGTGGAGAGGAGAAGCAATTGGTGGTGAGTTGAGGAACTGGTGTTTTCTGAGACACTGAGCATTTCATAGTCCAGAGAAATTCACAATTAGGTGATAGAATGTGCTCCCAGACCACTGTCACTTACACTGGGAATGTGATGTCCTCCTGGGGAATGTTGGGAAGGCACTTGCAAAGCTATTTTAAGAGGCGTTTGGAACTGTGAGAGGACAGGGAAGTATAGGAGAACATGCCAGAAGCCTTGTTTGTAAATACTGTATTCTCTTTAGGGGCTACTCAGTGGCAAAATCAAACAGATATTTTGCCAGACAATAAAGCAGCTCATCTTTACTTCCTAAGAGAATTCCACACTCAGTGAAGATCAAAACTTACAATGAAAACATTTTAATGAATCACAGAAAATCAGTTTTTCTGTTTGTTTGGTTGTTGGTTTTGTGTCTTTCCTGGTGTGAGCTCCCCAAGCTTACAGATGAGCTGATGCTACTAGTTGGTACCAGTAATCCATCAGAAGACAGATGAAACTTTGTAAGAGAAACTGTATTTGATAAAGCTGAAAGCTAACTTGCTTCAATCTTTTTAGAAAATGTTTTATTCATCTTCATAGAGACCCAAAGGAAAAATAATTTGGACAGGGATGGCAATTCTGTGACAGTTTATCATCCCTCCTTAGCAATGGACCAAAGAGAGAAACAAATAGGAAGTCAAAAATTTCCTCGTTTCCTGGTCTGTGACAACCCCAAAGATTCCAAAGAGAGTTGGAGAATAGCTTGCTTGCAAAAGTGAGCAGGTCTCACATACTCCCTTCAACTCCATCTCCTAAAAAGTAATTTAAATTTCAGGGGTATCATCTGTATAGCCACATAAAGAGGACATTGTCCATATTTAAAACTGAGAAATATCCATCATTCATATCAGTAACATTTTCATCTTATTATTCTGCTTTTTAAACTTACATTTCTGTCCCCCTGCAGTATTCAGTCAGTTGTATACCAAGATCGTGTAAGTGCTTTATAAGTGACAGATATTAATGCACTAGAAATGGTTATTTATTTATTCTTCAACATTTATTTCTGCAGACTTAGTTACATACAGGTACTATACTAGACATCTAGGATACAAAGGTGATTCATCATAATTCTAGCCTTTACAGTCTGTCCTGAGAGATTAGATGAGGAAAAAACAATGATATACAATACACAGGTGATAAATCAGAGACATTAAAACTCCTTGAATCACAGGGAAAAATTAGACTAACCCAGCTGGATCTTGGTTTAATAAAGCACTAGAGAGTCAATGGGGTCTTACTGGATTGAGGGGGGAAGAGGAAGAACTTAGCAGAAGAGGGTAGAGCATGTACCAACACATAGGAATGGAACATTCAGAGTCCCGTACGTTATTCTCAGTAGCTACAGCCTAGGGTGGTTTTGGGGAAATGGAAAGGAAGGCTGAAACATAGATTAGGCCAGACTATGAAAGAGTCAGTATGGCATCCAAAGGTCTATACCTATCCTGTTGGCTAGCATGAGCAAAATCTGTCATCGAAGGGAAACATTTTATGTTTAAATCATATGCCCTACACCATCCTATTTCATTTGACATTTACCTAAAAAGGTAGTAAAAAATCTGGGTAGAATCACAGGTAGATTGTTAGATTGGTCAAATGGCAACATCTAGCTTATGATGTCTGCCAAAATCATAGTACCTTGTGGTAAGGAAGTGGGTCCATGAAAACACCGAGTGATAGTTCTCTAGTTTTATGTGACTTCTCCCCATTCATAACTTCAAATGGTCTGGGCTTTGGGTAAACAGTAGGCTCATTCATATGTGTACAGTAAAGCAAGTACCCAAAGCACTGAAAGAAGCCAAAAATTTACACCATTGCTTTCTGACTCCTCTTTGAGAAGAAGACTCAGATTCTTGCCACTAGTGTACTTCAAAGTGTAATTTCTTGTCGATCTAAGGCAAGGTGTGTGAAACACAGTGCCTGGACATCATCTGGTATGGATTTAGGAAACTTGATTTTATGTAGCGGTTCTAATTGAAAAATTCTGAGCCAGGCACAGTGGCTCATGTCTGTAATCCCAGCACTTTGGGAGGCCAAGGCAGGTGGAGTATTTAAGCCCAGGAGTTCAAGACCAGTCTGGGCAACATAGGAAAACTCTTCTCTACAAAAAATACAAAAAAAAAATCTAGCCAGGTGTGGTGGTGCACACTTGTAGTCCTAGCTACCTGGGAGGCTGAGGGGGAGGATCATTTGAGCCCCCAGCAGGTCGAGGCTGCAGTGAGCTGTGATTGCACCACTGCACACTACCCTGAGCAACAGAGTGAGACCCTGTCTCAAAAAGAAAAAAGAAAATAATAATTCTATAGCCCATCATGCCTCAAACATACCTAGTGGATTAGGTGTCTCAGTTGGGGTTTCAGAATGTATGTCCACCACTTCATCTTTCTGTAAGATGTAGGCCAAAGGATACAATGTAGCAAATATGTAGTTGAACAAGTCAAAAGATCTAATGTACAGCATGAGGACTATGGTTATTAACAGTGTATTGTATTCAGGCTTTTTATGAGTAGATTATAGCTGCTCTTGCCATAGGGGCAGTGAGACTGCATAACTCTGTGAGATGATGGCTATGTTAATTTATTCTACTATACTAACCATTTTATTATATGTATATATCTTATAACATCATGTTGTATATCTTAAATATACACAATAAAATGTATTTTAAAAATGCTTTGCTTAAAAAACCTTTACAATTTGCAAAGGATTAATGTATCCATCACCTTATTCGCTTTTCACAAAAAAAAAATCCCACAGGATAGTAACAACACATTGAGGAAATTTAGAATTGTCAATCTCTGGTGACTTGTCCAAGGTGACACAGCTTGAATGAGAATCCAGATGGCCCAACTCTTATACTCTTGGGTTTTTCATCCTTCCTTACAGTGATAAGGATGAAATCTCACTGTGCCATTGCCTGAAATACCCTGAGTGTCTGACAAAAGTTAACTGGCACCTCACCCACAATTAATTCTCCAGAGAAGTGAGTTAAGAGTGATGAGTCTAAACTTGTCTCTTGAATCAACTCACCCTCAAAGAACAGATAATTCATTGTGAAACTCAAAACCTCACTGACCATGCCTCAGAAGAATTATTCCATCTCCCTCCTAAGGAAACCAAGCGTTCTCTCAGAAAAGGAGATAAAGAAATTTCTGCTGCTGGATCTCTGTGAAGCAGTTCCCCCTTTTGGGAAACTTAGGGTTTTATATATTTTTTAAATTTTACTTGAAAATGTCTTGTGATCAAATGTGTCCCCATTTTACATTTGAAGAAACAGATGTGAAGAGAAAAAGTTCTCTCTCCTGGGAGGCACTTTGATGGCTACCTTTGATTACCGAGAAAACCTCAGCTCGGGAATCTTTGGGAAGGCAGAACTGGAGGAAAACTCTCTCTAGGATTTTCAAATCCTGAGGGTTGAACATCAGCTTTCTCCTGTGAGCCCTGAGGGGAGCTCTCTGGGATTTCCTGACAGACTCCACTTTCCTCAGGGCTGAATTAACAATTCCCATTCTTTTTGCTTCTTTCCCCTGGCTCTGCCAGATGTGTTACTTTGCCCTGCAATATTTAAGCAGGAGAATTTTACCTGGGAGCTGCCATGCCCATCGAGTCGTAGCTTAGTCCATGGACCCCTATCATGAAACCTAAGAAAGGCCTTATTGTCTTAAAATAGATAGGAGCCAAATTCCCCTCTTCCCTGTGATGTCTGCTAAACGTACATGTCCCTGCCCATTGCTGCGCTGGGGAAAGGAGAGATACCATACTTCTAAGCACCTTTCTGATTTAATCCTTGCTTCAGCCTATGGGAAGCAGTTGACCTGTTGTTGTTGGAAGCTGTGAGAATTCAGCGAGAAATATTTTAGCAGGTTTTCAGAAAGGAATTACATATGTGAATAGGAATAACATTTTTCAAGTCACACCAATCATCAGCATTCACCCTGTTGGGCAAAAGGTCTCTGTGGTGGGGAGTGAGTTTAAGAAATGAGGGATTGGCATTTTCAGCTCAGGCTGTGTGTTGATGAGCCCTGTGCCTCATGATTCCCCTTAATTTAACATGGAGGATGATCTATTTTATGTCTTTCAGTGGGAAACCCTAAGAAGAGTTATTCTTGTTAATAAAACGAGTCAGGAACTGCAAAAAGAATATTGGCGTGCTTGTTCCAATTAAAAGTAATTACCAATTCAATCACGCCTGTAATCCCAGCACTTTGGGAGGCCAAGGCAGGCGGATCACGAAGTCAGGAGATCGAGACCATCCTGGCTAACACGGTGAAACCCCTTCTCTACTAAAAAATACAAAAAAATTAGCCGGGCGTGGTGGCGGGCACCTGTAGTCCCAGCTTCTTGGGAGGCTGAGGCAGGAGAATGGCATGAACCCGGGAGGCGGAGCTTGCAGTGAGCCGAGATCGCGCCACTGCACTCCAGCCTGGGCGACAGAGCGAGACTACATCTCAAAAAAAAAAAAAAAAAAAAAAAAAAGTAATTACCATTTCAAAAAAGAACTTTTCTATCAATCATGTAGCTCAATTTGTACTGTCTCCATTTCTTCCAGAATTATTGTTCTTGAGTGTTGGTGCAAAATTCAGTATTGGTGGATAGGTGATTTCTGAGAGAAGGGCTGGCATTGTGAGGTTGCTTGCTCAGCCTTCACTGGATGGCTGGTGCTTGGTGAGTGGCTCTAAGAGCACTGGGGGAACCACTTCTTATGTAAGGGTCATTTGACTTTGAGCTCCTCTTGAGCTAAGGAAGAGAACAATCCCTTTATACTGGTTAACATTTACTGCTTTCACATTTTTTTCATCTATTGATCCCTCTACAATCTGGGTGAGGTGGGCATTATTACTGATATCCAAATGAGGAACAAAAGTATTTAAGGGTTTCCCAATCTTAACTGAAAGTATAAGACAGAACCAGGACACAAATCAACTTTTCCAACTCAGATGCACCACACCTTTCCACAAAGGGTGATTCTCAGGACATAACCCAATCCTGAGGTTTCTTCATTTCTAAAATGTGTAATACCAATGCCTGCAATTACTTTGAAAAATTACTCAAGAATAAAAAGAAATAAATTTGGAAACATTTTGTAAACACATAAATGCTATACATATGCGGTGTACTAAAATGATAATCACTATTTGCAATGATTTAGATTCAGATAGAACCTCCAACTCTATTCATTTGGTTTGTTTAGCTATTGCGGACTGTTGCGGGAATGTTGTTTTTTTCTCTATGTTGAGTATATTTTAAAATTATGTTTAAATTCGTTAGACTTAGTTATTCCTGTTGGACTCAGAGATATTTCACAAATATAAAGCACAGACAGGCGACCTCAGCTGCCTCCTCTGTTGACTAGGATTTTCCAGGGAGGAATAGACTTCTCCCTGCTATAGCACACCTTACCACATTCAGCTGTTATTATTTTCTATCCATCTCCAGCATGAACTTTACAATTAATTATCCTACATATATTTTTTTCTAACCTGGGATCCTATGTCAAGGTTATTGCCAAATTATCAAGACAGCTGCTTCAAAACTGAGACAATACATTTCTAATCTTGGGAAGAGTTAAGAAATGTCTAGTAGTTTGCACTTAAATATGATTTCTGACAGTTGTGACTTGTATCCTGAAGGTAACTAAAATGTAATCTAAGGAAAGGCGTGGGCACATGGACTCCGAACTATAACGTCACCATTAACACTTTTTCATGTCACTAACCCAAAGCATTGCACCGCTGTGTGTGTACTGCTAAGAAAAACTGATGTGTTGATCGTATATTCTGAGGGAAAAGCTATCTGAATAGAGAGGGTTCTGTGACCACTGGCTACCTTTCAAATTAAGTAGTTTTCCTTTGCCGAATTTCAAAAGAATATTTAGCACTCAAAAGAAAATTGCCATGTTCTGCAGTAGTGAACCTTGTGACTCAGAGGCAGAAATATGAGCAGACACAGTCTATCAGGAGTGTTCTAGGGAGAAAACCCAAAAGACTGCCTTTATCCTGACAGCCAGAAACCACCCGCTGAGCTCCAGTGAGTACTAAAACCCTATCGTGGAGGCTTCTAGCCTGAAGAGGATGCAGTGTGGTTTGCCCAAGTGAGGGAGGCTATATGATTGATGGTTCTATCCAAAGACTGTTGTTAGTGATTAAAACTGACTTTATTAAATACATATTAAAGTCCAAGTGTTTGTGTATGTGTATGTGTGAATTTGTGTATATGGGTGTATGTGTTTATATATGTGTGTGTATGTGTGGATATGTGTATGTGTATGTTTGTATATATGTGTATGTGTGTGTATATGTGTGTGGCAGGGAGGGAATTCTTAAATTTGTTGCTTCCTTCTGTTACATTCATCCCTACTGTGTCTCCTTTCTTTCTCACCTTATAAACGATCCACTAATTGCTAAGTTCAGAAACTTTGCATTTATGTCTTTCAAAATACACTTTTAATCTTAACATAGTTTTAGAGTTACAGAAATATTGCAAAGATATTTCAGAGAATTCCCATATACCCATCACCTAGTTTTCTCTGTTACTAAGATCTTGCATTCATATGATATATTTGACACAACAAACCAATACTGAAACATTAACTAAAGTTCAAACTTTAATCAGATTTCCTTAGTTTCTACCCAATGTCCTCTTTCTGATTGGTGTCCCATCCAGATGCCACAGTGAATTTAGTCGCCATGTCTCTTTCCTGAGGCTCCTGGATACTGTGACAATTTCTCAGACTTTCCTTGTTTTCAGTGACTTTGACAGCTTTGAAGAGTTCTGGCCAGAGGTTTTGAAGAATATTCTTAACTGTTGGTTTGTCTGATGTTTTTCTCTGGTTAGAATGGGGTGATGGGGTTTGGGGGATGAGGACCACAGAAGATCAAAAGTACATGCTATCAACATGACTTATTACTGATGATGTTAAGCTTGATCACCTGGCCAAGATAGCATTTGCTGTGACTCACATTTGATTTGTCCCTCTCTTTATCACACCCTTTTCATGGCCTTCAATGCATAATCTGCAACTTCTCACCTCCCCAGTCTCATCTTGAACTGCTGTGTGCTTCAATCAGCGTTTAGCTACACTTGTTTGCCTTTATGTTTCTTGGACATAACATGCCCTTTTCTGCCTTAAGGCTTCTGCTTAGAGTATATGCCCTATATTTTTCCTTTTATATTAGCATTTAATCCAGCCACTTCCCCATGCTAAGCATAGCCAGCATATTATTATTGTTCAGTCTGATTATCTGCCGCTCCTCAGAAGTCCTTTCCCTGTGAATCCAGTCTGAAATAGTGGCTTTGATTTAGGAGCCATCTCAGCACCTTGTCTGTTTCCCTCCTAGAATTTAATGCAGTAATTTATCTAACTTTTACTTCATGTTTTTGATAACTCAGGAGAAGGCAGAAACAACAGCTGTCTAATTTACCCCTGGGGCCTAGAATAGTATCTGTTACACAGCAGGTATTAACACTGGTTGAGTGGATGGACCAATCACAGTGTCTCAGATACAAAGCAAGCTCGAATTTGAAAGACAAGGAAAGAGGTGCTTGCACTGGATACTTATGATGATAATTTCTATTTAGGGAAATCCTTTTTGCCAAAATTCTTGACAGTTGGTGAATTGTGCTTCCTTTAATTTATTTAACATCAGTTATTTTTCTTGTTTTGCTTGATACATGAATTGAGAATAAACTTTAAGAAGACAGAAAGAACAAAATTTATTTTCTGTGACACACAAAGGAAAGCCATTCTATAATTCTTCAATGAGATTGCATTGGTCCCAAGTTACCTTCTCTGGGTTATCATACTTGGCGGTCTCTGAACATCTAGATAGATAGTGCAAACCAGTATACAAAGCTCAAGGACAAGAAAAAAAAAATGATTCATGGGACGAGCAGAATGATGTTGAGTCTAAGTCTAAAAACAACCAAAGCAAACAAACAGGTGTTAATGAGTTCATTTGGGCCCAAGTTTGATAAAGGCCTAAGTACAAAGACAAAGAAAGGTTACACATATTGAAAGATATCTAAAAATGATACCAAGGAAGAAAAAATGATAAAGTGCTCTTATTAAAAGTTCTTTTTTTTTTTTTTTTGATACAGGGTCTTGCTCTGTTGCCCAAGCTGGAGTGCAGTGGCACAATCACAGCTCACTGCAACCTCTGCCCCCTGGGTTCCATCGATTCTCCTGCCTCAGCCTCCTGGGCAGCTGGGATTACAGGCACATGCCACCACGCCTGGCTAATTTTTGTATTTTTAGGAGAGACGGGATTTCACCATGTTGGCCAAGCTGGTCTCGAACTCCTGACCTCAGGTCTCCCAAAGTGCTGGGATTACAGGCATGAGCCACCACATCCAGCCCTACTAAAGTTCTTTACAGTGAGGTTAGATTAAGAGTGCATGTCTCTTCTTTTCTGTATCCTCTCTTCTCTTGTTCTCTCTCTCTTGTTCTTCTCTCTCTTGTTCTCTCTTCCTAAAGAGACATGTCTCTCTCTCTTGTTCTTCTCGCTTCTTAAGGCTGCCATTCCACTAACTGATTTGAAGTTGCCAGCAGACTTCTGGGAATAGACTGCTCCTTTCCACACTACCCGCTTCCTGTCTTAGCTCCATCCTTCCCTACTCTACTGGCCGTGGTACCCAAATTTTCCCTAATCCGGTGGTCTTTGTGGGCCTGCTTCCTTTTAGTTTGGGGAGGGGAACAGCAAGATTTATCTGAGAGGGCAGGAAGTGTCACCCTTCCATTATGCCCTAGCAAATCTGGAAAGACTCGCTAGAACAGTCAATGGCCTAAATTAAAATAATCTTAGCAGTGGTTGATAATAATGACATAGTCGAGATAAATGGTACAAATTCTTTCTTTCCTTTTACCATTGGCACACCACTGAGGCCACTGAATCAGCCTCTGATGGTTATCTAAGATAACTTCCTCCTCACTAGATTGCCCTCTGATAGGATTTTGACTTCATTAAGACGTTGTACCTCATAGCCCAAATCTCCAAGGCCACTGAAGATCATGGTTCCTGGCTTCAACCTTGAAGCCAGGTTGGTGGACCTCTGCCGTCCTTCAGTCTTCCATAGAAGAAGGTGTTGACATTTCAAGGAAGCCTTTTACCTGATTATGTAACCAGCTCAGCTTAATTTCTAAGTGTTATTATGCTGATATACCACCTTTTTACATGAGCAAAACAGGAGATGTGTTGAGGGGCTGTGAAGACATGGAAGCTCTATCCTCTCTGAAAAAAAGATGATAGATGGGGAGCAAAGGAATACATAAAATGATTATAAATGAACACTGGGCCTAAAACATTCATCTCCACAAATAATCCTCATATTTTATTTTGCCCTTTGTTCTACGTCTTCAATTTCTTTTTCTAGCTTTATGCTTCCTCTTCTCTTGGCTTTTGGTCAAAACATTATGCATGTTTTCTCACCCTAGAGTCCTAGTATTATTCACCAAAATCCTTTTTGACTCTTCTTAATCCTATCATCATCAGACTATCCTCAGCTTGGAGGTGACATCACTGCATATTAATCATCATATAAAATCATAGGAGATTGTAAAGTACTTTAGAATGATAAAAACAGAAGCGTCTGATCTCAAAATGTCCTCTCAGACCACTCTATGCACAAATGAGAAATCATCACTATCATAATGGATATATAAAGGGTAACATATGAACAAAACCGATCCCAAATTCTACATAGAAAATATAATCTTAGTTATCATTTTGAAGAAAATATGGCAAATTGTCACTTTATAATTTCTAGAATGCTAGATCTATTTTTAGATTTTTTTTGAGACAGGAGTCTCGCTTTGTTACCCAGGCTGGACTGCAGTGGTGCGATCTCGGCTCACTGCAACTTCTGCCTCCCAGGTTCAAGCAATTCTCCTGCCTCAGCCTCCCGAGTAGGTGAGATTACAGACACATGCCACCACGCCTGACTAATTTTTGTATTTTTAGTGGAGACGGGGTTTCGCCATGTTGGCCAGGCTGGTCTCGAACTCCTGACCTCAGGTGATCCACCCGCCTCGGCCTCCCAAAGTGCTGGGATTACAGGTGTGAGCCACCATGCCCAGCCTCTATTTTAAACATTTTTAAAGTCTACATACATTTATTTTTCAATCAGAAAAAAATGTTCTTAATGGTTTTTAAAAATATAAATAATATGTATACTATTAAATTTTGTAAGTGTCCAACACTTAGCTATGGCCATCCATCCATCCCCAGGAATTCACAAAAAATAGTATTTCTTCAGCAGGTCCTGATTGCCATTGTTGTCAGGTAGGGACATAAAATTAACAAACCGAGGCTATCATTGAATAGGCCTTATGTTTGCACTTCAGCTTGCTTAAGAGGTTTTTTTGTTTGTTTCTTGTTTCTTTCCCCCGAGTCAGCATTCTACAACTCTACAGTATTTTGGAGTACCTATGCATCTCTTTGCATGCTGGAGTTAGAAAATTTTTCTAGGGTTAACAAAGAAAATGTGGCAGAATATTTTATCTGTATGAATTCAAATAGTCTTTAAAATAATAAAATATTTTTAATGCTTTATAGTTATACAAAGTATTTTCATAATATTAGTCTTTCTTTAATCTGTGTAGAAATACAAAACTGTGTGCTTCAGATAAGTCTCATTTCCAATTTGATAACATTTATGTGTGTCCTATAATGTATAATTTGAGTATGTATAAGGAGAATCTATGTCCTAACAACTTTGTAGAACCCTCTTAAAATAAAATGTAATTTGAAATCCTCAGGTTTTAGCAATTCAGTTACCCAATTTTTCTTCTCAAAATATGTTTGGGGCTATAGCGGTTTTCCTAAATTTCATTCCCATCTCTCCATTAGCCCAGAAGTTATATTTAACAGGTAGGACTGATAGGCAAGTTCTATGAACCTTTTTTGGTGTTTCTGCTCTTTTGGCCATGCTGTTTCTATGACTCAGTTTATATTTCTTAGCATGGTTTATCCAAAACTAAATGTATTAATTCATTAGTAGCAACCAATTGGGATTTCAGTCTTAGCTTATCCATCTCCTCTCTCTTTTTTGGTTGCAATGGCAAGATTTACAGCATTTAAACTTTCTTGCTACTAAACCCTCCTCACCCTACTCCTCGCTTCTAAAATGATTCTTTTGGCCAATCGCTTTGTTGTCAGTATAGTTACCATCATAGAAAATAAGGATTTGATTTCAGAAAGTTTAGAAATACAAAGCTCGGCTTCTAGGTATGTAAAATTTGATGCTTCAGACCATCAGCAAGATCAATGAATTTGATACATTGATCATCTCCTCTGCCTGGGAGCTTGGGATATATTTGGTGTGTGCTGGATTGGGGAGACCTTCTAAACACATTTCTGTGTTCGTGTTTTTGAATATACTATTTACGTTAAATATTTTAAGCTTCTAGTAGTCAAGGGCTTCGGTAGTGTTATACAGACTTGTTTTTAAATTTTATTTGCATATAATGCAAAAAGGAAATGAAAGCATTTGAACAATGTGAACAATTGCCTTTACTTTTTTTTCTAAAAGAAAATAATAACAATAGTAGACTTGTTCAGAGAGAGCATCCCATTCATCTGCGCTCCAGTCTCCTCATCTGAAAATGAGGGGGTAGGAGTAGATAACCTTTGAAAAATCTTTGAGATGAAGTTCATCAGAGGCATTTGGAAAGTCAGTATCAGTTTTCTGTTACAAAGAAAAGCCCTGTCCCACAAATTTCTGATTTCTCAATGGACTGTGAAAGGTTAGAGTAAATACTGTTTTCCTGAATTCCCAGGGGTCTAGAACAGCATTAAACGAAATCTTCCAGTGTATCTGGGGCGACATTGTTTTCCTCGCTCTGAAGGATTTTTTCTAGGTGGAATGTAGTAATCTCCAGCTGGATGATCATTGACTAAATTGTAAGCCCATTCAACCCAGAGAGAAATAAGCCTCCAGTGCTTTTGGATATAGTAATTCTACCTTGCATTGTGTGTGTGTGTGTGTTTTCATATGTGCACTCATATTTGTGTATTCAGAGTGAGTCTAACTAAAAATGAAACATCTTTCATGACCCTAAATAACACCTTTAGGATCACGCAATCTCAGCTGAGGCTAAAGAATCACAAGAAGCGAGAATATGATGTGTTTGCCAAATTAAAGTAGTTGATCATGACTCAACTAGAGAAAGATAGGGGAAGGGTGGTGGAGATGTGGCTGCAGGCATTGGCAATGACATATTCTTGAAAGCCTTGGACACTACTTTAACAAAGTTGAGGTTAGGAAAGTGAAACGTCATTAAAGAGCTCATCAAAACAGAGATATGATTGATTTGTTTTTCTCTAAAATGACACTGCTTGAAGTATTTAAAATTATCTGGAAAGAGGGAAGACTGAAAAGAAGGAGTCACGGTGAGTAACTGAGGTACAAGGTGATGGCTTCCAAAGTTAATGTCAGTGTGGTAGGCAAGGAGGGGATGGAGTAGATAAATATTAAAGAGCAGAATGTATTGGTCTGGTTGGTTGAATATGTGTGGTGGTGGTGGTAGTAGGTTGGCCAAAAAAAAAAAAAAAAGAAGACATAGAGAGAAGTTAGGTTTCCAGGGTAGGCACTTAGGCAGATGGAAATGGTACAGGTGTCATGAGAGGGATGATTAGTTTTATTGTGAACATTTGTGTTTGAGGAAGCCAATGCATATCTAAGAGGAGAATCAGGGTAAGCTATTGGAGATGCAAGTCTTATTAGAGAGATCTGCACTAAAAATATTCATTTAGAAGTTATCAGTATATTAATCACAACTTGCTATTGCATATATACATTTAAAAATAAACGGTTTATTTTCAACTCACACTTGTTCCCATCACAATAGTTCTCATGCTGTATCCTTTTGGAAGGTAAAAGTCCCTAGTGACAAACAGATGCAGATTTGCAATATATGAGCTCCTGAAAGCAGCATTAATCATTTTTCTTAATTGAAAATAGTTTATCTTTTATTAATTTCCCTGCTTCTTGTTTTCTGCCTTTGCTTTTTGAATACCATAGGTGTAACTCAGAGTATAGTTAAAGGGTGGTGGATTGCACCATTATTCGAGCCATTTTTAGCAAGCATTAACAACAGTCATGGGAAAAAAAAAAGACAGACATGGATTTTGTGGTATTTCATAGGGAGAGCTCATATTTGCATGTCTGCATATCTTCATTTTCGCTTTTGTGTAAGTCTAATCATTATTTCTTTTCATTTTTTGTTCATAATTTACAACTCTCAATGTGATTTTTAGCCGTTTCTTAAAAAAACAAAAATGCTGACTGAAAGAAAATAAAATTCTAAATGTCATCTCTATCCAAATCAACATCTAATCTCTATGCCCATTTCTGTAGTGTAATCACAAAGATCAGCTTACACTGAGATACACATTGCTCTGTTAAACACTTTGAGATTGCTCCTGATATCAGTAATGGCCACACAGTGATGGCAATATGTACCTCCCAAGTAATCTCACTTCTGGTTATTAGAAACTTTAGCTGAAGAGTTGAAAATGAATTTAACAGAAAAACAGAGGGTTCGTTTACAATTAGCATTGCAAATTATAAAATAGTTTTATGTATTTCTCATAGTCCATATACATGGTTTTTGAAATGCTTATCTGATAAGCTCATGTTAGCCTTATGTACTTTGGGAATGAAAAACAAAAACTTATCAGTTGTTAAACAATCTTATTGTAGGGTTAAATCTAGAAACTACTCTTAATCTGATCATAGGCTATGCCCAATGACAAGCACTAAATACAACTAGCAGAAGAAATTGTTTAGGCTGGAGCAATAACCCATTTTTTGGTACATGGAATTTATCATTCATACAGGTGATTACTGCACATTGTTAAGTCTCTAAGACTGTGAATTGACTATTCAATTGCATGCCTGTGTGTATGTGTGTTTGCATGTGTGTGTGTGTGTGTGTGTGTCTGTGTGTGTTTAACAGATTATGCAGAGACCTGATTTGGCTCTGTGAGAGAGAATGACACTAATAGTTCTAGTGATGAATTCACTTACAAGGTTAGAGAAAGAAGTTGCTGACCAGAAAGGACAAGCCATATTCTGGTATATAGTAAATAGAAAGTAGGGTAAAAGATTTACTCAATGTACACTGAGTGAAGTTGATCACGAAAGTAAACAAATGATGCTATAATGGCCACACAAAGTAGTATATCAAAAGAGTAAAATAAACACTATTTTTTATTTGTTGAAGAAAACAAGCACTATCAAGATGGATGAAATAGTGAGAGATTTCAAGGAGTTTTAAATCTGGTTTCTAACATAAGATCATACTTACAACACTGACCAAAGAATAGACTATACTAAAGACTTAATCTGTTAATTTATATAGGAAGCAAATTTTAGGTGCTGTAAATTGAGTTGGTTGATGTATGGTTTATGATGACTTTGTAGTGGTAGACAAATTCAAAGTGTTACAGTTATTCTTCGGAAACTTACCCCAAAGGAATATTACATACTTTTAAATTTCAAAATATTGATTATGTTCCCAGTAATCTCCCATACATTACAATCATGTAATTTTAATACTAAGCTAGTGGGAAAGTCCCTTGCTCTAAAATAAAATGAACACTTTTATTTTGGAAGTGTTCTTGTAGATATGTTGCAGTAATTTATTATTCAAAAAGGGCTCTTTCTGTCTGGAAATTTCATCATTTGGCAAACTAAAAATGATCCCACATTGGGTACCCTGAGAGATCTTCCTGTTATAGCACTGACCACAAGTGAATGCTCATCCAAGTAAAAATGTGAATAATTGGTTTTTCTCCTAAGAAAAATTTGAGTTTTCATACAGGAGCTATCAGATAATTCTTACTAGTTTGCATGATTTCCATCTATTAGCCAAATGAGATAAACAATATGAAAAATTTTCTAAGGTATGTCACAACTTTGCACATCTGTTGGCTAAGAAGTATGATGTTTAAGTGTAATTCATGTCACATAGAGTCAGAAAATATGTAATTCAATCAAAATTAAGGAAGTAAGGAGGCATTAATAGAAGATACAGGAGGACTATTCCACTACTCTCTTTAGAAACAATGTAGCAGAAATATACAGAGAATATTAAATCCTGCATACTCCTTCCTAATGTGTTCATGTGTATTATAAAATATAGGATGTAGTAATCCATGTCTTGCTTTACAGTGTAGAACTCAATGACTTGTTTTTGAGAAAATCAGGATCTTCTTCAGAGCTAATATTTGGGAGGAAAGATATAAACAGGAGTTATGGGCTAGGTGATAAACCATAGATATGAATACACTTCATAGTTTAAAAAGCTTGTTTCATGCAAATACCTCTAGCAAATCCCTGGGGAAAAATCAATATTGAAAATTATCTAGAATAATCATCTTCTCTAAACAAGAGTTCTTAGTTTTTCTCATTGCTATTATTTTTCTTTTTAATTTACTGGGAGGCATTGAAGACTGTATAAATAAGTAAAAACAAACTCACATACCTAGTGAGCCATGGTTTTGTTTGCATGAATTAAAAGGAGAAATGAAATTCCGTCAGAACAAAAGACAGGCTTATTTCTGATACTATCATCACCACCAACAGCAGGTGATACATTCCCCAACCCTTGGCTCTGAGTCAGAGAGCAGCCCAATGTGGACACTGAAGATACTAGTGAAAGGAAACAAAGACCCTTAAACAGTTCCTAGGACTAACCTAAATGTTTTGCAGCCAAGTTAACTATTTTTTTTAATATTATACTACATTACTAGACTTAGCCATAGGGAGAAGTAAAACCAGACTGATTTTGCCCTGTTAGTAATTTTGAGCAGGAGGCTGCGTTGAAAACTAACAGAATGGAGCCTTAGCTTGGAGCAGCAGCATCTGATGGATTTGATCACAGGCTTACTTCAGTTTGGTTCTCCCAGAAACAAGGCTCACTTCTACTTGTGAAGTGCGAGGAGCCATCTAGGAAGGAGGGGATGTGAAAAGGGAAGAAGAGGCTGCCAGTAAAAAGGTTTCTATTAAGCTGGGCATCTCAGAGGAGACTGGAGCTTACACACATGAGGCATTCTAAGAAATGGCACAGAATTGCTCGTCTCATAATTATCTTGCCAACTGCTAAACAATCTTTTTTTTAAAAAAAGAATTGTTATTTAAAGCCTGCTCCTAGAGGCTGTAAACACCCGAGGCATTTTTGGTTTTCCGTATGTGCAGGGTGAGCAGAGTGGCCTTCCTAGGTTTCTGAAAAAGCCCCCAGACACAGAGAAGCAGACAGTGGCATATAGACGTCAGCAGGGGAACACTGAAAGATCTGAATGATATGGGTAGGGTACCAAGAATGTGAGCTACACACCTCTATTCATAACAGAATTTTGAGCTCCAATCAAGGCATGGATATATTCTTATTTATAAATTACATAGAAATAATTTTTCCATGATTATGTATATCATAGTACATACACAAAAAACCTCTTTTAGAGAATGATATAACAGTAATTGAGAACGGAGTTTCTAATACTTTCTTCCTGCAAGCCAGTAGATTGTCCTGTACAGCCCGGGGAGTGTGGGCACCCCCAAAGTGGAAACGAGTGCCCTGGGAAAGGAAAAATTCCATTTCCAAGATCCAGGCATGTGAGAATTACGTGAAATTAAATATGTGGACTTGCGGTTTTTGGTTCTTGGAAAAATAGAAAGGTATAGTGGGTTGCATGCAGTTCTAGCTGCATTCCAGCTAGAAACAGATTGAGACAGTTCAGATTCACAGGCACTTGCAGGGCAAGTTTTCAATGTCACTGTGGCTTTACCACGTAGGCAAATTTGAAAATAGACACACTAAATATTGACTACAGGAAAAGAAAAATGTGTATTTATTCATACAAAACACATTTATTTAGCATCTATAATGTGCTGTGCCCTGACCTATAGTGACCCAAACAGATTAGCAGATCTCACCCGATCTTGTAGTGCAGTGATTTGAATAGCAATGATCTTTGGACCCTAAGCAACCCAGTTTGGCCATTCCCTGATGTCATTTTTTTCCCCCATTTCCATTGTTATTTTTTGAGAACATACAGACGCTTTTTGATCCATTTGTTGTAAGAACCTAGCCTCTTGATCAGTTGCATTTACAAAATAACAACATTGATAATTTCATAAATGTGTAAGATTTACAGCTTACAAAGAACTTGCACACACATCTCATGCATAACTCACAAAACCTCTTAATTCTTTCCCAATAATACAGGGGAATCATGGACTCAGGGGCTGACCTCCAAAGACGCTGTTGGTGGTAAATTGTTAGAGCCCCGAGATGTGACTTAAATTTAGGTTTTCTGACAGAGGTGTGCTGCTCGTCTCTATGCTAATCCATTACACAGCCAGACAGGAAGAACTGTCAGTAGATTCTGATCAATTTCTCTTTCTATAAAAAAAAATGATAAGCTTAGTTAAATTGTATTAGATAAGTGAAGGGTTGTTTATAACAGTCCAGCCTCCCCTTAGCTTCTTCTATGGCTTTCATTAGGCTCCATCAAAGCCTACTCTCAAAACAAAATATAAAAATAATTGTTAACTACTAACATTGATTCTGTGATCTTCCTTTTAAACTCATCTATCTATCTATCGATCTATCTATCCATCCATCCATCCATCCATCCATCCATCCATCCATCCATCTATCCACCTAGCTATCCTTCTATGTTTGCAGTCAGTTGCTAGTTATTAAGATAATCAGAATTGCTTTCAGAATTAATAATTGGTATAAATTTCAGAAGAGTTTGAATTTAGGTGGCAAATTCATAATAAGTGAGAAGGTAAGCTATAGCATCCTCTGATAATGTGTGCAGTTTACTTTTTATCTGTCTCTTTCTAATTGAAAACTAACAAATATAGCCCCAATTAAATGCACGTAAAAATTAGAAGCTGGTGGGATAGGGTATTAAACACAATCCTAGATGACTCTTATGAACTCATACCATAAGCAGCCACTTTCTTTCTCGAGCAAACTATAGTGAGAATGAAGCATCTTAGATTGAGAAGGGATTAGGACGACCCTGAATGGAATGGGCAAATCATAAACAGCTAGGCCCTTAGAATTTGGTTGCAGTCCCAAACCCAGGTCAGTTTTTAAACATGACTATCAGCTAGATATCCTTTCTCCACCATACAATAATAGATAACAACCTTAATAAGACGTGTAGACATTAAACTTTGAAATTCCACAGTAAGATGTAAATATTTGCTCAATCAAGTACAATTTAATATGTTTGTTATACAGCAACTGCAGAGCACAGAATTTTGTACTCTTTGGATGTTTATGATAAGGTACACATTATTTGCAAGTTTTTGCTTGTTTCCTTGTTCAGTTTTTCATTATCAAACAAACAAAGCTTCTCAGCCTGGGATTAACCTGGAGTCTGGAAAGTATACATTATGGCCAGCAACTTTAAACAATAGGCCAGAGATGGGAAATGAATGAATGAAATTCTGACACAGAAGACAAACAACAGAAACTCATTTGGGCTAGTGTAGGTGTAGGTTTTTTATTCTTCAACCAACGGTGGTGAAGAGGATCTCCCTTCACTTTATGGAGGCCTTGCTGGTTTGGAAAGTTCATTGTTCGACACCATGGATCTCCAGGTGGGTCAAGTTTAGAGATGCACCAACCTGGAGGACTCCATGCTGTTGAGCTGTTCACAAGCAGCGGACACTTCCAACTCCATCTTCCCAAGAACTAAATGGGTGTCTTCTATAGTGTATGTGCAAATCTCCTTCAAAAGGAAGTCTTACTCTTCCTGCTTTCAAAAATGGGAACAAAATTCACACCTCAGCATCCAAGTATTTGTTATTTTTGTGGATATTGTTAGAGCTGGTGTCACAATGTAAACTACTAGGATGAAAATAAGTATTAAAAGATTTCTCTTTTAAAAAGCTGATTAGAAATGATAGAAGTATAAGTAAAATATTTGTTTGTGAATTTTAATTATGTACAGAATGAATTTTAGTAACAGGCAAATCTAGCATTTAAGACTGCAATTTTCTAAAATTTAAATTTATTGGATTTCTAAAGTTGGTGTATCAGCATATTATTCTTAAATAATACGCCTTCTGTTTTACAATATTTCTCATTTTTATTTATATCTTTAATTGGCTAAATGTTTTATAATGTTAATTAATAATGCTGAAACAGTCATTCTTGTGATGTTTTAATAACTCTACTAGTGTTTTAACAGTAATATGGCCTTGGGGTTTGGTTTAAAGTAGGTGTTGTACATGATATTAAGGAGATGACCTTTATCAAATGTTTTATTTTTCTTGTATTGGAATTATCATATATATATATTTTCTTATTCAGACTATGTGAAGTGACATGTTATTTGTTTTCCTGATACTAATACATTTCTAAATCCAATGGCTTTAATTGTCATGATATGTTACTCTTTTAATGTACTATTGAATTCCATTTGCTACCATTTTACTAAAGCATTTTGCATCTACATTTGCAAGTGAAACTGAGTTAAAAGTTTGTTTTTTTAATTTTTGAGTTATCTTTGGCTGAAATTTATTTCATAATCACTTGATTATATAAAACCAATTGGTAGCTTCCCCTTCATCCTTATACTGTTGAAAATTTTACATAGAACGATGATCAATTCTCTAAATGTTTGAATGGCCCTTCCTGGAAAACTTCTGGTAAAAAGCTCAAATCATTTTTTACAACAGTTTTAAAAATTATTATAACATTTTTCTAAGTCACTTGCCTATTCACATTTTCTATATCTCTACTCATTAATTTTGTTAAATTATAGATGGCTACCATTATCTATTTAAGAAAAATGCTTGTAGTATTTATCAAATAATTGTGCATATGATTCTGTTAAAATAATTATTCTCCAAATTTATCTTTCCTTTCTTTTTCCCAATATTAAATGTTTTTCTCATGCTTTTTTGCCAGAGTTTTGTGGCTTTTGATTTTTATAATTTATTACTTATCTTACTTTTGTAGTTACTTCTTTTTAATTCTGTAGAGGTTTTTGTTTCCCTTTTTAAAATAATTTCTTGAGTTTAAAGCTTAGTTTCTTCTGCATTATAAAATTTTGATACTTCTTCTTTAATATTGGGAACATTTATAGCTATGAATTTGTTTCTGACAACTGCTTTAGTCTCATCTAAATGTTTAAAATATAGCCTGGTTAACATTAAGGGAGCACAGGCTTGCTGCTTTTCAGTCTTTTGGCTAAGACCAGGTGAAAAAGAGCACGGGTTTAGAATCAAGGAGCTTAGGTTTGAATTCTGACAGTTTCACACATGTTGTGAGAGGGACTTTAACTCACTACACTTCTGTATTTGTAATTTAGAGTGAGTATATTTACATTATAGTGCTTTGTAAGATTAAATGAGATATGTTTATAAGTGTACAGTACTGTGATGATAGCAAAATCAAATGTTCAACACAAATATTAATATTGGTTGAAAATTATAGTTTGGGTTGTTCTTTTTTGTATAATAATTTTAATTTTTAAAATCTGAAGTGCTAGATGTTTGTTGCTTTTGTTGTTATTTCAAATTGTCTTACAAATTTCTAATTTTATTGCATTTTGCCCCAATAATATGGTCTTAGAATGTCTATATTTTGGGAATTTTCTAAGCTTTTCAGTTTTTGAGTTGTTTGGATAACTGAAGATCATTTTCTTTGTTGAAAAGGGCCAAGATATACACACACATGCACACAAAATGCACTCGTTTTTTATTTGTATTTATTTCCCATATTCATTATATTATTCATTTATTTTTGTTCTTATTTTTTAAAATAAATCTACCTGATTTGTAGCTGTATTTGCATTTTTTGCACCTATCATGTTTGAATCAAATTCTGTTGGTTTTTAAACATATTTTGAATTTTATACATAACTAAACTATTTTTCTCTGTTCTGTTCAGTACACTTTGCTTGTAATTCTAGTTTATCTGAAACTAATATGGCTGCTTCCTATTTCTTCTGTTTTAGTTTGCCTAAAAGAATTTGTCATCATTTTAAACTATCTGTGCCATTTTATTCAGATCAATCCCCTTTAAGTATTTTATAATTAGAATTTATTTATTTATTTATTTTGATCTTCCAGTCTCTGCTTTTAAATTGGTAGTTTAATTCTCTCATATTTTCTCTTCTCTTTTTTTGTGGTTTTATTATTTTTACTTCCCTTATGTTTCAATATTTTCTCCCACATATTTTTCAACTTTCTCAAAATATTGATTGCGAGAGTATCTATCAATACATATTTTTAAATTTAATTGCTTCTTAGTTTTACTTTGAAAAACTGTATTTTATCATTCCATGTTTTTCTGGAAATTATCAAAGCCAAGACCAAAATGTTATTTTTTTTTCAAATTAGCATTTGTTTATTTCACACTCATTTTCAGATCTTTGGTAATATTATGTAGAGTCTTAGTGTCAAATTACTACTATTTAAAAAATTTTGTTACGTATAATTTTTTTATATATGTAACAAAATTTACAATATGTATGTATATATGTGTGTGTATATATACACACGTTTTGTGTGTATATATGTATACATATATACATATATACTCACATATGGTTTGTATGTATATACGTATATATATATACGCACACATATATATGGTTTGTATGTATGTACATATTATACATATATATGTGTGATTAAATAATTAAAAATATTGGAATAAAAACAAATGTGTGTGTATGTATGTGTGCGCACACATATACATGGTTTGTATATATATGCATATGTTATACATATATGTATGTATTATATTTATATATGTATGTATTATACATATGTAATATGTGTTTGTGTGTGTATGTGTATATGTATACATTTGGTTTTTATTCCACACATTTGGTTTTTTTAAACCACACATTTGGTTTTTATTCCAATATTTTAAATCATTTGCCTTATACTGTAGAATTATTACTTTGCTAACTTTTGTTTCAGTGATTTATATGAGTCCTTATATAGCAGGATATATTTGTAATTTTTTTTCTAATTCAGTTTCTTGAACAATTATTTAATACTAGTTTTGTTTTAATAAACTTAATATTTTGAGCGAATGCATATCTAGGTATATATTTCCATTGCCTTCACATATGAAGGTCAGTGGTCACTTTAAGGTCAGTGGTCCCCAACCTTTTTGGCCACCAGAGACCAGTTTCCCGGAAGATAATTTTTCTAGAAACCGGGGTTGGGGATGGATGGTTTTGGGAAGATTCAACGGCATTACATTTATTGTGCCCTTTTTTTTAATATTACATTGTAATATATAATGAAATAACTATAAAACTCACCATAATGCAGAATCAGTGGGAGCCCTGAGCTTCTTTTCCCGCAACTAGATGGCCCCATCTGGGGGTGATGGGAGACAGTGACAGGTCATCAGGCATTAGATTTTCATAAGGAGCACACAACCTAGATCTCTCACATATGCAGCTCGCAATAGGGTTTGTGCTTCTATGATAATCTAATGCCGCTGCTGATCTAACAGGAGGTGAAGCTCAGGCAGTAATGCAAGTGATGGGCAGTGGCTGTAAATACAGATGAAGCTTCGCTTGCTGTCACTCACCTACTGCTCTGTGGCCTGTTTCCTAACAGGCCATAAACCAGTATTGGTCTGTGGCCTGGGGTTGAAGACCCCTGCTTTAGATGACTACAAAAATCTTGAATTCAAAACTTTCTGTACTTCAAGACTGTAAGTGTGTATTAGCCAGTTCATAAAAGTGAAGGCACGAACAACAGTTGCTTGACCTTCTCTCTGGCCATGAACTGGGATGGTTCGTCTTGATGGAAGCTGAGAACTCATCACTCAACTGAATGGATGTTTGTGAGAAATAGTCTAAGCTCTTCACTTTCTCACTCAGATTATCAAGAAGCACCAAATCAGGAATGTTCTAGTTAGTTCAAGTGATATTTTTTATTTCCAAATTTCTTCTTGAATCTCCAAATTTTTCATATCTAGGAATCATGAAATTGAAAGTGCCCCATTGTGCCTCTCTCTTGAGCCTAGGGGCAGCTTATGTAATATGCTTCTGTTTTGTACACTGTCTCAGCCAAACATACTTACAAAATAGGCATTACCAGGTCAAAGAATAAAAAGAAGTTTCAACAAAAAAAATCTTATTCCTGTATTTTCTCAAGTTTTGCAAAACTTTCTTTGCAACCCATTAAGTTCTCTCTCCCCAGACTACGAAGGTGCCAACGGAGATTCAAGAAAGGGAGAGTAGAACTCACCACGCTCTCTGATCCAGAGCAGGGGATATTCCGTCTCCTACCTCGTTTTGTTTCTATGACCAGTATCATTCTGCCTTTCCAAAGTGATGCTTCTCCATTCCTCCCTAAGGAATAATGGCTTGACTTCTTTGGAGATGTCATGAAAGATTTGCAAAGAAATAAGTTGAATTTATACTTCAAGTATGACTATCAATTTATTGATGGGAAGTGGAAAAAAGAGCCTTCTAAGCATAGAGAATAATAAAAATCATACCCATTACATGTTTAAGGACTTAGTATGCCTGAAATTCTAAGCCCTTTCTAGTTGCTAACTTATTTAAACCTCAAAAGAGCTGTATGAGATTACAGTTTTAGATCATCCTTCTATCTTGTACGTCCAGCAGAACAGTTTTACGTCATCCTTCTTAAGTAAAATGAGTCTTTAGTAATTTGCTCAAGGTTAAACATCTAAGAAATGAATAGTTACGAGGCTCTTATTCTTAACTACTGTGCAATACCACCTCAATACTTTAGCATTAGCATGTTTGGACTGAAGACTCAGTAAGACAGGGCATAAGTAATTGTGTTTACTCATAAACAAATTTATAGTTAGATTACATTATTGCAATACCTCTCTGTTAATTGGATTTTTAAATATAGACTGTGGTGAAGATTTGATCAGCCTATAAAGTAGAAAACTGAAGCCGTTGGCTGACACAGGTGAGGCCACTTTTCTTTATACATTAGGTAGAATCGAGCATTCTCATACTCACTGAATAATTTTATCTCTTCTCTTCCCTCTGACAGCCAATGACTAAGTTTTGAATGATCAGGTATTACTCCTCATTCAAAATGAGCAAGTCCATTCTGATTTTCAAAGCCAAATTTCTGACGGAATTAATTTATCTATAAATTTTAGTTATTTTGTTGATGAGTATCCTGCAAAAGCAAAAAAATCTATTTTCACGATCTACAAGTTTCCCCCATGTCAGTGAAGGAAAGAGATGAAATAAGTATTAGAGAATAGACTTGTAGACCCAAAGCTAAATCGACATCTCTAAAATATGGGTGATATTGCCTTACTACGCACAGAATTTGAAATGCCTAGTCAATCACTAATATTGGCATTGAGTGACAGGGAGATTTTTACATTCCTTTGAATTATGAGTTTTTTGTTTTGTTTTCTCAATGAGTTGACGAGTCTTTGCTGTGATTTTATGCTTTCTGTTTTTGTGTGCTAGTTATGTGATAATATGTTTCATATGCTGATCAGTCAGGGACATACATGAATCCCACTGGAATTTCATCTCATTGACATGGGAATTATTCTGGGCTCAATAATTGCTTCCAACTCTTATTATTATTTTGTTCTCATGATGGATATTTGTGAGAAATATTTGTGATAAACAAAAAGGAGAAGATAATACATGTACTCACAATCTTGTACTCACAGACAATCTTGTTCTCTGACACATACATGGCACATAGAGTTATATTTATCAAAGCATGTGCTCTTGCATTTTTGGAGAGATGGTAACAGACGATAGTATTTACTGATTACCATATGCCAGGTCTAAGGCTGTTAAAGGGTTACTTTATTTAACCTTCATTACAACTTCATGAGTTAGGTAATAATTTTATGTTCACTTTGTAGATGAGGACACTAAGGCAAAAAGAGTTCAGATAACTATCTCAGGTTGTCACAGCATATGAATATTGGTCCTAGGATTTTAATGCAAAAATTCAGCTGCAGATGTCAGGTTTATTATTATGCCAAACTATGTCCCAAGAAGACGTGCTGTATGTATATATGTACATGCATACACATACACACATATATGCATACTGTCATGCACTTCAAGCATGTTTATATAGAGTCTTATATGCAAACCTACCTAACCATACACCTTTAGATGCACTTCCTTCTTCAATTTACATGTACATGTATACTTATTTCTTATATAACTAACACAAATTTATATAAATATGCATAAAAATACATTTGTAGCAGACCACTTTTTGTCAGAGAAGGATTGATTTTAAGATACTAAAATCATCTCGTACTAGTTCATTTGCAGAGTATAACAAACAATGGGTGAAAAAGTGTTATTGGTTGGATACATTTTTCCTCCATGATAAAACTGTACATACACATACACCCCCCCCAACACACACACACACCAAACGCTGTTTAGTAACTGAGTGAGTAGTGGCAAATGTGATTTTTAGCCAAGGTGAGGGGTTGGGCTGGAGCTAGGGCCAGGGAGGCAGGTAATTAGGGAAGAGAGTAAAGACAACATTGTATTTGGATAATTTAGGCAATTCAAGCAGACAAAAAGATGCCTGTTTAATCACCTTATATTTAATATTTAATGCATTGCCAGGTTCCTGATATATAAAGTGTTATTACTTGATAAACTCTCGGCTGATATTAATTACCTACTATTTGATTAGCATAGTAAACATACAGTACACATATTAATTCTTTTAGTAACATTCTATGTCTACATGACCCTAGTGTTTCCTTATTTTCAGGGAGTTTGAATTGAAGCCAAGTCATTATTGTAGCAATAAGATGGGTTCTCTGACAGGATTTTGAATAATCTTTCAGAACTTTAAGGCCCTTATATGAAAGCACCAAATGCTTTATTGGCTCAGCTACTACACCTGTCACCTTTGTAAGATGTGAAGACTGCAGATCTCTTTTCATCACTGAGATTCACAGAATAAAGTTTTCCATATTTATTAAGGGAGGACATAAAAAGGAACATGATTGAAGGTGTGTACACACTTGTGCACAGCTAAACCTGCCATCATTCTTTCCTCTCCCACCTTTCACCAGCATGTTGTCTTTGAAAACTGAAATCTGGCTTTTTAAAATCGTTGTTGCTACTTTTCTGTTTTGTTAGTGATGAGTAGTTTCTAACTCCTGACTGTATCATTCTTGGGGTTTGGTGTGGTTATTTAAAATTAAGTGTGTGTGTGTGTGTGTGTGTGTGTGTGTGAGAGAGAGAGAGAAACTTGGTGCCAAATGAAATCATTCAAATTATAGTCACTCAGTTGTCATTCCAAATGGTGTATTTTAAATTTCGTTGTTGCTTCATATTTTATATGTCCCCATATACAAATTCTATTGCTAAGAAGTGGAGCTGACATTTCATGTTTTTTGTCACTTACAGAGAAAACTAGCTATTTCTGATCTCTTCCACTCAAATAGGCTTAGTTTAAGAGAAGAAACAGAACCAACAGCCTTACTGTATAATGATCCTAAGTTATTCATTTAGTGAGTAATTTTTTTTATTCAGCAAACTAAGAGTTGGGTTTCAGCAATGATATGGATAAAAAATAATGTTTTATCACTTCATACAAATAATACCATAACTGAACATGTATTAATAATATCTAGTAATGTATCCAGTAAAATATTATCTTAGATTGATAACATCTTAATCATAGCACCAAAAAGAACAAGAAAAATGCAAAGATAACATTTATATAGTGTTTTCTGTGTATTAAGTACTTGGATAAGTATTTGACAAATCTAACCACTCTATAAATTAAATGCCATTATGTTTCTCAATTTACATTTGAGGAAACTAAGGATCAGAATACATATTTAGTAACCTGCCCAGTGTCATACAACTAGTTTCTGGCAGGGCTGGGACTCAAAGCCATGCTTCTCACCAGCATGCTCGGCTGACTAATGTATTTGGAACCTTGGGCTGTATCTTCACGTACATACTGGGTTGGAAGAAGGAGCCACCAAGTGGCAATGACTGCACTTGGTGACGAGAGAACTCAGCAACTAGTCACAATCTAGGTCATTAAAATGTCCTTTAAATGTCTCCGTTTAATCCATTTTTCCGTTTTCAAACCTGTTTACATGTCGAATTTTCTTGTCTCTTTTATGTAGGATTTGTAATTCAGGTAAATCTGAGTTTTTCTTATTTCTTTTCTCCTTCATACAATGATATTTTTATAAATGTGGATTACGACAAGGCTTAAGGCAGCTTATTAGATATTGTGTGTAAAGGAGGATCTGCTTTTTCCATCGATTCCATTGAATTCTCACACTATCATCCATAAAATTCTTCCATTTTTTACATATTATAACCATATTTAAAAAGTTATTTCTATGGATAATACTTTCAAAAAATAAATTAAGAATAATGGGCTAATGGTGATTTCTCATTTTCTTTATAACAATTTTTATTACAATTTTGTCTTTGCAATAAAAAGGTGATTAAAAGACAGGTCTTAATTTTTATATCTTCATATGGTTGTCTTTTTATAGGATTTTTTTTAATATCATAAAGATAATTGAAAGTTTCTAACCCCTTCTCTTTCAATAGCATTGTGGCTCTCTTTGAGCAAGATATGCTTAAATATTTACTTCTAAATATTGGGTGCTGTCAAAGAAAAAATAATCACTGGAATTTGACTTTTTTCAGCCTTCTACAAATAGTCAATTTAACAAATATTTATTGAGTACCTATCATGAGTTATCTTAAATTATCTGCTGTGGTTCCAACAGAATGCCCAAAAGAATGTCCTCTTGCTGATCCATGTATATCATAGCAAGAACAAAAATATTTCTTTGAGAGAGAGAAAGATAAATCCCACTTCCTGTCCTGAGAAAACTCAGACCCTGTGCCCTCTTCCTGTCCTTTCACTGCAGTCTCTTCATCACACTTAACAGTACCGTCACTCTATTTGGTGGGAACAAGTCGTCAGGACATGTAAAAGGCCTCCTCTTTCTTATCTTATCAATGGGTAGCAGAGCCACCGTTTGAACCCAGAACTTCCAGCTCTTGATATTGCTTCTTAGGTGGTAAAAACCTTACCACCTAAAGTGCTATTATTTTTGATGAACAATAAGACTGGAGCCTAAGACATCCTATAGATATTAATTACAAAAAGATAATTAAAACAGATAAATGTTTACCATTCCTAACACAAAGCTGCTATTTGATTTTAAATAAACAAATAACAACATACACAGCATTAATGTATCTAAGCCTTAGTTTCATCCTCTATGAAACGCGGTAATGATACACATCTCATAGGGTTGTTATACCAACTAAGTGAGATAATCTGGTGAAGAGTTGACTGTGATGCTTGGCACATAACCCTCAGTAAGTGTTATTATGTTAGTATAATTACTGTTTTAATTTAGCCCATCACTATTATGTAGAAAAGACAGAAAGAAAACCTAGAATACAAGTGGAAAACTGATTTTTATATGTTATTTCATAGTAAATAAATTTATAACTACTGCATTTATAATACATTAAGCTCCTGACAAACTGTATAACAATTGAGTATTAAATACCTATCCAAATGCTTTCATAATATAAAACAGATTATTCCATTAATTTACATAATAAATGCCTTTGAGCATCTTCTTTGTGGCTGGCATTATTCTGATTGAAAGATTTGAAATAAAAATAAAATAAATAATGGATTAGCCTATCTATTATTCAAGGTGGCAAAATACCAGCTTTCTATTTCCACAGGAAGGAGTTATTTAAAAGAATCCATTTTCAGAAACAAAAATTCCTTGGGAACCTAACAGAAGTAATCTGTCAGTTTCTAGAGGAGATCTCTATAACACATTCCTCTAGTTTTGAGGAGATATTTCTTCTCAGCTTACATCCACAGCAAATATATCTGAACTGTTTCTCTCAAAGATTGTAGATGTGTAATAAGGTAACTTTGCCAATACCTTTGACCTAATAACCAATACCTAATCACCAAAATAACCAAAACCTAATCACCAAAATAACCAAAACCTAGTAATTTTTTTTGAGACGAAGTCTCACTCTGTTGCCCTAATAACTTATGAACTACCATTTCTGAGTGCCTACTAACTGCTTATCACTTCAATGACATTTGCTTTTTGAAACAATGCTGTGAAGTGGGTATTATTTTAAAAAATTATAAAGCTGAAGCCCAGAGAAATGATCAAAGGTGTAGATGGACATATCTGGGATTCTGACTATAACCATCCTTCTTTTTCCATTAGAGTTTACTACCCCCACTTCTGGCTTATTTCTCAAAACTCATTTTCAAATGCAGCACTATATCTATTCGGATTGACAGTACATTGTGCCAAGAACAGTGCCTTACCCATTTGGTTATTTATTAAGTGTCAGTTTAATGTATCGGATGAAAAATCTTGATCTTATTTCAAAAGATTCATAAACACTACCTTGAAACCCAACTTTAACTTCTTTTCTCTCCTGCCTAACTCAATCTCCTATCTCGCATCAGGATTCCAAAAATACACATGTGATTGCTTACCTCCGCTTCCTTTTATTTCATTTTATTATTGTTTCAATTGTTAGTCTCCTTTCCCAGTCTGTGCAATTTTTCTCAATTGATTACGCAATCACTGAAGTGGCAACCTCAAACTCATCTAGTCTCCAGGTGATTGCAAATGGTTCATAAAACAGCATCTAAAGAAAGGTTATCTTTGAAAGAAAAACAATTACAATTTTCATTCTTTATTGCATATGATAGTGGTTAGTAAAATAATAAGCACTGTCAGCCTGCCTATTTCAGAGAAGCAGAGCAGAGCTCTTTGGAAAGTACTATAAGGCATTCACATTGGGTATCCACCTGGGAATGGCTTCACTTTTCTCACTTCTGAATAGAATCATGCAGGAGCATCATAACCTGCACCTGGAGCAGCCCATGATGGAGTCAGAATATGTCCCTTTAAAATAAGGCAGTATTATATAGGAGAAAATAAGGCAGTATTATATCAGAGAAACTAAGGCAGTATTATATCAGAGAAAAAATGTTACGTTTTCTGATTCAAGTGCCACCTTGATGATATGTTGGATAGTTCTAAAAAGCAATACAATTTTTTTGAGCCTCAGCTTTCTCATTTATAAAATAGGGATGTTAATCAAACCTACCTTATCTCCCATATTGAACCATTCAAGGGGAATAGCTGAGATA
Source organism: Homo sapiens (assembly GCF_000001405.40). Classification (NCBI taxonomy): domain Eukaryota; kingdom Metazoa; phylum Chordata; class Mammalia; order Primates; family Hominidae; genus Homo; species Homo sapiens. The sequence goes on from NC_000007.14 coordinate 136,914,793, forward strand.
ATGCAAATGACAGGTTTTGGTAAATTGTAAATTACATACAAATGTTTGTTATTATAATGAAGTAGACTCTGCTGAGTGAATGGCAAATTAACTCTTAAATACTTTTAGTTTCATAAGAAGGGCATTGGTTCTTTTAGATTATTGCTGATTTCTAACAAAAAGAATTGTGATCCTACAGTGCTAGTGAACTAGAGAGAGGGGATAATGCACTCAACAAAGTGTCAGCCCTATATGAAGAGTATGACATGTAGGAGTTTTAGATTATGACTTTTAGGAGTTAGCATCATTAATGAATTACAGGCTTCTACTGTAATGCTGACATCATTCTGGTTAAGAAATGTACTTCAGGATTAAAGGGATATATTTAGGAAGAGAAATGTGTAGCTACGGCAAGTCTCATTTTGATACTTAAGGGAAAGGCAACTATTAGGGGAAATGATTTAGTAAAGTTAAATAATTTTCTTAAAGTTATAAAGTACAGTCTTACATTATCAATCTTGGGTTCAACTGAACTAATTAATTAAGGCTGTGCATGCACACCATCAGATTGTTACTGCATAATTTACTCACTGAGAAAAGTCTATTTAATTTCCAATTCCTGAGACTATAATGAATCATTGATGTGACTAATTTACCTTCCTTGAATTGACTGATAGGTTTTAATTGAAGTGATCAGTAATGTGGGTATATTAATCCCATTTTATGTTTTATATATATTATTAAGAAATCAAGAATTTTGAAGTATTGGAACATGTTCTAGTTTATAGGGAGATTGAAGAATCTTATAACCTCTCAACTAGAATTTCTTCTCTAGACTTACATATATCAACTAGTTCCAATGCCTACTCACAATTACTAAATTGAGAGAGAGGGTTATGTTGGTAGCAATACTGAGAAAGGAAGGCTAACAGAAAAATGTCTACTATTATTCTTTGTGACAGAACTCTTGTCCACACTGCCAATGCGCCAACCTCAGTGAATTCAGTATATAATGACTCCAAACAATAAAAAATATGGCAAGCACAAGTTATGTTTTCCAAATCAGGAAGCATTTTGAAAAGAAACATTTTTTTTTTTTTTTGGTTCTTTGAAATAGTGAAAGTGCGTATTGGAGAATCTTATTTTCTTACATAAATTAGGAGCTTATATTATCCTATTCATCTTTGTATAAATTCTGTCAATTTCCAAGCCTGTCCCATTGTGGGTACTTATATATTGTTGTTGAATTCATAGGGAAAAGAATAATCTAACCCCATGGTGCAGGCCCCATTCACAGGAACCATTACTATATAATTCCCCACATTTCAGCTGGACTATGCACTGTTTGTAGGGAGAATATTGTTCTAACTTTCCTATATTTTGGTTTTCATATGAGAACTCTTATTATTGGGAGTGATATAAGTGTATCAATTAAACGCAGTCTGATTAAATGCAGCAGAAAGCAGCAGCATAACTAAAATCAAATCTTGTCTTAGAAATAAGAAAAACTCAACATAAGGATGAATACATTTAATCCTCATTTTAAATAATATACTATCCTCTACAGAAAAACATTTATTATAGAATAACAGGTCTGCCTTGGACTTCATTGAAGAGGCTATTTTATTTTTCTTTCATATTTAAAGAATATCATTTTATCTATAAGATGCCCTCATAATATGAATTCTGAGGACCATATTACTTAATTTAATTGAAAATTATTTTATGCCTACTCTGTTTCTGTTCTCGCAAGATTTTTTCTGTATTCTAATTTTTCCTCTATATCCACATTCCGCTTCAAAGTTTATATTGTCCTCCTCACATGTTCCCTTTTATTTGCTTATCTCTTTTATCCTTGAATTTGTTTATTAACGTTTCCTCATTTTTAATATTACATATATTAATATTAATATAATTAATATACCTGTTTTTATAAACAGCCACTGAAAAATGCTATGTACTATGTTATATTAGGTTCTTCATATAAAAATACAAAAGCTAAATTCTTATTAAAATTTAGTATTGGGAACATTGACAATTTATTCTATCATTCTCCCTCTCTTTCTCTCTCTCTCTCTCTCTCTGTCACTATGTGTGTGTGAATGAATATGTGTATACTTTCTTTAGTTATCGAGAAACTTAGTCTCAGATCTCAGTGTTTTAATTCAGTTTCACAAAAATTCTGTGTATATATTTTTATTTATTACTTCTTCCCTATTTTTCATTGACTCCCGCTCTCCTGACCATTGTATTAATGATTCTAATATATGCCTTTATTTTAAAGCTTCACCAACTCCTTTTTGCAAATAAGCGTGTTATGAATTTAAAATGAAAACATGATATTTTTTACATACAACTCAGTGACATTCACTATTTTCAGCTTTCTCACTTTTTTTTTTTTTGCTTTCTTTTATTTGTAGGCTTGTCCGCTTACTATTAATACCTGCTCGCCGTCCTCTTTCCTTGCCTCCCCTTTCTCCTCTCTTCCTTCCTTAGATGTTCAAATATTTTCTCTGTTCAGCATTAATTACCATAGTCTCAATTTTCTTATCCTTTCCTATCGTCTGATGTGGGGAAGTGATGTGTGGATAATAAGCTACATGCATCTCTTTGCCTCCTGTTGGTTCATAACAGTGTGAGAACATATTACTGCTTGATCCACTGAAAGGAGAGGATGGTTGCTGGCTTGTCCACAGGGCCAGAATCATAAAGGGATCCTGAGAGATCAACGGGCTATGTCTCCCAGGGTTCCACTCTGCATTACTAAACCATTAGAACTATATTGCACACATTTACTACTTTTTGCAAGGACAGAATGAGGTAAACAAGGATGGATGCCGGATTGCTGCCAGCTTTCACCAGCGCTAATGTACAATCTTAAGCATTTAAACCCAACTGCGAATCAATATCACCATCTCCCCAGAAAATACAAGACCAGACTGGGAAAAGCTATGATACAGGATTTTTTAAAAATTTCCATCACATCCTCCCATTGAGAACATTTCTCTCTTCATAACTGATTGGCCAATAGGCTTATTGGGTAGGCTTATTAGGGTAAAGGAGTAGTTGGAATCTAGCCTAAAAAGGTAAGTACAGTCAGATAGGATATGAATATTTTGTTTTGTTTTCCTGAGGTCTTACTCATGTGCATAATGTACCTAATGAACAATCCATCATGGAGCAGACATGATCAACTTGAAAACTCAATAAAAGTAGACACATGACACATAAGACCTTTGTTTTAGCAAATAACTGATTTCTACTGAGAAAGAGAGAAAGGTTTTAAGGAATGGGGAAAATGAATGAAGGAACAGAAAACAGAAAGGACCACCATGTCCATGTGGAATATAACGCCTTGTCTTCCCAACCAGATCATAAAGCACTGAAACTCGGTGCTGTTCACTTTAAAGTTTTAGGTGCCTTGGAAGGGTTTCTCAAGCTAATGAATTACATAATGAGTCCTTATATCTCATTATTTAAAAGAGACAGAAAGTTGAAATTCTCTACTTCAGCTCATACCTAAGGTCCTCTATTTAACATATGGATATTTGATGAAATTGTGACTTAAAATTACTAGTTACTAACAACTAGTATTTTGTTTCATCTTTTCATAATAAAGAGCAGTAAAAAGTTAGGTGACTGAATTTTACCTTAAAACTATACTTAAATTCTAAGATATAAAGTCTTTTATAATTCATACTCCTGTGTTCACCCATCTCACTGTTGCTACCCTCAGAATTTCATGCTCGTAAAGTGGCTCATAACCATTTGCTGAAAATATTTCCCTGAAGTAACAGTTTTTTAAAAAAATATTTATTTATTTACTTATTTATTTTATTAGAGACAGTGTCCCTACGTTGCTCAGGTTGGTCTCAAACTCCTGGGCTCAAGTGATCCTCCCCTGTTAGCTTCCTGAGTCATGGGAGTACAGGTGCATGCCACCATGCCAGGCTTGAAGTGACAGATTTGATATTGTCAGTAAGACTGTTGATTCTCCAGGCTGGTGTTATAGAGAAACTTCCAGCAGCCACTGATATATTTTAATAGAGACTGGGTTTCATCTGTTCTCTCCTTGGAGAGAACTGCAAACTGAGGTCCTCTATGCCATTGCATAAGGAAGTATAAAGATGAGAAAATCTTGCTGAAAGGTTTCTTAACAAAGTGGAAATCTGAGTGTACTGGATAAATAGCTATCATTAATGGTATAAATACTTTGTCCAGGCAATTAATATTTGGAACTTTTGTGTAGCTAGCTATTTCTAAAGTGCAACGTGGCAGAAAAGAATCGGCCATTTTTCTCTATATTATCCTGAATAGACAACTTTTGGAGACCCCTAAGACATGTTATAATATTTTATCTTTCTTGTTCTTGGTTCAAGACACTGTACGAAGACAATCATTTGTCTGGCATTACTGGGGAAGAAATGACATTCACAGTATAGAAGTGAATTTCCAAAAAGTGGTGGTATGCACTTTTAAATTTAAAATTTCTTAAATACGACCATACTAAGGTCAAGATGCTTTTACTAAACTTTTCAATCAGATAGAAGTACTTCTTTACATGTTAGATATTATCATACATTCTAAAGCTCTAGTGAATATGGTTTACCTTAATTTGATAATTAAAATAAATATTAGAATATTAATTAGTATTCAAATTACTTGAAATCTCACATTCATAGTTATAAGGAAGCGAATATGCTCTTACTAACTTGCAAACCTAGTCAAGTTGTTCTCCTGTTTAGAATTCTTCAATAACCTCTGTTACCTATAGGATAAGTCCATATTCTAATAAGTCCTTCAAAATCATGTTTCTACTTACCACTCCAGTTTATTCTCTCTCTCCCTACCATGCTTAATTCTGTGACCCTATAAACCCATGTATAGTTCCCCCAATGTACCGTGGTGTTGTACAGGTCTATGTCTCTGGTGTTCTACTTTTCCAGAAAGCCCTTTCTCTCCATTTCTAGGGGCAATCACCCACTCAACTTTCATGATTCTATTTGTTTCACATCCTGCACTAAGCTTCTTCTGACTTGTTACCCACCTTAACTTTTATTATTTTGGCCCTTTCAGCTCTATTGGGTTCTTATGTATACTTCAGTCAAAGTGGTCATTGACCTTCGGATTGTTTATTTCTCTAGATATTTATCTCATGGTGACGTGGTCTTTTTTTTCCCTGTATTCCTCAATGTTTCTCAATAACTAGGATTTCATACTACTTCAAAAATGCTTATAGGATTAGAAAATGCAATGTAGTGAAGCTCCCAGGGGATGCAGAAATATGGTGACATTTCAATCTTATATGGTGACATTTCAACCTTATATGGTGACATTTCAACCTTAATGAAATAACCCCTGCTATTCTGATAGCTGTGCATTTTTGTGACTGATTTTCAGGTTTTTTCATCTTTTCCTGTTTTTTCAGGCTCTTGTCAGCTGTTGCTGTCAACATATGAACTCTGTGTGTCCCCTTAGTTATGATAGTGAAACATTTTGCACCTCAGCTCCTTTATTTTATAGTTATTAGTAAAACAAATCGAGGGTGCATAATGAAGTGATTAAGTAGTTGACCACCCATGTTTGCAAGTGACTGAGATTCTGAACTCAAATGAGGTCTCACATTCATTTACATAGTCTGAGAACATACTGTGTTCATCATCAGTGATGAGTGGAGCTCATCAGCTCTGCATTGTGAATTTATACTGACCACATTTTTGAGGCTCTAGATGGCATATTGAAACTGCAGCTTAGAACATCTCTGGGGGAATCATGAAGGCACTGACCCCGGGGTCTGTTGCCCTACTGCCTTTTGCCCTTACAGGCTGGGCCACACTTCTTTTGTTCTCTACACCCTAAGCATGTGTAAACCATATTTGCATGTTAATTATTTTGGGAAAAGCAATTATAGCCACCTTAAGCTCATCACACCTTAGATTCCTATCATTGTTTCTCAAAGCATAAGCTCAAAAAGCCTCTAGTGACTCAGTTTCCTCTGTGGTCTCAAACTCATGACACTCAGTGTTTCCTCTTCAAATTCTTCATCAGCTCACTTCTGCCAAAGCTTTCCACCATCACCTTCACATTTCTTGTTACTATCACGAAAAATTCTCCTTCCCAAGGAGACGTGTGAGAGGGAGGATATTTAGCTGTTTTCCTAAATATCCCTTCTAACTTCTGATGTTACTTTCCCTTAGGGGCACCACTTTCTCTGCAGCCATCTCAAATGGAAGATGCCCTAGAACCTCAGGAATGAGATGTGGATATTGGAGTCCTCCAAGCTTCCTAGAAAATGCTTCCAGACTCTTCTACACAGTGGTGGAAAACACCCTGCTCTCCTGTCGCTCAAACCTTGCTCTTCTCACCCCTGTCATTTACTAACCTCCAGGTCGTTCTGTCTCCTTCTTCTCACCCCTGTCATTTACTAACCTCCAGGTCGTTCTGTCTCCTACACCTGGCACAATCTCCTTAACTCTGCTTTGAGTCTTCCCATCATCCTGGGTGCCTGAAGTGTCCACACCTATAGTAATTTAGTCTCTCAATCCCTTCTCTTCATTGTCTCCAGTGAGGTCTGCCTTTACTCCATTTCAATCATCCAAACCCGGAAGACCATCAACATCTGGAACAGCTTACATGATCTCTTAAAATCCCCCAAAAAATCATTCCATTCTCTGAAGTTCAAGTTGACAGCTCCCCATTCTTACAGCTCTCTTATTCCAATTGCATGTGTCCCTCGTGCATGAGGACTTTCAGCATGTGGCCTCTTTAATTTACCCGTATTGCTAGTTCCCTTCTTTCTGCAATTCTCCCTCTCACTGGTTTAGATTCTAAGATACATCACTGCAATACTCTTGCTATTACTTCACATTACTTTCCCCACTGCCTTCTTGTCACCCCTACTCAGAAAATCACCTTTTCTGGATAAAAAGTCAGCCTTCTCTGATGCTACTTTTTGCCCCCAAATTGATGCTGTAGAAATATACCATTCATGCAATTTTCTTTCTTTCTTTCTTTCTTTCTTTCTTTTTTTTGAGACAGATTCTCACTCTCACACCCGGGCTGAAGTGCAGTGGCATATCTGCTCACTGCAACCTTCCCCTCCCAGGTTCAAGTGCCTCAGCCTCCCGAGTAGCTGGGATTACAGGTGCGCATGCCTGGCTAATTTTTGTATTTCTAGTACAGACAGGGTTTTGCCATGCTGGCCAGACTCATCTCAAACTCCTGACCTCAAGTGATCTGCCTGCCTCATTCTCCCAAAGTGCTGGGATTACAGGCATAAGCCACTGTGCCCACCCCATTCATGCAAATTAGAACAACTGCAAAGTCATGCTCTCCAGCCTCAACTGACCCCTGGGAGATGCTCAGGAGTCAGCATTGATATCTATTCTCTTCCAAAGCTCATTTGCTCAAGCAGCAACTTTGGTGTCATCCTTGACTCTGCTTTCTGTCCTGCAACACATCTCATCTGTCAATTTTACTGTACAAGCATTTCCCAAATCCCTTTGCATTTGCTCTGGCACTACCTTAGTTTGGTCCAACATCATATTTCCCCTAGATTCATGTAATAACATTTTTTTAAGTAGGCTACCTCTCTGGCCCTGCTCTTCTCTACATAAGTAACTAGTGTTATTGCTTGGAAATGCAAATCTGTTCACTGGCTTAAAGCTTCTTGTACTTCTTAGTAAAAAAGCCAAAGCTCCTTTATATAACATTCAACATCCTCTGGGATCTTCTGCCATAGCTTACTATTCATTTATATCTTTCCATACTCTATGTCTACACACATTTATCTACAGTTCCCTCATCTTCCTGCCCTGTCTGAGCTCTACCACACATCATATTCTGGCTTTCCTCTGCATCTTGGCGCCTGTGACTCTCTCAAATTGGCCTAGATAATGGCAACTTATCTTTTAATTGATGAATTGGAGGTTATTATTCTGGGAAGCATTCCTGGACTCTTTCCTGAGCAACTAGGAGCAATTAGAAAGTTTTACTGACACTCTGATCTTATTACCAAAGGCTCTGTATGTTGCATTGTTTTTTCTTCTTTCTTTGCATTTTTATGCTGACCTAGCCTGAGAGAGATCATTTTGGGTTTTTTCTAAGGAAAATACACTTTACAAAGGGATCGTAGAAGGTGATTCATATACTTGCTGAATCCTCTGAGTATCAATGTACTTATCTATTAAATGGGGATTATAATAGGAATGGTGTAAAAGGGGTGCTGTTATGATTAAATAAACTATCACATGTTAAATGCTTAGCAAATTCAACCCTTAAATAAACCTTAATTACAATGCCATTTGGTAGATTTAATAGGGCAGAGCATTATCAGATCATTGTCATAAGTCTCACGCCAGATTTTATGGAAGATATTTTCTTTAAGTCATTTAGCCACACATCTGGCAGCCACAAGGAGAGTACTACTACATCTTATAAAAGCCGAGGTCATAAATGATTTAAAAAAAAATACAACTGATACTTATTAGCTTTTTTTTTTTTTTTTCCTACTGTGGTCAGTAAAGATGTGAAATTCCCAAGCCAGATTTTGTGTTCTGGTGACCACAATAGTCATGTCATGAACTGTGTACATTCCTCACACCCTCCCTGGAATGTGCTCCCTGCTCTGTCTACACAAACGGATCAGAGGATTCAGGTATGAAATTTCCTTGTTAGCCAAGCAACTGATGAGCTGTTTCAATCCAATCAATTTTTTTTTTACCCTAATTCAGCCAATGTTAAGCACAGAGAGTTGAGTAGCTTCTTAGAAAGAATTGGTCACTTGACACAAAGAGACTTACACTGCATTAAGGAACCCCCAAAGCTACAGAATAGAATCCACACACTAAAATCTCAACTTGCATGTGCATATACCATGTATCCTAATGATATTTTCATTAGTGTTGCAAGTGCCTTTTTTATGTTTTTATTTTAAAAAGACTTTCATAATTTAAAAGACAAAAATGGTGTCTCATGCTTTTAATCCCAGCAAATTGGGAGGTCTAGGTGGGAGGATTGTTTGAAGTCAAGAGTTCAAATCCAGCCTGGGCAACCAGGCAAGAGCCCTGTCTCTACAAAATTTTTATTTTAATTAGCTAGGTGTGGCGGTGTGTGCCTATAGTCCTATCTACTCAAGGAGACTTAGGTGGCAGGATCATTTGAGTTCAGGAGTTTGAGGCTGCAATGACCTATGATCATGCCACTGTTCTCTAGCCTGGGTGACAGAGTGAGACTCTTCCTCTAAAAATAACAATAAGTAAATAAAATAAAATTATTCTTAAATGAGATAAACTGCACTTTTAAATTCTCATCTTCTGCAAATAAGCATGTTAAAAATAACTTCCTGTCTGTTCACCCAAATACATATGTTTCCTAAGAAACAACATGTGTGTGCAAATGTGGTATGTACACACATTATTTCTTTTTTTTTCAGTTGTATGTATTTTTTTTATTATTATACTTTAAGTTTTAGGGTACATGTGCACAACGTGCAGGTTAGTTACATATGTATACATGTGCCATGTTGGTGTGCTGCACCCAGTAACTCGTCATTTAACATTAGGTATATCTCCAAATGCTATCCCTCCCCCCTCCCCCACCCCACAACAGGCCCTGATGTGTGATGTTCCCCTTCCTGTGTCCAAGTGTTCTCATTGTTCAATTCCCACCTATGAGTGAGAACATGCGTTGTTTGGTTTTTTGTCTTTGTGATAGTTTGCTGAGAATGATGGTTTCCAGCTTCATCCATACACACATTATTTCTAATATTCCTATTAAATACCACCCCGCTGATACTTTGCCCAAAGGTTGTAGGTTTATAGTCACTTTCACATGTTGGGATCAGTAAATGTAAAATCACAGATTTGTCAGTGGAAGTGATTCAAACAGCTACACAGGCAGACTCCCCATACAACATGGTGGTCCCCTCTGCTGCCAGTGGTCACTGACACACTGCTTAACACCTCCAGCACTGTTTCATCCTTGCCAACACTCTGCTCCAGGCAGCCCCAATTGTCATGAAGCTCCTTCTTATGGTGAGCCACATTTTGCTTTTCATAACTTTCATCCGTTTTTCATGGTGCTATCTTCTGGGCGTAACACAGAGTATTTCATAAGGAGTATTAATATTTCATTTATTCTTCTTTGAACTCAGCTCTTACACTCACATCTACTCTGCCATAGTTTTATAATCATTTGTTGACTCCTCCATTCAGAAAGCACTTATCAAATTTTTACTGAATACAAGGTATTGTGTGGTGCTATAGAAGATAAAATAATATAAGCTATGATCCTTCCCTTTAAGTAGCTAATATGCAGTAGTCTGTTAATGTCCCACTTAAAATGCAACATAATAAATGGAAATAACCCTCCAGATGTGCTCTGAGCAGTGCTGACTGTAAAATGACCGCTACTTCTCATAAACCAAACTCCCCATTTCTACTAATGAAGGCTATGTTTATGTTGGCCTTATCATAGCTATCCAACCGGATGCCAGATATCCGGTTGCTGGCCAAGTAGAAACTTCTATCTTTTTTTATCTTATCTAGTTAATCTAGGTACTGGTCAAATTCATGTCTAGACCTTTGGGTGTTATCAACCCCATATTTCTTAGAGAAATTTGGGGCTCAATAAAGTTGTATAACATATACTTAATACTACAGAACAATTAAGTGGTAAGTAAAAGGAGATCTAACTTTTCAAAGGGTATGTTAATTGATTATTCTTTCATTTTGTCCAAAAACAAAGAACAATGTAAAACTATAAACAGCTTTTTTTTTTCTAAATGGGAAGTCTACAATAGAAAATAAGGGGTGTTTTGAGATAGCCATTCATGACCCTCCAATATCATGTAAGTAAGAGAGGATCCCACCCCATTGACTGGGTAGTGGGAAACTAATCCCTGGCACCTCCTGTCTCTGCAGAAATATTCAGGGCTTTTTAGCTAAAACAGCTCTTGACTCACTTTCAAGTCTCCTTATCTTTGTCTCACTGCATCTCCTTTTCCTCTGCTGATTTCATGCCTGACACTCAATATTTCCTGGCATTGACTTCAAGCTTTTACTGAATGCTTGCCAGATGTAAATACACCTTCTATTTGCCTCCTGGGAGCAAAGTGCCTACAATTATTAGATTCTGGTTTCAGGCTTTAATATGGTGTCCCTAACCCCTACTTATAGTCTAGCTAGCCAGGCATGGTGGCTCACACCATAATCCCAGAATTTTGGGAGGCCGAGGTGGGCAGATTGCTTGAGTCCAGGAGTTTGGGACCAGCCTGGCCAACATGGTGAAACACCACGTCTACTAAAAATACAAAAAATTAGCCAGGGATGGTGGTGCATGCCTACAGTCCCAGCTATCTGGGGGCTGAGGCAGGAGATTGCTTAAACCTGGGAGGTCGAGGCTACAGTGAGTCCTGATCATGCACTCCAGACTGACAGTAAGACAGAGTAAGACCCTGTCTCAAAAATAAAATAAATAGATAAAAATTAAAAATAAAAATAAATAAAAATTTAAAATTAAAACATAAGATAAATCTAACTCAAATTAATTTAGTTGACATATTTTTGAGCACCTATGACGTGTCAGGCAGGAATAGACTGCTGCCCATAGAAAGGTAGAATCATAAACATTTTGGCATCACTGTCTGGGTTGAAGAACTGATCAATCTCTGTCCCAGTGTGGAAATCCATGCATTCTATTCCATCACATAAATCTATGTTTATAACTCTCAGATCTTGGACTTTGCAACATTTGACTATTTCTAACTAGGTACTCAGGTAAATAAGTTAAAAAAGGAGTCCTATTATTCCATGTCTTATAACTGAGGCAGTGGAGTTCAAATTTCTCATGAAAATGGTAGCATGAAACATTGCAAAGGAGGTGATAGGAATGAATTATATGGAAGAAATTAGCTACTTTTGGAAGAGAATTGAGACCCAGGAGTTTATTATATCTGTCTCAACTCCTCTGCGTACTATATACTCTGCTGTGAGCGTCCAGGAAACAGGCAGTCATTGTGCTTGCAATGCCTCCTGATGGTGCTCCTGCTGCAGCTGTCAGATGTATGGAGACATAATTGATGAAATTCTATTTATACCCAAAGATAAACTTAGAAAACCAAGCCATGCTGCCTAAACTAGCATATTCAGTGGATCCCCTTGTTGCAGTCTCTACCATCCAAGTGACAACATCTACAATACACATTTTCTATTTGCCTTAAAGTCACCAATTGCTTCATACCTTAGAATATGCTAATAGTGTAACAGGACGTCAGCTCCTGATGTCAGATGGCCTGGGTTTACATTTTTACTCTTTTCAGGAATATGATCTTGAGTAAATTTATCAACTACTTCATAAGCTATAATATGCAAAGCTCTTAAAACAGCACCTACATACACAGTAAGCACTCAATATGTATTAGTTGTTACTTTTATGCTCATTATTATTAGTTTATCTGCAGTTCAGACAGAGGAATGGGTGGTCCACCAGAAGGCTCTTGGGCCCAGAAACCTAATCTTCTGGATTATAGTCTCTGGTGTGCTAGGAGCGAACCAAGTGACTATGTGACCTTAGATAAATTGTTGAGCTTCTCTGAACCTCACTCCTTGTGTGTAAGTAAAATGGTGGTGGTGGTGTGGGTGTGTGTGTGTATGTGTGTGTGTGACAAGGTTTTAAATGCTAACATTTGTTTTGGCACCAAAAGTAATCATCATCACTACTAGTTGACTAGACCCTAGATAATGCAACTGAAAAAAAAAGAAGAGAAATATTATTAAGTAAATTGTACTCTTACAGATCTCTCAAGGAAGCATTAAGCCCCATGGGGCATATTTATGCCAGGATAGACAAATTATAAAATGAATTACCTTGTAACATGCTACCTATGAGCAACATTTCCAAAATAATGGTTTTATTCAAATGACAAGTTGTTTGAGATCGGTGTGGAAATGGAATCAATAGAATTCTATTTATTAGAAAAATCAGGTATACCTTCATTATTTTCATCACCAGGAAAAAATATTTAAATATAGGTATTGAAGGGAATTTTAAGATTCTGTGCAGAAAATTTCACCATGTCATAAGGATATTTAAGTTAGTTACTCCTAGGAAGCAGACTCATGATATGGACCCTGAAAACAGAATTATGAAATTTGGAGTATTTTTTATATGCTATAGTGTGTGTAATAAATAAATTCTATTAATCTGAATCAAGATTTGTCTTTACTTTTCATATATCAGCTCTTTTCCCAGAAACAGAACTGTTTCTTGCTCTGTGGCATTACTGGAGAGAATTTTGCGCAGAGTGGATTGGGAAAGGGACATTAAATGTATAAGAACATTAAAATACGAGCAAGAAAAAGAAGCAGAGGAAGGAGGGAGGAGCATTGGTGGAGAATCACAAGAGTAAGAACAAGAAGAAAGAAAAAAGTTGCCATAAATTGCTCTAACGGTTAAACCTGGTATCAAATCCAAAAATTCTGCCTGTGTGATCTTGCACAATTTACTTAACTTCTCTGGGCCTCATGATTCCCCTAAGTGGGTTGAGATAATAATAATTTCTTTACTGGTTTTAAAGTAAATGCAATATGTAAAATATCTAGCATAGAGACTGGAAAGTAGTAGATGTTTAATAATTTGTAGTGATTATTTTCTGAATGTTAAGAGTGGAGGTTTGCACATTGTATACTATGTTGATCCTGGAACATGGTCACATGCTTCATGATCCTTCAAAACATCAGAGGAAACAATGTTTTTAATACTCATCCACTTTACTTGTATTCATTGTAAATAATGAAACTGATTGAGTTAGCAGTGTGACTATTCCAGCTGCTATGTCTTTCTAAATGAGATTATTTAGTAAATATTCTTCAGAGAAGAATTCACTTATGATTTCAAGACCGTAGCGCAAAGGAGCTGCAGCTATACCATTCCTGGCAGTGCTGCATACTGGAAAGAGCCCATGATTTAGAATCAGATACCTCATTTGAATACCAATGGAACCATTTACTGACTTTCTTTTCAGGGGTAAAGTGTTAGGTTGGTGCAAAACTAATTGAGGTTTTGGCCACTATTTAATCTCTGAGAATAAGATTATGTAACTTGAGATGCAAATGGAAACAAAAATAGCAGCTATCTCACAGGGTTGCTGTGAGGATGAAATAAGAGGCTCTATATGATGCATTTGATGAGGGTGTAAAGCGCTGTAAATGATGTTGGTTATTGCTGTTGATCCAGGATCACAGAATAAAGGGCTTCCATTCCCCTCCTCTTAGGTTCTATTGTGTGCAGACGATATGCGATCACGTGAAGGATTTTCCAGGATCAATAGACAGATCTCTAGAACTTTTGGTCATTTTATTTTTTTTTATCCTATTGACTTATCTTCTGGAAGCAGTTTCAAATTTACTAATTGAATTAGCCAAACATCTTAACTTTGGATCAAATTCAAACTTTTGGAACCTTCTCCTTGCCTCTAAAAGCACATTTTTTTCTTTTCTTTCTTTTTTTTTTTAATGAACAGAGCAAAGAAAGTGTGTGTCTCTTGCCCCCTTAATTTTTGTGGACCCAGCTATTTATCTGAGAAGTTTATATGTTCTGACTCTTGGCCCACCCAAATTTTCACTGCCAATTCAGGGGAGCTGAAGGATATAAAAATATACACAGTTGCTGCCTCCTACCTCTACTAGGTTCCAGGGATACCTCCTTAGGGAGGTTCAGGGCCCAGGAAGAAAAGAGAGTCCTCCTTTTCACCTCTCCTTCTTTTGCTAGTCCCTTTATTTTCTCCCTCCTTCTTGCCACTCTGAGACTTATCTTTCCCACATAAGAGCTGTCAATCAGATGTCACCATAAAGTAGAAGGACTTAGTGGATGGGTGACAATAACCTCGTGGTTAAATAAGAAAACCCTGAATCATACAGAAAAGAAAATAAAAAGAACGTGAACAATTGTGGAACTGAGCAACACAGGAAAATAGAGGAGGAGTGGAGTATTTGCATTTTGCTTTCAAACAGTAAAGAAAAATGTGCCTATTTATCCAAGAGGAATAAAGGTTACTAGTTTGAGAGAGGTAATGCAACTCCAAGTTAACAAAGAGAAAAATATGAAATTAAATAATTCAATCAGTAAAAATAGGAAACAGTTAAAGAAACCACATAGAAAAATAAATAATAACCAAATGAAATGAAATGATTAATATCAAGTCTGTTAGTCATCACATTAAGTATGAATGGATTGAATGTTTCATTAATTGGCAGAGATTGCCAGATTGCACTTAATGCAACCTCTGCCAATTAATGAAACATAAAGAAGAAAGAAGAAAGAAGAACAAAGAAGAAGCTCAATAAATGCATGTATGAGAAGCACTTAAAACAAAGAAAGAGGCCGGGCATGGTGGCTCACACCAGTAATCCCAGCACTTTGGGAAGCCGACGTGGGCAGATCACCTGAGGTCAGGAGTTTGAGACCAGCCTGGCCTACATGGCAAAACCTCAACTCTACTAAAACTACAAAACAAATTAGCCAGGCATCGTGGCACACACCTGTAATCCCAGCTACTTGGGAGGCTGAGGCCAACAATAAAGGTTTCAAAAAGCATCTTACATGTCTTAACTTCATCTGGGATCTAGGAGGAAATGCAGATGCTCGGGTCCCAGACCTTCTAAATCACAATCTTCAGTGTAATAAAATCCTCAGCTTATTTGTTTGCACAATCATTAAATTAAAATTTAAGTTTAAAATTAAAATTTGAGAAACCTTTCTCTAGGAGATTTTTTGCTGATATATTAATTCTGCAGCTAAAATCATCAGTGCTTATACGATAGGAAAAAAAAAAATGGATAGAAAATGCCAGGCGCGGTGGCTCATGCCTGTAATCCCAGCACTTTGGGAGGCCAAGGAGGGTGGATCACGAGGTCAGGAAATCGAGACCATCGTGGTTAACACGGTGAAACCCCGTCTCTACTAAAAATACAAAAAATCAGCCAGTTGTGGTGGCGGGCACCTGTAGTCCCAGCTACTCAGGAGGCTGAGGCAGGAGAATGGCGTGAACCTGGGAGGCGGAGTTTGCAGTGAGCCGAGACTGCGCCACTGCACTCCAGCCTGGGCTACAGAGCCAGACTCATTCTCTCAAAAAAAAAAAAAAAAAAAAAAAAAAAAAGGATAGAAAGATCCTTACCACATATTACCTCTTTGCTCTATCTGTAATAGTTTTAGGGTTTAAAAGGATGTCAGTCACAGGAACAGGAATTATTCTATCCTAAGTTTTCTGGTACGATTATCTCCTTACTACTAGGATTATTTTGATTCGTTCTAGTTTTCAATGGCTTAGATATGTGCACAGTTATTGTTTATAAACATCTTCAGAATCTTTTTGGAAGTGAGTGTAAATAACAGATAGAAACATGTTCAAAACTATGCCTTTTTTGATAAGATAATTTAGGTATGTTGGGGAAATAACATTTCTCTAATGTTCTATTTGGTGAAACTACTTTGGGCACAAAGACAGATAGAGATTTGTGTTCCAGCAAATGCACAGCAGGAACAGCTGAAACCCAGGGAGAGATAATGCCCTAAGTATAGCAGTTAAGTGATAAAGATTTTGATTCCTAAAGTGGCGAGCCCCAAGCCTCAAAGTGGCAGAAGCAGCTTAAGACAGCACATAGAAATGAGAAGAACCTCCTGGAGCTATGAAGATACCTTTGGGTACTGAGGAAGCCACGTAATGCACATTCCAAAGGACAGATACTTACAATTGGTGACAGTTGACTGCAGATCACACAAAGCACCATAATGTACTGAAACAGTTACCAGCACCTCCCCCATCATGAAATCCAAAGATCCTTTCAAAATTGTGAACTGTTATCTCTGTGATGTTGTCCACTCCTGGACACTCCTGTATAGTACTCTCCTTTGGCTTTGCTGACCTGCCATACACTGTCCAGACTTGCCTCCCTGATCTGTCCCTTTGAAGACTGCATTTCTCTTCTTAACTCCTTCACGTATTGCTTCAATTTTTACTTCCAGAGAGGTGACTGAAAAATACACTTTGAATCCAGATATCCAGTTTCCCAAACAAGAATATCTAGAATACACCTAAAATTCAGTAGATTGATCAGAGATAAACAAATGTATAATGTTTTGTGCAACACAAGGAACTTTCAGTTATATTCTGTGTAGTCGTGGGTTTTAATTAAGGTTGCCTTAGAAACCAGCACAAAGGACAAGGGGGCCAAACTTCTGAGATTTTTGGAAAACTCTCTCTGTACCTATTTTATTTACTAGTGATCTGTGTAGGTTGTATTTGGTGGGATAATGATAATAACAAAAACAAAAATAATAATCTGATTCAAAATTTACATTATGGATATTACAGAAATAAAAAGGACTATAAGGGAATACAGCGCACAACTGTTTGTCAACCAGGTAGGTTACATAAATAAAACGGACAAAATCTTAGAAACACACAAACTAATGAAACTGACTAAGGAGGAAACAAAATGGAAATAGACATAGTAAAGAGAGTGAATTAGTAATTTGAAAACTTCCCTCATAAAGCTCAAATGAGGACAAAAATGGCTTCACTGGTGAATTCTTCTAAATGCTTAAAAGAAGACTTTGTATCAATCCTATATCAAATCTTTGACAAAACAGAAGTGGAGCGTACCCTACCCAATCTTTTCTAGTCAGACAGAATAAAACCTTACATTTATGGTTAAGTGATTTTGACAAAGATGTCATCATAATTCACTGGGGAAAGATTAATCTTCTCAACAATTGTGCCACAACAGCTGGATATCCACATGCAAAATAATAAATTCATACAACTACCTTACATTATACATTAAAACAAACTAAAATGGATCATAGATATAAATATGGGAGTTAAAATTATATTAATAAAGAGGAAAACAGGATAATGCATTTTCTTGACCTTGAGTTAGTCTGATTTATTGGATATGACATTTAAATAGATTTTTAGGCTGGGTATGGTGACTCATACCGATAATCGCAGCACTTTGGGAGGCCGAGGCAGGTGGATCACTTGAGGTCAGGAGTTCAAGACCAACCTGGCCAACATGGCGAAACCTGGTCTATACTAAAAATACCAAAATTAGCTGGGCATGGTGGCGTGCACCTGTAGTCCCAGCTACTCAGGAGGCTGAGGCAGGAGAATCACTTAAACCTGGGAGGCAGAGGTTGCAGTGGGCCCAGATTGTGCCACTGCACTTCAGTCTGGGTGACAGAGCAAGACTCTGTTTCAAAAATAAATAAATAAATACATAAATAAATAAATAATTTTTTTAAATAGATAAATTGGTCTCCTACAAAGTTAAAAACATTTTTTACTTCAAAACAAATTGAACAGTCGCTCAATGGACAAAAATATTTGCAAATCATATATCTTTCAAGGAAGCTGTATCTCACAACTTCTAAAGAAACTCTTACAGCTTACTAAAGAAAAGTAATCCAATTAAAAGATGGGCAAATGATCGGAACAGACATTTCTCCAAAGGAGATAAACAAATGGTTATTAAGCATATTTGAATAATTATAAGCAACAATGATGATCAGCATCATTTGCCATTAGGGAAATATTAATGAAAATCACACTGAGATATTATTTCATACACACCAGGAGAGCTATAATCAAAAAGATAATATCAAGTGTTGTCAAGGATGTGGAGAAAATTGAACCATTTACGTTGTTGATAAGAATGAATAAAGTTGCAGCCACTTTGGAAAATATTTTGGTATTTCTTCAAAAATTTAAATATAGAGTCACCAACATGACTCAACAATTCTCCTTCTAGTAAAATGAAAATATACATCTATAAAATGTTTGTACATGAATGTTCACAGCAGTACTCTTTATAATAATCAAAAAGTGGAAATAACTCAGATTTTTATTAACTGATGAATAGATAAACAAAATGTGATATTTCCATAAAATGGAATATTATTCACCAATAAAAAAGAATACAGCACTTATATATGAGGTAATTCTTGACAACAGTAGTCTAGGTGAAAGAAGTCCATCACAAAGGACAACACACCATATAGTTCTATTTATACTGAATTCCAGAATAGGCAAATCTACAGAGATGGAAAGTAGAATGGTGGTTGAGTAGGGTTTGTGAGTTTGGGAAAATTGCAAGTAACGGCTAATGAGTATGAGATTTTTGTTCTGTTTTTGTTTGGTTTTGTTTTTTCAGAAGATGGTAAAAAATGTTCTGACATTGATTATGGAGACAATTGTATAGCTCTGTGACTGTACTAAGAAATCAATGAGTTGTAGATATTTAAGCAAGTGAATAGGATGGTTTTTGATGGTTTGTGAATAGGATGGTCTTAATTTTTAAAAATTGCAAATAAGTCAGGAAACCAAAGCCCCAAGCAATTTCTCCTATGGAATTTTATATTTCTCTGTCAATACCATTATTTTTCTAGTCACCAAAGCTTAAATTTGAGTCCTTTTAGATTCTTCCCTCTCTTGTTCTTCCTTCTCTTGAACACTGTGGTAAGTCAGTCTCTTCCTGGATAGTACCTAACATCTATTTTCTATTTTTTATTCTTATGTCCACAGAGATACTTCATGTCATGCCATTATCACTTATTGCCTTGATGACTAAAATTATTTTCTAGCCAGCCTCTGTAGTCCATCTCTCTTTAATTAGCCCTATACTCCAAATAACTCTTCCATCATCTAATCATCTTTCAAAACTGTTTAGTACTTCCTTATTGGAATAAAGTCCAAATTCACTTATTTGCCTTTTAGAACTCCCTCTTGGACATTTTGCTAGCTATTTTAAACAATATTCCTTTCTGGCCAAATAGGTCCAAATATTTCCTACTCAAAAAATCTAATTCTACCATTTTCCCAAAGCCCCCAAAAAAGATATTGGAAGGATAGGGTTTGGAAAGGAATAAATTAAACTGTCATTATTTATAAATAATGTAATTTTGTAACATGGAAAACCAAATACAATCTCCAGAAAAAATATTAAAAATAATAGAAGAGTTCTGTAAGCTTGCTAAACAAAAGATTAATATGCAAAAAGAAAACTGCCATTCTATGCCCTGAAAATAACCAAAAAAAAAAATGTAATTGCAAAGAGGACATTATTTGTTATCTTATCAAAGATTATCAATAAACTATAAATAGTAAATATGCAAGACATAAATAGGAAAAATTATAAAACTGTAAGATGCATTAATGAAGACCTAAATAAATGAAAATGAGGATGCATTCAAGGTTAAGGAAATGGTATTTTAAAGATATCAATTGTTCTTTAGTTGTACTTTAGATTCAGTGCAATTCTGATTAAAATAAACAAAGTCTAAAATTTAAATATAAGAAGAGCCAGGGAAATTGCAGATTTTTGCTCTACCATATATTAAGACTCACCATGAAGTTACACTAATTAATGCACTGTACTCCTGTTCAGGGGGGTAAACACATTGGTGAAAAGAATAAAATAGAGGCCTCAGAAACATACCTGTACATATATGGAAAATTATTTTCTTATATAAAGCATGCGGCATCAATTATGAAAGAAGTCAGGTAAGGCAGGGGTCAGATAAGGTACCAGAATTTGGGTGAGTACACAGTACCCCAGGCAAAACAGTAGATTAGACGATCGTTTGAAATCAAGCTGGATTTCATTAAAATGGTAGGTACGACTAGACAACTAAAAATCTAATGATGAAGTTTAAACAAGAATAAAGAGGAAACGTTCAACAGCAGGAACTGATATTTACAAATTGTCTTGAACTCGAAATTGTCCTCGCTGGGAGCAGCTGTTTCCATTGGGAGCTGTTTTGGAACATACTGTTTGATTAAGTGGCCCCACTCTGCAATTCTCTCTTATTTTTATTGAGTTAAATTACACTGGAGGCACGGAGACTTCTTTAAACTCATAACATCTATTGTTATTTTTATTTAAAAGGATCATTACTCCATTAGGATTGTTACAGGTATTCATGGAAGTGTTCCCATCCTCTGAGAATATGAGAGACTTGTCTAGGTTAGAACAGGGAACAACTCATTTCCTTTTCACCTAAACCTTAGTCCTCTGGAAATCTTTTCTTTCCTGAGAAAACAGAAAAAACTTACACCAAAGTCAGAACCTCTACCATTAACTGTCAGTGATACTTACATTAAAAATACACTACAGTTCCTCCCATTGTCACTGCCTTACCAATGATATAACCCTTCCTCTACCTTTGGGAAAGTGGTGTTTAATTTAAATGTATATTGCAGCTTCACACTGATTATCTCATTTGGAACTCTTGTTAAAATTTATTTTTAAGATTCAAAAACTTGAATCTACCCAATCTATGTTTGGGTAGCGGAGATATTTTTCATCATCACTCTAGCACAAGATACAAAATAATTGTCTAAAGTACCAACATACATGAAATAATGTAGTTTTCCAATGCCATGTTCTCTCCTAACATCAAGCAAGTGGTTCACCGCTAATGTTACTGGTCTGGATAAAGCCTTTGCCTCTGATATACTTTAGATTAAAATATATAAATACTCAAATCAAGACACATGGAGCAAAAGGAATATTTTAAATTCCCCTTGATCTCTGAATTTCCCAAATTCAGGAACAAAGGGTAAAAACTACAAACGTCACAACACATTGTACTGTAGCTAGGTAGAATAGATGACTAATAGACACCTAAATGGTCTGTTAAATGACTAATGTAAAAATTGTCTTAAAATGAATGACATGATTGAAACTATAAATCCATCACAGCAGATCACAGATCAGTCACAGATAAATTGTTTAAGATCCAACTCCATGTTTGAGTCTGTGTGCATGTACATGTCTCTGTCTGAGTTTTGTATATGCTTAGAAATAAAGAACTAAAGTAATACAGACCTTAAGTACAAGTATCATTTTCTTTGTTTTTGCTTCTCCCAATTTTCTAAATTTTCTTTAATTACCTTGTGCTACTTTGTAATCAGAAACAAAATCAATTATAATTTTCAAATATTTTCAACATTTTAATAGGTTCTAATACATTTAGAATTTTCTTCTATATTACCCTTCTATGTTTCTACTTGCTTTCTTCACTAGTTGAAAAGACTCTAAATTAAGATGTCTCGATATAGCTGGAGACTTTGTGTTATTGTTCTCCAATAATCTGCTGAATTTTAGACAGACCAAGGTCATCCATGCCTTCAAATCTTAAGATCAAACCATTTGTATCAAACTAGTCAACATGAATAGAGTTTCTTATAAGCAAAGTGATTTAAACTAGGAGTACATTGTACTTCATTACATGCTGAATACTAATATATCTGAGTGTCTCTAGCCCCAAAGACAGAGAATTTGACTGGAATAAAAATAGGTAGTTTTCAATAATTTTTCTGATTTACTCAGGGATCTACAGGAAGAATGACATCGCTTTCAATAGCCGCATAAATTAAGTTATCCTTCCTGGTGACTTAAACACACAGGTTCAGGACAGTTAGAATAACAGCCAAAGTTAGAATTTGGGCTCTGACAAAAATTCCTTTTTCCTCACTCTAATTATTATATTTAAACAAGAAGTCAAACTGAATGTAAGAATTAATTTCAGAATTTAATGATTCTAATATGCAAATTATTTTTTCCTCAGTTTTTTTTGAATATTAATTATTTTTCTCAGATCTATATTGCATGTAGATTCAGTATATTATAGCACATTCAACACTTGATCGCCCTTTTTTATTTAACTAAAAATAAGATATGAGGCAATGACTGTAATCACATTAGAATCCAGCTCCCACAGTAGAGTCAGAGCAGTTTGAATTGATATTTGTGTCACTGTAAAAAACCGACTGCTTGTCACATCTACTGGTGTTAAACACAACATCTGGTTCAGTATAATTAGGTTTTCAAGTAAGTTGATGAGAAAATAAGCCTTGTGCACTTATCCAACTGGAGAAATATAAAGAATTTTCTTGTGATTGACATAAATATATGAGATAGATTTGAAAAAAATAGAGAATCACATCTTGAGATTTCCACGCTTTTGACACCGAACGTGACCATTACATATCACTTAGAAAGGGGAAACAGAACTCAAATTTTCTTTCACCACCAAACACACAGTCCATGATGACATTTTTTGCATGAGTTAGTGGAAGAGGGTCTCCTGTGGTTGGTCCTAATTGAGGGTTTGTATCAGAAAAAAAGAGCAATGAAGCCTGATGGCTTTGCTGATAGCAAGCGCAACCACACTGGCACAGACAGGACTCTGAAAGTAACTGAATCACTGAACGTAATGGTGTATGAGAGAGGGCAGGCATTTCTGGAGTTGGGAATTGGTCAGCTAGGGGAGATGAAGTTATGTGACCTGGCACTTGTCTCCTCTTCTTGTCAGGATCTGAATACTATCTCTGCCCACTCTTCTGGAAGAGTCCATCGCACAGCAGGTTACTTCTCACTCAGGGTACCTTTGTTACTGAATCTTTAGCTAATGGCTTCAGAAACTTTTAAAAGAAGAGTGCTTCAGCTGCCGCCTAAGGTTGTTGATGTAGCTCTCGAACATGTTGTCCATGTTGCTCCGAGTCGTCGTCTGCTGCTGCAGGAGGCTCCACTTGGTCTCCAGCATCTTGTTCTGCTGCTCCAGGAACCGTACCTTGTCTATGAAGGAGGCAAACTTCTTGTTGAGGGTCTTGATCTGCTCCTTCCCCTGGATGCGCACGGCCTGGATGTTGGGGTTCACCTCTAGGATAAGGGGGCTCAGCAGGCTCTGGTTGATTGACCGTGACTGCAGTGATCCCTCCCATGCCGCTGGCCCCACCATAGCCGCTGCCCAGGCCACCCCGAAAGCTGCTGCTGTCCACTCGGGAGAAGCTCGAGGAGCTCATGCGGGCACAGGGCCCACTCGTGCAGGAGCGGCTGCTGAAGGCCCAGGGGCCAGAGGTGGACACCTTGTAGGACTGTACCCCTCCTGCGCTGCCCCAGAGCCTGGGAGGGAGGCCGCCATGCAGTGTAGCACTGGGAACAGGAGACCCACCTGAAGCTCAGCCCTAGCCCTCAGCCCACCCGCAGGGGAGTTTACTACCTGGGGACCCCCCTTGCCGATGCCTCCAGCTACAAAGTTGCTTTTTTTTTGGTCCAAAATAAAACTTCAGCTAGCTCTGCCAAAAAAAAAAAAAAAAAAAAAAAAAAAAAAAAAAAAAAAAAAAAAAAAGAGTGCTTGTGTAGCCATCAAACATTAATATAATTCCAATTCTAAGAGGCAGGATAACTAGAGATTACTTTAGTGTAGGAAACCTTTGCTAGTCTCCTTTCATAACTTCATTCAGAAGTTATGTGCTAATTTCTGTTCCACTGGGCCATGCAGACATCAACCTACTTGTCCCCATGAGGAAGCAGTAGCAGAAGGGAAACTGCCACAGATGCTCCTTCCAAGGTAATATCAATCACCTCTTTTCCCTCTAAGAGAAGTAGTTTTGTTTTGATTTGGAAATAATTACTATTTTATGTCTCCTTTCCTAGGCTTACACAGGTGTGGAGCTATTTAACTTGAAATTTCATTCAGGGCTTTACTGGTTTTAACAGCAGTAATATGCACTTGAGATTAACAGACTTGAGCTCAAGTTCCAGTTCTAATGCCCCTTTTGGGATTTGGGAAATTAACCTCTTAAGCGTCAGTGTTTCTTTTTCTGCAAAGTAAGGATAATATTATTTACTCTGCCCAACTAATGGGTGGTTGCAAAGAGTAAAGAATTAAAAAAAATACACAAAAGGACTTTTTATATGTTAGCATTCTATGTATATGTTATTACTTTCCTCTTTACAATAAGATTCTGGGTTGGGATGTCAAGTTAATAATTTTAGATGTTCTTTAATTTGGCTCTAACAAAAAATAATTAAAATAAGTATAGTGGGACTTACTCTGTTTTTCAAGTGAAGAGACAGAGCTTTATGAAAATTAAATAAATTAAGGAAAAGTCACAAAGCTAATAGAGTGGATAGAATAAAGCACACATTTCAGTACATAAAAATGGACATTTGATGAAGCTTCACAGGAGCAAGTATGCTTGTAATGAAAATTAAATATTGTGAAATGCAAGAGGATTTATCTATATAAATTCATTGCCAGTTAAACAATTATATCCAGTGAATATTGATTGTATAACAATTTTAGTCTAGGAACAGCTTACTAGGTACGATTTTATTCTGTACTGGGTTCTTCAGCTTTGTAATACATTTCCTAATGATTCTGATGAAATCCTAATAAAAAGCAATATATTTGTGGATAAGAAGAGCTGAACAGGATAGTTTTAAAATTTAGAATCATAAATGTAAGCAACATCAGTAGGTTTAAATAATGAGCCAAAACTAAGTGGTATTTAAGTTAACAAGTACATTACCTGCTAAGTTTCAAACAACAAACTAAACAAGAAAAGAATATAGCAGTTTGTGTGAAAGAAGCACTTCATGCCACAGTAAAATTGATATATCAGTGGTGTGATTCAGATGCTGTAAAGCCATGGATACAATCTTCGACAGCTGCCCGTATTTGAAGCAGTACAGTATACTCGCGTTGAACAGATCAGAGAGGAAGCCTTCTGTAGTGATTAAAGACATAGACTCTGGAATTTGCTTGCCTGTTAAATACTGCCTTTGTGATTGTCTTCTAGTTGTGTGACTTTGGAAAGTTACTCAATCATCTTGTACCTTATGTCTTTGACTGTAGAATGGAGTCAATAGTAGTACATAACTTACTGAGTTATTGAGATTTAAGAGCATAGCCAAATGCTCAAAATGAGACATGGCCCAAAGTCAGTGGCCAGTAGAACTGTCAATATTAATTCTGAATCACAAACTAAGAAAAAGCACTTCCAACCTGAAATAGTAACAGACAAGGTAAGTAGGATGCATAAAAATAATATATATTGCTGTTTATTGAACATTGATTAAGCTCCAAACCACGAACAAAAGCATTTGTATTTAATCCTTTCAAAAATTCTGGGTGTTAGGTACTATTATTTTCCTTTTGCATATGAAGAAACTGTGAATTAGATAGGTTATATAACACAACCAATTAAGTATAGGTGTTTTCTTGGCTTTGAAATACCTTTACCTATTAAGTAATGCTTATTTGAGGATCAGCTGTCACAACTGGGGACATTTATCTTGGAAGAGCAGTGACCAAGTAAAAGCATACTGTCTCCTAACATTTGAAGGACTGTCAAGTACAACAGGGGCCTGACCTTGCCCAGCTAATAATGCAGTCCTACATAAAGATTCTAGAACAGGGTCCTAGTTCATCCCCTTATCTGCTGAGGCCTGGGTTTACTGCATTAACCTCTTATCTGAACTTCATACCACTAAGCTTTTCTTAGTACAATTCATCCTGCATCCTGTTATGAGATTAATTTTCCAAAAATACTACCGCTGTTATATCAGCCTCTAGCTTAAAACTCTTCAGTGCTTCTTCCATGGTATGCAGGACAAAGTCCAGATACCTTAACTTGGCATGCAAAATCTTTCATGATCTGGTTGCAACCCAAATCCAGAGTCATTACTTTTAGAACCAAAAGGTGCCTCAGACATAATGCTGTCCCATCCCATCAATATCAAATGAGAAAATAAATTTCCAAAATGTCACATGATTTATCAAGAACCTACAGCTAGTTAAGAGAAGAACATGGGTGAATAGCTAGATCTCTACACCATTATTATAAACAAGACATTCAAATCAACAATAATTGAAGTGAAGCAAAGTGCGTTGTCCTGCACAGCTCAGTGTTCTCCCCACATGGGTTTCTTTCACGCAGCCGAGAGAGAGGCTTATCTTTTCCTATCCTGTTATTAGTGTGTTGCTGTATTTTTCTTTGAACCTATAAATATGTCTGGACTGATCTTCTGAAACACATATATGTAACTACAGGCAAAGTCTAGTGAAATGCCACTGAGAATATCAGTGTCACTGAGCTTGTTTTGCTTTTTGCTTTTGTTTTATTATTTGTCATTGTTAACTTTGAGACTGTTGTAAGGGAGAAGAGGTATCCTTGTGGTAGTGGATGCTTCTGTTTAATTGCCAGGATATCTTCATGGTTGATAGTTTAGAGGGACAATTGTAGGGTCTGGAGTTAGACAGTTCAGTTTCAACACCTTGGCTCTGTCCAGTTCTAGCTATATGACCTGGGGCTAGTAAGTACACCTCTCTGAGTCTCTGTTTCCTAGGCCTCAACAGGAACTTTCTATCTTTTAGATGCTTGTGAGGTTTTATGAAAATAATGAACTGGAAACACCTGTTCAGCCTGTAGAGTTACAGCCACACCTCAAGAGGAAGTGGGGTACAAGGAGTCCAGCTATTCTTTGTAGCAGTCTTACTGTCAAACACCCAGTATAGGCCTTTGCACATTAACAGAGTAGGATAAAGACATGAAAAATGCAATATTTGAGGTCTGTTGTTTTTCTTTCGTTGGGAACCACTGTCATTTCTCTGAAGGTCCCCAACATTTGCAGCAGATGTGAAGCTCCAAGAAAACGCCCCCAGTCAAGCAAACCACAGCAAATGTTTTCTTAACTTCTTTATATACTGGAGAAAGCAAGATTTTGTGTCCTGGCAGCTTCCAGAAGCTCACCCTCCTCCTTCCCTTAGGAAGTGCTTCTGGCCACCTGTTCCCAAGGACCAGTGTTCATTCTATTACTAAAACCCAATCACAAGCAGGGCACCCCTGTAGGACTCAATTTTTAGAGTGCCTATTTTGAAAGATAAAACACATTTTTGTTAGGAGGCCCAGAGTGCTGTTCTCTCATTCTTTCAGAGCTTGCATTCTTTCTCTGTGATGTCTGGCATTTTTAGTTCTCCTCTTGTCCCTTTACCCTTTCATTTAACACATCACTCCTTGACAGAGGCTCACCTTCACTGTCAGGGAAGAATAACCCCAGGGCAGGCTGCTTCTCATCATCTTCTGTGGTGAAGAGGAAAGCAGAGAAATAATTTAGTTTTCCCATATCTCTTTATCCTCTTTGATTTTTCCCTTGCTTTGCTGGTTTCTAGACACTCACTGGGGTGGCCACAGACAATGCACAAGAGAATTTTTTTTTAATTTAGTTCTTTTCTTCTCTCTTTTCTTTTCTCTTCAAAATTTTTCTTTGTCCTTCGTATTATTTTCTAACCCCTTACTGTCAGAGTCTTCATTCTGTGCTAGGAATTGCGTATGGACTCACATTTCCATTTTAATCATAGCTTCCAAGGGTTGGAAGGGAAATTAGAGGTCAACAAGCCCAGCTCACACTGGGGCTCTGTCTTCAGCTCAAATAACAGTCAGCCATTTAGCCTTTCTTTGGATACCTCCAGTGTCAGGAAGCTCCCTGTTTTGCAGTGCAGCCCATCTCATTATGGGAGCACAACCATCATCAGAATTCTTGCTCATTTTTAGCTGTCATCTGCCTCCTGGTGACATCCAATCATTAGAGAGGTTGTCTTAGTAATGTCTCTGGAGCCGTACTGAATAAATCTATCACCTCCTAGACATGTTAGCTCTTCTCCTGTGCTCTTTTTATTCTGTGCCTTTAACTATTTCTGATATTGTATGGCTTCCTGCTTTGCCTTTAAGCTCTGGTGGAAACAACTTAGCTTACAACTGTTGTTTTCCTCCAAAATGTTGGAAACAAACAGAATAATAGGAACATAACTTTCTGTCACTGGAATAGCATTTTTGTTTCTTTTACTAATGCAGCCTAAGACCCTTTGCATTATAATATGAGTTATATAATTATGTTAATTTATGCATCTATGATACATGGTGTTCCTATTATGCTTGTAACGGTCGCCAAGCTAATATTTTGTTGATCAAAAGTCTGTTTCAGAATCAGTGATTCTTTAATTTGGTATTATATTCTGGGAACGGTTTAGGAAAAGAGTAAAAGAACTTCTTCCAAAGACCAGAAAATGGGAACAGGAACTCACAAGTTTTTCAAGGCAGTATCAATGATTATCTCAGAAATTCAACAGGAGAATAGAACAGAGATTGAGATGGTCCATAGCTCACTTATGGAGGACACAAAGTATCTCAAAATCAATACCTCAAAAGAAGGGAACGTGCATATTTATAAATACAAGCAAAACACTGGCTAATAGACTTCTTTCAGAGAGTTTAATACATATAGATAACTCCTGCCCATGTATACAACAGGGCATATCTGTACCCATTAAGGCACTAATGCAGAAACAAATTGAAAGATTGTTCACAACTCTGTGGCAGATAGGACTCTCTGATATGTGAATGTGTACTTATTGACCACAGCTGCACTAATAGGACCAAAATGACCTTTCGAGTTGGCTTTCATTTCTTTATTTCAGTGGGTTTTGGGGGAACAGGTCATTTGGGGAACATGTTTGGTTACATGAATAATTTCTTTAGTGGTGATTTCTAAGATTTTGGTGCACCCAATACCCAAGCAGTGTACACTGTACCCAATGTGTCGTCTTTTATTCCTCACCCCCTCCCATCCTTTCCCCCAAGTCCCCAAAGTCTATTGTATTATTCTTCTGCCTTTGCATCCTCATAGCTTAGCTTCCACTTATAAGTGAGAACATACAATGTTTGTTTTTTCACTCTCGAGTTATTTCACTTAGAATAATGGTCTCCAATTCTAACCAGGTTGCTGCAAATGCCATTATTTTGTTATTTTGTTCCTTTTGATGGCTGAGTCATATTCCATATATGTATGTATGTATGTGTGTGTGTGTGTACATGTATACATATATGTGTACATATATACGTGTGTGTGTACATATATACATATATATCACAGTTTCTTTATCCACTGGTTGATTGATGAGCATCTGGACTGGTTCCATATTTTTGCAATTGAAAATTGTGCTGCTATAAACATTTCATGTGCAAGCATCTTTTTCATAAAATGACTTTTTCCCTCTGGTTGACACCCAGGTGTGGGATTACTGGATCAAATGGTAGTTCTACTTTTAGTTCTTTAAGGAATCGCCACATTGTTTTCCGTAGTGGTTGTACTATTAGGTTGGTGCAAAAGCAATTGAAGTTTTTGCCATCACTTTTAATGGCAAAAACCACAATTGCTTTTGCATCAGCCTAATAGTTTACATTCCCACCAGCAGTGTAAAAGTTTTCTTTTCACCACATCCATACCAACATCTTTTTTTTACCTTTTTTGATTATGGCCATTCTTGCAGGAGTAAGGTGGTATTGCATTATCATTTCGATTTGCACTTCCCTGATAATTAGTGAAGTTGAGCATTTTCCCATATGTTCGTTGGCCATTTGTGTATCTTGTCCTTAGCCCACTTTTTGATGGGATTGTTTTTTGTTTTTTTTTCTTCTTGATTTGAGTTCTTTATAGATTCTGGATATTAGTCCTTTTTCAGATGCATAGATTGCAAAGATGTTCTCCCCCTCTGTGGGTTGTCTGTTTACTCAGCTGATTATTTCTTTTGTTGTGCAGAAGCTTTTTAGTTTAATTAAGTCCAATCTATATATCTTTGTTTTTGTTGCATTTGCTTTTGGGTTCTTGGTCATGAAGTCTTTGCCTAAGCCAATGTCTAGAAGGGCTTTTCCAATGTTATCTTCTATAATTTTTATGATTTCAGATCTTAGATTTAAGTCTTTGATCCATCGTGAGTTGCTTTTAGTGTACGGTGAGAGATGAGGATCCAGTTTCATTTTTCCACATGTGGCTTGCCAGTTATCCCAGCACCATTTATTGAATAGGGCGTCCTTTCCCCACTTTGTTTGTGTTTGCTTTCTTGAAGATCAGTTGACTGTAAGTATTTGGCTTTATTTCTGGGTTCTCTATTCTGTTCCATTGGCCTGTTTTTATACTAGTTCCTTGCTGTTTTGGTGACTATAGCCTTGTAGTATAATTTGAAGTTGGGTAATGTAATGTGTACAGATTTGTTCTTTTTGCTAACTCTTGCTTTGGCTATGCGGGCTCTTCTTTGGTTCAGTCACATATAGCATGAAAAATCTTCCTGGAGGCATTCTCACCTCAATTTTTAAGATATGTTTCTTCATTTGTACTAATATTAACATATTACATTTCAGCAATCATTTACTGGGCACTGACTGTGTGCTGGATAAACACTAAGCAATTCCTATCTTATTTAATCTCAGTTAATCTGCACCACTCGATAAGGCAGACACTTTTATTCTTTGTTAGTGGAGAAGCAAATTCTATATAATATTTTTATGTTATGTAGATTGAAAAATAGCAGTATGTTGAAATGGAAAGAGAACCAGACTAGGGACTGCCAGGCAGAGATTCTTGTCCCGGCTTTGCTCCTAGCTAAATTCACATCATGAAAATCATTCAATTCTTAGATTCAATTGCTGCAGCTGTCAAAAGGGAATAACAATATATCTCAGGATTATCCTATAAATTAAGTTATATAATGTATGTAAAAATGTTCTGAAAATTAAAAGTATTGTATTACCCTAATGTATTTGAATATATTATCAGAAATTCTAACTTCAAGGTGTTTGATGTTGGAAACAGTATCAAAATAGGTTATATAAGCTGATAAAATTATATTAAATTATTTGTGTATTAATTTGCAAAGCATTTATTTAATGCCTGCCAATTAGGCACTCTGCCGAGTAGTAGGAGATACAATGATACATAAAACATGACAGGGCTTTTCCCTCAACATTTTTACAATCTAAAAAGACTTCACTGGTGCTATTGCTATATTTCAGAAAAGTGTAATTTTATTTCCAGCATATGTTCATTTGTATCTCAATAAACCGTACTCCTTTTCATAGATTTCTTGTGACTGAAAGTCCAGTGGGAAAAACTCATATTTTTGTTTTTGTGGGGGTTTATTTGTTCTATTTTTAATACACTCCCAATACAGAATGTATACTTTAGCTTAATACCTGTATTTTCTGCGCTTCTTTCTATTTAAACTTCCTACAAGTAGAATAATGCTACTCATTTGTAAATACATTTGTAAATCACTTGAATCTACAGAGGCATCATAATTTAAAAATATTCACATAACCATCTGTCTCCAAATTAAAGGCAGGGAGGTATGGAAATACTTATGATGGAAGAATTTTTCTCCAAGAAGGAAGAAAAGGATCTCAAAGGCCACTTTCTGACTCTGTGGGGCCCTTCTGGGTCACTGTCAGCATCTAGGTCTTCAGTTACAGACCTGGGGAATGGCAATCAGAAGAATTATTGCTGTTACTTTCCCAGGTAGATGGTATGCCCAGGGGAGCAAAAGGTTTAGTTAGTGGATTCATTCTATTGAAATATTCGTCCAGATAAAATCCTCCATTTTATGTTAGCCAAATAGTTTTCACTTCTCATCTTCAGTGATAACATCAACCAAAGCTTCACCATCTCAGCAGATTAAGGAAAGATTTGGAAGGTCCTATGTCCAAGGCCAGCAAATAGTTTGGAACACTGTGAAAGCTGTCGTGGTTTTTTTGTTTGTTTTTCTTTTTTTCATTTTATTTTACATGGGAAAGTAGCAGAGAAAGGAAAAACATTAAAAGACAGATATTTGATCTAGAAAAAAATATGTATGCTTTTTTTCCTTAAGTTTTCTCATTTTCTTAATATCTAGGGATGGGGAATATTAGAAATAATGTTACAAATAAAATGTTAAATTGAAGGAAAACAATACAGTAATTGATAATTGAGGTATTTAGGTTTTTCTACTTTGATGACAAAGGTTAATGTAGACATGTAGTAAAGTAATTATTATGGATTTTTATCAATCTAACTATCAGCACAATCTTTCCTTGGAAAGCTTATTAGAGCTCTTTCAACATTGCTGGTTTGGCCATCTGCCCAGGAGGCCTCTTTATGTTGTAGACCTAATAACCTGCTAGGAATTCTTCCTGTCTTGGATTTCTGCTAAGAAACCTGCTTCTTTAGAGAAAATGATTACTCCTAATTTTATTATTATTAATGTTTATAATTTACAGATCAAAAAATAGAGATTAAAGACCTTGAGAAGGCTAGTGTTGATGGGACCTGGTAGTGATATTCAGTGCAGGTAAGAGAGGCTGGCTTCCACAGAGTCAGGAGAAAATCTTGGGTACAACTGGAGATAAGTCAATAGTTGGCAAGGATGGGTAACTAGGCCTTTCTGTCTTAATAGCCTCAATTCCTAATAATATAGGTGACAAGAGACAACTGCAAGAATTGGGGAAATTTGAGAATGGCAGTGAAGGTTTGAAATGGCTATTGAGGGAATTTGGAGGGAGAGATGACTTCTGGTGGGGCTGGGATCTTCTCTTCATTGTGGTTCCAGTCCTCATGGCTGGGGGATTGTATGCAGCAGTAGGCAACAGTTAACTGTGCTGCTGGAGTATCTACAATGCTTCTGTTCACAGGACAGATTCTATACAACAGCAAAGAGCCAGTGGCCCACATCCACCAATGCATAAAGTAATGGACTATGGAGTAACTATCATCTAGATAGAAATGAAAATGAGAAAATGCAGTTAAGAGAAACATTATTAACTGGAAGATAGAGGGCCTATTATGGGGTCTTTCTACGGTGGTTGAGATGTTGGAAGAAAGAAAGGTGGTGAGCTGGAAAACTAAATTGAAGTCATAAAGTAGAATATTAAAGTTTAAGATTTCAAGGATAGAATAATTCTGATTTATAGTAAGTAGGCCAAACTTGTGCCAATGGGAGTGGATCACTGGAAATGAGCGGAAGTGAGGGCAAAGTTGAAGAGGTCACAAAAATCTTAGTTTAGGACATTTCATGGGTTAACTGTGAGGACATTTAAGTCAACCAAGCACTTAGCGGAATCAGAAGTGTGGAAGAGTATCATGAGTCCAGAGCCAAAATGTTGTGAAAGTGACTGGGTGACCACGGATTTGGCTATGTGGCAGAGGAGGTAGGATTAAATAGGCATGAATGTCAGGTTTGTTTCTATTTGGTTAGGAAATAGCTTGAACAATAAAAAAGAAATGAGTCCTTTCTTCCACCACAGCTCCTCTGGTGAACAGAGAGTGAGGCAGTAAGCAGTCTCCTGTTGATAAAAAAGAAATGAGTCTTCTCTTCCACCACAGCTCCTCTGGTGAACAGAGAGTGAGGCAGTAAGCAGTCTCCTGTTGATCATCTGAGAGGGAAGCATCCTTGGGAATGGGAAATAGCATCAAGTCAGTTCAGAGTGGATCCACAGACATTTCAGAACAAGAAGGGAAGGTAGTGCAGCTATGGAAGGCAATCAAGGTGGAATGAAGGGGGCGTGATAGAAGGACATCAAGAACAAACAGCAAGATGTTATTACCTATCTAGAACAGCAAACCAAATATGTATCTGTGCTAGTCACACAAAGACACTAGGCGGTGTCCTTGGATAGATGGCCTTTGTTTTCTTAGTGGCTCATTGCAAAGAGGCCTGTAATATAGAAGGAAAAGGAATCAGAAACTAATATTTAATACACTACAGATAAATTATTTAATCTTCATTACAAACTCCAAAATTTAGAGATAAGTAGCTTCATTTTTTAAAAGATGAAGACACAGAAACTCAGAGAGGCGAAATATTTCTTCCATAATTATTAATGTCAGCAAGTGCTTAATATAAAACTCCAGCTGGGCACTATGATTCACACCTGTAATCCCAGTACTTTGGGAAGCTGAGGTGGGAGGATCACTTGAGGCCAGGAGTTCAAGACCAGATTGGGCAACATAACAAGACCCTGTCTCTGCAAAACTAAAAAAAAAAAAAAAAAAATCAGCCAGGCATGGTGGTGTGCACTTGCAGTCCTAGCTACTTTGGAGGCTGAGGTGGGAGGATTGCTGGAGCCTAGGAGTTCAAGGATGAAATAAGTTATGATTGTGCCACTGCATTCCAGCCTGGGTGATAGAACAAGATCCTGTATTGAAAAGAATTCCCATCTGGCTCTGGAGGTATACTTGCTCTATATGAGTCAAATAATTTATATTTCTTTATCTTGAAAAAGTAGCAATAACATCAACTTTTTAAAACAGTATTTGATTTTTTTTTTTTTTGGAGACAGAGTCTTGCTGTGTTGCCCAGGCTGGAGTGCAGTGGCGCGATCTCGGCTCACTGCAAGCTCCACCTTACTTATTTATTAGATTCAAACATAATGGTTTTTCTATAGCATAAGCCTGCGCTCTAAGGAATTAGTAGGTACAAAATTATAACTATTCACCTTCATGAGATAAGACCAAACTGTTTTCCACAGGGGAAAATTTCTCCAGCAATGTAGACAGGATCACATTTATTCACATTCTTTCCATCATCTGGTATTATAATATTTTGTTGTTATTGCCTCTCTAGTGGGAGTAAAATGATACCTCATGGTGGTCTTCACTTGCATTTTTCTGACTAATAATCTGATTACTAATTAAACTAAACATCTCTTTTTTATTGGTCATAAATATTTTCTCTCCTGTTTGTGGGGATTTTTGCTCATTTTTCTATTGGGGTGATTGTTCTTTTTATTAAGATCATCTCATTAAATGTAGAGTTTGCATCAAGAAGACGAAGTGCCCTCGTTCCTCATCAGGACAAGTGTGGGTTCTGGGAGGCAAAAGGTCCCTGTAGGACAATAGAGATACAAATCATAATGGGGATGGATCCCCCTCCAGGATGCTCCTGTCCCTGCGGGATGGGGGTGGGAGTGGGGATCAGGGTAGTTGAGGCAATGACAGGCTTCCATGGAACCTCCCATGATACCTGTCTTCAGTTCAGAGGAGTGGGGGTTATTTGCCAGGAAATGGATGGTGCCTGAGGCTTTCCCACATCTGTGAAGGAATTTAGCATTCTGTGGAAAGTCCCCAATCTCAAAACCATCCACTGTAGGAATTGAAATTGCAATAAAAATTCCAGTGAACGATGTAAATGAATAAATAAAGTTGGATTTCAGTCCTCAAGCTAAAAACAACAAAAAAAGAAAAAGAAAATAAAAACAGATGAAGAAGTTGCAAAAAGTAGCGTAGCAAATTGGTAGAAGATTCTGAACCAGGACTGAACAAGTCCAGTGCTTTTACAGAATAGCATGAACCCCCAACCTGTTGTTGTTGTTGTTGTTGTTGTTGTTGTTGTTGTTGTTGTTGTTTCGAGAGAGAGAATCTTGC
Source organism: Homo sapiens (assembly GCF_000001405.40). Taxonomy (NCBI): domain Eukaryota; kingdom Metazoa; phylum Chordata; class Mammalia; order Primates; family Hominidae; genus Homo; species Homo sapiens. The sequence continues at coordinate 136,950,849 of NC_000007.14, forward strand.
TCTGTATCTCAGGTTACAATACTGTGGCAAAAACATGGCTCACTGCAGCCTGGGCTCAAGTGATCCTCCTGCCTCAGCCTCTGGAGTATCTAGAACTACAGGCACATGCCACCATGTCCGGCTAATTTTTTTTATTTTTTTGCATATTGCCTAGGTTGTCCAGGCTGATCTTATACTCCTGGCCTCAAGTGATCCTCCTGCCTCAGTCTCCAAAAGCACTGGGAATACATAGGTGAGCCAGCCCGACATGGCCTCCATTCCCTGAGACTCATTCTCAAACAGAGGAGGCCCCCTGGGTGAAGCTACTTGCATAAGACCATGTGGAATATCCAGCTCGAATGGTTCTTGTTACTTCAGCTTCATTCTTTTAATAGAAATGAGGCAAAAGGTGCCAGGCACATGGATGACAAAGAAACCCTGTCAATTTTGAAGATACATAGAATTTGTTGTAAAGCAACCACCAGCACAGCACCTCCCAGTCTGGAGAAAGGTGGGGGTGAATGTAGATTTGATGTGAAACCTTGTGTAAGATATATAATAGGCACTAGAGAAATGACACTTGGCGAAGAAAATAATAAAATATGACTTGCTAGAGAGCCTGGCTTTGCTGACCAGCTGTAGGTTCTATAACTGCAGCTTACGTCCCTTTTGTTTCACAGTATTTATAACGCACTTGGCAGATCTGCATTCTTCCCTCTCTGATTGCAAATAAGAAAAGAGGGAGTGAGGGGTTGGCATATGGGAAGAGGATGAAAAGGGATGATTCGCTGTCCTTTCCTAATGATATCCGGAAAGAATAACTTGGGATCTGGGATAGAAGAAACTTACACAAATACAATATTTCAGTGAATTTATTCATTCTTTCATTGGCTCCTTCCCACCCTCCACATTCGTCACTGTAAGCACTGGATCACTTTCCTTGTATGGTATGGTGAATTGACTAGTGAGAAGAGACCTGTTTTTCTACTGAAATGGCAACCTTTAATCTACATGCATTCTTTGCCTTTCCTCCTGCTATAGGTTTTCCAGGTCCTGGCACCCATATTTTCTTCCTGCTCTTTTCTCTCTCTTCTTTCTTCAGTTGTTTTCAGATTGAGGAGAAAATAGTATCTTTGGGGCATCTCTTATCCACAAGCAGGTTTAGATTACTTCCCTGTTATATGTACAGGATTTGTCGCCCTAGACCCTCAAATGCTAAACTGAAATTCCAGATCTTTAGGGTGGGAGCAGAACACAACTTATTGGTCCCACTTCGACAAGGGCAGAAGTAGATTCGAGGGCTTGTGCATACGTGGAGAGAGAAAAGAGCTTTGAAGATATCCACAATACCTTTCCAACATTTGGAACAGGACAAATAATTATGCGTTTCTAATATGATGACATAAAATATATTTATAACTATGCCATGTTCTCTCACTACAGAGTGCAAAACATTCTGTTAAAAGCAGTATTTTAATTTCCCTCTTATTTCCTCATTTTTCTCCTTTCTTCTTCTATTATTCTTCTAATTGCTTTATTGATTTATAGACTTATTTAAAGCGTATCGAAGATCTTATTATCCAGCTCTGTCAATTCACAAATGAGAAATTGAGAACCAGTGGCATTGTTCAAATTGTTTATGTACTTCAGTCATGAAGTTCTGGTCGTCTGACTTCTACACTGCTGTTCTCTACCCATGATGACTGAGTTTCTACTTTAGGAAACTGCCTCTCAGACATCTTTTTTAAAACTTTTTTTTTTAAGTTCAGGGGTACATGTGCAGGTTTTTTGCATAGATAAACTTGTGTCACGGGGGTTCACTGTAGATTATTTCATCACCCAGGTATTAAGCCTAATACCCATTAGTTGTTTTTCCTGATCCTCTTCTTCCTCTGACCCAGAACCCTCCAATAGGCCCCCGTATATGTTGCTCCCTCTATGTGTTCATGTGTTCCTATCACTTAGCTCCCACTTATGAGTAAGAACATAAGGTATTTGGTTTTCTGTTTCTGTGTTAGTTTGCTAAGGATAATGGCCTCTAGTTTCATGTTGGATTCATGTCCATGCAAAGGACATGATCTCGTTCTTTTTTATGGCTGCATAGTATTCCATGGTTTATATATACTGCATTTTCTTTATTCAGTCTATCATTATGGGCATTTAGGTTGATTCCATGTCTTTACTATGGTGAATAATGCTGTAATGAGCATAAATGTGCATGTGTCTTTATGATAGAACTATTTGTATTCCTTTGGGTATATACCCAGTAATGGTATTCTTGGGTTGAATCGTATTTCTGTCTTTAGGTCTTTGAGGAATCGCCACACTGTCAGACATCTTTTGATAGACTTGTAGACTGGCTCTGTTTTTTGTTCCACTTTGTATTGTTTCACATCAGTAAAATTAATATACAGTCTGACTGTTTAGAGACTGAGCATCTAAGTGCCCCACTACCCCTATGTTACTTGTGAATATTAATAACTGTAAATTTCTGGTAGTGACAAATGGACCCTTCAGAGACCTCAGTAGAGTCCTGATCCTCTATAAATTACCAAAACGCTATTAAGTGTATAGATAGATTTTTCTGGTCTATGTTTTCTATGATTTTCCAAAATCACAAATATCTTAAGTCATATGAGTACTTTAATTTATTTTGTCTATCCTTAGAAACCCATAGTTAGTAAAATTTCACAGCCATGGGACATTAAGTTATGCCACATGCCAAATTACTCATTCAACAAACATTCACTGAATGCCTGTTACGTGCATTCTACTGACAGGCAGTGAAGATGAAAAAGATGGATGTGACTTTTTCCTCCGAGAGCTCATAGACAGTGGCTGAAACAGACATGCAAACCAAAAATTTCTTATGCAGAGCAGGCATCCTATGCCTTAAAATTTAATGAAAAAAAAAAACAAATATATTTCAGACGGACAAAGCACAACAGGAGAAGGCAATGCAGCATCAGAAAGGCAGTATCTGTTGGCTCCTAGTTGTACCCCACTTGTCCTCAGAGAAGGTCCAGCAACACTAACCATGGAGGCAAGAAGACTAATCCAAGCAGCACAGCACTGCCTCTGACTGGCACATGCATTAGGACATTTTCCTATCCATCCTCTTACCATGGTGAGAGGAGATCTTGGGCCAGAGCTGGACTGGTGGACTATGAATCTAGGTAGAGGAATGGCCTGTTTATTATGAGAAGAGCCTCCAGGGCTCAGATGCTTATATCAGTCCAGAACTTTGTGTTCTTCCTTTGAGGTAAGAGTGAGCTGACACCTTGATAAGCTACCAAAAGGGAAGAGGAAATGATCCAAGGCCATCTAGATTCTTCTCTCCTCATTCTTTATACACATACATATGCATTATATACATATGCATATACCTATACCTATACATTTATATATGTGTGTATTTTTCCCCTCCACAATGCCATTATTTTAAAAAGTTGGTGGTCTGTTGTCTGAGCAAATAAAGTAGGTACACACATGTGTTTAGCTTTGTGTGAAATCTCAAACTTTCACCATTCTCTCCACATGTTATCCTCATCTCATTTTTAGGATCAAAAGAAAGTAAGTTATTTCATGATTCTGTCGATTTCTTCCTCCATATTACCTGTCTTTCTCTAAGATCTTACTAAATTGTAGATTATCTTCTAAACTTAATAACATAGTTTATTTTATTTCTGTTGACAAACCTTGCATGTCTCCTCTTCATATTCAATGGATTCTCTACCTGAACTCCCTTTCTGTTTATTTCTCCCTCATGAACAGTGAGTTCATGGAACTATAAACAATGTAGAAAGATCAAAATACAGAAAAAATATGAAAGACTTTTGAAAAGGTAGGGGCACTGGATGTATTTTATTCTCCACTCTTTAACTGTGATTGGAGCCCAGGAAGCTGAATGATCTTGACTACATCCATGGATTCTTCCATCCTCGTAGCTGCCAGTTGGGTTCAACCAATGGGAAGCATCAGAAGATGATCAAGAGACAAGAGGACAGTTGGATTAAGATATTCATAACCTCACTACCCCTTCTGGGAGATCACTATAGATTGTTGCCTCCCTCTGCTAAAGACCACAGCTCTTGGCAGACATTCCTCAACACAGACCTATATTCCTGGTTCCAGGAATCCCCTCCTCTTCCCACTTTGGGCCTAATGGTATTAATACCCCTACTAGTACTATACCCTAAGTGCTGCACTTTCCTTTCTTGGTTTCTTAAGGACATTCTCGCATAGTTGTGTTGTAGATGGTAGGATAAATGAGCCGTAAAAGAGTTTTAAAAGTTCGTGTTTTCTTTCACATTGGGCAACTCCTTTTGAGTAAAATATTCACCTCTCCTCCTTCTTTCTCATGATTTTGAAATGCATCCTGACTGCTTCCTTTACTAGCCAAAGTATTTTATAATCCATTCATATTAGTGCATTAAATAACTCAATTCTTATGAAGCATGCTGCTGATCTGAATAATAATGTTATGAGTGAAAATGGCACCTTTAGTACTATTACTCTGGGGCTTCAACTTAGCATTTGTTTACTTCCTTGGAATACTCTTGTCCTCGGGTTTTCACATTCTACCTGGCTCCTAATTATTTCCCAATGGTAAAGTGCCAATTCTAATAGTAGAATAAGATGGGATACATTCAACCTTATGCACTGTCACCTATTATTCGTCAAATTCCAGCCATGAGTTGGATGAGCTCTGTATCCATGGCCATGACAGAACATAGTCCAGCTTGGCCATTCATTTCAAAAGGAATGTCCTGGCCTTTGTCTCTCTGTGCTTAAGGAGGCACCCTTTGCCCTTCCAAGCAGTTGGAGTATACTAGGACGTATGGTCATTGGTCTAGGCAGTTGGTTTTGCAGAATTTTGGAATAACTATCTTCACACATTTAAGTCTGGAGCATTCTCTATGCCCTTTAGTACTAATTTTTGAAAAATATTATCATAAAATGAAGTTGATAAAAAGTAATAAAGGTCTGTTCTCTTGATGCCTGAATTTCAACTTGGCATCTTAAGCATACATTATTTATGCAAAGTGTTATAAATCACCATATGCTCATTAACTACTTGTTGTCTGCACATATAATGAGGGTTTTTTGTTTATTTTTAATATATTTTATTCTACTTGAATAAATGGTAGTAATGTTTCAACTGATATTTACTGAGTAACTTCCCTCATCCTTATACTACTCCCAGAGTTAGAAGTAACTCAGAAGGAAAAATATTAGATTCCAGTTCACTCTGATGTATATTTTTAATAGGGGAAAAGAGAGATACTATAATTGTATCATATTACAACATAGAGAATAAAATTTAAAAATAATTTTGAACAAGACAAACAAGGTGATCTCACAGAAGGATGGAGTTATTTCAGGACTTTGGAATGGCATGGAATATAAAATATGGACTTTATGAGAGAGCAAGAAAGAATTGTTAGTCAGCGGTCTTTTTGTTTTGATTCCTCCTTGGTTTTTATACATTCTTTTTAATGTACTATTTATTTTCTGTTTGAACTGTTTTCTAGATGAGCCTTAATATAAATGTACTGTTTAAGGGGAAATGTCAACTCTTAGTCATCTAGAAAAAATGCTTCACTCTGACCTAAGATTAGTGGGTATAGATAGCAACAGGAAGCCTGGATTGAAAATAGACCTGGTTTTTGAATCCTCCATTACTGAACATCAATATGTAAAACAGATACAAATGGGGCATCAGTTGCAAAAGAAGACAGGAAGCCTCTACCCACATTTCCACACTTCCTCTACCCAGAGGATTTGAAAATTACTGGTATACTTTTTTATTGTTAGAGCATTCAAATGTTATCCTTCATTATTAAATAAATAAATGGTGACTGCTGACATATTAGCCTCAACTCAAATCCCTTTGTCTGTAGCTGTATAGTCAGTTGCCAAGAAGATATTTTAGTGTCAACTAAAGCAACAAATCAATGCAGACAGGGAACAGGGAGGGGGAATGGGATCATATGAAGGTTTTTTTTTTCCTCTCTCTCTTATTATTACACCCATTTACCAGAGGAAGTGTAATGCAATAGGGTGAGGACCTCTCTTCCCGCTGACTCCTTAGCAAACACGCTTGAAGGCTACATGTGACATAATGTGAGGTTAGCCCTGGGACTCACTGTTCAAGAAAGCTGGCGGGACTCCCCCTACTCCAAGGCCCCTCAGAGATGCCTAATGGAGGTGTGTTTTGGCCTGGATTGACAATCCTCTTGGATGACTGACTCTACAGACCAAGTGGCAAAACCCCACTTCACTTTGTGCTGGAAAGGCAGCACAGTAAGTCAGGAACTAACCTGCGGCAGGAGGCCAAGGATTTGGATGGCAATTTCTGTGCTTTGTTCAGTACATCTTTTGGGGGCAGCCCACTCCTATCAACATAACAGGTGTCATAGTGTATATGTGTGTGTGTGTGTGTGTGTGTGCACATGCACACATGTATGTGTGTATTTTCTAGAATAGCTCCATTAATGAAGAAACTAGGAACCAACTAAGGAACTGTTAACTATTGGCAAAATATTCAGTGCATTCTGATTTTCAAGTTGTTGACTTATTGGTTTGAAGCTTGTGCAAATAAACTGGAAATGTTAAACAAGCTGACAAACACATAAACCCACAAAAGATAATGACAGTCTATTTATTTGCTGTGCAATGACATCCATAAGATTATAAAAATACCAGCTTATTCTTTTTGACTATTACTCAGTGACACTCGAGAGACGAGTTGGGATCTCTGACAAACAGAGTATTTATGGGATGACATGTATCTGAAAAAGCCACAAGGTACATACCAGCACTGTGTGTCTCTATATTGTATAAACATATCTATTGTGTATTCACCCCTCAGTTTACAAGTTGCTATTTTTCCTGAACATGTTAAATGTTCTGTAGAGTTCTCTAAACAAATTTTAAATATTATGACATCTCAGTAACTATTGCATAGAAAATCTTCATATCTAGAATAAAACATAAAACTTTTTATTGAAGCCACATCTATAATTAGTCAAAACGTTTTATCAATTCAAAAGTTTTTAAATCAATTCACTAAGAATATCAAACTGAAATTTGACACTTTATAAATTAAGCTAGAAGTTTAAAAACTAAATATTTACCATTTGATCATCTGATTTTGAAAAATAACAATGACTCATAGTGGCTGCTTGATATTATGTAATCTATTCCATTTGGAAACATAGTTTGAAACTGATTACACTGGTGCCATTTTTCAAATTTTTAATTTTCTAATGAGAATTTGGCAAATTATTACCAGCACATTTTTATGCTAACGGAAATGAGCCAGTTGAGAGGGAAGAGAACAGCTGGTGGAATAGATAAGAAGGCAACATCTTAGAGTTGGTAAGAGAAGAAGGAATCCAGTGAACAAGAAGAGACATTGTCTTTAGCTTAGACACAATGACTTCATCCATGATAGCAGCAGCGAGGGCAGAGTGGTTGGGCTCTGGTACTTGCAGCTCTTTGAATACCATGATGGGAGCCTGTGGGCACTTTATTTTATTCACTTCTATTTTCTATTGTACTTCTTACATCTATTGTAATTCTTACATCTATTGTAAAATGAAGAAGCAGTGTCATCTTTTTTTTTTTTTTTTTTTTTTTCTGAGACAGCGTTTTATTCTGTTGCCCAGGCTGGAGTGCAGTGGGGCGATTACAGCTCACTGCCACCTCTACCTCCCGGGGCTAAAGCCATCCTCTCACCTCAGACCCCTGAGAAACTGGGAATACAGGAGTGTGCTACCATGCCCAGGTAATTTTTGTATTTTCTATAGAGATGGAGTTTCACCATGTTGCCCAGGCTAGTCTCAAATTCCTGAGCTAAAGCCATCCACCTGCCTCAGCCTCCCACAGTGCTGGGATTACAGGTGTGAGCCACCATGTCTAGCCAGCATCATCTGTTGAGAGTAAGAATGGGTAAGGAAGTGCTGGAGATTAAATGAGACTTCAAATTACACAAATTAGTTTTTAAATGGCAGTAGGAAGTAAATGGATCACCAGCTCTGTCCACAATACAAGTGATTACCTCTTCAGTTGACAGTAATATTACTATTCCAAGTTTGAAAAATTTGAGCATATGCCCCTCGGTATGGTCTCTCTGAGGCCCACCAGTTTGTCTCTTCCTTAGCTTTTAGAGATGTCTGAAAAGATGGCTGAGAGGCTATTTTTATGTTTCTGCCCTGGAGACTCTGAACCTCTTCTGGGATAGGCACCAATATCATGTGAACAATGGTGACCCAAGTCATCTTCACCTTTCTCTTATCTCCTTCCTCTCCTTAGCTTCTATCCTCTAATAGTGCTCTCTAGATACATCCTTCAATTAAAAATAGTTTGAGAATTTACCCACCAATAAATCTATATACTTACAAATGAATGTATATCTTCTGCTATAGTAATTTTTACATTAAAATGTAACTCAGAGTATGAATTTTAAAGGAGGTTATGCCCTTCTGACCAAGATAAGCAAAGTGATTTGAGTGGAGGACTAACAAGAAATGCGTTTATTGAGATAGGAGTGCCTGAGACATGTGGATACCAACATCTGGTTCCGGTATTGTAGATCCATTAGGCCCATGCTAGGCTCCATAAGAGTGTAAATGTAGAGGTTGGTAAAAGAATTATCAGTAGAGTTTAAAAGTAGCCACAGAATGTGGAGGATGTGCTTGAATGTGAAGACAGAAACCAAACTCTACATTTTTCCATTATGGTGATTTCTGAAGTGGGTGACAGAAGACCAAAGCATATGTTAAGAAGGAAGTGAAGGGGGAGGCCACGGTGGCTCACACCTGTAATCCCAATACTTTGGGAGGCCGAGGCAGCAGATCACCTGAGGTCGGGAGTTCGAGACCAGCCTGACCAACATGGAGAAGCACGATCTCTACTAAAAATACAAAATTAGCTGGGCCTGGTGGTGCATGCCTGTAATCCCAGCTACTCGGGAGGCTAAGGCAGGAGAATCGCTTGAACCTGGGAGGCAGAGTTTGCAGTGAGCTGAGATCGCACCATTGCACTCCAGCCTGGGCAGCAAGAGCAAAACTCCGTCCAAAAAACAAAAACAAAAACAAAAAGAAGGAAAAGTGAAGGGTAGGGGGCTACTCTATCCCTGATTCTAAATAGTACAGCCTCATACAGTGCAAGTACTATCCCTGTGGTTCCTGGGGCTCTGGGTGAGGGAGAACGGAGAGCGAGGGAGGGAGTAGCTGTGTGGCTGTCCTAGAACTGGGCACCAAGCAAGCTGCGCCCCAACCTAAGAGGGGGCTAAAAGAATTAACTCTTTACCAGTGGTCAATGGCAGGCAAATGTATTTCTCTGTACCTGGGTCTTAGGAGATAGGAAATTCTGGAATGAAGCTGCATGCTGCCCTAGAAAACCATCCACATCATCTATACAAAGACCTCCATATTAACAGAGGCTGCTAGCAGCCAATGGAATGGGCTTGGACCTAGTACTACCTTCACATAGTATAGATGTGAAAAACTGCAAGGGGATGTTTGGCTTCTCTCTTTCTTCTCCCCATTTCTAACACCAGAGGAGCTAGACACTGGGGAAGGAGAGAAACAAACGTGGCTAAGCCAGAACATCCTATTCACTCATTCCCAGGTTCTCCAGTCAACAGACAAGGAAGGAGTCAAATAGATCACGATACCTCCCAACTCAGAAACCAGAGGTAAACTGGAGTAGACTAAGTTAACTATAAGTTGTAGAGTAACTGCTTAACTATAAGTTGTAGAGTAACTGCTAAAGTGAACAACTTAACTATAAGTTGTAGAGTAACTGCTAACATGAGATTTGACAAAACATGCTTGAAGGCAATGGTTAATAAAATATTCACACTTTTTTTTCTATTCTATAGCTCATTGTGTTGAGACTCAATAAACCAATCTCATAAGTACAGACATAAACTCTTTCACTTGCAATGGTTCAACTTAGTGATTTTTATTATTATTTTGTGATGGATATGAAAGCCATATGCATTTGGCAGGGCACAGTAGCTCACACCTGTAATCCTAGCACTTTGGGAGACTGAGGTGGGCAGACCACTTGAGGTCAGGAGTTTGAAACCAGCCTGGCCAACAGGGTGAAACCCCGTCTCTACTAAAAATACAAAAAAATTAGCCAGGCGTGGTGGCAGGTGCCTGTAACCAGCTACTTGGAGGCTGAGGCAGGAGAACTGCATGAACCCAGAAGGTGGAGATTGCAGCGAGCCAAGATGGCGCCACTGCACTCCGGCCTGGACGACAGAGCTAGACTTCATTAAAAAAAAAAATTAATTAAAAAAACCATATGCATTCAGTAGAAACCATACTTCAAGGACCCATAAAACCATTCTGTTTTCTACTATCAGTACAGTATTCAGTAAACTACATGAGGTATTCAGCACTTTCTTATCAAATATTTCTGTTTTAGGTGATTTTGCCACTGGAAGCTAATAATGTAAGTGTTCTGGGCAAGTTTAAGGTAGGCTAGGCTAAGCTATGATGTTTGGTATGTTGACTAAATGCATTTTTGACTTACAATAGGTTTATCAGGAAGTAACATAATCATAAGTTGAGGAGCCTCTGTACTATATTGTAAAATGTTATACTGAGATACTTTTTAAATGAGGCATACTCAACCAATTTTCTCCCACTAAAAATATGTTTAATTATTTTTAGTGAAAGCAAAAAGTTTCTGTTCAATTAATAAATACAAAATTTCTAATTTTTTTTCATTCTTTAAACTGTAGACTTTGGGGTACATTTCAATCTAAAAATTAGGACAATTGTTGGTGTAGATATTTATTTATATATGAGTTATATAGGTTTACTGGTAGGTAAATTCTCAAACATTTTTTAAACTGGAAGATGTATCTAGATAAACTTTATTAGAGAAAAGAGGTAGGAAAAGGGGTCCAAAAAAGGAAGGTGAGAGAAAGGGAGAAGGAAAGGAAAGAGAAGGAAGAAAACAAGAACTCAGAGGAGAAGAGCTGGTCATGGATATGTGGAGAAGAAAGTAGAGGAGAAGGAGACGTGGGGAGGACAGGGGCGTGGATCCTAGGGAAGACAGGATGGCTTGGATTGCTTGGTTCACATGACAATCAGTGCAGGTTCCAGAAGGAGTTCAGTGTTTTGAGGGCACAAACATAAAAATAGCTTCTCAGCAACCTTTTCTAGAATCTGTAAAGGGAAAAGGAACGACTGGAGGGCCTCAGACAGACTATACTGTGGGGTATATGACCACATTTTCATAACTCTGCAGTAATGACTGTCAACTGAATAGGTAACTGGTAATTCTGTTTTTTTTTTTTAGACAGAGTCTTGCTCTTTTGTCTAAACGAGTGCAGTGGTGCAATCTTGGCTCACTGCAACCTCTGTCTCTGAGGTTCAAGTGATTCTCATGCCTCAGCCTCCCAAGTAGCTGGGATTTACAGGCATGCGCCACCATGCTGGGCTAATTTTTTGTATTTTTAGTAGAGACAGGGTTTCGCCGTGTTGGCCAGGCTAGTCTCGAACTCCTGGCCTCAAGTGATCAGCCTGTCTCAGCCTCCCAATGTGCTGGGATTACAGGTGTAAGCCACTGCGCCCGGCCACAACTGGTGGCTTCTGAGGCCAGAAAGGATAGTAGAGGGTGAGTGGTAGTGGTGGCAGGGGAGAATTAAGTAGACTCTAAGTAAGAACAGGTAGTCATGCCCTGTTCTCTGAGGGCATTTGTTAAGCTTTCCATATTGAAATATGAAACTGTCCACTTAATTGAAAGTTAGTGGGGAAATGTAATTTTTTGAAGGAGTAAGTTTCATTTACTTGGCATCAGTTTAAAAAACAAAAACCCAGTACAAACTTGCAAGATAAGTTTCACCTGCCAGAGAACGACATTGTATTAGGAATAAGCAACAGCGTCCTTGTTAAAAGAGCCAGAAAAGGTCTAATATGCAAAGTACCCTCTGTACTACTGAAAAACCGCCTCATTGTGACTCAGAGTTCACTCACAGAAAAATAATTAAGGCCCTGAAAGTCAACAAGTATTTATTAACAGCTTAAAATATGTTCTACACTGTAGTAGGAATTATGGTGGATACAGTCTTGCTTTCAAAGAACTTACCCACTTGTAGGAAAATTAATAATTGAAATTGCAATAAAGGTTTGATACAGTTAGGGTTAAGTACTTACATTAGTTTTTACGAAAAAAGAATACAAATCAAATTTAATGAACTGGATGTGTGATGTTACATGGAAGAGTGAGAGGAGAACTGAGAGAAGAAAAAAAGAGAGAGAAAATTACTTTTGAAACAAAACATTGTCCCAGAGTTCAAGAGAAACAAAACAAAAAGGAAACAGAAGGTAAGACAGCAGGAAGCAGACACTAGAAAAGAAAAAGAAATAAAAGATAAGACCAGGGTGCCTGAATGCTTGTCCATTCCTTTTCTGTTTTCCGTTAATTAATACATTTGTTTTAAAAGCGTTTATCTCGTAAGCACGAGACATGGTGCTGAGCAGTGGAGAAACAGAGTTAAAGAAGACATGATCTCTGCTCTTGAGGAACTTACAATTCAAGAAAATCAAAGCAGTAAAGCACTGATTGCACTGCAATGGGTCAAGGATGCTTTGCCAGAAAAGATGTTCATAGGATTTCAGGAAGAACGTAATTTACTGACAAGACTTAAGGGCTCTAGGGTTTCAGATGGTTTGTTTTCAAGGATGAAAACTGAAGGAAGAATATGCTGAAATTAATGTTGGAAATTAATTATTCTCTATTCAAGGCGCACGTCCCCACAATTTAGTCCAGTACATTTCAGTTCATCTGCTCCCCTCTAGAGATATGGGTTAGCCAACCAGGGGTCTCAGTCCTGGGTTCACATTAGAATCACTTTTAAAAAAATGACGCCCAGGTCCCACTGTGGAGCATTTAAATCAAAATCACTTATGTGAAACCTGGGCAATTGCATTAATTAAAAAAAAAAATTTCTCTAGACAATTCTAATGTGCTTCCAGTGTTGAGATCCACTGAATACTGCTGTAGCAAAGGTTTCTCAAAGGTTTCCAGGTTGGTTACAGATGTTATAACAGAGACACCCTTGTCTTTTGGTGGCACTGATGTCCTCTCTTTATACTTCTCATTTGCGTACTGCACTGTTCGGCTGGGTTCTTGTGGTATTTAGTCACTGATGAAATCAACTGTATTTATTTGCAGAACATTCCTGTTTTGAAAGTTTGTCTATTTGCTGCCGGTCCATACAAATTCACCAAAAAGGTTTCAGCCAAATAATTCTTTCCCAGGTGTATCTAGTGAAAGAAAAGTAAATTCTGACAGTAGAAAATTTTCATTAGAATATAATTTTCAAAAAAAATTATTATTAGTTATTTGCCCTAAGAAATGGTTAAATATATATATATATGTTTTTAAATGAAAATTAATAACTTTTATATACAACACATCCATATATTATTGCTATTTAGGGGATCACTATTTCAGCTTGTTCTCATGCAGATAACTTTTACCCTCCTGCAGATTTTGTAGTCAATAAAAAATACAGCTGAAATTTTAAACTTCTATGACCTCTGGAAGCCTTTTGAGTGCTGCCTGGAACTTTTGTCTTTGGTCCTCAGTTGGCCTTGGCAGTATAAGGGCTGGGAGAAAAACATTTCTCAATTGCCTGCCTGCAAAATATCAGAAAATATTACGAGACCAGTCAGCATTGCCAAATTCTTTCTTCTTTCTTTGTCTAGTCTCCCAAAGGAAATATTGGATTCCTTCCTCCTTTTTCCTTTGCACACAGGAAAACTGAAGCTGCAAAGTTTAAGACAGAATTTCCCTGCCTATGTAGTCTGCCTATGTAGTCTGTTCATCAGAGTATTCAGTCCATGAAAGTCTGTAACAGAGGAAGCAAAGTACCCACTCTCTCTTCTCTCTGTGACATCTGTTCAGTTTTCTTACCTATTCTTTGTGACCAGTCCAACAACTACATCTAATAAAATAATTGCTAGCAGTTTATTTAAAGTGTCCAAAACTAACAACTCTCTGGTTGCCTTAAAAGTTATTAAGCTTCCTTCCCTTCCTTTCTGAACCTTTTTAGTATAATTTGAACAAAGGACCTTCTAGGTATTATAAAGTCTTACAAATATTGGAAATTTTGTTGAGAACTCATCACTGACATAAAGGCATGGACATTATACTTCATTTAAATAAAACAGGTATAAATAGTGAAATTTCTATGTCAAGAATTATATAAAAGTCTAGATATCTATGAATTAATGCAGACATGTATATTGTGGTGAGCTTTAAAATTATGATAAAATAATAGAGATTATGGTGTTTATGGTAACTTTTACAGCCTTCTTGTCAAAATGCTCTCTTAATTCAGGTATACAAGCTGATGCAGAAACAACATATATTAATGGTGAGGGGATTAAAACATCTGCATATTGGTTAGGAGTCCATTTTTTTTTCCTAAATAGAGACAATCTAAAATCTGAAAGAAATGTCTTGCTTTACTGTGACTTCCATACTTCAGTAGTTGAGGAAGTAATGAATGGAATTGCTATTATGGATTTATTTCTCATGGACAAGAGCAAATTAATTGGTGAAATTAAAGCCAAAAGAAATTGTCAGAGAGAATGAGCAGCCTGTTTTATTTTGCATATTAATTATTACATTTTGCCAAAGGAATTTTGAAACAGAAAAGGCACACATAAAATTTCAGGTCCAGATACTCTAAAAGAGAAAATAACTCAAAATAAATGGAATGGTCTAGAAATAAATGACACTGTAATTAAAAACAATCTTGACGAAGAAGAAAAAGAAGCTCCTACAGACACAAAAATTAATTTGAAAACAGCTTCATCTGAGTTGATATCACAGTGCAGTCCTCTAAAATCAGCCTCCCAGTGGTTGGCTGCAAAAGCCATTATTATGATGCATTCATGTATTAAAGAGATACACATAAAAATCAAGATGGGAAGAACACAGACAAAAATAATACAAAAGAATGGAATGTTGGAATAATTAGAATAGTATTTGGAAGGGAATACACCTAAATGAGCCATGATGTGTTGACAAAAAAAAAGAAAGCCAAGAGTGTGGCAGAAATAACCTTAAGCCTTTATTTGAAGAAAGAGCACAAGGAAAACCTAGAGCTCTTCCCTTTAGAATATGCTATAATATTAACCAAGTACCAGAGGGAGACAGAACTCTGATAATATTGTTTTTCTTCTACATTTTTCTATGAAGAATACTGTAAACTAGAAAAGGCAGAGTAATAATTGATGCCCAAAAAGGGGAAGTTAGCATAGAAGAGTCTTGGTGATTTCAATCACTGGCTCCTAAATGTTTGTCTTCTGCAAATTTTTTTTTTTAATTAGTGAGTTTACTTTACAAAACCATTTTCAATTTAAAAGAATGCGTTTTATTCTGATATTGTTTTATTCATTTGTTTGTATAGGTTTCACATATTCTTTGTCTTATTTGCTTCATTTTTAATAAAATTGTCGTGATGGCAGATGTAAATTAATTGTAATATCTTTATATGGTGAACTTAAAAGTCAATGATGTTATGTTAGTTCCTATTTTTAAGTTTTATTGATTCATAAAATCCAAATCCTGAGGGTCACTAAGGTTTTCTTTTTCAATTTTTAAGATTCCTTTGAATAAGGAGTAGGTGAACATGATACTAAATAGAAAAGGTACATAAAGTCACACAGTATTTTGCCTGCCCTTGTCTCCTAGCCTCTTGTCCTCTCCGTTTCTCTTCAGAAAGGCAACCATTGTAAATCATTTTGTACAATATTCTATACAAATTCTGAAATTTACTTAAAAATATCTGTGTTTTTAATACAAACCGTAATACACAGTGAGTCTATAAGTATAACTTGCCTTTTTTTTTTTACATAGTACTATATATATCCCAGGACATGGGGACCATTATTTTAACTTTCTTTTTAGTTGAAATTAAATCTAGATATTAAAATAATGTATTGATGTGTCTATGGAATCAGTGTCAAAAATTCTTGAGAAATTCTTTAGGATAAAAATGGTGTCATAATACAGGAAAGGTGAAAATGTTGACACTATATTTACAAGGCAGGAAAAGAATGCTTTAAAACTTAAATACTGGTGAGCTTGGTATAATTCCAAGCAAACTGTTTACACTGATCGTTTAGGGACATATTGAAAAATAGGATGTGATGATCTAGGAACAATAATGATTCACAAGAAAAAAATTCAATGCAAACCTCATCAAGCTCTCCAAACTAATATAATAGAAGAATGTCATGGATCTTGTACATTTTGATTGCAACTAGCCATCTGATAATGTGTTTCAGGATTCCTGCATGGATAGCACTGTGGAAGGCAGGGAGGATAAAGGGCAGCTCAAACCTGATTGAGCAATTTTATCCAGAGAAGATTAATTAGTTACTTCTCAGAGGAACTTCAAAAGCTGCCCTATCCAATTAGAGTGCTGCAAGGGCTTATCAATTAGCATTTTATCAATACATTGATGATAAAGTGGGCGTGATTTTCAAATGTGTGAATAATCTACATAGGGGAGAGAAAATGAATGTTACTGTATTTGAGTCAAAATTCAAAAAGATCTTAACATTATGGAAAAATAAACAAATTAAAACAAAATTTAACCTTAAAGAAGTCCAAAATATTGACTAACCAAGTAGAGGAAAGTAGATCTGACTTAATAATTCTCATAAAGAAAAGTTGAGTATTTTGTTAAGTTGATTGCAAATACACTCTTCTTAACACACATTAGGCCCTTCCAACTTGAGGACTGTAATTTTATTTGGATCTAGAAATGTTTTCATTTTTTTCTTTTATTATTTCCTTCCTTATATTATTTCTGTTCTCTCTTTCTGTAATTACTATTAGACTTTTTGCTCTAGCCCTCTACCTTTCTGTGACTTTGCACCTTTTCATTCCTGTGTCCATGGTATGAGTTGTCAGCTCCACTGAAACTACAATTAGGGTCTGAGTAATCTGTGACATTCTTTATCTTCTAATATGATTCCATATATTTCTGTCTTTTTAGAATTTCTGTAAAATTCTGGAAGTACTGTTAGGTTTCTAGTTCTGGTGTTGATTTTTTTTTTTACTCATTCACACTTCATACACAAAACCACACAATTAGGTCAAATGATGGGAATTTGAGAATAAGAAAGTGGACATTGTGTTCACTGCTTTATCTTTTAACACTTAAATTTTAATTGAAAAACAATGATTGTATGTATTTATGTCATATACAATGTGTTGTTCTGATATACGTATATATGGTGAAATGCTTAGCGTATTCACCACCTCACATACTTATTTTTTCTGCAACAGATCTACAAAACTATTCCTCCTAACTGGAAATTTGTACCCTTGACCATCTCTCTGTTCCCCATCCCACTGCCACAGCCTCTCAAATGACTGATAAGTATATGAAAAAATGCTCGACATTCTTAATCAGCAGGGAAATGCAAATTAAAACCCCAATAAGATATCATCTGATACTTGCTAGAATGCCTGTTATAAAATAAAAAAGATAACAACTACTGCTGAGGGTGTAGAACAAAGGGAACCCTTGTATGCTGTTGGTGGGAGTGTAAATAAGTACAGTCACTCAAGAAAACAGTACGGAGGTTCCTCAAAAAACTAAAAATGCAATTACCATATGATCCAGCAACCCCACTTCTGGGTGTATATCCAAAGGAACTAATATCAGTATGTTGAAGAGATATCTGCACTCCAATGTTCATTTTAGTATTATTCACAACAGCCAAGACATGGTAACAACCCAAAGGTCTATTGGCAGATGAATGGATAAATAAAATGTGATATATATTGTATATACCATATGTATATATTTTATTATATATATTGTATTATCATAAATATATATATATATATATATATACAGACAATAAATCACTATCTAGCCTTAAAAAACAAATACATTTTGTCATGTGCTGCAATATGGATGAAACTGGAGGACATTATGCGGAGTGAAATAAGCCAGGCACAAAAACACAAACACTGCACTATCTTGTCCCAATATCCATGAACATAAATCAGTTAACACCTAATCTGTGATGTGATCATATGAGCATTAAAAGAAAGAGTATGCTCAGGGAAAGAGCAGTAATAGTTTCACTCATCAGAGCCTGTGTGAATACTGTATTCAGTTCTATGCATAATAATATAGAAACTAAATCACATGAAGAATCCTTTAAGGAAGTAGAGAAATTTTGCTTGGAAAGAAGCAAGGATAGTCATCTTCAATTACTTGAGGGGCATTATGTAGAAGTTAAACATATCTTAAATAGCTGCAGGACACACACCTAGGATTAATGTTTTTAAAAAGACAACATGGTGAAATTCATATTGGAAAAAAAATAACTTGTTAATAATTAGACTTACACAAAGTTAGAATGATAATGGTACCAATAAATTTCCAACCCCAAGTTTTCTGTTTCTTTGGGTTCCATATATTCTATCTGGCATTAGATTAAAGTTTGCTCTTTTTAAAATTTGGATTCACCTGATTCCCGGTTATCTTCCTGATTTGACCCACTACTTTGCCTTGATCTCTGATTTTTATGTCTCCAAATTCTTGACTGCTTATTCAAATTTCACCTGTATCTTGCTTACCTCTAGATCCTGAAAGCATCCCAGGATTTTCCACATAATTCCCAAACTTCACCTCCAAATCTCCTTCCAAGTTCTGTGTTGTTTTGGCTGGGCCTTGCACACATTCTTGTCTTCTGATCAATGCTTGGTTCCAACAAGTGTTTCATTATCACACTCCCTTATTCTAAGGGCCTTCTAACTGGGTTCTGCCACCTTTCCAACGTCCTTCTGTTTTAGGCCTCCTCATTTTTCATAGGTTAACATATACCTTCTCGGCATATTAGTCTGCCAAAAATGCTGCTTTCATTATTGCTTATCATTTTAACATTATTGTTTCAAAACCAATATTTCCCACTGGCTATGGGATGAAGTGCAGATTAGTCAGCTGGGACTGCCATAACAAAATACTATAGACTGGGTGGTTTCAATAACATATATTTACTTTCTCACAGTCCGGTAGCTGGGAAGTCCAAGATCATGGTTTAGGCCAATTCAGTTCCTGGTGAGGGCTCGTCCTGGCTTGTAGAAGGCTGGCTTCTCACTGTATACTTGCATGGAAGAGTTCTTTAGTGTCTCTCCTTATAAGGGCACTAATCCCATCATGAAGCTTCCCTCTCATGATCTCATCTAACCCTAATTACATTCCAAATGCCCCATCTCAGATATCATCTCTTAGGTGTTAGGGCTTCAACATAAAAATTTGGGAGGTGGATGTAAACATTCAGTCCATAAGAAAATGTGCCTGTATGATGGTCTAGTTCCACCTGTATTTCTAGCTTTATATCTTGGTCCTTATCTCTTTATCTCTTTTTGTCTCTATCTCTTTATCTTTTATCTCCCTTACCTAATCCTTCTTCTTCAACAAAATCTGTTTATTCACACTTTATTTATGATAGTCTTTTTGCCTTCATGACTTCCTTCCAAGATATACCCGTCCAATTTATTCAAATACTACCCATCTTTAGCTTATTACATTTCTTCTATTATTCTTTGAAACTGTTGTAATCCCATATTTTACTTGAGTTTTCACAGGAGTGCATGAAGTGGTGGTGGCTGTGTTAATTCTTTTACAACCACATTGTAATTTTTCTGAATGTAGGGACCATGTCTTGGACTTCTTTATACTGAGCACGTAGGTCTATAAAAGATAATTGCTTGCTTGAATCACCTTCAGTTCATTCATGCAACAACATTTAATGAGCAATTACTTTGTGCTAGCAGGTTAAATATAATACTTCTGAAAAAAAAGTTTTTCAAAATTATTTACTCTTCCTAAAACTTACATGTCAATACCTTAGAGAAAAAAGGCCATTTCTCTTTTCACCTCTCTTTTTGTAACTTTGCACAGTTAAACTCTGTCTCACTCACCTGGCTCACTAGTGACTCAGAGATTTTGCTTGGGTCCCAAATCTAAGATCACCATTTTTCCTTCAGTTCCATTGAGAAACCATGAGATGGGGTGAATCAATGTCCTTTTTAACTTTTCCAAATTTCAAAACATCTGAAGAAAATACTTGACACAATTGAACAAAATAAATTAATTACTCCTCTTCTCCATCCTCTTAGTCCATTATCTGGCAATAATAAACACTGAATAAATAGTTTGAACATTGAATGAAATATTCTCAAGCCAATTGCTGAAATCTGGCAGCACAGAAACTTGGAAACATTAGAATTAGAACCAGAATTCAGATCTCAGAGATCATCTAGATCAATTTGTTCATTTTCTAGATGATGGAATGAAAGCATATAGAAGCTAAAATAGTTGTCCTCAAGTAACACAGAAAGCAGTCAGCCTGGACTAGAACTCAGCTTCACTGTACCCCATTTCTGCAGTCTTTTAACTCCATCCTACAATTTAGACCACACTAGTTCAGTAAGTTTAAAGACTTGCTGGCCTGCAATCCCAGCACTTTGGGAGGCTGAGGCAGGGGGATCACCTGAGGTCAGGAGTTTGAGACCAGCCTGACCAACACGGTGAAACCCTGTCTCTAATAAAAATACAAAAAATTAGCCAGGTGTGGTGGCGGGTGCCTGTAATCGAAGCTACTTGGGAGACTGAGGTGGGAGAATGGCTTGAACCCAGGAGGCGGAGGTTTCAGTGAGCTGAGATCACGCCACTGCACTCCAGCCTGGGTGACAGAGTAAGACTCTGTTTCACAAAAAAAAAAAAAAAAAAAGACTTGCTGGAGGAGTTTAGTGAAAATGTAACAGAAAAATATAGTTATAAAAACAGGCAGGGAGAAAAATATATTAAGGAAAAGATGATAGATTTACTTAAAAAATAATAAAAGCACATGGTGATTCTGATCTTTCTTTCAAGAGTTTGGTAAAAATCTGCATGAGAACTAAAAGACAAATTTAAAAGCATCTTGTGTTCCTTCCAGGTTACAGAATCTTTTGATACTTATTCTTTCACCTTCACTACTCTCATCTGTATTTTTGGTGCTAATCTCTAAAGGGAGTAGGCAGCAGTAAATTCTCTGAGCTCTCTGTGGTTGAACTGAAATAACTATTTGAAAACTACTGCTTTGTTTACTTGATTCCATAAAGGGCAAAATGGTTTCACTGTCTGACTGTCTTGTTACTGATTGATCTGATATTTGGACATTACGTATACTGAGCCTTGGAGGAATAGAAAAGCAGCTGTTTTGGGCAATGTCAGTATGCCTTTTTTTTTTTCGTGGATTTTCTCCTAAAGTTCAGTAAAGGCCATCTTTCAGAATAACATAAATCTACCAACAGACAAAAACTAAAGGATTTATTTTCTTTATATGAGAGTAAAATCCTTATTTATTTCTTAAAAGTCTCTTTGACCCTTCTACCTTGAGGGAAATTTCTGGTATCTCTGTTCATTTTAAGGCTGTTTCATCTGTCCTTCCTTGAATCTCTGTCTTGTTTTGTCCAACCTAGAGGATAGCAGCATATATTACTTTATATATCTTGTTTCCAGAATCAATAGCCTGTCATACTTCCATTATTTATTCTCTCCTTCTGTCAGTGACACAATATAGTCTGCTGCTTGCCAAGAACTCTACTTTCCAGGCCAGTGATTCCATTCCCTCTAGCGTTTTCTCAGATTTAATTTCTTATGAAAGAAAAAAAAAATATGGTTGATAGTTCTGTCAAATGAGAACTCAGGTTTGAATGAATTAGGTTGGATTTTGGAATATGCTTGTGACCAATGTCTGCATTGTTGATGAAGGTGGTAGTGGTGGTCATGGCAGTGGTAAGTAATGATGGTGATGGTGTTAGGGATGCTGGCAGGTAATGATGGTGACGGTGTTAGGGATGGTGGCAGGTGACGATGGTGACGGTGTTAGGGATGGTGGCAGGTGACGATGGTGACGGTGTTAGGGATGGTGGCAGGTGACGATGGTGACGGTGTTAGGGATGGTGGCAGGTGACGATGGTGACGGTGTTAGGGATGGTGGCAGGTGACGATGGTGACGGTGTTAGGGATGGTGGCAGGTGACGATGGTGACGGTGTTAGGGATGGTGGCAGGTGACGATGGTGACGGTGTTAGGGATGGTGGCAGGTGACGATGGTGACGGTGTTAGGGATGGTGGCAGGTGACGATGGTGACGGTGTTAGGGATGGTGGCAGGTGACGATGGTGACGGTGTTAGGGATGGTGGCAGGTGATGATGGTGACGGTGTTAGGGATGGTGGCAGGTGATGATGGTGACGGTGTTAGGGATGGTGGCAGGTGATGATGGTGACGGTGTTAGGGATGGTGGCGACGGTGTTAGGGATGGTGGCAGGTGATGATGGTGACGGTGTTAGGGATGGTGGCAGGTGATGATGGTGACGGTGTTAGGGATGGTGGCAGGTGATGATGGTGACGGTGTTAGGGATGGTGGCAGGTGATGGTGACGGTGTTAGGGATGGTGGCAGGTGATGACGGTGACGGTGTTAGGGATGGTGGCAGGTGATGACGGTGACGGTGTTAGGGATGGTGGCAGGTGATGACGGTGACGGTGTTAGGGATGGTGGCAGGTGATGACGGTGACGGTGTTAGGGATGGTGGTAGGTGATGACGGTGACGGTGTTAGGGATGGTGGTAGGTGATGACGGTGACGGTGTTAGGGATGGTGGTAGGTGATGACGGTGACGGTGTTAGGGATGGTGGTAGGTGATGACGGTGATGGTGTTAGGGATGGTGGTAGGTGATGACGGTGACGGTGTTAGGGATGGTGGTAGGTGATGATGGTGATGGTGTTAGGGATGGTTGTAGGTAATGATGATGATGGCAGGGATGATGGTAGGAATTGTTGTCGGTAATGATGGTGATGGTGGTGAAGATGGTAATGGAGTTGATGGTGGTGGGGATGGTAGGGGTGTCTATTTGTTGGTCAGAATGCATTTTCTTTTAAAGAGCCAAATGGTTCTTGGGATGATTTTATCCCACTGCAGAATAATAAAGAAAAATGTAATGATTATTTAACAGTCTAAAATAACAGCAAGTAATTTACAGACAGAATTATACTATTTGATTCTTAAGAATGGATAATAGTGAAATTGCCTTTCTTGAGAATAGAACATTTTGTAATATTGTCACTTACACTTTTTGCCTTGGCTGCGGTCTCATATTTTTTGTGTATTTCTTGTATGTGAGAAGCAATCATAAATAAAATAAATAAAATTAGAGTGTCTTATGATTTATGTCACCTGAATTAATTAATTTTATCAGAAAGTACTTACGATGCTTCTACCAAGCACTCATTACTGATTTGGGCACAGAGAGGGATATCATGATCATTGTTTCCAGGTTGGTACAGTTTAAGTGAGAACATCTGATATTCATTTATCCTATAAATATTTACTGAATGCCTTCTATGTGCTGGATGCTGTGCTAAGCAGAGGAGACACAGTGCTTATCCCAAGTGCCAACTGACAACATAGAACTGCAAACTCAATTGCACAGAAGAAATCTGTTACAATGGAAATACATAAAATGTATGAAAATTGGAGGAAATAGCATCTAAGTTTCAGGGTGGTCAGGGGACGCTTTACTTGGGAAGAGGGCATTTTAGCAAAGACTTGGAGGGAAAATTTAAGTAGTGAGGCTTTCCAAGTAGAAGAAACAGAATACACAAAAACACAGAGGCTCGAATGCATATACCTCATTACAATAGCTGCAGCTAGTTCAGTGGGGCTGTATTATATTATTTAAGGAATAATGTAGTGTGGGAGAATACAGTACTGATTTGAGACTAGGCTTGGCAGCTGGGAAGATGTCATTGCATGAAAGTTCTTGTAGGCCATTCTACATTGGGATTTTATTCTCTGTTAAATAATTTTCAAGAGAAGAATTATATATTTAAATCCGTAAGTTACAAACATCACTGAGAGGTCAGAGTACAAGATAAATGTGAGCGAATGTGACTAAAGCCAGGGAGACCTGTTGGGTGGCCTTTGAAGGTGAGAACTGATGAGAACTGATAACTAATATAGTGATGGTAGTAATGCAATGGTGGCAACTAATATATAGAATATAAAAGAAATAGTATGTTATGGGATAAAAAGGTTTAAAAATTATAGGAAGAGTTAACAAGGGTTTCCAGGCTACTGGCTTACCACATGGCATGGAACAGTGCAAGACAGTATATAATTAGTTGCTAAGTACTGCAATTTCAATAATAAGCAATTTAAAGCTCATAGGAGTGGACAATAATTGAAGATGACTCTTTGCAGAAAGTGTCAGGATGTAAGCTGGGGTATCAGAGAAAAGGTATACATCAGCCTATAAGAAACAGCAATTTTCCCAAGTGTCTTAGAATTCACTTTCTTGTTTCCTGTTTGTGTTCTGGAGTCAACTGACACACAGGGAAGACATTTTCCTCCCCTTATGAACTCTAAAAAAGTGGAGTAAATGGATTTAAACATGGTCCATAGCCTTTCCCAAATAAAGTTATATTTCTAATTGGAGAAATACATAAATTTTCTATCACAGGCCCCAGTAGAGAAGGACAGGGGAAGGGAAAAAGAAGAAAGAAAATGAATTAATTGGTAATTATTTTCACAGAAAATGGGGAAGAATTCATAGAATAAGATTTTACTTTTTAGGTTGGAAATACTAATCTGCAATTTCCCCAATAAAACATAACAAAACCCAATGATAAAATCATCATATTGCCATTCTTAAATATTCAAACATCATGTTTTACTGCTTTCAAACAAGGTTTATAATATCAAAGGACAGATATTTGCCACTTTATTAAAGAGTGCTATAAGATTTCCATTTATTTTATCTCTTCCTATTGCCTTCACTTTTGCAAGTTGGTGCAGTATTTGGAACAAAGCCAATAAGATTGTGCCCATTATAAAACAGCCAACTGATGTAAACCAAACAAGAAAATAGAGTAGGGCAAATTATCACCTTCTCCACCCATACTGTGGCTACACCAGGATAATTCCAATACTCTCAAGGATGATGGTGTTCTCGTTCATATTTTCAAGGAGAATGTATTCAGATATGTCTATGTGAAATATACATCCATGTCAGTGGGTGACACAGTGCTATGTTCAGATAAGGTATTATGATTACAGAGACAGGAGAGGGATACTTCCAAAGAAGTTAAATTATAACTAGATCTTGAAGAATGGATAGAAATTGGCTAGTTAGAAAGAAGAAATGGTATATTATAAAAAATGAGCCATGTATACAAAGCCTCAAGGTTGGGCTACGGGCTAAGCATGGAGTATATTTAGGGGAACTGCAGGCTGGATTTTAAACTAAATATTAAAGAATTGTGGCCTATGAAGTATTGCATGACATAGAAGACTTCCAAATCAGAAATTTAGACATGAAATGATCTTAGGAAATTTTGAGTAGGAGATGGAGTTAGTGGCATTACTGATTTGTGGTGATAAAATATTAACATTATTAATACTAATGAAATTAATATTAGCTGAAAGTTGGTACCTATTGTGCTAGATACTTAATAACTAATTCAGTCCTGACAATACTCTATGATGTATGTAATATTATTATTATTATAACAATTTTCCAGATTTGCAAACCAAGAAATAAAGTGGCTAAGATACTTGTGCAAGTAACAGAAATAGAACATGAAAGAGCAGGCTTCTGAACTGGGCACAGCCTAGGTTCTTAAGTTCTGCATTGAGTTTGTTATTTGTAGGACAAAATAAAGGGAAAACCTGCTGAGAAACCACATAGGAGCCTATTCTCGTGCATCAGGTCTGAGCTTTTGAGGGACTAGACATTAGCAACAACAGGAAAGGTCTGCAGGTGACCCTTTGGTTTTATTTTACTCAGAGCAAGATGTCTATTTGGGTCAAATTTAAACATTTGAAGAGAGAAACTCTTACTCCCTGCTGCAGGGATTAATCTCACCACTAGTCCTTAGTCAACTTGGTCCATGGAACAATGTCCCCGGTGCTCTAACTAATTCACTGGTGATATTTGCTTTCCCTGAGGGACAGTCATTTTCTTAATTCTACTCACTGAGTTTTGTTTCTGGAAATGTTGCAGTCTATTGACTATGTAAACATTGTAGTTGCTTTTCCATGAAAACACATAACATTCCTATTGTACTGTGTGTACTACTATTGGCTTTTAGAAGAAAGAAAATATAAGTGACTTGGCACCACTGTGAAAGATAGAACATCTGTTTGCTTTGGAATCCAAGAGAAGCTCTCCACATGGCTTCCCTCTAAAGCAGATTAGTAAGCAACTTGTGGATAAATTATCCCAAGAGCTTCCTTACCCACATGATTAAGATTTTAATGTCCCCTACAACTGATTCTGTCATTTTAATGGTTTCATGATATCTATTCTCTGTGGGACAGATTTCTAATGGTACAGGAAGCTGTGGGTTTCTCTGATTTCCCCTAACTTCTCTTCTTAGGATTTTATGTCCTTTGCTGATCAGCAGAACTTACCTTAGGATATGCTTCCCTGAATCTTTTTTTTTTCTTTTTTCTTTTCCCACTCATCCATTTACAAGGTCTTACGATAGACAGTGGGTTTACAATGGAAATTGTAATTTCTTCAAGTAAAAAGAAATGAATAAGTTGCAAGTGCTGATAGAAAGCTAGTACACAGTTTTAGAAAAGATCAGAGGAGGGACACTCAACGCAGTCTTGAGGTATCAGAAAAGGTTTCTCACAGAAATTACTTTTAAGCTACGACTTGAATGGTCTTATCCAACATAAGGATGAGGCAAGGCCAAGGGTGGTTTGCTAACGGTAGGCTATCATTTCAGGGAGAATAAATGGCATGCACAAATGCAAGGAGGTAAAAGAATCATTGGTTTAATTTGTTCCACTTGTCAATCATTTTTCTTGTTGCAATTGCTTTTGGGGACCTACCCATAAATTCTTTACCAAGGCCAATGTCCAGAATGGTATTTCCTAGGTTTTCTTCCAGAATTTGTATAGCTTGAGGTCTTACATTTAAATCTTTAATCCATCTCAAGTTAATTTTCATATACTGTGAAAGGTAGGGGTCCGGTTTCATTCTTCTGCATATGGCTAATCAGTTATGGTATTCCCGTACCATTTACTGCATAGAGAGCCCTTTACCCATTACTTATTTTTGTTGAAACTTAATATAAGAAATAGACACTGGGAACTACTAGAGAGGGGGTGGAGGAGGGGGAACACGGGCTGGAAAACTACCCATTGGGTACTATAGGGTCACTACTTGGGTGACGGGATCATCTGTATCCCAAACCATAGAGCCATACAACATACCCACGCAATAAATCTCCCTTTGTAACCACTGAATCTAAAATCAAACTTACAATTATTTTTAAAAAGAATTATTGGAATGTTTAAGAAACTTTATTTCCATTCACGTGCCTAATCAATTACTTGATTCATTTAGCATGGCATACACAAACTGTGTTCTATAGTGTATTTTTTCTACAAGATGTTAATACATATGCTTTGAGAGGAAATGTTCTCTGCTCAAATAATTTTGAGAAACACTGAAAAGGCTGAATTTTAAACAGGAGATTTATTAGCGCATCTTTTTTTTATTGTACTTTAAGTTTTGGGATACATGGGCAGAACGTGCAGGTTTGTTACATAGGTATACATGTGCCATGGTGGTTTGCTGCACCCATCAACCCATGTTCTACATGAAGTATTTCTCCTAATGCTATCCCTTCCCTTGACCCACACCCCCCGACAGGCCCCGGTATGGATGGTCCCCTCCCTGTGTCCATGTGTTCTCATTGTTCAACTCCCACTTATGAGTGAGAACATGCAGTGTTTGGTTTTCTGTTTCTGTGTTAGTTTGCTGAGAATGATGGTTACCAGCTTCATCAATATCCCTGCAAAAGACATGAACTTATTATTTTTTATGGCTGCATAGTATTCCGTGGTGTATATGTGCCACATTTTATTTATCCAGTGTAGCATTGATGGGCATTTGGGTTGGTTTCAAGTCTTTACTATTGTGAATAGTGCTACAATAAACATACGTGTGCATGTGTCTGTATAGTAGAATGATTTATAATCTTTTGGGTATATACCCAATAATGGGACTGCTGGGTCAAATGGTATTTCCAGTTCTAGATGCTTGAGGAATTGCCACACTGCCCTCCACAATGGTTGAACTAATTTATACTCCCACAAACAGCATAAAAGCATTCCTATTTCTCCACATCCTCTCCAGCATCTGTTGTTTCCCGACTTTTTAATGATCACCATTCTAGCTGGCATGACAGGGTATCTCATTGTGGTTTTGATTTGCATTTCTCTAATGACATGTGATGATGAGCTGTTTTTCATGTTTGTTGGCTGCATAAGTGTCTTCTTTTGAAAAGTGTCTGTTGATATCCTTTGCCCACTTTCTGATGGAATTGTTTATTTCTTGTAAATTTGTTTAAGTTCCTTAGAGATTCTGGATATTAGTGCTTTGTCAGATGGATAGATTGCAAAATTTTTCTCCTATTCTGTAGGTTGCCTGTTCACTCTGATGATAGTTTCTTTTGCTGTGTAGAAGCTCTTTAGTTTAATTAGATCCCATTTGTCAATTTTGGCTTTTGTTGCCATTGCTTTTGGTATTTCAGTCATGAAGCCTTTCCCCAGGCCTATATCCGTAATGGTATTGCCTAGGTTTTCTTCTAGAGTTTTTATGGTTTTATGTCTTACATTTAAATCTTTAATCCATCTTGAGTTAATTTTTGTGTAAGGTGTAAAGAAGGGGTCCAGTTTAAGTTTTCTGCATATGGCTAGCCAGTTTTCCCAACACCATTTATTAAATAGGGAATCCTTTCCCCATTGCTTGTTTTTGTCAGGTTTGTCAAAGATCAGACGACTGCAGATGTGTGGTGTTATTTCTGAGGCCTCTGTTCTGTTCCATTGGTCTATATATCTGTTTTGGTACCAGTACCATGCTGTTTGGCTACTGTGGCCTTGTAGTATAGTTTGAAGTCAAGTAGCATGATGCCTCCAGATTAGTTCTTTCTGTTTAGGATTGTCTTGGCTATATGGGCTCTTTTTTGGTTCCATATAAAATTTAAAGTAGTTTTTTCTAATTCTGTGAAGAAAGTCAATGGTAGCTTGATGGGAATAGCATTGAATCTATAAATTTCTTTGGTCAGTATGGCCATTTTCATGATATTGATTCTTCCTATCCATGAGCATGAAATGTTTTTCCATTTGTTTGTGTCCTCTCTTACCTCCTTGAGCAGTGGTTTGTAGTTCTCCTTAAAGAGGTTCTTCACATCCTTTGTAAGTTGAATTCCTAGGTATTTTATTCTCTTTGTAGCAGTTGTGAATGGGAGTTCACTCATGATTTGGCTCTCTGTTTGTCTATTATTTGTGTATAGGAATCTTGTGATTTTTGCACATTGATTTTGTATCCTGAGACTTTGCTGAAGTTGCTTATGAGCTTAAGGAGATTTGGGGTGAGACAATGGGGTTTTCTAAATATCCAATCATGTCATCTGCAAACAAATATAATTTGACTTCCTCTCTTCCTATTTGAATATCCTTTATTTATTTCTCTTGCCTGATTGCCCTGGTCAGAACTTCCAATACTTTGTTAAATAGGAGTGGTGAGAGAGGGCATCCTTGTCTTCTGCCAGTTTTCAAAGGAAATGCTTCCAGCATTTTCCCATTCAGTATGATATTAGCTGTGGTTTTGTCATAAATAGCTCTTATTATTTTGAGATGCGTTCCATCAATACCTAGTTTATGAGTATTTTTAGCAAGAAGGGGTGTTGAATTTTATGGAATGCCTTTTCTGCATCTATTGAGATAATAATGTGGTTTTGTCATTGGTTCTGTTTATGAGATGGATTACGTTTATTGATTTGTGTGTGTTGAACCAGCCTTGCATCCCAGGGATGAAGCTGACTTGATCATAGTGGATAAGCTTTTTAACGTGCTGCTGGATTCAATTTGCCAGTATTTTACTGAGGATTTTCGCATCGATGTTCATCAGGGATGTTGGCTTGAAATTTTCTTTCTTTTGTGTGTCTCTGCCAGCTTTTGGTATCAGGATGATGCTGGCCTCATAAAATGAGTTACGGAGGACTCCCTCTTTTAATATAGTTTGGAATAGTTTCAGGAGGAATGGTATCAGCTGCTGTTTGCAACTCTGGTAGAATTCAGCTGTGAATCCGTCTGTTCCTAGGCTTTCTTTGGTTGGTAGGGTATTAATTACTGCCTCAATTTCAGAACTTGTTACTGGTCTATTCAGGGATTCAACTTCTTCCTGGTTTAGTCTTGGGAGGTTGTATCTGTCCAGGAATTTATCCATTTCTTCTAGATTTTTTAATTTATTTGCACAGAGGTGTTTATAGGATTCTCTGATGGTAGTTTGTATTGCAGTGGGATCAGTGGTAATATCACATTTATCATTTTTCATTGTGTCTATTTGACTCTTCTTTCTTTTCTTGTTTATTAGTCTGGCTAGCAGTTTATCTATTTTGTTAATCTTTTCAAAAACCAGCTCCTGGATTCAATGAATTTTTGAAGGGCTTTTCATGTCTCTATCTCCTTCACTGAAGGAAATCTGCTCTGATCTTAGTTATTTCTTGTCTTCTGCTAGCTTTTGAATTTGCTTGCTCTTGTTTCTCTACTTGTTTTAATTGTGATGTTAGGGTATCAATTTTAGATCTTTCCTGCTTTCTCCTGTGGGCATTTAGTGCTATAAATTTCCCTCTAAACACTGCTTTGGTGTGTCCCAGAGATCTGGTATGTTGTGTCTTTGTTCTCATTGGTTTCAAAGAACTTATTTATTTCTACCTTAATTTCGCTATTTACCCAGTAGTTTTTCAGGAGTAGGTTGTTCAGTTTCCATGTAGTCGTGTGGTTTTGAGTGAGTTTCTTAATCCTGAGTTCTAATTTGATTGCACTGTGGTCTGAGAGAGTGTTTGTTAAGATTTCCATTCTTTTGCATTTGCTGAGGAGTGTTTTACTTCCAGTTATGTGGTCAATTTCAGAATAGGTGTGATGTGGTGCGGAGAAGAAAGTATATTCTGTTGATTTGGGGTGGAGAGTTCTGTAGATGTCTATTAGGTCGACTTGGTCCAGAGCTGAGTTCAAGTCTTCAATATCCTTGTTAATTTTCTGTCTCATTGATCTAATATTGACAGTGGGGTGTTAAAGTCTCCCACTACTATTGTTTAGGAGTCTAAGTCTCTTTGTATGTCTCTAAGAACTTACTTTTTGAATCCTGGTGCTCCTGTATTGGGTGTATATATATTTAGGATAGTTAGCTCTTCTTCTTGCATTGATCCCTTTATCATTATGTAATATACTTCTTCGTCTTTTTTGATCTTTGTTGCGTTAAAGTCTGTTTTATCAGAGACTAGGATTGCAACCCCTACTTATTTTGCTTTTCATTTGCTTGGTAAATCTTCCTCCATCCTTTTATTTTGAGCCTACGTGTGTCTTTGCCCATGAGATGGGTCTCCTGAATACAGCACATCAACGGATGTTGACTCTTTATCCAATTTGCCAGTCTGTGCATTATAATTGGGGCATTTATCCCATTTACATTTAAGGTTAATATTGTTATGTGTAAATTCGATCCTGTCATTATGATGCTAGCTGATTATTTTGCCCATTAGTTGGTGCTGTTTCTTCATAGTCAATGGTCTTTACATTTTGGTTTGTTTTTGCAGTGGCTGGTACCGGTTTTTCCTTTCCATATTTAATGCTTCCTTCAGGAGCTCTTGTAAGGCAGGCCTGGGGGTGACAAAATCCCTTTGCATTTGCTTGTATGTAAAGGATTTTATTTCTCCTTCACTTATGAAGCTTATTTTGGCTGGATATGAAATTCTGGGTTGAAAATTCTTTTCTTTAAGGATATTGAATATTGGCCCCCACTCTCTTCTGGCTTGTAGGGTTTCTGCAGAGAGATCTGTTGTTAGTCTGATGGGCTTCCTTTTGTGAGTAATGTGACCTTTCTCTCTGCTGCCCTTAACATTTTTTCCTTCATTTCAACCTTGGTGAATCTGACGATTATGTGTCTTGGGATTGCTCTTCTTGAGGAGTATCTTTGTGGTATTCTCTGTATTTTCTGAATTTGAATGTTGGCCTGTCTTACCAGTTTGGGGAAATTCTCTTGGATAATATCCTGAAGAGTGTTTTCCAACTTGGTTCCGTTCTCCCCATCACTTTTAGGTACACCAATCAAACGTAGGTTTGGTCTTTTCACATAGTCTCATATTTCTTGGAGGCTTTATTCATTCCTTTTCATTCTTTTTACTCTAATCTTGTCTTCATGCTTTTTTTTATTAAGTTGATCTTCAATCTCTGTTATTCTTTCTTCCACTTGATCAATTCAGCTATTCATACTTGTGTATGCTTCACAAAGTTCTCGTGCTGTGTTTTTCATCTCCATCAGATCATTTATGTTCTTCTTTAAACTGGTTATTCCAGTTAGCAATTTTATCAAGTTTCTTAGCTTCCTTGCATGGGGTTAGAACATGCTCCTTTAGCTTGGAGGACTTTGTTATTACCCACCTTCTGAGGTCTACTTCTGTCTATTCATCAAACTCATTCTCTGTCCAGTTTTGTTCCCTTGCTGGTGAGGAGTTGTGATCCTGTGGAGGAGAAGAAGTGTGCTGGTTTTTGGAATGTTCAGCCTTTTTGCACTGGTTTTTCCTCATCTTCATGGATTTATCTACCTTTGGTTTTTGCTGTTGGTGACCTTCAGATGGAGGTTTTACGTGGACGTACTTTTTGTTTATGTTGATGCTACTGCTTTCTCTTCGTGAGTTTTCCTTCTAACAGTCAAGTCCCTCTTCTGCATGTCCGCTGGAGTTTGCTGGGGGTCCACTTCAGACCCTGTTTGCCTGGGTGTCACCAGCAGAGGCTGCAGAACAGCAAAGATTGCTGCCTGCTCCTTCCTCTGGAAGCTTCATCCCAGAGGAGCTCCTGCCAGATGCCAGTCAGAGCTCTCCTGTATGAGGTGTTTGTCAATCCCTGCTGGGAGATGTCTCCCCATCAGGAGGCCCAGGGGTCAGGGACTTGACCCTTGAGGAGGTAGTCTGTCCCTTGGCAGAGCTTGGGCACTGTGCAGGGAGATCCGCTGCTCTCTTCAGAGCTGGCAGGCAGAAATGTTTAAGTTTGCTGAAGCTGCACCCACAGCTGCCCCTCCCCCAAGGTTCTCTGTCCCAGGGATATGGGAATTTTATCTATAACCCCCTGACTGGGGCTGCTGCCTTTCTTTCAGAGATGCTGTGTCCAGAGAGGAGGAATCTAGAGAGGCAGTCTGGCTATAGTGGTTTGGTAGTGATGTGGTGGGCTCCACCCAGTCCACACTTCCCAGAGGCTTTGTTTGCACTGTGAGGGGAAAGCCGCCTACTCAAGCCTCAGTAATGGTGGATGCCCCTCCCCCCACCAAGCTGGAGCATCCCAGGTGGACTTCAGACTGCTGTGCTGGCAGCGAGAATTTCAAGCCAGTGGATCTTAGCTTGCTGGGCTCCGTGGGTGTGGGATTTACTGAGCAAGACCACTTGGCTCCCTGGCTTCAGCCCCCATTCCAGGGAAGTGAACAGTTCTGTCTCGCTGGCGTTCCAGGCACCACCGGGGTAAGAAAAAAAAAAACTTCTGCAACTAGCCCAGTGTCTGCCCAAAGGGCTGCCCAGTTTTGTGCTTGAAACCCAGAGCCCTTGTGGTGTAGGCACCCAAGGGAATCTCCTCCCTGGTCTGTAGGTTGTGAAGACCATAGAAAAATGTAGTATATGGGTTAGAGAGCACCATTCCTCACGGCACAGTCCTTCACGGCTTCCCTTGGCTAGAGGAAGGAGTTCCCTGACCCCTTGCACTTCCTGGGTGAGGCAATGCCCCACCCTGCTTCTGCTTGCCCTCCATGGGCTGCATCCACTGTCTAACAATCTCAATGAAATGAATCTGGTACCTCAGTTGGAAAGGCAGAAATCACCTGCCTTCTGCGTTGGTCTCGCTGGGAGCTGCAGACCAGAGCTGTTCCTATTCAGCTATCTTGCTCAGGAATCCTAGAGCATCTTTAATACATCAGTGTGCATTATGGCACAACAAATGAAGAATTGAGCGTAAGAGTTCTCCCAGACTTATTTGACAGTAGAATGGTTTATTCTACAGAAAGTTTGTTTAACAATTTGTGGAACTAGTTAGTATTCTATAGAATAAACTTTGTCATTGCTGTTCTAGTATCATGGTAAGGTGCTGGAAACCCTAATGCCAATGCTGCAACACACAGCACTGAGGTAAAAGCTGCACATGTGAGCACATATGCATTCCAGCCATATTATTTTTGACCAGCTACTAGGATTTTAAAGATTACTCGAGTTAATTTTAAAAACCACCTTGGCTCACGCCTGTAATCCCAGCACTTTGTGAGGCCAAGGTGTGTAGATCATGAGGCCAGGAGTTTGAGACCAGCCTGACCAACATGATGAAACCCCGTCTCTACTAAAAATACAAAAATTAGCTGGGTGTGGTGGCACATGCCTGTAATCCCAGCTACTCAGGAGGCTGCGGTAGGAGAATCGCTTGAACCCGGCAGGCGAAGGTTGCAGTGAGCTGAGATCATGCCACTGCATTCCAGCCTGGGTAACAGAGTTAGACTCCAAAAAAAAAAAAAAAAAAAAAAAACAAAAACACCTCTAATATCTGAAATATCCTGAGTCATGGCATTGAAGAAAGCAATGGAGTTTGTATCAATCTAAGACAGGATTACATTTCAATCGTCCAAGATTATTTATAAGAAAGGACCTAGATTAGCATCTTACAATCAATTCCAGCATAGCCTAAATCTACCTGTCTTTTATTTAGAACATAATGTTACTTGAGCATTTCCTTAAGTTCCCTAGGTAGTATTCCACTACAGACGACCAATATTAAGGTATATTTTCTGGGTTGTATGGAGTTCACTCACTGGCAAGACCTCTGAGTAAACAGAATTTATAATAACATTGGTATTTTCCATATTCATTTGGCAAAGATCAGCTTCCACACTGAGGTGATTTTTCAACCAGTGGATGAGGCAAACAAAATCTTCTAATAGCTTTCCATTACTTAAAAGGTTAAAAACAGAGGAGAGGGGGATCTTAAGCATAATGACAGCTCTTCCTTGTTCTTTTTTATATAAATGAATGGATTCTCAATAACTACACCAAGTGACCCGTCCTATCATCATCCCTCTCTCATCCTAGA
Organism: Homo sapiens; assembly: GCF_000001405.40. NCBI lineage: Eukaryota > Metazoa > Chordata > Mammalia > Primates > Hominidae > Homo > Homo sapiens. The sequence goes on from NC_000007.14 coordinate 136,986,090, forward strand.
AATAGATGAGAACCCAATCAGCTGATTTATGACTCATTTGGACAGTGATGGAAATGGAGAGGATCGTTCTTTTCAGCAGGCCCCGAACCCACCTCAGAACTATCTTTAAAGTTGAACCCATGACTGAGGAAGCACCAAAGCATTTCCTTATTTTGGCAGTTTATTTTTTTTAAATAAGTATTCATCATCTTACTCCCTTTCCTTCTTTAGATACACAATTTTCCCCTCAAAGATTAAATTATCTATATTAGTACTTTTCTATACCCTAATTATTTAAAAAATCCAAGTAATATGCTTATAGGCCCAATCTCATTAACAATATATTCTAAGCTATAAGCTCTCATTTCAATATAAGAGCAAAGGAAAGCAGGGTGTATAAACTGAATCTGCAAGGTCCTGATCACAGTTAGTTAAATTTACTGTAGACCACTCAATAGCTTTCCAAACACTGGCCTCCTTATTTCTCACATGTTGGGTTCATCAATTAAGATATATTTGGGCAATTAGCATCAACCACTTTTGTTCTTCCGTAATTTGCCTGATCATAATTTTGACAATATTTATCTTGTTAAAAATTTGGTCTAAATGTCTCTTACAATGAGCTAAGAAATGTCAAATAATGATTTGTTCTACCCTGGGGCAAGCCGTATTCCTAAGCAGATTCAATCAGGAGCACCTGCAAAACATATAAGTTACCCAGGCTTCCTTGTCTATAGGGACCGTTTTTGTTCCAGATTGAACAGAAGTTTTAGGTTTGCTCAAACTCATTCTTATTGTATATGAAATACACCCTTCTTATAATGGACCCAATTTATTTATTAGTATATGCATTCATTCATTCACTTATTAACTTATTTTTCTACCTGCATCTGATGCAAAACATCTCACCTTTTTGTACCAGGCAAAACAGAAACGAACAGGCAAAACCTGAACGAACCAAACAAAAACTGATTTTCTCTTCCGCTTGAGAAAATGCAACTCTAATGTCCTCAACAGTTTCTTACTGCCTCCAGGTATCCTTTCTTTTTTATTTCTCTTTCTTTTTCTCTTCCTCCTTTCTCTATTTTTCCTTTCCTTAAAGTTCAGGTTCACAGGTCCCTTTCCTCTGTGACCCTGCTCCAGCACATAGCACAGGGACTGTGTTGAAACAGCAGCAGCCCACAGTCAAAAGTTCCTTCTTTTGCTGCAAGACAATCATTTAGGGGCACCCTCTGTTGCTTCAGACATATCCCAGCTCTATGTCACTGGGCTTCCTTCTCCACATGTGGGGACTGCCCTTGGGGCTTATCCACTGTTTTCTACATTTGCACACTCTGAAACCATGAACATCCTCTCACCATTAAAATCAGAGGTCAAAAGACAGATCTAGAGAAAATTTCTGTCAAAGCTATGCCCAGTCTCCCTACTAGTCATTTGATTAACTTAACATCACGTATTGTACACCCAGTGTTTACTTAACATGGTCCTCACAGTTGCAGATACAAACCCTCAAAGACGCTCAAGTGAGTTCATCTGCCACTGTGCTTCACACTGGCCACAGCTGTGCCAATGGATCAGGGTAGGGCAAATGACAAATGGGTGAACTATACGGAGGCAAGGATGCGTCAGTCGGAGCTACCAGGGACTATTTCCAAAAGGTTAGCCTTTTAAATGTGCATCCCTCCTTATTCAATCATATTACCCTCTCTGGGGCCACTTACATATTCTCTTAAACACATTCGGACTTCAATTAAGTCCATCTCTCTTCAGGGATTGTGTATAACACTCCTTATTGATCCCAACAGTTCCAAATTTTCTTATTTTATTACATATTTTTATAAGCAAATAGGGTGCAGATTAGTTTAATATTAGTATTTTCCCTTTCTAAAATGAGAAGGAACATTGTGCATGTAAATCATACTTACAAAAATAAATTCACAAATATTTCATCCCTAAAAACAGTAGAATTTTATGTATAATATATTTATTTACATATATGAATATATAAAAATTTATGTATGTAAATATATGTATATTTAGATATATATAAAACAATGTATCATTTTCCAGGGAAGGTTCTTTAATAGATACATATATCCAGAATAGTTCAGATACAGATCATAATTAGTCCCAGTGGTTCTTCATTAAAAAGGAAAAGAAAAGAAAGGGAAGACAAAAGGAAAGAGAAAGGAGGTCAGGGAAGAGAAGAGGAAAAAAGGAGTGGGAAGAGGAGGTGAGGGAAGGAGAGGGAAGGGAAAAAGCTGCAGGACAGAAAATACCATGTAATCTGTAGAAAATCAAATTTGAGTCAGTAATTACTAATTTGTGTACTAATAGGTAATATAATTGAGTGCTCATTATCTGCTGGCCTATATGTTATGTGCTCTACATATATTATCTCATTTAATACTTGTAACAATTTTATAGATTTTTTTCATTGTAGAGAGAAGGTGACTGAGGCTTAGAAAGGTTAAGTAACTTGTCCAAGGTTACACAGCTCTGCACTGGGATCCAATGGTACCGTCAGCTTCAACCTGTACTCTTTATTTCTTCTCTCATGACTGTCAACAAATAGAGTAGACAAATAATAATTTACTGGATAATAAGTTCAACTGTGTCCTGCAGCCAATGCTTGCCTAAGAAAATCAGCAAAAATGAGATAATAAAGCACCAAGTGCATCTAGATGGTGACTTGATTATCTTGTGTTCTTGTCCTGATTATAGGCTGTTGCCATTTTTGTGAGTCAAAATGGTTGAATATTGGCAATTTTATAAAATTGAGTCTAATAAATATGCCTATACATATACATATATTTTATATATTTATACAAATAAATTTATGAATTCATGATAATCAATGCTTATTTAGTATATTCGAATTTAAGAAAATATTTTAAATACTTTTAGAATTTTACAGTCTTCCCACCAAACCTATGAGGTTGGTGCCATTATTTTCCTCATTTTATAAAAGAGGAAATTAAAGCTTTAGAGGTTTTATAACTTGCTAAAAGTCACATCAAAAGTGACAGAACCAGGGTCTGTTCCTTATTAGTCTGATTTTAGTACTAATTCTCTTGACCACAATGATATATTGATCCATATTTAATATATGTATTTCTATATGTTTGGGAAAAATCCATGCTAAGGTTAAAGATTTTTGTTTTTATAGTTTTAACTTTTTGCATCTTTCTTTCATATATCTCCTTTCATTTAATAGATCTTCCTTATTTTTATTTGATATTTAAAGGGATGAAAGTTAAAACAGTTAAGTAACTAACTCAAAGTCACACAGTGATTAATGACTGGAGAAGGACTCAAATTTATCTTAGTATGATGCATACTTACGGAAATTCAGATGCTTAATTGAGAAGTAGTTTATATAAAGAGAATAAAACCTATCTTGTCTTGCAAACTAATTGCTAAAGATGTGCATCCATGATACCCACTGTAGACTCATTAGCCTTTTGTAGGAAGTTCAAGTCCCTCTGCTTTTTGGAGTTCCCACTAGTCATAGGAATATGTATGTCATTATTGACTTTTCCCCTCCCTCATTCTCCAAATTCAATTATACATTTTAAAACCTAGCATGTCTTCTCCATCCCTTTCATTTATTTCTGCCCTAGGTCCTTTGTTTGCCATGGATCATTGCGTGACTTAGGTACTAATCTTTCTGCTCCTGGTTTTGTCCCTTAAAATCCATCCCCTTCACAACTATTTCAGAAATTTACTTAAAATACAAATTTATTCATAGTACTTCCTTTTTTAGAACCTTCATCAGATCCCCATCCACTATAGCATGAAGTCTGAGTTTCTTAAGCAGAGCGCATACGTTTTCAACAGTTCAACTTCTTTCTGACTCTCAGCCACCTCCCTTCACCTCTCCCAGACTCAATTTTGCATTTCCAGCACCATTGAACTTACATGCACTGCAGTTTCTGGCCTTGTTACATTTACTCAGATTATTCTCTGCTGCATCATCATGATCATATTTATTTTTTAAGACTTTATTTTTTAAAGCAGTTTTAGGTCCATAGCAAAATTACAGAGATTTCTTATATACCTCCTACCCTCACACATGCACAGCCTCTACCATTTTCAACATCCTCTATCAGAGTGGTACATTTGTTGCAATGAATATACATTGAACACATCATTATCACCCAAAGTCCATAGTTTATATTGGGGTTCACTCTTGGTGTTGTACTTTCTATGAGCTTAGACAAATATATAATGACATGTACCCATCATTATATTATATGGTGTTTTTTTCACTGCCATAAAAGTCCTCAATGCTCCACCTATTCAGAACTCCATCCCTGGCAATTTCTGCCCACCATTGATCTTTTTACTGTCTTCACAGTTTTTGCCTTTTCCAGGATGTCATATAGTTGGATTCATACAGTATGCGGTCTTTTCATATTGCTGTCTCTCACGTAACAATATGCATTTAATGTTCCCTTATGTCTTTTCATGGCTTGATAACTTACTTGTTTTTAGCATTATGTAATACTCCATTGTCTGGATGTACCACAGTTTATTCATTCACCTACTGAAGGATATCTTTGTTGCTTCCACATTATGGCAATTATAAATAAAGCTGCTACAAATGTCTATGTGCAGGTTTTTGTGTGGACATGTTTTTAACTTATTTGGGTAAACATCAAGAAGCATATAATTATTTGCTGGATCTTATGGTAAGAGTATGTTGAGTTTTGTAAGAAACCACTGAATTATCTTCCAAAGTGGCTGTGCCATTTTTCAATTCCACCAGCAGTAGATGAATGTTTCTCTCGCCCCACAACCTCTCCAGGATTTGGTGTTGTCAGTGATCCAGATTATGGCCATTCTAATAAATGTGTAGTAGTTATCTCATTGTCTTGATTTGCATTTCCTTGATGGCATATGATATAAAGTATCTTTCCATATGCTAATTTACCATCTGTATATGTTTTCTGGTGAGTTATCCATTAAGATAACTGTGGGTTTGTCTTTTCATTTCTCTCAGTCTGTGGCTTCTTTGCTCATTGTCTTCACATTGTCATTCACAGAGAAGTTTACAATATTAATGAAGTTCAGTTTATCAATTATTTATTTCATGGATTGCCTTTGGTGTTGTATTTTAAAAGTCATCACCATACCCAAAGTCATGTAGTTTTTTCCCATATGTTACCTTCTAGGATTTTTATAGCTTTGCATTTTACAATTAGGTCTTTGATCCACTTTGAGCTAATTTTTGTGAAGGGAGTAAGGTCTGTGCTTAGATTCATTGGTTTTTTGCATGCAGATGTCCAGGTATTTCAGCATAATTTGTTGAAAAGACTATCTTTGCTCCATTGTATTGCCTATGCTCCTTTGTCAAAAATGAGTTGACTATATTCATGTGGGTCTATTTCTGAGCTCTCTATTATGTTCCCTTGATATATTTGTCTATTATTTTGCCAATACCAAACTGTTTTGATTACTACAGCTTTACACATATTTTTACAATACATTGTTGAGATAGGTACCATATTGTTCCATTGGAGAACACTGCCAAGCTTGGATTAACTTAGCTACCATCTGGAGGTGAGGAGGGAGGTGCACTTTTTCATAGATATTTATATAGATTGACAATCTTCTCTTGATTTTATTTTTCTTTGATGAAAATCCTTCCTCTGCCACGTCTGTCTGATAAAATTATATGCATAATCAATTTTCAATGATTCTGTATGATGAAACTTAGCAAATATACTCTTTGTCATGGAGGCAAACTACAGTAGCTGATTACCATTTTTTAATGAGAGCTAGGGTTACAATACTTACTATTATCACACTTATTTTAAGCTGAAGGCCTTTACTCAGACCATGTTTCTCAGAGTCACTTCTCTTTGAGTACATGTGATTCTATTCTCAGGCCTAAGTGAGATGCCAGTCTTCCATGTTCCTGGAGGAGTAAACCTTTGTCCTGACAGGTGCATGTACTTCAGATGTTGGTGTCTAACTTGAGTCACAACAGACTTTTCTCTCAAGAATTCCAGTTTAGGATCTGTCCTTGTAAAGACTAATATACTCCATTTTTCTGTTTGTTGTAATTATTTTTACTGTTTCCCACACATGTTTTGTTTCTCTTTTCTACCAGGTTGTTAGCGACATGAGTACAGGGTCTGGATCTTACCCATTCAAGAGTGTATTCTCAGCACCCAATGCCTGGCATATAGTAAGTGCTCAATAAATTTTTAATGAATAAATTAATACATTTATAGACAAAACATTAAGTTGTTGTGAAGTCACAATAATCCTTTGGAAAGGTAAATATGTCAAGTAAAATTAAACATCAGTTACTCTTATGAAATAATATTAATCTGGGTTGTCGTGTTAGGATATTTCTATTAACTTCCACTTAAACAGAACAACCCACAGACCAGGGACAAACTATTCACTAAGAACTATTTGTTATTCCAAATCAAGTTGATTCAACTTGTCAGGAAAAATGTTCTACACCCTACCGTAAGCACGTGACTTAATACATCAAAATTTCCTGAGTTTTTTAAATTTTCAAAATCTTCTGCCCTTAATGATGAATTTCCTCTAGAAGCAATATTTTAGTATTTGCAAATTCAGCGTTCACGTTGATTTTATAGAACGTAACTACCATCAGTAACAAGGATTGACTGACTCTCTCTCTCCCTCTGTCTTTCTCTCTATCTAAAGAGATTTCTTTTAAGGAATTGAATCATGAAACTATGAGAACTGGCAATTCTGAAATCATTAAGGCAGGCCAGCAGGCTACAAACTCACACAGGAGTTGGTGTTGCAATCTTGAGGTAGAATTTATTCTCCAAGAAACCTTAGTTTTTACTCTCAAGGTTTCAACTGATGGATGAGGCCCTGCATTATTAAGAAAAATCTCATTTACTTAAATTCAACTGATTGTACACGTTAATTATATATACAAAATACCTTCACAGCAACACCTAGATTTGTGTTTGATTAAATAACTAGGAACTATGTCACAATCAAATTGACACATAAAATTAACTATCAAAGTCATACAGTCATGATAGATACTGATGAGCTTATAGTAAGTCTGGTTCATTGAGAGGTATTTTTATTCATAGAAGTGAGTTATGGCTGTATCTTCACACAGACACATACAGTGAGAGAGAGGGAGAGAGAAAGAGAGGAAGAGAGCACAGATATAACATGCTCTTGCTTCAGCAAGTGAGATATTTGTATGATCAGGAGCAAAAGCTTAGCTATGAGACTCCCTTGATTTCAAGTCTGAGCACCATCTCTTACTAGCTGGCACATAACTTACTCATTTAATGTGCCTTAGTTTTCTTGTCTATAAAAATAGTACCACCTTTGACAGTGGGCCAATTGTTTTTAGATAAACAAAAATTGTTAGTTTTTCTCAGTATTAGCTCCCTGAGGTCAGGGGAGAGAGATATAATGCAGTGCATGTTCACACGTTCCCTTGAAAATGAAGCCACAACCCCTTGACAGGCATACGGAGAAGTGCCAGAGATGGCCATAGATGGGAAAGCAAACAACTCTAGCCCAGTGGCTTTCTGCCTGTCACTAAAATAAGCTCGAGCTAGGAAGAACATGATAATGGGGTTAGGTGCATAGTTCTGACCTTATCTCTTTAGTAAAGAAAAGCTTTTACATACATTAGCCTCAGAACCCATTCCAAAGTTCTATGATCAAAGAAATCCAACCCCAAAGTGAAAAAGTAAAATGAGGAAAAATACAGATCCTAAATGCTTTCCATACCTGATAATTTTTGTTTCAAAAGAAAAAAAGCACTCACAAATTCAGCATGCATAGAAATCATAGCCATCAACTTAAAAGTCTTAAAAAAATCCAGCCAATTGCCTCGTACATTCAATGATAAATAAATAAGAAAATAAATAAACCGATGTGACTATGTTTCCACTGTTTTGTTTAAAGGTTGCTTGCTTGCAGGTGATGGTTGCAATGCCACATAAATGCAGAATACTAACTGTGAAAGGTGAAATCAAGACCTTGCCGCTCCAAATGCTCTCTCTAGCTCTCTGATTGTACCTGCTCTCATGCTCCAACCCCTTTCCTGACCTCCACATCACAAACTGACAGACCTTGGGGAAAATGAAGGGATATTTTAAAGCAAAAATAAATCTGTCATTTTTATAGTCAAAAGTGTCAGAGCTCAAACATCAATGGTGTTTCAGAAGAGTCAGTAATGTATTTTGTATCCATGCTTACTGCAGATGTCATCATTAGTGGTCATTCCATATGAAAGTTATTTCTGAGTTGCTCCTGCATTGTAAAATAATCATTAATATTATGACTTTGCCTTAAAAAATAAACTCGCATTTTATTTGCTGGGCCACACTACATAAGCCACATCAATTTCTTATTTGATAGAGAGGTACTTATTTGGTTATATAATATTCATTTTCTATAGTGCTTTCTGCTCTTTTTTTCTTTTCTTTTTTTTTTTTTTTTTTTTTTTTTTGAGACGGAGTTTCGCTTTTGTTGCCTAGGCTGAAGTGCAATGGCACGATCTCGGCTCACCGCAACCTCCTCCTCGTGGGTCCAAGCGATTCTCCCTTTTTCAACAAAGAAAGACGTTTAGCACTATTGTCTTTATTCAAATAATTGTCATAACGATGAGGTTATTTTTCAAGTTATACACAATAAAATCAAATATATTAAATTTTTTAGATATTTATTTTTTAATTTAAAAGTAGCTTAAATTATTTGATAAATACTAACTTATGAGTGGGACTAGATCCCATATGATCTCAGCTTAGTTTAATAGGGAAGAGGGGATAAGCAGATTTATATACTGTATTCATTGTTTTGGAAAACTCTGTTCTTATCCATAACTTCGTTGCAATAGCCACCAGGTTATTACAACGATCCTTATTCAGAGGTGAGAAGGCTGTGGAATACAATTAACTTTAATAAATACAGAAGCATAATTTTGTATAAGCATAATTTCTTATTAACATATCAATTATTTATACGGAGAAAGTGGCCAAATGTAAAATAATAGCTTTTATATATTAATATATCCTATACACATTGTATAGAAGTAGTCAAGTACAAAACTAATAATTTTATCTTATTAACATATTCCCTATAGTCTATGTGAATTGTCTACATATACATACATCACAATTAGAAATATAGTGGCAAAAAGATCCCATTCACTGTGCAACTAAAAATAAGGAAGGTCGACCTTAGCAAGATATACACAAATATACATACACAAACACAGGTCTATAAAAATTTTATGTTCAATATTTGTATACCGAAAAATTACAACACATCAGAAAGGGACAAGAGAAAAAACTTGAATAAGTAAAAAATATTTCTTGATATGAATACTCAACATTATAAAAATGTTAATTATTTATAACAGACCAATAACAATTCCACAAGGGGCTGGGTGTGGTGGCTCATGCCCATAATTCCAGTACTTTCGGAGGCCAAAGTGAGAGAATCACTTGAGCCCAGGAATTCAGGACCAGCCTGGACAATATAGGGAGACCCTGTCTCTACAAAAATTAAAAAACATTACCCAGGTGTGGTGGTGCACACCTGTGGTCCAAGTTACTCTGGAGGCTGAGGTGGGAGGATTGCATGGTCCTGGAAGGCAGAGGTTGCAATAAGCCAAGACTGCACCACTGCACACTCCAGCCTTTGCAACAGAGCAAGAACCTGTCTCTAAATAAATAAATAAATAAAATTTTAAAAAATAATAATTTCATAAGGATAAAGGGATTCACAGATTATTCTAAAGTCATATAAATTAGCATGAAAATATAATAAAGATAATTAAAAATAAAACACTAATAAGTTGTACTTAAAATTAGAGCTTTTTAATATAATATAAAATTTACAATAAAAAATATTGCTACGGGTGTAAGAATAGACAGATAAAGCAATGGAATAGAATGGAAAGCCCAGAAACAGAACTCAGTGTATGGAATTATGTAATAAATGGTAGAACCACATTTCAAATTTGTGGAGAAAGTGTAAACTGCCTGATAAATGTTTCTGGAGTGATTTTTAAATTATTTTTTAAAATTGATATTAGATCTTTTTATACCTTATTCTAAATATAGTTTATATAAATTACAGTTTAAAGTATAAAATATATAAATTAGCTAAAGGAAATTATCATTAAATATTAACTTCTTGGGATGGAGAAAGTCTTTTTAAATGATATCACAAAAATAAGTATCAATAGATATAACACATGTAAAAACATCTATAAAAAGACAAAGGGTACATTTAAATGTCAATTGTCAAACACATGAACAGTATAAAACTTCACAAATCAATAAAATTATAGCTAAAACTTCAAACAGAATATTTTATTTATCTGATTCACAAAGCTTTTTAGTAATTATTCTTATTTTTGTTACTAGCTATAGGAAAATATCATTCTCATGAATTATGATTGGGATTTTGCTACCCAAAATAGCAAATGTATATAACTTTGGCCAATGATCTCATTTATAGGAATTTATCCTAAGAAAGCAATCATAGATCTATTAAAAAATCATGTACAAGGAAGTTTGCTACACTATTATATGCTAGAGTAAAAAATTAGAAATAAATTAAGTGTCACCAATAGAGAATTATTTAATGAAATTATAGTATGCCACAAAACTAAATATCATGTACCCATAAAAATGATGCATTAGATGTTTTCGAATGTCATAGGAAAATGTCTGTGATTATCTTTATTTGAAAACGTTATTACCCAGTACTAACAGCAAAGGTCATAGAGTGTGAGCCTACAGGCCAAAGCTGTCCACAAACATGTTTTGCTGGCTTCTCAGTATTTTATGACTTTGAGCCAAGATTTAAAAATTTGAAGAGTTAAGTATAAAAATCCAGATTTTCAGTGTTTCTTTATAATTCTAAATATGTGACAACTCTGTGTCCACATTCTCACCCAGCTGTATCTCAACAGTGGAGTAGTTGACAGCTTTTCTGATTCTCCCCCTCCAAGGACTACCAGCTGTACAGTGTGCATATGTTAACTTATGCCAGCTTCCTTCCTTTGCTCTTCAATCCCTTGCCTGGCCCCAGTGAAATAATGCATTGATATATACAATGTAATCTAAAACTTTAAAATAGTACATGTATATGTGTATGAGTGTATTGCATGCTCATGTATGTGTGTAGGAAGATAAACAAGATTTCAAAAGCAGTAAAAGTTCACAGTTGCTTCCAACCATGCTACACAGTCTTTGACAATGGAAAATATATTGATACTCTTCACTGTTTTATCCCCTGAAGTTGGCTAGAAGAAACTTATCTCTTGAATAATCAGGTAAAGTGGATGGCCCTTGTGAGTCAAATATAAATGATCGAGAATATTTTTTCTTCGGTTTACTTCTCTAAATGTTCTAATTTGAAAATCAGAAAAAGAAATAATTTTTACTTTTTAATGTCCAAACGCAGATGAAGGTTTCAAAGCAGAGCAAATACATATGGAAGATCAATCTCATGTGTTTTTTAAATTAAAAAGAAAGATACAGCATCTTTGAGACTCAATGCACCTGTCATTGGCAATGAATTCTGCTCTGCAACACAAAACATAATACTGTACAAGAAAGAATTTATTCTTGTCTGATCTTTGGAATTTTGTTTAGATTTCAGGCTTCCAGTGGAAATTGTCAGAATACTCTTCCTTACCCTTGGCAAATAGTTGTAGCATGTCTGAAACATGCCCTCTCCAGAAGACTTTCCTTAATTTCCCTCCCTTCTTGCAGGGCTACATAGGCAGAAATTACAGTAATGCTGTGAAATAAGCATGTAAGTCATCAGATCACTATTTAGTTTGTCCACTAAATAAGCACAGGATGAAATCACTGCCACAGAGGTGTCAGTTAATTGAGGAATCAGACAGCTGGAGAGACAGACTGGGTGAGAAAACACCCTTATCCCAAGGACAAACCTTTGCTATGACATTGAAGAGAATATACAAATGAACTTGCCAAGTAAATTGCTTTCCTTCTCTAATATATGATCTCTTGCTCCAATGCTACAGCTGGCTTTTAATGAGTTAGTAGGTACATATGGAGCTAGATTGAGAGAATTAGTTCAAGCTCATACGTTTCAATATTGAGAGTGAAATGAAGATACAGATAGCAATTTGAATCTAATTTTCAAGCCTGCATGGATGAAGGGTCACAGAAGGAAGCTGAGATGTACCAGGATATTGAAGGTGGGAGGATTGAAGATAGTGACAAAGAAAACCACAGCTGACACAAAGTGAGTCCTCTTCCATAAGGCCAACAAGGCCGAAGTAGCATAAATTCAAGAGAGATTGAGTTGTTTTCTTTTTGTAGATACACAGGGTACAGTATTTAGGAAAATGCAGATCTAAGGGAGACGTGAGTGACATCATCTCTGACCTCTCAGTCAGCATCATATGGATCCTAAGAGAATTCAAGTAAAATTAGAATCCTAAGACTCTTTTAGAGATGAAAGAGATGTTAGAGTCAAATGTCCTCATTGCCACAGGGACAAAAATCAAACTCAGAGAAATGAAATAGCATCTCTGGAATGACAATGCACATATTTTAATATCACATGCACATGCCTTTTCCATGAGTTTAGATCAACATTTCTGTTTAAAAACAAACAGATCAACGTGAGAAACGGAGAGGTGGTTTGGGTGGACAATGTGTCTACTGTCAATTTGCTTGAGTTCCTGAAAAAGGCATCATCTTGCAAATTTTTTTATTTTTGAGATGAAACATATTCTAAATAAGAACCCCTCTCAGATTACACCCCAAAGTATTAAATTAAAAAAGAAAACATGTGCACATAGTGACTCAGGAGGAGCAAACAATAGAAGTAGCTACCAGTTAGTTAATCACGCCAAATAGGTAGTTTGCAAGAAAATAAAGGCAGTATCAAATTTTAAAATTGTAGAAAAAACCCTCACTTAGATACATTGATAATTTGGGATTGGGGCTTATTTCACATAGTAGGTTTATTTAATTTAGTCATGAAATTCGCCCATGAACACTGTTGCTAATTCATGTACTTCTTTCCCTACCCTGTTTATTTGCTGTTCACTATATAGCCTAAAAATGGAAATCAGTTGAGTCATCATGAACGATGTTTATTACTGTTCATTATCTTTCAAAAATGTACCATCGGGGAGGGGAAAGAGAGCATCAGGATAAACAGCTAATGCACATGGGGCTTAATAACTAGGTGATGGGTTGACAGGTGCAGCAAACCACCATGGCACACGTTTATTTATGTAACAAACTTGCACATCCTCCACATGTATCCTGGAACTTTAAATAAAATAAAATATATTTTACTTCTTTTTTTAATTATACTTTAAGTTTTAGGGTACATGTGCACAATGTGCAGGTTTGTTACATATATATATACACGTGCCATGTTGGTGTGCTGCACCCATTAACTCGTCATTTAACATTAGGTATATCTCCTAATGCTATCCCTCCCCCCTCCTCCCACCCCACAACAGGCCCCGGTGTATGATGTTCCCCTTCCTGTGTCCATGTGTTCTCATTGTTCAATTCCCACCTATGAGTGTATTTTTAAAGCTACTAATAGTTAAACAGAAGTCACACATGACACATTCTTGCTCTGGATATCCAAAATCTGCTGCTGTTTGTTCTACATACAGGATAAGTAAATAGTACAGATACTTCTGTTCCCAACTGCTTCCCGATACTACATAAATGCTGCCACAGTCTGCAACCAAGGTTCAATTTCTGGAAATGTTGGTGAACGGGAAACAACTGTTAGCAAATTTATGTATTACAAACTTATAGAGTCCAGTAATAAATGGTGATGAATGTAAGAGGATGTGACTTCATGAAAATTGTTATTATATGGAATAAGTAGAGCAAAGCTATACAATTCACCTGAGCTTAAGAAATCCATGAATATGTTTTCTAAATAACAGAAAGTACTAAAACAACATCTCAAACAGACCTATTGCACAGATGACAATTTTACAAACTGTAAAGGTAATTATTTTTCTACTACTCCCAACCTAGCCAGAGTCAACTATTGCTTTTAAACCTTTAGACCCTCACTCATCAGTATTTTCTTTTGTTCAGCTTGTCTTTCATAATTCTTTTTCTTTCTTTTTTTTTTTTTTTTTTTTTTCGGACAGAGTCTCGCTCTGTCACCCAGGCTGGAGTGCAGTGGCGCAATCTCGGCTCACTGCAACCTCCACCTCCCAGGTTCAAGTGATTCTCCTGCCTCACCCACCAGAGTAGCCGGGATTATAAATGCCCGCCACTATGCCCAGCTATTTTTTTGTTTTTTTAGTAGAGACGAGGTTTTGCCATGTTGGCCAGGCTGGTCTCATACTCCTGACCTCAGGTGATCTGCCCACCTCGGCCTCCCAAAGTGCTGGGATTACAGGTGTGAGCCACCGCGCCTAGTCTCATAATATATTATTATTAAAAAAAAAGAAAGAAAGAAAAGAAAGAAAGAAGGAAGGAAGGAAGGAAGGAAGGAAGGAAGGAAGGAAGGAAGGGAAAAAAAGCAAGTAAACCAAATATTTTTAAAGGCTTTCCTTAACCTACCTTTCCTTAACCTACCTTTCCTTTAAATCACTTCTTCTTTCTATTTTGCTTTACCATCACATTATAAAATAGGGGTCTGTCTGTTCACCTTTTTTTTTTTAATCCATCCCAACACAAGCACTACAATGCATGTAACCAAAAACACCTGTCACGATTTTTTATCCTTTGGCTTTTATATCCTTGTGTACTTTATTGAGTGATTCATAATTTTCCAATTCGCTTAACCCCAGCATATGAAAATATTGTTTGAGTTTTATAACTCCATTGAGCCTTTAACCATTTAAGGGTTTGTTTTGTTTGAGAAGGAATGTGTGGTTCATACTTAGAATAAAGAAGCCAGCTATAGGGTGAGTGTTAAAAACTTGGTTATAAAACTTGAGATCACATATAGACAGAAATTAAACTTTATTCAAGAGGCTTCCAATCTACATTTTAAAGCACAGCTTGGAAATCTGAGGATGTACTGGGCATTGTGCCAAACATAATGAAAACTCCCCACCCCACATCTTCATCCCTGCCCCCTTCAATGCTTGTTTTTGGTCTTTCTGTAGTCTAGCTACTTCCTCCTCCCCCCTCAGACAGGGTTGTTCCCACTGTGATTTACTAGTTTAGCACTTGTTTAAAGAGGCCGGCTTTATGCACAGTCATTTGTTATTTTAATAACAATACAAAAAAGAAAATATATATACTGAGCAAAACGGGTCAAGCTGTCACCTTTGAGCTTTACAGTGGGCTTTGAAAGCAACCAAACAAGGAAGAGCCAGAGGCAAGCTGTTCATAAGTTACATTCCTAAATGCAGACACAGAGCTGAGGATGCTTTTTCATGAAGAACAGGGACTAAGAGGTGGCCTATGAATGAGAATGATTCTGTCCTTGGAACATTTGAGCTAAGTATTTCCTTCCCAACAGCCAAATATGAACCAGAGAGAAGTCTGGTTGGGGGATGCACAGACCTTTCATTTAGGGCTAGGATGAGATTTGGCCGTGGCACACTGGAGAGGGCCTTCTCAGCAGGTTGTGGGGGGCTATCTCATCACCAAAGGACTAGCAATACAATAGGTCTGTATCCCTTGTCTTGCTATGGGAGGCCTGCTCTAACCTGGTTACGACCCCTGAATTCTAGGATGACAAGGCTGTGTCTCATCTGTGGAATAATATTTCCAGATAAATGTTTTATAGTAGTCACCGTATCATAAACAAAGTTAATTCTTTTATCCTAGCCAGTCTCAGCAGAAGAGTAACATGACATGAGAGATTGGGAAACTGTCCTTCTGTGGGGTTCTTCAGACAACCTAAGCCATCTCCTACATCCTACACTCGCTGAACATAGAATGGTTGAAGGAAAGAATGAATACATATGTAGAAGAGAAGAATCTTGCTAAAAGGAATGAAGTTGTCAAGATAAATAATTAAGAGTAAGAAAGAAAAAATATGAGAAAAGCCGGTCAAGAAGACTGGCATTTAGAAGAAAGAATGCTTTCTGGTTTTTTGTTTTGTTTTGTTTGTTTTGTTTTGTTTGTTTTTTATCACAAGTTGTTTTATTTCAATTAGCAAAAGAGTTTAAGTGAAATTTTTTAAAAAGTTGTTTATTTGAAAATAGCATTTAGAGTGATATGGTAAATGCAAGTTACAAATTAACTTTATGCATATTTATAGATCATGCTCTAAGCACTCAAATTTGACATATGAAATTTTGTTATTTTTATATTTTTCAACAATACATCTCTCTCTTAGTTTCATGATTTGTTCTAAATTTGTGGAGGACCAGAAATTTTTCTTTAGTCCCTCAGAAAGATCATCTTTTTCTCCAAAATAAACTGCTTTCAGCAAAAGTAAGTTTAGATTTACTAAGTAATCTTTCATAGATCTACAGCAAGAATTTTAAATAGAGGTTCACTTGTCTGTGACACTTTGACCATTGGGTTAGGAAGAGGATTAGTCACTAAGTTTTAAATTGACATTTCTTGAAGTATAGATTGAAGATATCATTTCAGCATAAGAATCAGGATACCACAGAATGACAGTGAGATTTCTGGAATCCTTAAAATAAGTAAAAGTAAATAATAAAAGTGACATAGAATAGACTCCTATAATATAAAAATTATTTCAGGTTACTTATTTTCTTGAGAGAAATAGAGAGTACATGCTTTGTTTCTGTTTTTGTCCCTTTTTAAATGCTCTACTTGTTGATTAGAATCAACTGTTAAATTATAATGGACTCAGTAATAGTGACTGCTTAACAGTCACTATTATCATGGTGTATTATGCTAAGAGGCTGTTATATTATGTGCCTTTTTAAAAATATTGTCAATGGTAGATTTTATTTTCCACATCTTCTAGATCTTCTAGATGTGGAAAGGGGGTCAACAAATTTAAGCTCACACAATGAGAAAATAACAGAGATAGGCTTCCGTTTCAGGTTTAACTCCAAAGTCTTGTCTACTGCGTTCACAGATGCATCACAGTTAACTGGGTACGAAGTTATGGAAGGAACAGTTGCATCCCCTATACAGCATGAAGCCAGCATTTCTGCCAGCAAATCTCTTAGAAAGATATGCAGCCTGGTAGGGCTTGCTGCTGTCTCCCTCAAAAGGAGGAATCTGAGAATCAAATGCCATTCTTCAAGCTTCCATAATTGCTTACAGGAGTCTTGTTTTGTGAATTGCAAGTTCTCCTTGTACAGCATGTTGTCACATTCCACTGATGCTTTATGAGAAATTTTCCTTAACCTTTAGAAGAACAGAGACATTCTTTCTTTCTTTTCTTCTTATATGTTATTACCCTTTCCTCCTCAACTAACATACTTGATGTATGCATATGCATGCATGCATACACACACACACACACACACACACACACACACACACACACACACACACACACACACACACACACTAGTTAGGTGAATAAATACAGGCCCAGGCCCAAACCTCTCAGCTTCCTATTTCCTTCCATCTTGGGGTATTCTGGGGTTAGTAACTACTCACAGAATCCTACTCTAACATGTTATCTTAGAAGTCCAGGTGTGTATACTCCTAACCCAGCAGACAATGCATGCTAAACCAACTTTGCTGATAGTAGTATAATTGTTGATATGGTTTGGCTGTGTTCCCACCCAAACCTCATTTTGAATTGTAGTTCCCATAATCCCCACATGTTGTGGGAGGAACCCAGTGGGAGGTAACAATCATGGGGTGGTTACCCTAGTGCTGTTCTTGTGATAGCCAGTGAGTTCTCATGAGATCTGATGATTTGATAAGGGGCTTTTCCCCTTTTGCTCGGCACTTCTCTCCCCTGCCGCCTTTGCTTCCCCTTCTGCCATGCTTGTAAGTTTCCTAAGGTCCTTCCAGTCCTGTGAAACTGTGGGTCAATTAAACCTCATTCCTTTATAAGTTACACGGTCTTGGGTATTTCTTCATAGCACTCTGAGAATGGACTAATACAATTGTGCTTCAAGGAAAAACCACACTGCCTAGAAGATTTATGAACAAGTCCCAATCCATTTGCTGTCTACTGGAAGATCTTCCATTCTCAGGCATTATATAGGAATGGAAATTGTATTTAAATACTTCTGTATGTGAACTACTCACAATTTAGCTACTTTTTGTCAGATGACACAGTAGAGATGGGGGCAGAAAAAATGTACTGAGGACATTTCCAAGTCAAGATGGTTTATTTCAAGAAGGGAAATGCCACTTTTTTATCCTAGCTTTCACACTGGGCATAGTCCACATGGAACATACTCCCTGATAGAGGTAAAGATTATGGTTTGGTAATTATATCTCAGTCTAAATGGGAGACAGGTATTTGGAGAGTCTGGAGGTAAAGAGGAGTCAGGGTATTTAAATATTGATGTAGTCTCACACTAAGGGTGTTGGAAGAGGGAAGGGGCTGAGGTCTTCGGAAGAGAGGGTGGGCACAGCATGTGATGACTTATCTTACATATATTCAATTATGTTGTGATTCCCCTGAGGTCATAAACCAAAAAGTCATTTCATTTCAAGCAGTCTGGAGAGTTGACTGCCCTGATTTACCACATAAACCTCTTCATTCTCTCTGACCAACTGGCTTTATTTTAATTCTAAATTAGTGCTTTAGATACAAAAATCTTTGCTGAGTTGATGCAGCTTTTTATGTTTCTTCATCTCAATTGCCATTAGATCATTTAGTAAAGACTTTAATCTTCTCCCTGCTCTCATTTTTTCAAGTTTTCATGGGATAACACTGCGGTCATTTGGCTCAGTTCTAGAAATAGTCTGCAATCAAACTCTGGGGAAACAATCATTTTGTCTTTCGACTGGAAACAATAAAAATAGTTGCTTCCCATTACTCTCCACACTTCATTACTATTTTATTTTTACAGCTTCGTTGAATCTGGTATGAATCTTAATTATATGAGGCCTGTGTCATTTCTGTCATTGAAAAGCTAGAAGAACCAAGATTTAGCTATATGGGGGTGAACTGGTTTCTCTGTACCCTATACCTACATTCTAGGATGGCTACTAGAAGAGTGATGGTGTCCATTAAGCTCATACTTATCAGTGCATGTGTTTTAAGAGGCGATGACTAATAATAGCATGTCTACAAAACACAATCCACTTGCTTTACTTTTCATATAAATAGGCATTTTAATGAAAAGAGCAACTTTCTCTTTCTCTCCATAAGCAATGCAGCCTTAAGTAGAGACATGCTTAAAATAAATATATATTCCTAAGTATAACTAAGTGTCCTTGTCTCTACTTAACTATTATAAGATATGCTATCTGAATATTTGTTTTCTATATACTCTGAAAAAAATTTCACTTCTATGTGCACCTCCTAATATTTTCACAGCCTCTAATCTCACTTATTCTTATCCCAACCATCCTGGTCTATTCTTCAGAGGAAAAGTACTAACTTCCTCTTTATCTTCTCTCTTCTCCCAAACTGACTTTTGTTCCTCCCTTTAAAGTTGTCCTTGACCTACTATCCAAAGCTCCACATTGCCATGTGCTCTGTCTCAGCTTCCAATGGGCACATAGACCATTGAAAAGGATCCCTAAAAGGATATTTTGTTTGGAGCTGCTCAGCTTCTCTAGAACAACTGCTTTTATTCTAGAATTTTCTATCATAGTCCTAAAAAGCCTCAATTCTCTGCAAATTTGATTCACATTTTTAATTCAAAGCAATGAATTAACTAATTTAGAGTTATTAAACCAGCAGCCTGCCGACTTTAGGAAAAAACAAAACAAAATTCTAAAAGCCGACTATACAAATTTCCAGTTTCTCAAGACGGTAAGAGAGACAGATTGATTCAAATACAGCTGCCTAATCATAGACAGTCTGTAGCTCTCCAAGAATTGCTTCCATTTTCCTTTCACTCTTCTTCCTTGCGGGAACAAAACAACCTTTAGACAGAGGGCTTTCTCCACTTTTGCTGCTGTTTGCTTTAGAGCACATTGTTTAGTCAGCACCATTTACTAGATTACATTCATCATCAATATTTGAGTTCTGTCAAATCCTTGGTACAGAAAAAGGTGGATGCAGAAGTCCTCTCTCAGATGGAATTTCATTTTTAAAAGTCTAAGGGTTGGGTATTTTCAGGTTTCATTCTATTCAGAATTGTCCAGGCCTCTTCCTTTTTGGCAGGAGTTGTATATTGTGTGAACGAATTAATGAAAAGGTGCCATGGATGTAGTGACAAGGACAAAGGTCCCAGTTAAGTTGCTTTTACACCCATTTCCCCCTTATGACACTGTTTTTGGGTAAGTGGTGTTTAGGATGTGTTTTGAAGAGGAGAAAAGATAGCTTGGCTGACATGGAGTGGAAGTTTGTCCCAGCATCACTAAGAATAGTATTACGTTTGACAGGCAGCCAAAATGGCAAGCATGTTTACACTGTAATAAGTCCTTGCATAATCCTGATCTTTTTTACATTGGAAAAAGTCATGAATTCTCTTCTATTTGTACTGATGTGAGGATCAGTTTGCTTTATCAGCTACTTTCATTCTGTTCTATAATTTTCTTTTACATTTTTTTTTCTTTTTCACAAAAGTGCAACTCACATCTAGCACTGCACACAAACCTTAAGGGTACAGCTTGATAAAATGCAGTATGTGTTTGGTGTGGCCTTTTTTTTCCCCCAAAACGTTGTACATAATGCATATCTGGTAAAATCTGCCGCCGTATGCTGTAATTTCCTAAAGATGGACAACTTATACATCCCTCTAGAATACTTTCAACACATCTTTTCAGATGAAATATAAAAACTCAGTGTAGGTGAGGACATGGCTGTCTTTTTCTGTGTGCTTTTGAACCTACAGGTTGTCAGGCTCAATGTACTGAAGCAGAAACCCACCAGCAGTATTTTGTACTTTCTTTAGAAGAAGATATAACGCAGAATCTTGAGAATAGTAAAAAATCAATCAAAGAAAAACCAAAAATGTCAGATACAAGCCAGTGGTATGCGAAAGGAGAAAAAGAGAAAGGGAAAGAGAGATACAGATGTAGGAAAGGTTTCCAGGGAGCTTTCTGTATTTATTTCACCACATCTGACCAGCCTTGCTCCATGGTTTCTCAGCCTTGTTGCTTAGCATGATATTGGGCCATTGTTGTTTTAGAAAATTGGAAATTTCACCAGCAATTTGTATCTCCCCTAGACTGCAAATTCCTTGTTGACAAGAATGTGTTCTGTTTTGTTGGTCACCCATTCCTACTTCACTTCTATCCCCCACAGCCCTTGAGGGCATGTGTGGATCTCCTCAGAAGAGTAATTCAGTAAGATATTTTGAAATAAAGAAAGCTAGAGAGCCATGATTTCTTAGCAGGGCCCCCACTACTCCTTGCGGCCACCACCCCCACCACAACTGCTGTTGTAGTGAGATTCAGGAGCTCATAAAAAAGCTCTAAATATGTACAATGACTCATAATGTGTTGCATGGCTCAAAGGAAAACCAGATTAAAAGAAAAAACAAAAAGTGGAAATTTACTTCATTTTGTGTGATGTTGTCAAAGCACTCAGACTGTGGAATGTCAATATTGCTAGCTAGCAGGGCTGGACTGTCTCCTGAGCCCCAGGCCAGGACTCGCTTCCATCTGTAAGCAAAATTTAAGGACATTCAAGATTGGTAAGGGTCATTATAATGTAAGCAAATTATGCTATCACCATCTGCATCAATATCAAAACTGTGTACAATTGAACCTTTCTTTAGAGAAAGGGGACTTTGCTCCCCAAGACATCCTTAAATAAGTCTCTCCACAATTCTCTCTTTTTCTTTTTCATGTCTTTCTCTCTGGCATCATTAATGGAAGGAGTGATTATTGATAACATAATCTCAAAGCCTATTTAACACATTCACTAATGCAGTTTATAAATTAGTGGGATTAACTGAATATTAAAAGACCTACAATAGCATATGGATTATATACCTGAATGGTCATCTCTCCTATGTCAGAAAAAAAATATAGCTGGAATGTCATTCATTGGATTATTATACAACATATTTATTTGCAAATATATGAAATTAAAAATGAATAAGCTTCATTTGCTTTCTCATCAATGATAACCACATCTCATTCTTAAGGTGGGGAAGAGATAATACTTAAGTATCCTTTACTACCAACCGCTGGCTCTTCAGTAGGTGAACCCTTGCTTCCAATGATACTCTGATATTTCCCAGAATTGCTGCCATATTTGCATGATCATTATATTTTTTATGTTTTCTTTAGTAATAATTTGTACTGAAAGCTATGTATCTAAACATAATATTGTTGTAGTAAACTTGTAATTCTCTAAAGACATTCTATGGTGTTTAGCCCTCATATACAAAATTTGAAGGCTAACATGGGCCTTATCACTATTCTATCAGTTTTGGTCATTTGAGCCAACATTGATAAGGCTCATTATCTTATCACTGTTACTTGCTAAGTGAATATGCTACTTTTGAGATCTTAATGGTTGAAAGGTGGGCAAGAAACGCCAAAGAACTCTGCCATTTTTTGATAATGTGTTCAAATAGCAGCAGAATTAAAAAATCTGTAGGAAGCATGTATACTAAGATTACATTTTTAAAACAAAAATTAAAGAAATAGAAACAAGTATAAATTAAACATTAGGTGAATTCCTCTTCATTTCCAAACTTTCTTCTTGTTCTCAAATTTTTTTATACAATTACATGTCTTCTCTGTCACTGGATTTCAGCTGTTATCAACCATGGATTCGTTTTTTCTTGACTTTTCTATTTCTTCTAGAAAACATTTTTAATGGGGCAGGTTTTATGCCATTGTGTAATATTGTGGAAATGACATGGTCCAGGAGTCAGAGAGACCTAAATTTGAATCACAGCACTTGCTGGGTCTGTTATCATTATCATCTGTACAACTGGAAAAGATAATAGTCATTCTTTTCAGGGCTATTGTGAGAATTAAATAAAATAACACGCAAAAATCCCAAAACTTAGATTACTTATGTATTGATAATTCATTATTAGCTTATTACATTAGAAATTCACCTACAAAAGCATTCATCATACATCAGGCATCCTGCCTGACCTCAGCAGTGTGTGAAGAAAATTCCATTTGTTTTTTATATAATTCTCCGCTTTTATCTAAATGTATATCAGTTTATTTTTTAATTATATTAATTTTCTCTGTAACAATTCAGAAAAATCTGTCATTGTCAATATTTAGAACTTTTTTTGTCCACTGATGTGAATACTTACATGGGAATCTATTCATTAATTCACATGGTGATATGTTTTATGAAGATTAATTTTAAGACAATTTTTTGAATCTTAAATGTCACATATTTTCATGTGCAGAACCCTACTTACTGACTCCCTAGCTTATTGTGAATGTCTCCTGCCCAAAGCCCCAGTATTGTCCTGGACACAATGATTTTCACTCTGTGGTCTAAACCAAGGTCCCAACTCAATGTTGGGGTGTTGGACTTAGTCATATCAGGTCAGAAGGAGAAATGTGTGAGTGAGCAGTAGCAGCTACATGACACTGTTCCTCTGCCAAAAACTGAGTATTCATAGTAGAGTCTGGAGTTGGGTGCCCTTGGTTTGAATCTCAAGTAGCTTAATTATTTGATATTTAGTTCAACATTTATAAAAGGAGTATAATAAACATCCTAACACTTCCAGGGTTGTTTTGGAGAGTAATTATGCTCAAGACATGTTAATTATCATTACCAGTAGTAGTATTGATAATTTAATATTATCGATAATTTAATATCATTGATAATGACAATTTAGTGTTACCTCTAACCCTGCGCCCCATACCTTCCCACTCTTAAGATAGCTGATACACACACATACACATACACATAATTTTCTGTTCACTCTTAAGAAAGGTGATAATTCTATACTCACTTGTCAAATTTTAACATTAACAGCATTTGTTTAATACTTAATACTAATAGATCATAGTTCAGAGACATTATCTCACTTTCATCCTTACTACAACTCTGAAAGAAAAAGAGGGTTATTATTATTCCTGTTTGAGAAAAAAGAAAATTGAGGTTCACGAAATTTAAATGACATGCTCAGAGTCTCACAGCTAATAATTAAGAGCAAAGATTAGCACCCACACCTTTTCAAGGAAGATGTTAAACTGTGGTTCTGTCTTCCCTGCCATGTATGGGAAAGCAAGTAGTGAAGAAACTGAGGGCAGAAACATTGTCTTATAAGTTTCCATAGTACTTCCAGGCCTTAGTCATAAACTAGGCAGTAAAATACCAAATGGGCTATTGCTATACACTTGCCATCTTAAGATGCTGAGTTCTTGAAGGTCATCTTCATTGTGTAGTCTCATGAGATTATGTTATTTCATCAACTTTTATTGCTTTAACACCACCCTATGATGCCGCAACACATCTAAAAACTTTTACAGAAATTTAAAGAGTAGAATTGGCATGCAGTTTGCAGGAGGAAACTGCTTTCTTCAGCGGAAGAGGAACGATTCCACATGGCCTGTGCATCATGCTGAGAGAAAGAAATGACAGCCTTCCACTGCTTGCGATTGCTTCTAAGAAAAATGTTTTCCACTTTTACATACAATATTAGTATAATCAGGCAAATATTATAACTCTAAAAATTCAGAGACTGTAATAGCAACTAAGTTTGTTAACATTACATAAATTTATTGTGTTCTACCTGAGTAAGAATTCCAGTTTACCGGAAACCAAATGTCTTAAACTAGCAACCTCTGAGTGTAGTTCATCACTGTCCTGCTGCCTAACAATTCCACACGTTACTGGATAGAGTATAATTCTTCAAAGGGCAAGGGAAACAGAGCGAGTGTGTATAACTGCAAGGTAAGGATGTTGGTTTTAGTTGTAGATTATTTACTCATTAGCTTTGTGATTGTGATCAAGAATAAGTTGCTTTAACCACTTGTGCAACCTCAGTTTTATCACGTTAAGGGAATGATAGAAATTGTTCCATAAATTTTATGTAGTTGTTAATGTTAAGTGAGATAATACATATTTGAGGCATGATATTCAGCTTCTCTAATACCAAATCTGTATTAGGAATCTCCAGAGAGACAGAACCAATAGGATATATGTGTACGTGTGTGTGTGTGTGTGTGTGTATATATATATATATATATGGATTTATTAGGAAAATTGGCTCAAGTGTTTATGGTTTATGGTGGCTGAGAAGTCCCATCTGCAAGCCTGAGACCCCAGGATGCATGGCTCAGGCTAAGTCCAAAGGCCTCAGAACTAGGGAAGTGGATGGTGTAACTCTTAGAATGAGGCCGAAAGCTTCAGCACCCTAGGGCTCCTGGTGTAAGTCCTGGAGTTCAAAGCCCGGTCTGCCTGGAATTCTGATGTCCAAGACCGCAGAAGAAAAGTCTATCACAGTTTCCAAGACAGATCAAGTCACCTTCTGAAATTGTTCTCACTGGGCTCTGGCCAATTGGATGATGCACTCCAACACTGAGGGCAAAATTCCCCATCTAGTCCATTCACACTCAAACACGAATTGCCTCTGGAAACACCCTCACAGACACATCCGAATTAATATTTTATCAGGTTTCTAGGTATTCCTTAATTCTGCCAAGTTGACACCTAAAATTAAGTTCACAAGTCCACCACTTGTCAGCCTAGTGTTCATATACATCTCCTCAAACTATATGTTATTTCCAAATAAAAGCAGTAACAAGGTGATGGTTCCACCTAACATGATGCAGGCCAATGTGATGAGACCATCCTGCATGCAAGTGAAATGCCAACCCCTTTTCCAGAATTCAGCTTTCAGGATTTCAACATTCAGAATTTTAATCTTTCAGGATTGTAATTTTGGGGATTTTGGACCTTAGCAATTTAGATCCTCATCAAACTAGTTGATTTTGAATCCCTACTTTTCAACATCAGTGTTATTCATTATTCTCCAGAGGAAATTATCAAAAATCTTTTAAAAACTAGAATATAAGTCCTATGCTTTATCAAAATTATGAATAATTAAAATGCAGAGTCAATACATTCATTTTTTGTATTTTTCAAACTAAGTGAATTAATATTAACATTTCATGAAACAGATACACATATAGCTCAACTCCAAACTGTCCATGAATTTATCTAATAAACAGAGAAAATGCTGCTTATAAGCAAGTCACAATTCTGATCTTACAGTTAGCTGAGCTATTAAGAAATTGTTGGAATAAGAACTGGGATAATAAAATGTTTTTGTTCAAATAAATTACCATGAATATACAATTGTATGATTAATTGCAAAAAAGGATTGTCAAAGGGAAATCCGATTAAAATAATTCAACTGATCTAAGTTGCATTCCATTAACATCATTTCCCTGATTAAACTCTTCAATATTTCCCAATGAGCTGCAGGCATACATATGTAATATTACATATAATCACCTTTTTGCTTAAATAAAATTATATTCTGTAATAATCTATGTCTCACTATGATTATGTCATCTTCTAACTATATAACTTTCCACAGCAATGCCAGGACACAAATATCTACCTGTTTTACTAGCCGCATAATATTCCATTGTAAGAGTATTCCATAATATATTTAACCAATCCCTTGTCAATGAATAGTTTTAATATATCTCGGGATTTTTTTGCTATAACAACATTTCTGAGTGAACATACTTGAGTAGACCTCTTTGTACATTTTTATGACTCTATCTGAAAGACACATTCCTAAATGTGGCATTCCTGAGACAAGTGTTTCTTAATACATTTTTATAGATACAGATTTAAAGTTCTATAGATATAGATACATTATCCTTCGTGGTGATTATCCCGCTAGTCCCACCAAAAGTATTCAACACTACCATTAATACTACGGATGGAAAATTGTTTTTCACTGTCTGGATTTGCATCTTTAAACTGTGGGGTTGAGTATCATTTCATATGTTTAAAAGTCATTAATGTCTAATTTTTCTTTGATTGAACTACTACATCAATGTTTTAGATTATTCATCTTTCATCTTTCCTTTTTTGCCAAAACTCTATTATATTAAAGACATTGGATAATTTTCTATCGTGCAATTTACAAATATTGTTTCTCAATTGTTATTTTGACTTTTTTGCTCTATGCAAAAATTTTAAAGGAATATGCAACAGTTACATATATTTTCCTTTCTGGCTTCTGAATTTTGGGTCTTATTATATTAAGGCCAAATCCCATTATTTGGGTTTTGTCAAATAAAATACTGGAAAACAATTGACTTTCCAAAGCAGAAAAAATTATTTTTTTAAATGTTATTTGTGTTATGAAGTTGCTTACCAAATTATTTTCTACATGGATTTCAAGGGCAAACCACTGCCCATTTCTTTGTAATTAATAGCATCCAAACTAATCAATATTCCCAAATTTTAATTTCTCAGCAATGCTTATTTTCTGACAGCTCACAGCAATTTTTTCAAAAAGAGGTGGAACTTGGGCTAGTTTCTGCTTCAGATGCTGTTTCTCCAGAAATGTGTCATATCTCTTTGATGAATTCTTAACTTTCTTTTCTAAATCCCCAATATACATTTTCCATTATGAAAGATCACTCAATTGTCATCAGACTTCAATGATATTATCTCAAAAATGATGATTATGTGTTTACTTACACACAACAGGATAGGGAAACAAGAAGTGCATTCAGGTTTAATAATTGCTTCTTCATCAACCCATGTCTGCCACCAGGCAGAGACCTTGTTTTAATCATCATTGAACGTCCAGAACACCTAATTAAGAGAAGCTGCTCAATAGATATGTGAGCACAAAGTGAAAGAATGAATGACTGAACAAACTGGGATTTCATCTTTCTGAGCCTTAGTTCCTTCTACAAAACAAAAAGTTTGGCAGAAAGAATAGTAAGATAATAGATTTGATAGTGGTTTGAAAAACAAAACATTCAGAAAAGTGGTATTTTCTCCCATAATTTTGTCTTCTTATTGATGTATTAATTTGTATGTCTATTCCAGAAATCTCTTTATGCTTTGGAAAGTCTTATGCATAATTTTGGCTTTTTCAGTTCAATATGCATTTAATAAGCAAATATTCTTGTGTAAGATATGGAATATTGGAAATGCTGATTATGTAATACTGATTACAAGTATGAAATAAAATAGAGGCAAGAGGAAAATAATTCTCATCTAGGGAGAGTATACTGGCTATTAAGTATTATTATATTATCTTTATTTTCACCATCCTCAGTGTTATTGTGAAAAAGGCTTAGAGCTTCCATGAGGAAAGGCACTGTTAACTATAAAAGTCACACATTCAATATTATACATTCTATGCTTTCTTCTATAATTGTGTCCTCTCACTAATTTACTAATTTTTATGTCTATTCCAGGAATCCCTTGATGTTTTAGAAAGTGTTGTTTGTAATTTTGGTTTATTTAATTCAATTTATCAGTATTATGCTAAGTTTCATGGATTGATGAGATATATAGGTAGATAGGTAGGTAGATAGATACTCATATCTGGATAAGGACATATTTAAAACATTACTGGACTTCAAGTTCATTGCCAGCCTGAAAGGTCCTTTTGAATCCTCCATTTGAAGGTCTTGCTTTTTACATGGGGAATTGAGGCAGGTAGACACAGTAATCATGCAGGGGAAGGGAGATTTGGGAGAAAATAATGTGGTTTAAAAGGAGAAACAACATTATGTATTTTAAACCAATGTTTATATTATGTTTGTTAATTTTATTCTATTTCCTTGCAGGTTTAAATGTTTATTTGCTACTTGGCTACTGATTAGAGAACGCAAAATGAATAACTCAACAAACTCCTCTAACAATAGCCTGGCTCTTACAAGTCCTTATAAGACATTTGAAGTGGTGTTTATTGTCCTGGTGGCTGGATCCCTCAGTTTGGTGACCATTATCGGGAACATCCTAGTCATGGTTTCCATTAAAGTCAACCGCCACCTCCAGACCGTCAACAATTACTTTTTATTCAGCTTGGCCTGTGCTGACCTTATCATAGGTGTTTTCTCCATGAACTTGTACACCCTCTACACTGTGATTGGTTACTGGCCTTTGGGACCTGTGGTGTGTGACCTTTGGCTAGCCCTGGACTATGTGGTCAGCAATGCCTCAGTTATGAATCTGCTCATCATCAGCTTTGACAGGTACTTCTGTGTCACAAAACCTCTGACCTACCCAGTCAAGCGGACCACAAAAATGGCAGGTATGATGATTGCAGCTGCCTGGGTCCTCTCTTTCATCCTCTGGGCTCCAGCCATTCTCTTCTGGCAGTTCATTGTAGGGGTGAGAACTGTGGAGGATGGGGAGTGCTACATTCAGTTTTTTTCCAATGCTGCTGTCACCTTTGGTACGGCTATTGCAGCCTTCTATTTGCCAGTGATCATCATGACTGTGCTATATTGGCACATATCCCGAGCCAGCAAGAGCAGGATAAAGAAGGACAAGAAGGAGCCTGTTGCCAACCAAGACCCCGTTTCTCCAAGTCTGGTACAAGGAAGGATAGTGAAGCCAAACAATAACAACATGCCCAGCAGTGACGATGGCCTGGAGCACAACAAAATCCAGAATGGCAAAGCCCCCAGGGATCCTGTGACTGAAAACTGTGTTCAGGGAGAGGAGAAGGAGAGCTCCAATGACTCCACCTCAGTCAGTGCTGTTGCCTCTAATATGAGAGATGATGAAATAACCCAGGATGAAAACACAGTTTCCACTTCCCTGGGCCATTCCAAAGATGAGAACTCTAAGCAAACATGCATCAGAATTGGCACCAAGACCCCAAAAAGTGACTCATGTACCCCAACTAATACCACCGTGGAGGTAGTGGGGTCTTCAGGTCAGAATGGAGATGAAAAGCAGAATATTGTAGCCCGCAAGATTGTGAAGATGACTAAGCAGCCTGCAAAAAAGAAGCCTCCTCCTTCCCGGGAAAAGAAAGTCACCAGGACAATCTTGGCTATTCTGTTGGCTTTCATCATCACTTGGGCCCCATACAATGTCATGGTGCTCATTAACACCTTTTGTGCACCTTGCATCCCCAACACTGTGTGGACAATTGGTTACTGGCTTTGTTACATCAACAGCACTATCAACCCTGCCTGCTATGCACTTTGCAATGCCACCTTCAAGAAGACCTTTAAACACCTTCTCATGTGTCATTATAAGAACATAGGCGCTACAAGGTAAAATATCTTTGAAAAAGATAGAAGGTGGGCAAGGGGAGCTTGAGAAGAATAAAAGGGATAAACGAGCTCCTAGTTTTAAAATCTCTGCCATTGCACTTTATAGTCTGATTACAAAACGTGCAATTCAGGAGCCCAGCAGTGACACACTTATCACGCCTAGGCTCCAGTTTGCAAAAATTGCACCTTATAAACTGTCAGTATTAGGAGCAATGAGACAATGAAAGAAACATGTTGGGATCGTGGATTTAAGAAACTATACACTGTTTCTCATAATCTCTTGAAGAAGGGCTTCTGATTCTACAATTTTATCAGTCTCTGCACAAGAGGAATAACCTTGTTCCTTTTTTGTTACTTTTGTTGTTGTTGTTCTCATGTGTCCTTAAGAGAAGGAAATGCCACAGTTACAAGGTAAACATGGAGACTTAAACATAAAGAAATAGGCACTATACAATGGGGACATAAAAAAAGAAAATCAAAGAAGGATGCAGAAATTGTCTCCGGAGTGTTAAGCATATTTTATTCTTTTGTTACGGTCCTATTTAGAGGATTGGAATGTAATAAATGCTTATTTTTTGCCTTTCTTTTTCCCACCATGAAGAGAAAGCAAACAAACAGAAACCCCAACTAGGTCACACCATTTTTCTTCTTGTTATGCCACTATTTTGTACATCCCTGTTCTATATTGTTTATAGGGAAAACCTACAGGACTTTCACTAAAGCTAGCCAGAGACAGCCATGAAAATGGACGTTTCACCCCTCCTCACTGTGTCCTTTGCATTCGTTGGGGATATCAAGGTCTATAAGGATTTAGTGCACTTATAATCCTATATGCGAAATGTTTAAACCAATCTGATTTTCTCCTAAATAGCCTTTTATATCAACAGAATATCCTACCTAAAACATAAACCTGTTTAAGAAACCATCGTCACTGTAAAGTTGAGGTTTCATCAAATTAAATAATGGACTATCTAGTTGGACCAAGTTTATTAAAGTCAGGTGAATTTTAAGATTAAAAAATAGAAGTTTAGGACTTTCTATTTCAACCTGAATTTGCCTGACCCATGTATGAAATGTTAACTTATAGAAAATGAACTCCTGACTTTCTCAGCAGAAAGGAATGCTGTTTTATTTATTTGGAATCCTAAACAGGATTAACATACTCACATAGCACCAGTGATTTCTGGGCCAGTCCCTAGAGAATAGAACCTTCTATCCAATGCCTGCTAAAGGATGATATTCAAATTATAACCAAGTGAGGATGTCTGCAATTATCCTATGACCCCATGAAAGGGGAAAAAACGATATTTTAAAAACTATTACTGAAACAATTACATATTCCATATTCCTCAAATTGTCAATTCTCCCTAACATTATTTAACTTCAAAATTCTCTTATCAATAGAATTATAGTAATCTTTGTGACAGAAATGTAGTGGCTAACTAAATAGAGGCCAAACGAGCTTACAGAATCTGACAGAAGGAGGTAGGTGGCTGTTGCCATGCCACATCTCACCATCTAATTCTAGACCATAATAATCATGTCAGGAACTATTATCTAAGTGGTGGCATTATATAGAATCTTGCCACGTAGAGATTTTTTATTTGGTCGTCTAAATAAATATAGGATTAGGATTATACGGATTCACATACAACTAGTTATTTTTATCCTTTATATTTTTCTTACAGTATTTGCTGTAGTTTTCCAATGAGATTTTCTAAAAATGGCTCAATCAATGGAAATCAAATTATAAACGCATTTGCAAATTTCATATTTTGGATTTTAGATTTATGATATCTTGTTCAGTAATAATAATGTTAGTTACATGGTAAATTTATCAATATTAGACCCCAGCACTTAAAAGAATTATTTTGTATGATTAGCCTCATAGATGCCACCTCAACATTTTGGAGAGTTAAGGAGGAAAAAAAGCATGAGGGAAAAAAAAAACCAAAAAACTTATAAGTTAGTAAGAAGCAAATTGCCAGCAGTATTTATATTTGACTTATCCTTCGTAAAAACAATTTCCTGTTTAAATAACTTCAGTCATTACCCCCCCAAAGTAATCTTCCATATTTAAAGCATTCATTTATAGAGATTCCCTTACCTACAGTTACTTCAACATGCACTTTTACATTTTAAATTCATATTTATTTTCATATTGTTTCTTCAAATGAAGGAATCAGTTGAACGGAAATAACGTCAAGCCAGTGGGCTCCTCGAGTTTCTGAAAACCAGAGAATTGACTAGCCAAGTATTTCCCTTTTTAATGTATTGTATTATTATTATGTAGATTTGGCTTCAGTTGGGAAGAACCCTTTGGCATCCAGGATTCAGGATTCAGGGTCTTTTTTTGTTTGCTCTAATAATCCAACGCACCATGAATCAAGCTTTTAGTCTCTGCTGCCATTGTATCCTTCCTTTTCCTCCCTCTGTTATTGATCCTTGCCACAGCCACTGCAACCTCATTGAAAGAGAAACTGTCACTTTAAAGAAAGAAATTGAAGATAGGCTGACACCATGGAAACTACGTCAAACAGATAAGAAAAATGGAAGGAATACTGAAAATGATAGATGATTGGAGAGATATGGAGATTATATTCAAGGATTTTTATTAACCACTGCTGGATTTGTCTATTTCAGTGGCTCTCAAACAGAGACAATTCCCCTCTCCCCGAAAGGGGACACTTAGCAATGTGTAAAGACATTTTTGGTTGCCACACTGGGAGGAATGCTATTGGTATCTAGTGCATAGAGGCTGGGAATGCTGCTAAATAGCCTATAATGCTCAGGACATTTTCCCCCAACCCCTTTAAACAAATATTATTTGGCTCAAAATGTCAATAGTTCCAAGATTGAGAAATTCTTGTCTACTTTAAGGGATTTCTAAAGCTTGCCTCTTATTAGTGGGAAAATAACCCTGCATTATTTTTAGAATATCAATGCAAATTCCTCACCTGTTAGAAAAAGGTAATACTCACCAACCATGTATCAGAAAAACTTTTCTCCTGAGTCTGGTGTATGTGTCAGTCACAGATTGGGAACTCAGGCCACATCTACATATCAAAAATCACCAGACTATGCATATCGCACATCTTTTTTCCAGCATCTTAATGTTCAATTATGATTGCCACAGATCTAGTCAATTGAGGTTGCAGTAGTTGGCCATCAAAATATTTGCAGTTGATATGATCAGTTTCTACTGGAGCTGCAATTTTTCCTTTCAAAAAATATTAAGAGCCTCTTTCAGAAACAATATCATTTATCTTCTTTGCATTTACTGGAAAGGTGTATCTGTAAGGTCTTTGTTTTTTCTCTCCTCATAGCAATAATGTAGCTATCCCAGAGTGATATTATAAGAAGAGGAGATTAAGAATATGGAAAAAGTCTGTTCATTTCTTCGAAACAAGAAATGATTTTCCTTTTACCAGTTCATCATTAATTTAACGCCAGCTCCCAAGTATTAGGGCAGAGTAATCAATATGAGAAGCCACAACGGGTAAGCTTTCTGATTTGAAATGTACAAGCTGGATGTCCAACATACTCCTGCTCTTTGTTCATTTGCTTTTTTGATCCTGAAGATCTGACATTGGGAGAGATGGGAATTCAAAATGATGGCAACAATTACTCAGCAATGCAGTCTGTTTTTATTTTCTCCTACTTAGTTCATTGACAGTTTCCTCCTCGCCCCAGTTTGATAATATCCCTTTCAACAACCATAGTACCGGTGTTGCAAATAGTTTAGGAAAGCACCCAAAGCTGGATGAAATTGTGCAAAGTGTATTCTCAGCATGTATATTCAATACCATGCCTCTTAAAAATGCTTCTCTTAAAGGGTGCACGCTGTAGCATGAAATGTGTGCATATTTAATGTATCTTCCTGGAATATGCTATGTGCTAAATATATATATATTCTATAAATAAAATAATAAAATGTACAATAGAAATACATATTTCTGTATGCAAATAAATATATTATACACAAACTCTTAATACGCAATATGGTATATGTTGCTTCTGAATAACAAAGTTGATTTTATATGCCCAATTTTCAAAGAAAATAGCATTTGCATTAGAAGGAAGAGATTTAAGAACAGCCAAAATCCCATATTAAGATTAAACTGTTTTATGATCTTTAAGAACAGGGCAGATTTCAAATATCTCTCACAGGAATAAATTAATAATTTTTTCTGGTATCACTCCATGTGACAACAATGCTTTATTCGCCTGTGCCCCTGACATGCCTCTTCTGACTAGAATCTTCCCAGCTGGTACTGTTCCAACAGCTGTGTTGATCTAGTGTCTGATTACTTGATGAGGTTGCAACCAACCCTTTCTCATACAGTTTCACTCTCTTCCAAATTAACTGATTTTAGTGGAATAAAAAATAATCATACTGGGAGAAAAGGATGACCTTCAGAGTGCTTTTCATTCTGACAACCAAGGTAAACTTTGTATAAGCACCATATTTTAATAAACTACTCTTTTCAATTTCGGTCCAATACAACATCCCATACATTAACTTCCAGAAATGTTTAATGAGGTATAGCATAATATTAGAAGTTTCCCCATGAAATTTTAAGTGGGTAGTTTTTTTTTCTAAGTGGCCTATATTTTCTCAATAGCAGTCCTCTTCCTTTCCTTGTTTGCCTCTCGACTACGCACATTTCCGAGAACATTTGCATTGATCCATTAACACAAATCTGTAGTTAGCTAATACACTTATAATATTAGTTGCCACTGGACGTGCAATTCCAGGAGATGTTTACATTTTAATATAAAAAGTGTAAATACTGAACATTTAAAGGATTACTATTACAGCTTTTAGAGACCAAGTCATGCAGTTGTAGTCATTTTTTAATTAATTTGAGTTCTCTCCAAATTTTAAGGCATAATTCTATGTCTATTTACTTTCTAAATTTTACCTATGACAATTCACACTGTGAATTGATGTCTTCGTCTATACCAAAGTCATTTCTAGAAAAAGAAAAATATTTGAGTTTTCTATCAATTCCTATTAGTTTTATATTGTTCCAGTGAAGTGTTCTCATTTCATTTTTGAGAACTGAATTGAATTGTATATCGATGAAATGCCAAATGCTATTCCTGACTAGATGATTGCAAATAATGAAACAGCAAAAACATCTTGCCATCATTAAGGAAGAACTTTCCACCTCATAACATGTTTCCAATATTTTCTCTCTTGGGAAGCTTTTAGTGCCACGCTCTTATACCAGGGATTAAAACTAACCATAATGATAAATTTACTTGAAGTACCATTAGAATAATGTCTTAATTTGTTTTCTGTTGATATAACAGAATACTTGAGACTGGGCAAATTATAAGGAAAAGAGGTTTATTTGGCTCATAGTTCTGGAGGCTGGAAAGTTCAAAATAGGGCTGCCGCACCTGGTTAGGGCCTCATGCTGCACTCTAACATGGTGGATGCAATTACATGGTGGAAGCCTGTGCAAAAGAGGCAAAATACAAGGGACAATCTCACTTTATAATGACCTACTTTTGTGTTAACTAACCTAGACCTGCAAGAATGCACTCTCTCTAGCAAAAGGGCATTAATTCCCTCAGAAAGGGGCACCCCTGATGACACAAATATCTCTTAAAGGTCCCACCACCTCTCAACACTGTTACACTTGGGACCAAGTCTCAATATGAGTTTTGGTGGAGACAAACCATACTCAAGCCATAGCACATATCAAAGTTTAAAGACAAATACAATAGATGCTTGACTTCTGTCTGCGATATCTCCACTAAAATATATATTTTAAGCATATATTTTTCTATCATCACCTACATCATGTATTTTTCCAGAGACTGCATTTAAACACATTCTTTTTCCTTTCATATGAGTATTAAGAAAGAATCATTCTGCTATAATGTTGTTTAGAATTACCAGCAAGTAAAAAATATTTGCATTTAAGAAGTAATCCATCAACCTCTCCCTCCTTAACACACACATACACACACAAAGAAACATACACAACCATACATACTCAGGTACAGAAACACACATATGCCCATACAAATACACACACATACATGCATACAAACACACACAGGTCTCATCCTCTCGACAGTGCCCAGAGGCATAACTTTTCTACTACTTCCAAAAGCATTTGGAATATTACTAGAGGCCATTGAACTCTAGAGTTCAGCTGAGTGATGTTGAAGAAAAAATTCTATTTGCTCCTCTTTGCTCGATGGTCAGTTCCCTGCACAATTTTCTAAATCTGTTAGAATCATATGAGTGAGTTTTAGCTCTCTGTCTGCCACCAACAGCCTTCCAGTTGTCTGCAGGCCATCTCTTCATCACATACCAGTGATTACATGGGGTCATGGTGAGAAAACATGTTTATATCAGAAAAATATGTCATAACACATACAAAACATATCTACAAATTCATATCTTCACAATGGGTGTCCTCAAGCACTACGCTACTATATAAGATGGTGCTTTAAATGTCAGCATAACTATCTAGAGTGCTGAGGAGAGGAAACAGTGATACCTTCTCTGCACATTTCTTCCAAAAATCCCTCTCAGACTTTCCTTTAGCCATATAGCTCTTTGTACTTACAGAATGTATAGAAATTTAGAAATGAAGCTTACTGTTAATATGCAACAGATGATCAAATGGTCAAAATGTCTTGTGTCCTGAGTTAATAAACAGGAAAGCCATATATGCATCTTCCATCTTGCAGGAAAAGTAAGATTAATGATCTGATTATTTTTATTTTCTTGTTATATCACTTTTAAAAATTATTAATAAAGAAGTAAATCAAAGTAATTTAAACATCAAATATTAAGTGGTTGAACAATATAATTTCCTTTTTTCTCAGTCCTACTGAATAACTTAACCTGCATGGAAAATATAACCTGAACAAGTTTGTATTTAAGCAGAAAAAAAATCCATAAGGAATAAAATTTAGAATGAAACAGGAATGATAAAATATGAAGTCCCAGTGAGAAAAGAAAATAAATTATCCCTCAACTCCCTCAAATGAATAATAAAAGTTTAACAGAATTTCTTTTATTAAACCATGATTATTATTTATTATTTTGGAAAAATAAATTTTTGTAATGTTTTCTTATGTCCATTTATTATGTTTTTTTCTTATGTCTACTTACTTCATCTCTTTTTAGTTTTTTTATCTTTTAAAATGTTTTAAAGGTAATTTTTATAAGTGTTTTGAGAGGCAAACACAAAAATTGCTATTTTTCTGAGGATTGCTTTTAATTTGTGTTGTAGTTGACACTGCTACTTCAGAAAGCAAAACCAATTTTTAAAGAAATACAGTCATGCATATTTTAACAACAGGGATGCGTACTGAGAAATGTTTCTTTAGGCAATTTTGTTGTTGTGTGAGCATCCTAGGGTATACATACACAAATCTATATGGTATAGCCTACGTATTAGTCAGTGTTCTCTTACAGGGACAGAACTAGATAGATAGATGATAGATAGATAGATAGATAGATAGATAGATAGATAGATAGATAGATAGATGATAGACAGATACATACATACATATACATAAAGATATATATGGGTAT
The DNA here is from genome assembly GCF_000001405.40 of Homo sapiens. NCBI lineage: Eukaryota > Metazoa > Chordata > Mammalia > Primates > Hominidae > Homo > Homo sapiens. The sequence continues at coordinate 137,023,833 of NC_000007.14, forward strand.
TTATATATATATGTATAAATGGGAGTTTATTAAGTCTTAACTTACATGATTATAAGGTCTCACAGTAAGCTGTCTGCAAGCTGAGGAGCAAGGAGAGCCAGTCCAAGTCCCAAACTGAAGAACTTGGAGTCCCATGTTTGAGGGCAGGAAGCATCTGGCAGGGCAGAAAGATGTAGACTGGGAAGCTAGGGCCATCTCACTTTTTCACATTCTTCTGCCTGCTTTATATTCACTGGCAGCTGATTAGATTGTACTCACCAGATTAAGGGTGGATCTGCCTTTCCCAGACCACTGACTCAAATGTTAATCTCTTATGGCAACACCCTCACAGACATGCCCAGAATTAATACTTTGAATTCTTCAATCCAGTCAAGTTGACATGCAGTATTAACCATCACAGCCTACTACACACCTAAGCTATATGGTATAGCCTATTGTATATTGTAGCCTGGACTACAAACCTGTACAGCAAGTAACTGTACTGAATACTATAGGTAGTTGCAAAACAGTGGTATTTGTGTATCTAAATACATAAAAACATACAAAAAGTACAGTAAAATTACAGTATTATAATCTTATGGAATGGACCACTCATATGTGGACACCATCTTAGATGCAGTTTGTCCTTGACCAAACATTAAGTGGTACATGGCTGTATAAGAAAACTGCTAATAATGACACATACACTAAATAGCAAAAAACAAACAAACAGAAAACAAGAAACAAAAATATGGGCAAAGTGCAAAAATATAACATACAATAAAAAAGCAATTCTATGGACTTAATGACTGCCATTTGTAATTATTTCTGAACAATATGCAGCAATTGCCGCTGTGGTCTCATGGGCTCTAAAAGTTTGTTCACAAAGTGGTGGACACTGTCCCATGGCCACCCTGTGAAGTAATCTAGACTGTGCTGTTTTAATGCAGATCTTGGCATGCACAATCAGCAGCTGGGAATGAGTCATCATTAGTTATTAGTCCTAAATCAAGAAATTAAAGTCTATCAAAGCCCCTGTTGGGTACAGAGTGTATGAGGAACTCTAAACTACCACAAACTTGGGAGAAATGAATGAAAATAAAATTATTAAAATTTCAGATATGATGAAAATGGGATCTAAAGTTTGTTTCATGTATGCATACCTATTTGGAAGCAAATTTTAATGAACAGTATTTCTTGGCCATGTACAGGTGAAATACTTTATGTAAATGACAACTTAGGATTATACTGTTACCTTAGCTATAATGATTTCTAAAAATTTGAATGACAAAGGAACCTGTTATCTTTCTTATTTGTTTCCACTGCTTTACTTTTTTGAGTAAGATATATAGCATTCACTTGAGAGAAATACACACGTAGTATAGAATCCTAGTCTTAAAAAATTCTGTAATAAAAGACAACTATTAAATGTATGTGAATTCCAAATCACGTAGGTTATTTAAGATTGAAAATTTACATACTAGAAAAATTGAAGAATGTTAGTATTCTTTAAAAAAGGTATGTTTTATATTCTACAAACGGCATACGGATAATTTTTGACAGGATCTTTAAAGATAATCCAAATTTATATATAAATTGGATTGGAGATTAAATATAACTATATACATATAGTTAGTTTTACTATCAAGTTCATGTATTTATACAAGTGTGTATAATTATATACATATTATATGCTTTATTTATAAAAGAGAAAGAACATGTTTAAAGAAACAGTACTAGGAATTTAATGGAAAATGACTTGCAAATGCAGGGAATGAGGTATGTACCAATGGAAAATATTCAGCATACCAAAGGAGTATTGGCTCAAGTGTTGATGATGCATATATACAAAGACATTTCAACTTCCAAATTCAGTGCTGAGGAAGCAGTGATGCCAAGTCTCAGAAAGAGTTGAAGAATAATATTTACATGCTGTGTCCTTGGATGTGTTTTTGCCAAACTATATCCCTAAATGAATCCTTACGCCAGTCAGAAAATACAACAAATACAACAATAAAATATTTTGCTTTTTTAAAAAAGACAATGATTCATCATGACCAGACATTGTGGCTCACGCCTGTAATCCCACCACTTAGGGAGGCAGAGGCGAGAAGATAGCTTGAACCCAGGAGATGGAGACCTGCCTGGGCAACATGGTGAGACCCTGTTCTCCACAAAAAGTAAAAAAAAGACAAACAAACAAAAAACCACTGTAACTCCCCTTATCAAATGATTCATCCTGTTTAGAATATCTCTGTGAGTATCTTGGAAACCAGACTCTATACTCCTGACTACTCTTTAAGAGAATGTCAATTAGTGCAAGTTCCTCACTTGATTAAGTACTAATTTCAGTGCAAATTACGGGGAGCTCTGGCTCTACCCTTAAAGACTTTTCATTTTGCTTTCACTATCTACCAGATGAAAATTGCTCAGGAGTACTCTTTCTACCAACTGTTCTACATTTCTGGCATTCCTAAAGTGTTGGCTAGATGGACTCCAGGTTTGCCTGGTTTCTAGATCGGTACTTAGTGGACTAGATGTGTCAGGAAGCATTCCTGTTTTTGTATAATTTCCACAAAGAATTGATTTTAAGACATCTATCCAATATGGTTTTCCTCTCTCCAAACAAGAAGAAAGTCAACACCCACAAAAACTCATATCAAATGTTCTCAAGTGTACACAGGTCACCATGGTGACTTGGCTTGGAGCTGACTATGTTCTTGTCAATGAGGTGGTAGCAATTCCAACCCCAGGAAGAATTCATTCAGAAGTATTCGTGCACTCAAGTTTATGATATAAACTTAGATTCTTTGAGTCTTGAGGTTGGTTACAACCTTATTTATCATTTATCCCCACTTTCAAGAGCAGATGCTCTCTATAAACTGTAATGGTCATAAAGACTTTGCTTCAGCCTCCCTGGAAATCAGCAGTTCAATTTCCTTGACACTTCACGCTGGCCTCTGTCTCATTTCATTATTCTATTCTGATCTGATCTTATCTATAACCTCAGCTTTTATTATCATCTTAAATGTGACAGAACATAAATCTTACCTCCATTCCAGGCTTCTCCATTGAACACCAGCACTGTATAGACTATTGTCTACCCACCTGAGCACCCCTCATGGATTTCTCACACCTTTCTCAACCTCAACATGTTCAAGGCTACCTTCCTGATTTCACCCTCAAAAGTGGCCCCATTCTGCTATTTCCTAACCCATCTTCTACTCAGTTGCACAAAATGGAAACCAAAGCACTACCTTTGACTTTCACCTCTAATTATACCTCCAGTCCTCCCAATTTTACCTCATAAATATCAAATCTGTTAAATCTATGAACTTCTCCCATTTCCACTAATACCTCTACACAGCACAGGTAGCCTAACTGATTTTACCACATCAGCTCTGACCCCATCCCATATGTCTTCTATACTGAAACCAGAGCAGTCTTTTCAGAAGGCAAATCTGCTTCAGATCTGTGGGTGATTCCCTCCTTTGCCAAAGTCCAGAATCCTTTATCTGGCCTAGGAGCACTTCAAGGCATAGCCCCTCCTTCCTCTCCATCCTCACCTCTCACCACACTCCCATGTGATTGCATAGCGCTTGCCACATTGGCACAAGCCACACCTGTCCTCATCATGCACCCCCTGCTAAAGGACCTTTGCACATGCACTTAATCATACTTTGCCTGGAAAGCTCTCCTCACCCATCATTACCTGGATAGCTCCTAAGTACCCTTTGCATCTCAGATCCAGGATGAGACTTTCTGGTATACCTCCCTGAGTGTTCTAACTACATCAAATCCCCTACTATAGCCCCCATAGCAATTTTCATAGCTGAAATTTTATTTATGCATGAGAGATCATTTGACTAAATTTTTGTCTCCACCTATAGAATATACGCTTTGAAAATTCAAAGACCACATCTACATTTGTTCACCTAAGACAGTGCTTTATACATGATCACTCTTCTCTCACTAACATTTTTTCCTTACTTTCTAGATATCTAAATTTGAGAAAGTTATTTAATTTCTTCATATGTAAAGACAGTCAATATCTATATATACATAGTATTGCTATAAATTATATATATATTTATACAAGCACTAATTTGAGGATTAGAAGTAATTAGAGTTTGAAAAGCTCCTAGCAGAGTGCCTGACAAAGAGGAGTACTCAAAGTTGTATATGTGTAACACTTACTGTCATGGAAAACTGAAATAGAGACCAAAGATTTCAGAGCTTTTAGCCTTCACTTTGCAGAGTCCTAAGTGTCCTGTAAACCCAGCCGGTGCTTTTCTGAAATAAGTGAGACTTCTGGAAACTCCAGACCATTTCCTCAATAAAGGGAATTAACTATGAAACACTCCAGATAGAATATAATTATTCTTTTCTTTTGAGACATTGCTCAAATCATTTTAGCGTTTTGCTTAAATAGTCACGTAAATTACAGTAATAAGGTTATTCATATCTTACACTGTTCTAGCTCATTTTACATTCCAGGTATTTTTTTAGATCTGGTGTTAATCATATGAGAAATTTTTGTACTTATTTTATAGATGAGGAACTGGAAGCTCTCTGAGATCAAGTAATTGCCCAAGGTCACAGATGCATGTGGAATAGCCAAGACTCAAATCTAAAAGTGGTTAATTATACAGCAAGCACCTGAGAAGCAGCTTGACCTGGTTTCCTCGGTCTAAACCTCTGGGGAATATGTATATATCTATATATGTATAATATATATGTATATGTAATGTATATTTACATATATAATATATAATATACTTATATAATGCAATATATATGTACAGTATATATTCCTATATTAATACCTCATTAATAGATTTCTTTTCATTGTTATTTCTATTTATGGTTTTATTGTTAATAAAACCATGGTACATTTATGATAAGTGACAATATTATTGTACAGTTGAAGTATCATACAACATTACAGCATTATTTTATTGCTAATTTCTTTGTACATCCAGCTCAAGCAGCTAGTTGAAATATTTTCCAGGATTGCAACCCCCCAGGGGATTTTCAGGGTGACCCAAGTGATGCCTCCTGAAATGCCCAGTTTCTATGGTGCAGCCAGATAGCTGAAGAAGCTACACCCAGACAGGCTGTGCTTGATGCTCCCCCATTGTCTGGTCCATAAATATAACAGGTGTCTGAGAGAGCTCGGGGCCTGCAGAATTTGAGGGCAAGGCCGGCTTGGGGACACAGCAAAAAGGGTCTCTTCTCCCAGCCCTTCTTTTCCACCAATGCCCTGTCCTTTATCCCCAAGACCTGCAGTCCCCAGTGAGAAGTGTTTGCCCAGCTCTCAATCCTACATTAAAGGAAACTTCCACTTTGGAGACTTGACCAGGGAGCTCTGCTTCTTGGGCCCACAGAGGCAACTTAAGTCTAGGCCTGAGTTTCCCCCCTCTTTAAACCCTCCTGAGCCTCTTACAGTTATAGAGCTTCTTGAAATTTCTATTAGATGGTCAGATACTTTGACATTAGTCTTTAAACAGAACTATTCTTATTAATCTCAAGCAAAACCATAGAAACCATTGTTAGTGGAACAAAATGCCCCTTCACAAAGTGCCTACCAATTTATACAGTGAACATCACACATTTCACCCAAGCTAATCCTTATACCTACCCTATAAGGTGGACACTATTATCACTTTTTTCAGATAAGGGATATTTGATTTAGAAGTTAAATGACTTGGCCTATATCACTTTGATTTCCTGCACATAAGGAAACAAATTGTTCTCTCGCATTTATTTAATTTTAATTTTAGAGACATTGTCTCACTATGTTGCCCAGACTGGTCTCAAACTCTTGGGCTCATGTGATCCTCCTGCCTCAGCCTCCCAAGTAGCTGAGACTATAGGCACGTGCCACTATGCCTGGCTTGTTCTCTCAATTTAAAAGCGCACACTCAGGCAGTAGAAGATTAAGGGACCAAAAATAGAGTTGATATGTGCTTATAGTAGAGGTTATTGTATCTTCCAACCCTAATGAGGTGGAGTTTATAAGTCAAGTCTTTCCAGGGTTACTCTCAGATAACTTCAGAATATTGTTCCAAGGTAAACAAATGCTACTTGGGGTCATGTCAGTCCAGACTAGTTGGCTACATTTTTTCCATGGGGTTGGTTGGGGCCAGCCATGAGATCCAGTGGTTTTAGTTTTTTTTTTTATTTACTTCAAAATAGCATGCCCATTCAAATGGCTACTATATTCACTTTTCAAAATAATTTATGAATAATCAAGATCTGATATGTTAGATAGAATCCAACTTGCTAAAATTAAATTCTTTCCTTCTATTTTGTGTATGTGGTGGAGGGAGGAGGGTGAGCAAATCAAAGTCATCTTTAGAAATATTTTAGGATAAATTCTGATGAAGCTGCTTGAGGTTTTCAAATTAAATTACTGAATATGAAAGCTGATGTTTCCTATAGAAAAGCAGTGTTTTCAATTTTATTTATTCACTTCCAAGAGCTCTAATCATATTTCTCACATGAACTGTCTCAAGAGTCAGTAACAATTTTTTGATTCAAAGGAAAATCAGACCTGCAAGAAAAAGTCAGATTGAAGAGATAGGCTAGAGCTAAGGACTGTAGCAAATTACGGAGTTCCCATTAGTGAATGACATAGAGCTAGAACAGACAATTGAAGGGAGCAATAGAGAGAGATCTGTTCAGGTAAGCGGCTGGCTTAGCGTAGGAAGCACAATAAAATACTTTATCATCGGTCATTAGGCAGAGTCCTTACATCTGGATTCCAACATTATGTATCAAGCCATGCTGAGTATCTTTCTCCAGCCCCTTCTGGTCCACTACATTCTCCATCCTGCTCTGTGGATTTTGGGAAGCTGACCTGTATGCATCGCATTAATATGCTTCTTAGCCATAACTAAAACTTATCTTCTAGTTTTTAGTTGAGGTCACCCACCACAACTTGGCTGTGTCCTCCTACAAGAGGCCAACCAAGTGGCCTGCAATCTAGGTCCAGTAACTTCTCCCTCCCTTGGCCTTTCAGGCTGAAGGGTGGTAATGGCACTTCTCTGTTACTAGCCCCAGCATCTTGCACTGTTCTCTTTTGTATGGATTTCCTAAACACCATCCTCACCTCTGTACATAGCGCCTTTATTAAACTTTCCTCAATGCATCGATTCTGAATGGATTGTTACCTACTATGTCCTTAGGTAATAAACAAGTATTGTTTATGAAAGTAGAAAGCATAAGATTCTTTAATTTCCATGAAATGTTTAAAAGGTAATTTAGGACTCCAATTCTGAAGCGATGGATTCAAAAGCCAGAATATCAGGACGAGCACAAGGATTGAGAATTCAGAGGACAATAGAAAATTAGACATCTATTTTAGAGTTACGACTTAATTTGATGGTTTGACCAAACCAACCAGGAGCCAATTACTACAAATTCTTTCATTTGTTCATAAAATCATTTATTCAGAAAATATTTATGGAGTGAAAGTGATTTATCTGGCTCTATTCTGGGGTTTTGAGATCCAGTACTGCACAGGGAAGATCCAAAAGTTTTTTCCATCACATAGACTGTGTAGCTGAAGCCAAGTGGATATACATAAAGATGATTTTAAACAAAGTGTCACAGTGGTTATTTAGAAGACGGTTTTGAAATATTTACTCATTATTATAATCTGAACTCAAGATTAACATATCTTCCCAAAACGAAGACAAAGAACACATTTGCTCTACATAAATGATAAGTAGCAATGAACAAAATGAAAGAAAACATGAATCAACACTCCAAATCTCTAAAATATTTACCACTGTTCTAAAATTGAGCTCTTTTGATTGGAAAGATAAACATAACTATGAAAATCATTAGAATCACTAAGAAATTCAGATTTTGAGAATTTGAAGTTATTGCATTATATAAGCAACAGAACTAGTTCTTGTACTAGGCAGGGGCATATTTATTCTCTTTATCTGAAGGCAAGTAAGATCATCTTACTCTTTTGGAACATTTGGAAATATTTCCTAAGTTTGGTGAAGACTCTTACATTATTTAGATGCCAGTTATCTGTGAGACAAACTTAAGTATTCTGATATTTTGATTATCCCTACCTCTTGCTTCTTCTGTCCTGGTCTCCTCATCAACAAAAGTGTGAATTATAAGTTTCTTTCTGAATCAAATATAATAATGTGTTTCATTTTGTATGTTATTTCATTTGGTCAGAAATGCTCAAAGTTTAGAGGCTTAAAAACACATTAAAATGTCCACTTAAATCAAGAAGAGATAAAGATCTTTACAGACACTACCAATTACAGAATATCTCATGAATTGAGTGACTATTATTATCTGCCTCCCTTTTTAATATCATACATTTGAGAAAAACACTTTAGAAACTTAAGCTTTTTAAATGTAAAATGTAAATGTATAGAGACTCTGGAAGATAATCTTGGAAATACCATTCTGGGCATAGGCCATGGCAGAGATTTCATGAAGACCCCAAACAACATTGCAACAAAAATTCGCATATGGGACCTAATTAAACTAAAGAGTTTCTGAACTGCAAAATAAACTATCAACAGAGTAAACAGACAACCACCAGAATGGGAGAAAATATTTGCAAACCATGCATTTGACAAAGGTCTAATAGCCAGATTCTATAAGGAACTTAAACACATTAACAAGCAAAAAAACAACCTCATTAAAAGGTGGGCAAATGACACAAATAGATAGTTTTTAAAGAAGACATATGCGCAGCCAGCAAGCATATGAAAATGCTCAACATCACTAATCACTGGAGACATCCAAATCAAAACCACAATGAAATACCATCTCACACCAGTCAGAATGGCTATTAAAAAGTCAAAAAAATACAGATGCTTGTGGGGTTGCAGAGAATAAAGAATGTTTATACACTGCTCGTGTGAATGTAAATTAGTTCAGCTACTGTGGAAAGCAGTATGGAGATTTCTCACAGAAGTAGCGGGGCATGGTGGCATGTACCTTTAGTCCCAGCTCCTGGAGGATGAGATGGGAGGATCGCTTGATCCCAGGAGGTGGAGGTTGCAGTGAGCCAGTCTTGCCACTGCACTCCAGCCTGGGCAACAGAGGGACACCAACACCCTGTCAAAAAAAAAAAAAAAAAAAAAAAAAGAACTTAAAATAGAACTACCATTGAACTCAGCAATCCCATTACTGGGTAAGCACACAGAGGAAAGTAAATTGTTCTACCAAAAAGACATGTGTACTTGTATGTTCATTGCAGCACTATTCACAATAGCACAGATATGGAATCAACTTAGATGCCCATCAATGGTGGATTGGATAAAGAAACTGAGGTACAACGTATACACCATGCAACACTATGTGGTCATAAAAAAGAATGAAATCATATCCTTTGCAGCAACATGAATGCAGCTGGAGGTCATTATCCTAGGCAAACTAATGCAGGAAGAGAAAATCAAATACTGAATGTTCTCACTTATAAGTGGGAGACAAACATTAAGGAAACATGGACACAAAGAAGGGAAAAATAGACACTAGGGCCTACTTGAGGGTGGAGGGTGGGAGGAGGGTGAGGATCATGAAACTACCTATCAGGTACTATGCTTATTACCTGGGTGATGAAATATCTGTTCACCAAACCCCCATGACACACAATTTACCTATACAGCAAACCTGCACATGTACCCCTGAACCTAAAATAAAAGTTAAAAACAAAAAAGAAAGTTACTCTTTGGGAAAGGGTCAGACACAAATGATAGATCACATAAAAAGGGGAATTGCTTTTTAAAGAGATGAGATTATTTTAAAAAAAAAAAAAATGGCCAGACACCGTGGCTCATGCCTGTAATCCCAGCACTGTGGGAGGCAGAGGCAGGAAGATCACGAGGTCAAGAGATCAAGATCATCCTGGCCAACATGGTGAAACCCTGTCTCTACTAAAAATACAAAAATTAGCCAGGCGTGGTGGTGCACACCTGTAGTCCCAGCTACTTGGAAAGCTGAGGCAGGAAAATCACTTGAACCTGGGAGGTGGAGGCTGCAGAGAGCCAAGATCGTGCCACTGCATCCAGCCTGGGTGACGGAGCAAGACTCAGTCAAAAAAAAAAAAAAAAAAAAAAAGAGGCCTTGATATCCAAGCAGAAATCATAAAGAAAAAAAAAGATTTTTATGTTTGTTTTTGAAAACTTTTTAAAAAATTTGTTACAAAACTTCCTTTAACAACAATAAAGCCAGACTAGAAATTAATTGCAATGTACGCAATGAAAAATATTAATGTCCTTAATATATAAACAGCTTTTGCAGATCAACAGCAAAGAGATAAACTTCATAAACAATTGGCAGAATATATGAAATGGTGGCCCTCCAAAAACAGAAATATAAATTAAAGACTATTTGATATAGAAAAGTTTATATTCTTATTATTAATAAAACGTAATTTAAGGCAATAAAGATATTCCATTTTATATGGATAATTATTGCATTTCTTTAAAAGGACAATTTGTAATTTCACTACATGTACGAGTTATTTCCAGACTGCTGATGAACTTGTTTGTATTTCTGTTTTCATGAGAAATTTGAAAATTTGCAATAAAATGGTAAAAGCGAAAATTACTTTAAAAAAAAATGAAAGAGCTGCTTGTATGAAAACACTAATAAAATTGGCAAACCTTTAGAAAGATGAACAAAGGAATATAAAGAGCGAATATACTAATTCCTGATCTCAGAAGTTAAACAGCATATATCACTATACATCCTGCAAATAACCCAAAGGATGATTACAGAATGCTACAAAAAATTATGCATGTATAAAATGGACAACTTTGATAAAACAGGTCACCTCCTTGAAAATACAAATAATCACAACTCATCCAATGTGAAGTAAATAATTTGAATAGCTCCATAACAATTAAGAAAATTGAATTAATAATTTAAAACTAATAGCCCCCCAAAAAGTCACCAGGCGAGATGGTTTCACTGGAAAATTCTACCAAACATTTAAAAAAGAAGGAAAATAGCCTTTTCACCAAATGATGCTAGAGCAATTAGACATCTACAACAAAAATGTGAACTTCAACCTAAGCCTCATACCTTATACAAAATATAATTCAAATGCATTATAAAGTTAAAAGTAAGTATAAATTTACAAAACTTTTAGGGAAAAAAAAACAAAAAATACTTGATTTCTAAGGCTAGAAAGAGTGTCCTTAGATTTGACATCGAAAGCATGAGCCATAAAAGGAAAAACTGATAAATGAGATTTCATAAAAATTAAAAACCGTTGCTCTCCGCAAGACTGTGGACAAGATGAAAAGAGAAGATATGAACAGTGAGAAAATATTTGCAAAAATAGTATACAGAATATTTGAAGCGCTTTCAAACCTCCACAATAAAAAAAGCAAGCAATCGAATTAGAAAATGAGCATAAGACATGAACAGACATTTCACAAGAGAAGATACACTGACATCAAATAAGTATTAGCCATCAGGGAAATAAAAATGAGAACCACAGTGAAATATCACAACACACTAATGACAATGGCTAATACATACATAAACAGCACCAAATGCTGGCCAGGATGTAGGGAAATTAGATCACTCAGACATTATTAATGGGAATGCAAAATAGTACAGTCACTCTGGAAAACAGATTGGCAGTGTCTTAAAAACCAACCACGTATTTACTATCCAACCCAGCAATTTGTACTCCTGAGTTTATCCCAGGGAAATTAAGACTTATGTTCACACAAAAATCTCATCCATGAATGTTTATACCACTTTTGTTTGTAATAGCCCCAAATTGGAAACAACTCAGATGAACAAGTGAATGGTTGAACAAACTCTGGTATGTCATATCATGGTGTACTATTTAGCAGTACAAATAATAAACTACTGAAATATACAACAGCTTGGATGATTCCCCGGGGAATTATAGTGAATGAAAAAAATTCAATCCCAAAAGGTTATATGCATAACATTGCTAAAACTATAGAAATGTGTCCCAACCCAAATCTCATGTCGAATTGTAATCCCCAATGTTGGAGGAGGGTTCTGGTGGGAGGTAATTGGATCATGGGGACAGACTTCCCCTTTGCTGTTCTCAAGAAAGTGAGTTCTCAGGAGATTTGGTTGCTTAAAACTGTGTAGCACCGCCCACTTTGCCCTCTCTTCCTCCTGCTCTGGCCACATAAGACGTGCCCGCTTCACTTTCCCCTTCCACCATGATTGTAAGTTTCCTGAGGCCTCCCCAGAAGCAGAAGCCTGTACAGCCTGTGGAATCATGAACCAATTAAACCTCTTTTCTCAAAAACAAAAACAAACAAACAAAAAAGAAATGGAGACAAGATTAGTGCTGTCAGGGATTAAGGAGATGAAAGAGGGAAAGAAATGACTGCAGCTAAATGGGGACAACATGAGGGATCCTTGTGAACCTTTAAATGTTTCACCGTCACTGTATCAATGTCAATAGTGTGGTTGTTATATTGTGCTATAGTTTTATAAGATATCATCATTGAAGGAAACTAGGTAAAAGATACATGGAGTCTGTCTGTATTATCTCCTAAAACAATAATAATCTAAAATCATTTCAAAATTAAAAGGTAAATTTAATATATATGATATTATACACACAGAGATACACACATACATACAAATATATCTATAATTCCACAAATGTAAGCAGATAAAACTCCAGTTTTCTCTCAGTAAGAGGGAAGTCAGTAGTAGGTATCCAGATGTTTCCTCCACAGTCCATCATTCTGACCATTTTATTACCAAATATCCATTTTACTTTCCTTTTCTTCCTTAAAATCTGCCAGCTTCCAGGACAACCATCCCTTCAATGGAACCAGTTCATTGACAAAGATCTCAATGTGACAGATAGTCCTTCCTTCTTTGTCTGGCAACCTTTGAAATAAAAAGTAAATTACCTGCATCTACATTAATTTACTTGCCCTGTCTGCCACATGCACCACATGTGCAATGCAGGAACAGGGACAGGATAACCATAATAAACCTTCTGAGGAAAAATGGAGGAGAATGAAATGCTCACAGTCACTGGTCCAGAGCAATGCTGCAGTCCTCTTGGGCAGCATAAAGTCCTCCTATTCTGGAGAGAGGAAAGTTCCTAGATTCTACTCTAAGGGAAAATCCCTACATTCCATTCACCCAAAGTAGTTACATGGCCTTGATCTCACTCCAAGAGGAACTTGAAAATTTAGCTTTCAGTGTTTCAAGGAACAGGATTCAGATTGTTGAGTAGCTGGCCATTCCCTTTCACACCCGCTCTAGCTAATATCAAGGTTTATTACATAATCAGAGTGGTTATTAAAAGTAAAATCGTGTTTACTTTGCATATCAGGACAAACATTTGTATATGCACATGGAGAGGAACATACAATAAATGTCATTACTGTGTTGTTTGTAACTGTAAAAACTGTTAAAAAACCTACATATCTAATAAGAGGAAAGGCCTAATTCACTATGTAAGTAAATAATACTGTGAAAGTATTTTAAAGAAATGAACTTAATAAATACAGGAGGGAAAAGCAAGTTGTAGAATAATATGCACATAATAAAGCATATTTATAAATATAAGTTTGCAGTCACACAGACAAATGATATTTTACAGTTTCATTTATGTATATGTAAATGCATGGGAAACATTTTAGAAAGTTATAGAACAAATTAAAAACAGTCTTTTTCCAATGATTGGAAAATTACAAGTGGGAGTGGTTGTCACAGGAGGCTAATATTTTTAGTAATGTTTTAATTTTTAGGCAAAGAAAAAAATATTACCTGTGGGGATTTAAACAAATGAAGCAAACATTAACAACAATAACAACTGGAGTGGAAATGCATTAACATATTAATAATGGACACTAGGTGTTTGAATTGTAGCTGCATTTTATTTTATTTGCTCCAAATGGTATTTCTCTTGGGTTTCTCAGAAACACATTGATATGGTTTGGCTTTGTGTCCTACCCAAATTTCATCTTGCATTTTAAACCCCATGTGTCGAGGGAGGGACCTGGTGGGAGGTGACTGGATCATGGGAGTGGTTTCCCCCATGCTGTTCTTGTGATAGTGAGGGAGTTCTCATGAGATCTGACAGTTCAAAAGCGACAGTTTCCCCTGATCTCTCTCTCTCTCTCTTTCCTGCTGCTTTGAGAAGAAGGTACTTGCTCTTCCTTCACCTTTGACCAAAATTGTAAGTTTCCTGAGGCCTCCCCAGCCATGCAGAACTGTGAGTACGTTAAAACTCTTTTCTTTATAAATTACCCAGTCTCAAGCAGTTCTTTATAGGACTGTGGAAATGGATTCATACACACATTTTCATATTTAAAACTTTAAATCATACAAAATTTTTTAATGAAAATAAATCATGGTGCTGCATAAAAGAGGATACTACCCATCAAAGTCTGTATGGTTTTCTTTGACATGGAAAGATGGTCACACATTATCAGTTATAAAGTGTTATTTATCTTAGTTATAGAGTATTACAGGTTACAGAACAGAACATTATCTTAGTTATAGGGTATTACTTATTTTCAAGCAACAGACACCCCCTCAAGCTAGCTTAAGTGATAGAGAATTTATTATAAGAACTCAAATGTTATAGACATAGTCAAGAAGCCAATGCAAGCCTTGTGGGAGGCAGAGAAGAGCATCATGAAGCTTAGGAGCAATCAAAGCAGCCATTGCATTTCTGTCTCTCTTTATTTCATTCACATAAAAATGAGAGAAAAAAGAAATAACACAGAAAGAAATAGGAGAAAGGAAAGATTGGTAAATGTTTTGTCAATTATTCCTTTATTAATAATTTATATATTATTCATATAGTCATTTATGCAAAAAATGAACTAGAGAAAGAAAAAATAAAGGATAGAAGCAAAGATGGAAGGAACACAGGTTAAATATCACAGTTAATTATTGGTTATTTCTCTTTACAAAATTTAAAAAAAAAAAATTCCTAAGTTATTTCAAGACCCTAAGATCCTGGAATAAAAATATGATGTTGTCATTTTCCTTGCTTCCTTCAGAAAACATGATCACTGTTCTGTATTAATTGCATTCCTGGGAGGGAGCAAGGGGTTTTATGAGATAGCCTCAGGGCTTGTATCTATTTCTCATGAACTATAGTCTCCCTCAAAGTTATTCACTACATAAACTACTCCACAGAAATGGCGCCCTAGAATTTAAGCTCTGAATCGAGGGATGTACCTAGTTGCCTTATTCTTGGACTTCTTCCTTTTATGACTATTAAATGGGGATTGGTCAAATGTACCAGATCAAAGACATTTAGGAAACACAAAGGGGATGCAATGTCTACCTGGAGAGACGCTCAATGGCATTTTCAAGTGCTATCTTTCCCTGTATTTCACTACTTCATAACTCTCAAGGCATGTTGTCCCATAAGTTAATTTTATAACTTCAGCTAGTTAGAACCCACCATTTTCAGTGATACTGCAGAGTTTGAGATGCATCATTCATGTCAAAATCCTCTCTACCACTTTGGT
The DNA here is from genome assembly GCF_000001405.40 of Homo sapiens. Classification (NCBI taxonomy): domain Eukaryota; kingdom Metazoa; phylum Chordata; class Mammalia; order Primates; family Hominidae; genus Homo; species Homo sapiens. The sequence goes on from NC_000007.14 coordinate 137,039,312, forward strand.
AAGGAATACAGAATATAATTTTATTCAAATAATCACAAACGCTCAGTCTTTACCAATAATTCATAAGCATAATCCTCTGGAAAAAGAATCAAATAATTTAACATGAAAATTTCAGTTATATTTGGGTTTAACTATAAATATTCCTCAACAACTTTATTGAGCAGATTTGTTCCTCAAAGACACTGTGACTTTAATCAGAAGAAGTTTACTTCAAATAGAAAAGTGAAAAGTACAATGAGATGCCCCTTTCAGAATTTTACTATGAGATGTAGGAAGAATCTAAAAAATATCAAATTTTCCATGTCCTCCACACTCTAAAAACATAGACAAAATGTAGACCTGGGTTTGTACAATCTATGAAAGAATGCTCCTTTTTCTGTAGATTTCAGTGTTCTCTGGATGAAAACTCGCTCACGGTTTCAAATAAATGCCGCCAGAAATAATAGGAAAACTCTGCATTTTTAGCATTTTATTTAGAGTCTGATGAAACTTCTCAGTTACAGCTAAAAGTTAATTATGAAATTTATAAGTGGCTTTACTCTTTAAGAAACAAAACCAGACAATAACATTATAATTTAAAATTTGGTTAAATGTCTGCTTCCCTTTACCTCATCATCAAGGGCCATGACACTGTTTCGTATTTTTAAATTCTGGAAAAAGACAGTCATTGAAATGGTAGTTTCTTATAGCACAGGACTTCTCATATTTTCTTCCTGAAAGTATATATGAGAATTGTTCATTTCAATGCAGATGACAGAATTTTTAAAATAAAATCTCAGAGAAAAAATAACCACAATGTTAAATAAATCAAAATTAAAATTAAAGTTTATTAGACTCATGATATAAGACTATAAATAATTTGTTCTTAAAATTTCCCCTAAGGCAATGACAATGATGTTTGTCATTCACAGGACTTGAAACAATTCCCTGGAGGAGAACTTGGAGATACTTCTGCAGAAACACACATATATATATATATATATATATATATATATACATATTTGGAATTGGCAGGGGGTAATAAAGATACCCATAGGGGATATGGCTCAAAAAAAAACAAAAAATATTAGCTAAGACAAGAAGCCCCAACTGCTGATAGAGAAGACTAAGATCCTGCCTTAATACTTATTAATGCTGTATATAGCAAATGTTCAAACTCTTTCTATTTATTTAGCATCTGGTAATATACAGGGGATTGTGCCAGGCACTGGGATGGAAAGAAAAATATAGCATACCGTACACTCTCACAAAACTCTCATTCCTCTGGTAGATGCTCCATAAATATGAACACACGTTATACATGAAGGAATGAATGAATAAGTGAATGAGTTAGTTGATGACTAGAAATTGTTCATTGAAAGTGATGATTGAAACCGTCATCTTCAAGAAAAAAATTAGGCAGTACTTTGAAATTACTGATAACCATTATATGAGTAGAATGTCTCAGTGTTACTTGATTTGGGTTATAAATGTAAATAGCTAGCGGTTATCAGAATCAGTGATAATGTCAGAGGCGTGTAAACCAGAGCAACTCCATCTTAAATAGGAGCTGGGTAAAATGAAGCTGAAACCTACTGGGCTGCCCTCCCAGATGGTTAAGGCATTCTAAGTCACAGTATGAGATAAGATATCAGCACAAAATACACGTCATAAAGACCTTGCTGATAAAACGTGTTGCAGTAAATGAGCCAGCCGAAATCCACCAAAACCAAAATGACAACGAGAGTGACCTCTGGTCATCCTCACTGCTACACTCCCACCAGTGCCATGACAGCTTACAAATGCCACGGCAACATCAGGAAGTTACCATATATGGTCTAAAAAGGGGAGGCACAAATAATCTACCCCTTGTTTAGCATATCATCAAGAAATAAAAATGGGCAACCAGCAGTCCTCGGGGCTGCTCTGTCTATGGAGTAGCCATTGTGTTTACTCCTTTACTTTCTTAATAAACTTGCTTTCACTTTGCACTGTGGACTCGCCCTGAATTCTTTCTTGCACAAGATCCAAGAACCCTCTCTTGGGGTCTCGATTGGGACCCCTTTCTTGTGACAATAACAATTTGTCTATGCAGCACATAGTAGGACTACTTAAACTCAGAATAAAACTTGCCACATAGCAAATGTTCAATAAATGTGTGTTTTAATAGTGCCTTAGCCTGTTTGGGCTGATAAAACAAACTACCACAGACTGGAGGGCTTATATACAACAGAAGTTTATTTCTCACAGTTCTGGAGTCTGGGAAATCCCAGACCAAAGGACCAGCAGATTCTGTGTCTGTTGAGGGTCCACTTCCTGCTTCATAGACTGCCATTTTCTTGCTGCTTCTTCATGTGGTAGAAGGGGTGGAGAGGGAGTTCTCTGGGGTCTTTTCTTATAAGGTCACTAATTCCACTTATGAGGAGTCCCTCCTCATGATCTAAACACCTACCAAAGGCTCTCCACATAATGCCATCACACTGGGGATTGGAATTTAAACATAGGAATTTTGCAGGGCCCAAACAGCCAATCTATAGCAAATAGTGGTAAAATACACGTGAAAAAATTAAACCAAAGTATATTTTTAAAAAATACCCTAACATCAAGCTCTAAAGTCAAGTCATCAAAATCAGTAGTATAATCCAAGTTACTTTTATTTTTACAAAAACATATAGATTTGTGGGATACATGTACAGTTTTGTTACATGCATATATTGCAAAATGAAGTCTGGACTTCCAGTGTAACCTTCACTCGAATATGTAAATTATACCCAATAGGTAATTTCTCATCCCTCACCCTGTTCCCACCTCCCGTCTTTTGGAGTCTCCAATGTCTATTATTCCACTCCATATGTCCATGTGTAAGCATTTTTAAGCTCCCTCCTATAAAGGAGAACATGTGGTATTTGACTTTCTTTTTCTGAGTTGTTTCACTTAAGTAATGGCTTCCACTTCCAATCATGTTGCTGCAAAAAACATGATTTCATTCTTTTTTCAGGGCACTTTTTGAGCTGTGAGGATTCCTAATCCCTGTTGAAAAAAAAATGAGTAAATTCTGAACTGTAAAATACAGGGACAGCAAAGCCGTCCTTGTTATTCAAAAAGCCCATTGAGGCTGATTTAGATGTGTGTAGGATTAGGGGTTGTTGAAGATAAGAATTCAGCTCTGCCCCCACCTCCAACCCCCATTTCTCTCTTCCCTCTTCCCTCTTCTCTCTCTCATTCCCAATTGCTCTAACTTGTTTTCCCTCTCTCTTTCTCTCTCTCTTTTCAGTTCTTGACATTCAGAGGCACCATGAAGTCAGTTGGAAATCAAGTACAAATTTATTCTCATATTAGTACTCTTCCATCATTCTGAATTAGTATGCATAGTAGCTAATATGTTATGAAAGTCACTTACCAATAACAATGCAGTCTATGAATACTAATCTGAAGGGATACCAGCCATAAAGAAAAGACTGCCACTCTGATTGGGTAAGGCTAATAAGACAGCCTTGGGCAAAATAAGTGACAGATCCTCATTTTCATGCATTTCTCCCATGCTGCTTTGACTCTCCCTTTCTTTACATTCCATTCAATGTAGAAAAATCAACATTTATTTATGAAGACAATTTTATATTCAATTCTGGTATTCCTGACACTTCCCACATCTGTCCTATAATTGTGATATATGAATAATTAGTCTGTTACTAGAACAATCATATTTGGCTTTTTCCCCCTTGAAAATTAACTAATGGCTCCATTGGGGATTTATGATAACATTTAGTTCCTGTCTCTTTTTATTTTTTCATCCTTTTTTTGGAATCTCAGTTCCTACATGTCTCAATAGATTTAATACAGTAGGTCTCAGGCCTAGCTACATAATAGAATCAACTGGAACAATCTTAAAGTAATACTCATGTCTTGGCTTTACCTAAGATCAATGAAACCTGAGCCTCGGGATATGGCCCTAGCCTCTGTATTTTATTAAGCACCCTACATGCTTGATGCACAGTGAGAACTGAGAACCACTGGCTCTGGTTACAGGTTCAGTCCTTGTAGACCCATGTATTTTAGTGATCTTTTTAAGGATCATAAATATCAGTCTTGTCCTTGAAATATGTGTTTTCTAGCACATGGGGAGAATAGGAATAAAAGTTCCTGGATGAAGTAAATGTTTTCCCATTATATATGGAAAGCACTTATTCTAAAAGTATCAATTTTGTGTAAAGCTCCTATCTTAACTTTTTACTTTGAAATAATTTTAGGTTAAAAGAAAGTTTTAAAGATAATGCAGAGCTCCTATATGCCCTTCAATCAGCTTTCCCTAATGTTAGCATTTTATTTAACTCTAATACATTTGTCAAAACTAAAATCTTAACTTTGTTAACAATACTATTAACTAAACTACAGACTTAATTTAGACTTCTCCAGTTTTTCTACTAGTATTCTTTTTCTGTTCCAGGATCAAATCCAAGATTACATGCCACATTTAGTCATCATGTCTCCTTCGTCTCTTTTAGTCTGTGACAAATTCTGTCTTGTTTTTCATGACTTTGACACTTTTGAATATTACTCATAAAGAAGGTTTTTTGTAGAATAGTCCTCAATTTGGGTTTGCTTGATGTTTTCTTGTGATTAGACAAGTGTCTTGGGCTGACATGGCAAAATATCATAGGCTGAGTGTTTACAAGCCCTATAAGTTTATTTCTTGCAGTGCTAGAGGCTGAGAAGTCCAAGATCCAGGCACCATCAGATCTGTTGTCTGATGAGGGCCCCTTAACTGGTTTACAGATGGCATCTTTTGCAGAGTCCTTGGATGGTGGAAGGGCTTAAGCAGATCTCCAGGGGGCTCTTTTATAAAAGAGCTAATCCCATCCATGAAGGCTGTACTCCCAAAGACCACCTCCTAAAACCATCACCTTAGGGGTTAAGGTTTGAACATATGGATTTGAGGGGGACACACACATTCAGATCATAGTAACTAGGGTTCTGAGTTTTAGAGAATTATACCACAGAGGTGAAGTGTCCTTTCACTGCATCAAATCAGAGGTTATATGATATCAACATGACTGATCACTGATGATGTTAACCTTGACCACTTGGTTAAGGTTGTATCTAGCAGGTTTCTCTGCTACAGAGTTACTATTTTCCCCCTTTTCATATTCTGTTCCTTATAAGTGAATCACTAAGTCCAGTCCATACTTAAGGGGAGGAAAATTGACAATTATTCGGAATTCTAACAACGATTTGCTCTTTCTCCACCTTTTATTTATTTACTCAATTATTTATTCACGTCAGTCAGCACTCATGGATATTTGTTTATTCATTGTGATATAATCCAATACTATCATTATTTTACTGTAAAAATTGTTTTAGCTTTGATAATTGGAAGCTCTTTGAAGTTGGTTCCTGTGTCAATTTGACTTGTCCCACCCTTTGTTTTGTTGTTTGTTTTGTTTTGTTTGAATATGTTTTTAACTTTTGAGACCACAGGTAGTTCCAGGTTCAACTTGTACTTACACCATCCCAGCCCTAGAATCAGTCATTTCTCCAGGGATCCCTGAGTTCATTTATTGGAGAATGGTAAAGAGAAGCCAAGTTCTGGACATTGAGTGTGTTCATTACTACTAGGGTGTCACAGCGGTAAGGTTTCAAAAATCGTTTTCTTTTATACTCAGCATTCTTATCCAAATCATGCTTCTTAAAGAACTATAGAAATCATCAGAATCTAAATATTAAGGTAAAAATAAGATCCACTATAATTGAGTGACATAAATTTTGTTTCTTGAACGGGTATTAGGTCCTCAGGCATTTTTAAGATCCTGGCTTTCTTTTTCCAGGTATTTTTACTATGGTTTAATGAAGATATTGTGACCTCTGTGGTTTTCTTAAATCCAAGATTCTTGCCAGACATATAATGCATTTACAATCTTTGCTTGAAAGTGATAGTCAACCATATATTCCCAGAAAAATAGTCTATATATGAGTGCCTTTTTTTAGCTTTTTAGTAGTTGTTAAAGTTGAAGGACATAGTCAAATATCTGGAGCAGCTAAGAGCTCACAGTTCAGCTGAGTTATCCCAATGCTGACATTTACTCTCAAAAGCACCACATTTTGGTGATTTGTTTTTTGTTTTTTAAATCATTTATTTCTCTTCTGGTTTCAAAAGCCTAAAGCTGTTCAACAAATGGTAGTTGTTTCTACTTAAGGCTTTCAGAAGAGCTTTGATGGGTTTGAATATGGGCTGATTTAATTATAGTAGCATTTGGAGTCGTCACATACACAGTGAGTAGGATTCAATACAAGAATTCAATCCTGACCATTACATTATAACATAGTAATAGTATGTACTTTGTGGAAAAAGAAAACTAAAGCCTTGTGAATGAAGCATCATGGTCCAGTGCAATTGTGCTGTAAGAGAATTTCATTAAATTTCTGTAGCAATTCAAAGATAAGAATCACACAAAGCGGGGGCGAATAGCCTTTGCTCTGGATCCCCTGTGCCCACTTTCCCTCTCCAGATGATATCATTTGGAAAACGGGTTAAGTAGGAATGTGAAGTAAAATCTCTTAGGAGGGCAAGATATTCAAAAATAAAATAGCATTTTCCTTGTGTGATAAAGAGCATCTGCCATCAACAGCTTATAAGTTAATCAGGGATCTTTGTTTTTGGTCATTTCAGTTATTCAGAGAAAACCAAATTACTACAATATGATGTGAAATGATCTATTAAAATCATTTACACAGATCTTCAAAGCTGGGAGGTGGGGATGTGTAAGTCTGCCTGGAAAACTCACAAAAGACTGTAAGCAACAAACCTGAATTTTACAGAGTGAATGAACAATTCAAAGAAAACAAAACAAATTGGAGAGAACGTAAGTGATTACTTATTTCCCAAAGGGAAATAACTTTATTCTTGGGTATAAATTCTGAAAGTGATAAAACATTTTGTTTTCTTTTCAGGTTTTATTTAATTCATTTTGTTTTTTGTTGTTTGTTTTTTTTTTCCTTTGGGAGGCTAAGGCAGTCAGATTACTTGAGGCCAGGAGTTCGAGACCAGCCTGGCCAACATGGTAAAACCCTGTCTCTACCAAAAATACAAAAATTATCAGGGCTGGTGGTGCGTGCCTGTAATCCCATCTACTTGGGAGGCTGAGGCAGGAGAATCACTTGAACTTGGAGGCAGAAGTTGCAGTGACCTGAGATCACACCACAGCAAGACTCTGTCTCCAAAAACAAACAAACAAACAAACAAACAAAAAAGGTGTTTTTTGTTTTGTTTTTGTTTCTGTTTTCGTTTCCAATTTCAATTCAACTTGGGTCTGGCAGGTCCCCTGGATATACCTGTTCCATGAATGGTAAACGTGAGCACTTTCTAATTCTTTAATGGAATTGCTTACAGGGCTTTGTCTATGGTTTAAAGCCTTTACTATGGCATGACAACCAGGAACAGTTTACACACACACACACACACACACACACACACACACACCCCCGTTATGAAAGTGATTCATCTTCTCATGCTGAATTGATAATGAGTAACATGAACAATCTTTTAGCCTACATAAGAATGACCTCATTAAACACAGAAGAAGGAGGAGGGGGAAGGAGGAAGAGAAGAAGGGGAAGAAAAAGCAAGAGAAAGAGAAGTGGAAGAAGACACCTGTAACTTCATTATGCTATTATCAGAAAGAACGCTTCCTAGTGCTTTCTTTTTCTGTTTATCTCCACATTGCCATGATGAGAAGAGCTTTGTCTTACAAAAACCTGATAAGTAAAAACACAAAACAATCAAGATAAAACAAAGGAGCTTGTTACTTTTCCCAAGGATTCTCTAGGAGCTTCCTTTGTTGTGTTGAATTTCCCGGTGCTCTTCAAATAGAATTTGATGTTCAAAATTAATCAACAGTAACCTTTTCAAGATCATTTCAATTTAAAATATGATTGCCTTGGATCTTAAGCCATTTTAGTCCTTTGGTTCCCATTACGTGAGCCTCTTTCTTGGAACCACTTACGATAGTGAATTAATTACAGTGACTCCATGAGTTAATCAGCATTGCTGTTATTTTTCTATTCTGTGCTATGAAAGACGTAGAAGAAATGGAGAGTCATGTTCCATATTCAAGATTACCCCAGACCAAAGGGAATACCAAGTCTTTCATACACATTAGCATTAAAAAAATGGAGCTCTATGCAGCCATAAAAAATGATGAGTTCATGTCCTTTGTAGGGACATGGATGAAATTGGAAATCATCATTCTCAGTAAACCATCGCAAGGACAAAAAACCAAACACCGCATGTTCTCACTCATAGATGGGAATTGAACAATGAGAACATACGGACACAGGAAGGGGAACATCATACTCTGGGGACTGTTGTGGGGTGGGGGGGGCGGAGGGATAGCATTAGGAGATATACCTAATGCTAAATGACGAGTTAATGGGTGCAGCACACCAGCATGGCACATGTATACATATGTAACTAACCTGCACATTGTGCACATGTACCCTAAAACTTAAAGTATAATAATAAAAAAAATGGAGTTCATAAGTTGTAACAGGAAAAATAAAGAGGAAAGATTAAACTTTATTCTGGCAGAGAGACTCACAAAAGACTTCTTTAAGGTGATGGCTATAATCCAGTAGTGCTGAGTACAGTCATTATCCACTTTTTTTTTTAGTGAATTGCAAATGAAATCCATAATGACACCATGAAGTCACAGAACCTCCCAGAAGATACTGCAAGGAAAATTACAGTGAAATCCACAACTATGCAAGTTAGAAGAAGGCACTAGAAGCCACACCTTAGAATCGTACTATTTAAGGAGGTAGGTTTCCAAATACTGAAACGTTTGAACAGAAGGGGACTTCTGAAATGTGATCATGTTACACCAAATCAGTGTTTTCCCTGAGACCCACAGAGCTGTCTCCCAGGAGGTAGAGGTATAGGAATCTCTTTGTCAAAAGGTCCTTTAGATGATGCTGTTGAATCATTACTTAGGGTAAAGCAGATGATGTCAGGCGATGAGGGAACCTGGTGGCCACTTGATTCTAATCAGTTCAACACAACTTTGATCAGTTTTTAATATTATAATTCGGAGTAAGATTTCTTTTTAAAATAATGGTGTTGCTGCTTAAAAATAAGTGTGACCATCAGTGGACATGATGATTTTAATTCCATTCCATTCTAGATGCTATCTTCATATTCTAAAACTAGAATTGCTAGAATCCATTTTGATAAGTTCTTCAAACTGTCTTTTGAATGTCATTGACTTTACCAGCACATTTAGCATTTTATGCTTTTATCATTTTTAGTCATGTTTACCTAGATACGTGTTTTAACAAAAAGTGTCTAAAACCTAAAAGACAGCAGAATTTTAGACAAATATTTTGATAGCAAAACATTTATCTCCTAAATGAAGGTTCACCTGCTCATATTTTTCTCCAAGAAATTGTTTTCTTTTGAAGATTCTCAAATATTCCTTAAAAAGTTCCTATCATCAACAATGATGCATGTAGGGACCTCAGTCATTAAGTGCCTGAGTGCAAAAATCTTTGGCTGAAGCATTTGATAGTTATTTCCCACATGGTTTGACTAAAACAGCACAAACATTGCACATTTCTGTTTGGCAAAAATGTACTATAATAACTGTGCTTTTTATTATCTTTCCATACATTTCAGCTTACTAGAACAGAGTATGAACTTAGAACCGCATTTTCTAAAGTATGCTCTGTTTAGCCTTGAAGTCCTAAGATATATTCATGAGTTTTAATGTGAAAATGATGATTAGGGCAAACTATTTGGGAAAAAGTGATACAAGTTTGTTTACTGATGGCTTCTTAGAATGTGTTAGCATGCAGTGTGAGTCCCAAAAGGAAAACTAAGTAAATTGCTTAGGGATTTTAAGGGTTATCTTCTGGGATTACTATTCTACAAAGACTTTAGAGAATCACTTGCCTAGATATTTACTCCATTTTAAAAGTGTTACTATATTAAATGCACATGAATGCCCCACAGGAAATGTTGATGGGATACATTCAGAAAATTTTATTCATTTATTTACTGAAAAATAGAATTATTTTTCAATATTGATAAGCTCTAAATTGTCTAAATACCTCATATTGTTTTAGTTTGGCCACTTAAAAAGTAAATTCTTTTATAGGTAATACTTATTTATCCCCAGCAATTCTTCAATTGAGTAGCTTTCAAAAGACAAAAGATTTTTATCTTCCTAAAACTGTAAAACTATGAATCTGCCTGGAAGTTTTAGGATGATTACAAAATTGTCTCTGATGATCTATTTTAGGCTTCAGAGTCCACGGTCTTTAACACTGCAATCTCTCTGTTATCTGAGTCTAAGAAAAATAATTCCCAGCTCTGCTCACCATTTGAGTATAGCCTGACTGTTAGAATCCTCAGCCTAAAGCCCAGGAAGACTCTTATTGACTTATGTGTCAATAAATAAATAAAGATTAGAGGGGTACCATGGAAAGAAGAACATCTTCATTCAAGAGCCCATGCTCAGTGTTTCATTGACTCATTTTTTAACATGAATTGATGATCACAGCAAGTCCGATGCTGGAGTAAAGCCAGAAACATGGAATAGCAAGATTGAGCAAAGCACACAAAAAACCACACAAAATTACTTAGAAGAATCAGAGATAATTAGGGAACAAAGGAGAACTAAAAAATGCACAATTAATTACTTTCCCCCAAGTAATTAAAAAAGATATTGCTTCCTATGTTAGGAGAAACAGTGTGTCTTTGAATCTGATTTTTCCTTCCAAATGGTGCAAATGACATGCTTGGCCCTGGCCCCGTCTCATTCTGTGAGTGAAGGGAGTAGGGCCTTGCTCAGCTCACCTTAACCCTTCTCTGCAAGAGCTATCTACCTGCAAGTGTTATCTGCTGTTTCTCCATTTGAAAGGTTTTTCTTTTACTGTTTTTAAAAAAATAAGTATTAATTATTCTTAATTGACAAATACTAATTGTGTATATTCAGAAGGTACAATGCAATGTTTTGACCTATGTCTACACTGTAAAAAATTGAACCGAATTAAAATATACATCACCTCACCAACCTATCCTTTTTTAAGGTGAGAATGTTAAAAATTAATTCTTTTAGCAATTTTGAAAAATATAATACCATATGATCCAGCAATCCCACTTATGTGTGTACAGCCAAAGGAATCAGTATGTCAAAGAGATGTTGGCACTCCCATGTTTATTTCAGCATTATTCACAATAACCAAAATATGGAAGCAACCTAAGTGTCCATCAGCAGATGAACAGATAAAGGAATTGTGGTATATAGCATATATGCAGTAAAATACTGTACGGAATTAAAAATAAGGAGATTCCATCATTAGTAACAACATGGATAGAACTGGAAGACATTATGTTAAGTGAAATAAGCAGGCACAAAGAGACAAACACTATATGATCTTAGATACATGGAATCTAAAAAAGTCAATATCATAGAAACAGAGAGTAGAAGGGTGACTATTAGGGGCTAGGGAGGAAGGAAGAGATGGGGAAAGAGAAGATGTTAATGAAAAGGTGTGAAGTCTCAGTTAGATGGGAGGAGTAAGTTTTAGTAATCTATGGTACTGCATGGTGACCACAGTTAATAATAATGCATTGTATATTCCATTTGGCATTTTATTCTGGTGCATTATGGTCTCAGTTTGGTGGGTAAGCCAGCCTCTGGTGTCCTGTGTTAGAAAGTGCACTTCCTCACACATACACCATGTCCCCAGCTTCACTCTATCTTTAATATACATGATATGTGGACCATCATTTACTTCTGTTTTGTCGTTTTAATTTCTGTTTGCTCAGAACCCAGGTAAGAAGAACATTGCTGCTTAATATTTTCCCTAGAAGAAATTCCTAAGCCCATAAGAGAAAACAAATGCTATTAAGAAGGAAAAAAGAACAATTGTATGTGGAGGAGAGGGAAGAAGTCTGAAAACCCAAAATATAATTACACTCTTCCAACGAATAAATAAGTAGATAAATAACTGGAAGCTAAAAATCAGAAAATGTTTTAGGAATTACAACAAAATGGCTGAGATTTTACATAAAATATAGATGATTGTGTCTGTGAGGTTTTGTAATTCTCATAAGAGAAACAAACTTTGCTTGAAGCAGTCAATTTATTATAGAGACACAAGATGGCTCACAGAATTTCTGGGAGGTCTAGAGTACAAGAATTAGGGCTATTGGGCCAGCCAATGTTACCAAGGACTTTCCTAGACCTGGTTGGGTGAGAATGACTCAAATGACTCAAAACATTCAGAAAAATAGTTGACAAAACTCAACACTTGTCACAGTAATAGCTCTCATCAAACTTGGACTAGAAGGAAACTTCCTCAAAGTGATGAAGGATAGGTAGAAAATCTCTTGGTAAACATCATAGTTAAGATGAAAGAGTAAGTGCTTTTCCCCCTAAGATGTTCAAGGCAAGTAAGTCTCCTGTCATCTCCTCGATCAACACTGTGTTGGGGGTGCCAGTCAGTGCATTAAAGAAAGGGAGAAAGAAAAGGCGGACATTGAAAAGGAAGAAGTAAAACTGTCTTTCTTCACAGACAACATGGTGTTTATGTAGAAAATCCTAAATCAGTTATATAATAGTCACAAGACACAAAATCAATATTTAAAAAATTAATTGTATTTCTATATACTACAGCAAACTGAAAATGGGCATTTTTTAAAAATAAATATCATATGTAGAGATATTTAATGAGATATTTTTAACCTGTTAATATGATAAATTACATAGATTGATATTGAAATATTAAGCTAACCTAGTATTCCTTGAATATACTCTTGTTGAACATGATGTGCTATATTTTTTTTCATGTTAATTAACTGCATTTACTGAATTTAAACAAAATTGTTGCATCTATTATGGTCATAAAGGGTATTCCTCTATAGTTTATTTTGTGGTATCTTTGGTTTGTGATATGGTTTGGCTATGTCCCCACCCAAATCTCATCTTGAATTATAGCTCCCATAATCCCCATGTGTTGTGGAAGGACCTGATGAGAGGTAATTGAATCATGGGGGTGGGTTTTTTTCCATGTTGTTCTTGTGATAGTGAATAAGTCTCACAAGAGCTGATGGTTTTATAAAAGTGCAGTTCCCTTGCACAGACTCTCTTGCCTGCCACCATGTAAGACGTGACTTTGCTCCTCATTTGCCTTCAGCCATGACTGCAAGGCCTCCCCAGCCATGTGGAACTGTGAGTCAATTAAACGTCTTTCCTTTATAAATTATCCAGTCTTGGGTATGTCTTTATTAGCAGTATGAGAACAGACTAATGCAGTTAGGATATCAGAGTAAGTGCCTCATAGAATTATTTGGGAACACAGATTGACTATCTCTTATTCAAATGCTTGGGACCAGAAGTATTTCAGTTTTCAGATTTGCTCAGATTTTGGACTATTTTCAAATACATAGTGATATATCTCAAAGACGGGACCCAAGCTTAACCACAAAATTTATGATTGTTTTATGAATACCTCATACACATAGACCAAAGGTAATTTTATACAGTATTTTAAATAATTAAATTATTATTTTAAGTATTAAAGTTATTTAAATAATGTTGTCCATAAAACAAAGTTTTGACTGTGATCTGTCATATGTGTTTTCACTTGTGTCGTGTTGATGCTCAAAAGTTTTGAATTTTGCAGCCTTTTGGATTTCACATTTTTGGATTAGGGATACTCAACCTGTACTCAATATTGTTGAATTGTCACTTCCTTCCTAATTAATATTATAGATTTATTGCAAGCCAAATCAAAGTCCCAGTAGGCGTTCTTTTTTAGAAATTGTCAAACTGATTCTAAATTTAATATATACAGGCAAATGACCTGGAATAGCAAAGCAATGTTAAACAACTAAAACAAAACTGGAGTAAGATAGACATTTGGATTTATGGGAAAGAATAGAGAATCCAGATATTGGCACCAATGTCAGACCAATAGATTTTGAACAACTTTGTTGTGTCATATTTTATATGTCATAATATTTACCCATTTTAAGTGTACAACTCCATGATTTTAGTTACTTTACTGAAAGATGTAACCACCACCACAAATCAGTTTTAGAACATTTTCATTCCCCATTCCACCAAACAGAGAGAGAGAAAAAAAGATAGTTCATTATCATTTACAGTGAATTCTTTTTCCCATTCCCAGTGCACAGTAAGCCATGAATTTACTTTCTGTCTTTTGTTTTTTGGTTTTTTGTTTTTTGGGGATGGAGTCTCTCTATGTTACCCAGGCTGGAGTGCAGTGGCAGGATCTCAGCTTACCACAACCTTCACTTCCTGGGTTCCAGTGATTCTCCTGCCTCAGCCTCCTGAGTAGCTGGAATTACAGGCATGTACCATGACACCCAGCTAATTTTTTTTTTTTTTTGTATTTTTAGTAGAAATGGGGTTTCACCATGTTAGCCAGGCTGATCTCAAACTCCTGACCTCAAGTGATCTGCCCACCTTGGCCTCCCAAAGCGCTGGGATTATAGGCATGAGCCACCATGCCTGGCCTACTTTCTCTCTTTATAAATTTAACTTTTCTGGACATTCCCTGTAAATGTAGTAATATAATATCCAGTCTCTTGTGTCTGACTTCTTTTACTTCGCAAAATTTTTTCATGGTTCATCTGTGATGTAGAAGGTATCAATAGTTATTTTCTCTTTAATTGCTGGATAATATTTTACTGTATGGAATACCCCATGTTGTCTATCCATTCACAAGTTGATGAATCTTTTTTTCTAAATTCTAACTATTATAAATATTATTACTATATGCATGTAATATTCACAATGTGTAGCGTTATATGCAAAGCTTTGGGTAGACATAGGGGTTTATTTATCTTAGGTAAGTACCTAGAATTGAATTGTCAGGACTTATGGTAGTTTTATGTTTAATTTTTTAAGAAACACCGACTGTCTTCCAAAGTATTGCACCATTTTACATTACCATCATTAATGTATGAGGGTTTCTATTTTGTCTACATCCTCACCAACATTTATTGTTCTCTTACATTAATTTTAAGTATTCCATTTTGTATAAAATAATGTCTTATTACATTTATATGTTTTATAAATACTTTATCCCAGTCTGTGGTTTGTCTTTTCATTCTCTTAATGGTTTCTTTTAAACTGCAAAAGTTTTGAATGTTGATGAGATAAAATGTAACAATTTTCTCTTTCATGGACCATGCTTTGATGTCATATATAAGAAATCTTTGCCTAATTCTAGGTCTCAAAGATTTTTCTTGTTTTCTTCTAAAAGTTTTACTGTTTTCTTTCTTACATTTAAGTCTATGATCCATTTTGAGTTCATGTCTGTGTATGGTACAAGTTGAAGTGCATATATTGGCTTGTGGATATACTGTGGTTCCAGAACAATTTACTTAACAAAATATCTATTGAATTGCCTTGGGACATTTGTCAAAAGTCAATTTGCTACAAATATAAGGATTTATTTCTGGACTTTCAATATTGTTATGTTGATTCATATGAGTATCCTTATGCCAGTAGCATTCTGTCTTAATCACTGTAGCTTTAAATAAATTTTGAAATAAAGAAGTGAAAGTCTTGAAACTTTGTTATTCCTTTTCACATTTTTTTCTAGCTGCTTTGTGTGTTGCCTTCTCACATACATTTTAGGACTTCTTTGTCAGTTTCTGCAACAACAACAATAAAAATCTGCTAAAATTTAGATAGGGAGTGCATTGAATATAGAGGCCCATTTTGCAAAGATTGTCATGTATAAAGTATTGAGTGTTTTAATCTATGTGGATGAAATGCTTCCATTTTTTCAGATCTTCTTTATTTATGTATAATAATTCAAGAGGCTTAAATAAAGCCTTAGCATACAGAATTTAATTGGGTGTCAGAAGAGTAATGCAGTATGATCTGGTAAGGTTTATTCAAGCATTGTAAAAATAATTCATCATCAGGAAGCATTCACCATAATCTTTTATATCAATACACTTAAGTAGAAAAATAAATATGATTACATTAATCAACGCTTTAAAAGCATTTAATAAATTTCAATATTAGTTCTGAATAAACACTCTAAAGAATCAATGAAAGAAAATTATTTAAATATTATAAAGTTTATTTATCTGACACCTAAAGTAAATAATATTTTAATACTTTTAAAAATACTCATTTGAAGCACATTTCAAATACGGTTAGTGACTACACAGGGATCCTTACTGTCATTATCACTTCATATTATTTTGGCTGCTTTTGCAAATAAAATGCATTAAAATAAGAAAACTTATAAGTAAGAATAAATGTCAAAAATACTTTTGAGTGATAAAATTCCTTCTGATTGATGAGACTGAAATTCCAGCCAATTCAAAAGCTCTGATACAACATCTGTTAGAATTAAATGATCTGTTAAGGAGTCCGGTAGCAACACAAATGTAGAAAATTAACATCTTTGTATTACAAAACAGTAAGCACTTAAAATGGACAGAAAAACACCAACTTTATTTTCACAAAAAAATCTGTACATCATGTAAGAATAAAGTGAATATGCATGATGAAGAACCAAATTAAGAAAAGAATAAGCCAAACATGAATACAAAACATAAACTAAAATTTGAATTGATGCCAGTGCATAATTTGTTATTAGAAATATTAAAATCTTAAAATGTTAATTTTATTTAAATGTATTTAATGTAATATCAATTAGAATACTAATCAGTTAGTATGTACCTATGGTTTTTATTTATCCAAAAGGGCTGAGAATATCCAATGAAACAATAAAAAGCAGTAAGGAGATTTGCTTCACTTCTTACTAGAAAAATAAATAAACAAAATATTAATGGAACAGAATAGCAGATCTATAATTACATCTTGATGTATATGAAAAGTTAATATATGTTAAATGTAGTTCAGTAGGGAAAGCACTGATGTTATATAAATTGAGCTAATATAATAGCTAACCATTTAAAAACATTAAATGGACCACTAACTTATGCCTAGTTAAAGAAATAAACACATTAACAAATTTAATTTAAAAATTAAAAATTAATATTTTAGGGAAAATATCAAAAACTAACAGTACTATCAATGCGTTGGGAGAATTTTTTAAACATAAGCAAGACTAGAAAGCCAGACCATAAAAGAAAGACAGCATATTGACATAGGTAAAAATTAATGATTTTTATAATTTTCCCTTTAGCAAAACAATGCAGAAGCAAAGTTCATAGACAAATGATAAATCTAAACACAAATTTGTAATGGAGATGGCAAATTGTTAATTTCTAAAGTGTCTTAAAAGTTTTTAAATATTTTCAAGAAAAAAGCAAGTAGCTCAATAGAAAAAATTACAAGATTATGAAAAGATGATTTATGGAAGAGCCAGAGGAAATGACTGTAATTATGTAGAGCCATTTAAATCCATAGTAGTGAGGAAAATATAAATGTAAGTGAAGACTTTTGGTAGCTTGACAAAGTTGTATAATTCCTTTCTGCAAATAAAAAGCATAAACCAAACAAAATCATTAAAAACAACTATTAAAAGATACTGGAAATCATTAACTATAAACAACTCTAGGAGAAGTGTTTACTCATTTTTAAAAATTAATGAACTTCTGTGTATCTGGTAAAAATCTGATTTTGTGACTTCTTTGCATAGGGATACTCCCTTCACTCTTCCTTGAGCTGAAGTTGTCAGACAGTTTATGGCAGATGTCACTGAAGCTAATAATTCAAGGGAGAGATTTGGAAGCTGGGATAGCACACACTACACGTTTCTGGCCGACTGATAAACTACAGGTACACGCAGTAGATACCATGGAGCCCGAAAAAGAAACTGAGAGTCTAGGGAATCTTACAAACTTTTCATGTATTTGAATCTATTCCTTATTCAGACAGGAGAAGATGGAAATTTTACTGGCTTTAGTTGTCTGAGTTACAAAGTCACAGGGAACAAGGGAAAAAAAAAAGACAGATTTCAGCTGCACACTGAGCAGTAGACAAATTTCACAGATTGAGTTGTTAGTTAATTGTTCATTATCACAACACAAAAAGTAACCCTCAGAGAACAAAACTATACCTAGAGCCAGTACAATATATTATATATATTAACTTGTTTTCAACCAAAGTTTACTAGACATCCAAAGAAACAGAGAATTTGGCTCATAAACACTAATTTACAGAATAAAAATGCACACCAAACCACAAGTGAGATAACCACAAAGAAAAACATTCTGCAAATACAACATGAAAAATGCTTCGCAAAGAATAAAGAGAAAATTTTGGAAGCAACAAGACGGAGCAGTAACCAATCACCTCCAATGAAAGAATGATATGTTTAATAGATTTAATGGAGACCAGAAAGCACTGAAATAATACAAAGACCTGAGAGAAAAAAATACTTGTTAACTTAGAATTATATATCTAGTAAAAGTACCCTTCAAAAATAAAGGCAAATTAAAGACATTTCTACACAAGCAAAGACTATGAGATGCAACTGCTAGCAAACCTGTGTTCTATGACTTGTGTGCTGTAAAAAACGTTAAAGGAAGACTGAGGGGAAATGACATCAAATGGTAAATCAGATCCAAAAGAAGAAATGAAGAGCATAGGAGCTGGTGACTGTTGGTAAGTATAAAAAAGATTATATACATTTTATCTTATTTTATTAATTTATTTTAAAGATGTGCCTTGCAAAAACTTAAACAATGTATTTAAAAGACATGCCTTTTTAAAGCAAAACCATTAACCATGTATCGTTAGGTTAATAATGCCTTTAGATATTAATATATGACAAAGCAGGAAAATGGATCTCTGTTGGTATAAATTTTCTATACTTTAACAGAAGTAAATGAGAATAAAATGAAGTAAATTTTAAAGAGTTAAAGAACTATAATCACAAAAGCAACCCTTAAAATCACACAAAGATACGTAGCTAAAACATCAATAAAGCATTTAAATATATATATTTGTTTAACACAAAGCAAGGCAAGGAAGGAGCAACAAGAAATATGGTAAATCAAACACAAATAGTAAAATGGCAGGCCAAAATAACAATAGAGCCATCATATTTCAACTAATATTAATGTAAAGGGTCTAAGCATTCTAATGAAAAGAGAGATTATTCATTTGAATAAAAAAGGCAAAGTCAACTATATGTTGTTTATAAGAGATGTACTTAAAAATCAAAGACAATATAGGTTGAAAACAAAATAATGGAAAAATATTCCACAGTAACAGTAAACATAAGAGACCTGGAGTGACTATATTAATATAGAGAAAAATAGACTTTAACAAAATTCATATTACTAGGGACAAAGAAAAATATTATTCCATAATGATACAAGAGTCACTACAGCAGGATCATATAACAATTACAAATCTATGAATATTTAACAAATACTTGAAAAAAACTAACATAATTGAAAAAATAAAACTGTAAACGGACAAATATCACTGGAGATTGCAATATTTCTCTCTAGCAAACATATCCAGTAGACAGAAAAGCAGTAAAGTCATAGATGGCTTGAACAGCACAATCAATCAAATTGTTTTAATTGATATCTACCAAACACTCAATAACAAGGAAATAAATGTATTTTCAAGTGCACACAGAATATTCAGTATAGACAACATGCTATACCAGAAAAAGAGTCCCAATAAATTAAAACAGATTTAATTTATATGAAGTATGCTCTGAACATCAACAGAATTAAATTAGAAATCAATAACAAAGCCAGGCATGGTGACTTATGCCTATAATCCCAGCACTAGGGAGGCTGAGGGGGGGAAATTACTTGAGGTCAGGAGTTTGAGACCAGCCTGGCCAACATGGTGAAATCCTGCCTCTACTAAAAATACAAAAATTAGCTAGGGGTGGTGGCGTGTACTTGTAGTCCTAGCTACTCAGGAAGCTGAGGCAGGAGAATTGCTTAAACCTGGGAGGTGAAAGTTGCAGCAACCCAAGATGGTGCCACTAAACTCTAGCCTGGGTGACAGAATGAGACTCCGTCTCAAACAAACAAACAAACAACAAAAAAAATCAATAACAAAAGAGGTCTGGAAAATCTACAAATGTGTAGTTTTTTTTTTTTTTTTTTTTGGTTGGTTGGTTGGTTTGTTTTGTTTTTTTAACATGCATATTTTCTAAATAGCCCAGAGGTCAAAGAAGAAATCAAAATGGAAATCAGAAAATATTTTGAAATCAGTGAAAATGAAAATATGGCATATCATAATTTATGAAATGCAACTAAAGTAGTGTTTGTAAGGACATTTAGAATAATAAATACCTATACTACAAGGCAAGAAAGAAAAAAACAAAGATCTAAGTGTCAACCTTAAGAAGCTATAAAAAATTAAACCTGAAAATAGTTTAGTAGAGTAAGTAGAAGAGAAATAAACATCATAAAGGAAATTTATGCAAGAGAAAATGAATAAATAGTAGTGAAAAACAATGAAACTTAAAGCTGCACATAAAAGACAATGTAGTATGTGACTCAATTTTTAAGAAATTCTAGAAAAGGCAAAACTTGACGGACAACATTTAGAGCAATGGCTACCCAATGCAAAAGACTAACTGAAAAGGAATGAGAACTTTTGGGAGCTGATGGAAGCAGGGCCAGCTCCATGGGTGTTTGACACGTGCGGTCACACAAGTCCTCAGAACTCTGCATTTTATTTAATGCTCTGCTGTCACTATTTTTCATTTCTTTTTTATATTGACACATTATAATTGTACCTATTTATGTGGTACAATTTGATGTTTCCATACATGTAGACATTGTATAACAATCAAATCAGGGTACTCAGTATTGAAATTCTTAACAATATTTGAACAAAGAGACCCACATTCATTTTGCACTATGCTCTGTATATTAGGTAGTCAATCCAGACTTCATTTTTTGTGGTGATTTCATGGCTGTTTTAACTTAGCAAACTCATCAAACTGTACTCTTAAAATGAGTGGTTTTGTCGTTTAACTTATATATAAACAAAACTCTAAAATATAAAAAGAAATATAAGAAGCAATGCCATTACTTACCATTTAACCATTCCAACAAAACATATACATGAAATGCTTTAATACTTATTGCCATGATGATTGATATTTATTCATTAGTGAAAGAAATACCAAGAAGAAATACTCTGCCCATGTAGAAGACTGATATGCTTAGGCTTTGTGTCCCCACCCAAATCTTACCTTGAATTGTAATCCCCAGGTGTTAATTGAGAGACCTGGTGGGAGGTGATTGGAGCATGGGGGCGGTTTCCCCCTGCTGTCCTCATGACAGTGAGTGAGTTATAAGCATCTGGCATTTTCCCTGCTTGCACTTCTCTCTCATGCCACCATGTGAAGAAGGTCCTTGCCTCCACTTTCCCCATGATAGTTAACTTTCCTGAGACCCCCACCCAGGCCGGCAGAACTGTGAGTCAACTAAGCCTCCTTTGCTTATAAACTACCCAGTCTCAGGTAGTATCTTTATAACAGTGTAAGAATGGCCTAATACAGTAGACCAACTGAAAACTTCAATGAAAATTAACAACACACAGGTATATGGGCTTGGAAATTATTTCGTTTCCGTGAATCTAGTTCGTAAAAATAGAAGTAATAATTTTAAATGCATCTATTTAAGGATGATTATAATAGTATTGTTCATACTACTAGATACAATGTAAATGTCCGTCAACAGAAGAATAGTTGGATATATTTTGGTATAATATGTATAAAATATTATATTGCAATTAAAAGTGAATTATTCTAACATAACTTGCTTTGGAGTGATTTATATAAGATTTTTTAAGTGTGAAAAGCAAGATACATAAAATAGTATGTGACGTCCATTTTGGTTAAATAAGCCTTCACATAACAACAACAACAACAAAACTGTATGTGTATAGATATATCTGTAAAGAATTAAATGAGAGAGAACCATGGGTGAACTCATATACACAGTTCCAAAATAGATAAGATTTAGTATGATAAATATGTAGTAATACTCTGAGTATAAGCCCTTTACTAATGTGTCCAGGTTATATTTATAGCATGCTTCAACACGTAGAAAATCTACTTTGAAAATTAGAAGAACTTCAAATATATGTTGAAAGAAACATTAATCTGTGAGTAATACATTAATAATTATCTCTCAATTAGAATTGTTGATTAACCAAAATCCTCCAGACCAGTTTATAAAGACTAATTTTACCTCCTGACTTATTTTAATAATGAACATTTCTCTATTCTTGAACATAGCAAGGATACTAATACAACAGAGTTGCCATTTAATGATCAAAGATCATTGTCTTTAGATATTTACATGGAGGAATTAAAATAAGATTGTATAACAAGAGTGGTCAGATAATTTACCATTCAAACCACGATACTTTTGAGAATAAAAGTAGCTGGTCAAGGCAAGAGAGGTGAGTAAGGTATATGGTTAACCAAATAGAATATTGGGAATATCCATATAAACTAGGTTTGTTCCAGATAAACTAAGACCATGGACCCCTGAGCTACAGCCTGCATAGGACAAGCTGCAGGGAAAAGCTCATCTGAAAATTTGATAGAGTTGGAGTCCCAAATATCTGCAGAGAATACTTCTCCAGCAGGTACAGCTAGTGGTTTTCATCCTGCTCCAAATTCGAAAGAGATTAGATGCAGTCTATAAAGACCACCAGCTAGGAGCAGAGTGATTCAAAACTCTTGATTCCTATAATCGAGTGAAATCCACATACAAGAAGAAGAAATGCTCCAGATTATTTTCACTAAGGAAAGAAATACCAGCTTTATACCTTCTGAGTTTATACATATAAAATCTTACATGGAACATACTAAGAGAACTAGGACTCTAGACTTGATTAGAAAGTAGTTGGCAGAGAACTACAAATTCAATAATTTCCTACCCAAATTCCAATGACATTTTTTACAGAAAGAGAAAAAAAATCTTAAAACTTATTTGAAACCATGAAAAACCCTGAACAGTAAAAGAAATCTTGGGCAAAAAGAACAAAGCTGGAGGCATCACAATACCTGATTTCAAAACCTACTACAAAGCTATAGTAATCAAAGAAACACACACACAGAGTAATGGGACTGAATAGAGAACCCAGAAATAAACCTATGCATTTATGGTCAATTATTATTCAACACAGATGCCAAGATCACACAGTGGGAAAAAGACAGTTTCTTCAATAAATTATTTTTCAGAAACTAAAAATCCACATGTAGAAGAATGAAATGAGACCCTCATTTCGTACTGTACCCAAAAATCAACACACACACAAAAATTAAAGACTCAAATATAAGACCTGAAACTACTATATATAACTACTAGAAGAGCACATAGGGGAAAAGTTCTATGACATTGGTTTGGGCAAAGATTTTTTATATGACTCTGAAAGCATGGATAACAAACACATAAATATAAAAATAGGATTGAATCCAACTAAAAAGCTTCTGCACAGCAAAGGAAACAATCGCTAGAGTGAAGAGACAACCTAGAGAATAAGAGAATATATCTGCAAACCATATAACTGACAAGGAGTTAGTATCCAAAATATATAAGGAACTTAACCCAGTGGCAAAGGAAACAAATAATCCGGTCAAAAAATGGGTGAAAGACTTGAATAGACATTTCTCAAAAGAAGACATATAAGTAGCCAACAGGTATATGAAAAGGTGTTCAATATTATTAGTTATGAAGGAAATACAAATGAAAGCCACAATGAGATATTACATCACACGTGTTAGGATTGCTACTATCAAATACTGGAGGTGAGGGAACCCTTATACATTGTTGTGAGAATGTAAATTTATGCAACCATAAGGAAAACCGTATGGAGGGTTCTCAAAAAGTTAAAATAGAACTACTATATGATCCAGCAATCTCACTTGTGGGTATGTATCCTAAAGAAATGAAATCATTCTATTGTGAAGACACATGCATGTGTATGTTCATTGCAGCACGAATCACAATAACAAAGACATGGAATCAACCTAAATGCTCATCAATGATAGACTGGATAAAGAAAATGTGGTACATATACACCATGGAATACAATGCAGCCATAAAAAAGAATGAGGTCATGTCCCTTGCAAGGACATGAATGGAGCTGGAGTTGGAGGCCATTATTCTTAGCAAACTAATGCAGAAACAAACAAAAAATACGACATGTTCTCACTTATAAGTGGGAGCTAAATCATGAAAACACATAGACATAGAGGGGAACAACACACACAGAGTTTTTTAACAGGGTGGAGGGTAGGAGGAGAAAGAGGATCAGGAAAAATAATAAATAAGCACTAAGCTTAATACCTGGGTAATGAAATAATCTGAACAACAAACCACCATGACACAATCTGCATGCACATAAAACATGCACATGTACTCCTGAACTTAAAATAAAGTTAAAAAAAATGAAATCAGTGTGTCCAAGAGACAACTGCACTGCAACATTCATTGTAGCTCATTCGCAACAGCCAAGATATTGTAAGAACCTAAGTATTTATCAGTAGTTGAATGGATAAAGAAAATGTGGCATATATACAAGGAAATACTCTTCAACCTTAAAAAAGATGGAAATCCTGTCATTTGTGACAACATGGTTGTTACATAAAATAAGCCAGGAACAGAGAAACAAATACCACATGATCTCATGTACATATAGATTCTAAAAAAGTCAAACTCACAGAAACAGAGAGTAGAATAGTGGTTATCAGTGGCCAGAGGGTGGAGGGACTGGGGAGATGCTGGTCAAAGCATACAAAATTAAGTTAGACAGGAAGAATAAGATCCATAGATCAACTGTCCATAATTGTGACTATAATTAATAAAAATATATGTATATTATATACTTGAAAATTGCTAAGTAAATTTTAAATGTTCTTACTACTAAAACGTAAGTATGTGTGGTAACACATATGTCAATTGGCTTTTTTCAGCCGTTCTACAATGTATACATATATTCAACTATTACATTGCACACCATAAATATATACAATTTTTATTTGTCAATAATTTTTTTAAAATAAAAAGAAGTGAAAAAAGAAAGTGGTTGACAGGGAGTGCACTTTTAGCAGTGATTCTGTAAGCAAAGCCACTTTGGGGTCATAATTGCAGAAAGCAGCTAAGGGAGAGTAGCAGGTAGAAGCAATAGATTTAAGTCTGCCAGAGTTCCAGAGTACAAGAATTTGGTAGCCTGGAATGGGACTCACAGTAGGAGAATGGAAACTAAAAGCAACCTAGAAAAAGAAATCTGGTGCAAGAACAAGTCAGCTGCTAGTTAAGAGACTTCAGTGGTAAATGCAGGGCATCAATAGGAAAAAATGGAAGTTGATGCTAAGCTACAAAGTCTGTGAATTAGAGCTCTCCTCCTGGTTCCAAGAGCAGATTGTCTAAAGTTAGAGATACAGAGAGATATATGGACTTAAATGTTAAGGGCAGCAGAATAGAAAGCAAGGAAATTCATGACACTGGTCTATTGATCTATGTTTCCTGGCTATCTGAAAGATCAATTTACTAGCACCCTTTCCTCTTAGAAATTTGCAATTCATCAAGTAATGTATCATTCTCCAATTTTGATTTAGACTTGAAATAATAAAATGTGAAAATGAATTCTTGAAAGTGTGTGCCCTATCTGTCTACTTCTTCTCAGCTTACTGGAAAAAGAAGAGGCAAGAAGGCAAACGAACATGACTCCATGGCATCCTGGGACTGGCTTCTTTGTGAAAGACAATCAGAGAGCAGAACTGGGTGCCATCATTTCCTCTGAAAGCTTTTATATAAAGATCTCATGATTGCTTTCCTTCTTCCAAGTGTGTTACTGAATTCATTATGGATGGATACTTATTCAAAATCAGATTTAGCTATGCCTGATGGACTTAAACTGACACTGCTTTCATCTCATCTACCTAGAAGCCATAGTTTGGAAGCTCTGGTTTGCATAGGAGAAAAAAAACCCTTATTGCTAGCTAAGAAAAAAGAGTAAGTCTACCTTTCTATTAAGACTAGGCCTTTAAAATATGATCATGAAGGGAGACAGCAAAATCCATTCTTTGAACAATTATGAAAAATGTTTGATTCTCTATTGCAGTCATACCATATAGTGTTTAGCAGAAAGAGACCTGCCATTGAAGAAAAGCATGCTAATAGTTAAGACTGGGAACATTATTTGAAATCATATGAATTCCACTTCATATTCCTAGTATTCTTTTAAATTCTGCTATTCTCTTCTTTTTTTATCATTATTATACTTTAAGTTTTTGGGTACATGTGCACATTGTGCAGGTTAGTTACATATGTATACATGTGCCATGCTGGTGCGCTGCACTCATTAACTCATCATTTAGCATTAGGTATATCTCCTAATGCTATCCCTCCCCCCTCCCCCCACCCCACAACAGTCCCCAGAGTGTGATGTTCTCCTTCCTGTGTCCATGTGTTCTCATTGTTCAGTTCCCACCTATGAGTGAGAATATGCAGTGTTTGGTTTTTTGTTCTTGTGATAGTTTACTGAGAATGATGATTTCCAATTTCATCCATGTCCCTACAAAGGACATGAACTCATCATTTTTTATGGCTGCATAGTGTTCCATGGTGTATATGTGCCACATTTTCTTAATCCAGTCTATCACTGTTGGACATTTGGGTTGGTTCCAAGTCTTTGCTATTGTGAATATTGCCACAATAAACATACGTGTGCATGTGTCTTTAGAGCAGCATGATTTCTAGTCCTTTGGGTATATACCCAGTAATGGGATGGCTGGGTCAAATGGTATTTCTAGTTCTAGATCCCTGAGGAATCGCCACACTGACTTCCACAATGGTTGAACTAGTTTACAGTCCCACCAACAGTGTAAAAGTGTTCCTATTTCTTCACATCCTCTCCAGCACCTGTTGTTTCCTGACTTTTTAATGATTGCCATTCTAACTGGTATGAGATGGTATCTCATTGTGGTTTTGATTTGCATTTCTCTGATGGCCAGTGATGGTGAGCATTTTTTCATGATAAAGAAACAGACAAAATGTACAGGTTATGTGCTTTTTGTGGGGGGCAGCTTTTACATGTTTTTCATTTTACAGAATTAACATTTGTTACTATAAAAATTTAGCAATAGAGATAAACAAGAAAATAAAAATTCACCTGAAGTTTTATCCTAGCAATTTTTATAAATACAATTTGGAGGTATGACATCTCAATACCCTTTCTGTGCATATATAAGTTAACATTATATGATATGGTTTGGCTGTGTCCCCACCAAAATCTCACCTTGAATTTTAATAATCCCCATGTGTCAAGGGCGAGGCCAGGTGGAGAATCATAAGGGTAGATTCCCCCATACTGTTCTTGTGGTGGTAGTGGGTAAGTCTCATGAGATCTGATGGTTTTATAAATGGAAGCTCCCCTGCACAAGCCCTCTTGCCTGCTGCCATGTAAGACGTGCCATTGCTCTTCCTTCACCTTCCACCGTGATTGTGAGGCCTCTCCAGCCATGTGGACCTGTGAGTCCATTAAACTTCTTTCCTTTGTAAATTACCCAGTTTCTGGTATGTTTTTATTAGCAGCAAGATAATGGACTAATAAAATTATAAAACTAGAATTATTGAATATTAGCTTTTAAAAAGAAAATGATACATTGTGCTTTTTAGCAACATATCTTCAATGTTTTCTTTATCCATCTATTGTCCTGGGAAAGT
This sequence comes from Homo sapiens, assembly GCF_000001405.40. NCBI lineage: Eukaryota > Metazoa > Chordata > Mammalia > Primates > Hominidae > Homo > Homo sapiens. Next base: position 137,066,976 of record NC_000007.14, read on the forward strand.
TGGTTACATATGATGAGCTATAGACATATATATATCCTTGCTTATCTCTGAAATTCTACTAAGTTAAGAGTGAAGGGATTTTTTTAAAAGCAGCAGTCAGAAATCTATAAGAACTAAAATAGCTGATAAAGAGAAATATAGCAGACTTTTGGAAGATGAAAGCAAGTGGATGAGTTGTAACTGATTTAGCAAATACAAGAAAGCTGAATCCTAGGTGGCTGTGGGGAATCCCAAATAGCCACAGGGATTGACAGTGCTAGGTACCTCTGAATAAAGGTGAGGGTGGAACGAAACGCAGAGGTTCACATCAAAGTCTGTTATACCCTCTTGATCTTTGTCCTCCATTACCTAACTACTTAACTGTCTCTTTCTTACTTGAAGTTGATGCTTAGAATAGGATAAATTAGAGGGTCTCTACACTAGGGGGCTGGAGGAATAGATGCAGTTGGGGAGCGAGCTAAAGTGAAAATGGAGAACTAAGTGTAGGTTTATAAAATGAATGTTGAAATTCCAAATTCCCGACTTCCTTTTCCTACTAGCACCCAAGCACTCAGCCTTAAACCCTCCAGATAACAACCAAGATTACCTTGCCATCCGAGGATATCCTGTAAACATAAACGTAAAAAAAACAGACATAAAAAAGAGGTAACTTAAAAGAAACAGATTCTTAAGGAAGAGAACCTCTTTCCTCAACTTTTATTTTGAAAAGTGTCAGTCCTAAAGAAAAGATGAATGAACAGTGCAGAGAACATTTTACTACCACATTTGTGTGTTCTCTCTCTTTCTGAAGTGCCGAATCATGAAACATCACTCCTATATAATTCAGCATTTATCTCCTAATAAGGGATTTTTCTATATATTGTCATTTTCACATCTAATAAAATTAATAATTCTATAATATCATTTCCCATATATATTTAATTTTCCCACAAGTGATTTTTATTAATGCTTCATTTTTATTATATAATACAATTAGATTTTATGAATTGCATTTTGTTTCTCTGTCTCTTTAGACCCTTTAACATAAAGCAGTCCTTCTGCCTTTTGTTTTCATGACATTTACATTTTAAGGAGCCCAGTCAAGTTGTCTTGTAGATATAACATCCTACATTCTGGATTTGACCGACTGTTTTATAGTGATGTCATTTAACTTATTTCCATATTTCTCAACATAGATCTACTCAATAGATGATGCTATTTTTATTCTTATTATATCACATTAAAAGGACACATACGTTTCGATTGGCCCACCCTTAAGAATAATTAATGATGCTCAATTTGGTCACTTGGTTAAGGTTTTAGGCATGAGATCTAAGAGGGGAAACATTAAGAAAAGAAGCTATTATTAGCAACATCAAAGAGTTAAGAGAAGACTTTGTAACTGTGAAATAAAGTGAGAATATTTTTATAAACATTGAGGATTCTTGAAAAAGATTAGATAATTACTCTTGAATGAAAGGCATAATAGTAGATAATAACTCTTGAATGTAAATGCATCATAGCAGTAGAAAGTGTGAAAAACAAAGTTAAGGTGATCACCCAGATAGCAGAAGGAGAAAACAACTGTGTAGGAAAACAAGAGAGAAAATATAAGAAAGTTAAATAAAGAGTCCATAAGATCTAACACATTACTAAAAGGGCTTCCAAACTCAGTAGAAAAAAAAATGGAGGAGATAAAATTATTAACAAAATAATTCAAGAAAATTCCCCTGGGTTGAAAAATGTATTTCTAGATGAAAAGGACCTAGAATAATACACATTGATTTTCCTCTATATTTGCTCCATTAACCTGCCCTCTCTTACATCATGTGATTTTATTTATTCTGCCAACATAGCATATGTTAATGCTTAGCATGGCACGTACCACTTCATTCTTCTTATTCAGATTTTTCTTGGTTCTTTTTATTTATTTACAACTAATCATAATATTTAGTATCATTTTGCAATAGGTACCCTACCCCAAAGCCTATGTATATTTTGATTAGGATTGCATGTATGTATATATAAATCCGAGTCTAAATTTTATCTTTAGAATATTGAGTTTTCTCATTCAGAGATATTTATTTTATTACATGCAAACAAGTCATCTTTTGTATTTTGTACTATTTTGAGTATTGATGCATAAATGAATTCTCAAATTTCTGCCAAGTTAATTTATAGGCATTTTATAAATTTTTTTTGCTATGACAAGTGGTATGTTTTCCATTACATTTTCTGTATCGGTACCTTACCTCACACACAGATTTGTGATAAAAACAGAGAAGATCCACAAGGGTATAGCTGCAAATAACCCTGCTGTTTTGTTGCTCCTTGAGCAAACTAGCGTTAAAGTTGACCTGCCCAGGTATAGTGCAGATCTGGTCTAGATTAGTTTTGAGGTCCAAAGTGGCTCCATCCTGCTGTGCTTCTGGAGGAGTTTTCAGGCACAGATGATTTAGTAGCCTGGTTGTGATAATGTCAAACATTTCACAATTGGCTTAGAGTTCAGATTGCAAAAGTAGCCACCGAGATAACACGAGCTTCCCATTAAAGGACAATTGAAAGGTGCTCTGAGCTTTTCTACCAAGTAACTTTCATTTTTGCAGACTATTCTCTAGGTGGCCTGGCACCGACCTAGGTCTCTCACCTTTGCCTGCTTATAGTTCTCAAGAATAACTGTAGAATGTGCTGGGAATGCAACAACCTGAAATGGGATTGGGAGAGGGGGTTGGCTGAAACAGCCTAGGCCCTGTTCCAGTTCCTTCTGGAAACAAGATGTCCTTCGAGGCTTCAGTCCAACATGTCACGTGATCCCAAGATATAAAACCCAGAATGGGCTGCTTTTGTGGGTCCCTCAGTAGGTGCAAGGAAGGCATGGGTAATTGTGACTCCATCCATCCTGGGGAGTTTTTCTGAGCCTTAGGGGATTAGCTAGCAGTTAATCCTAGGCTTCAGTTGTTCCTTGCTGCGTATCTGTAAGTAACAAACCCGCTTCATGTAACTTGTTGTAGGCATGGGTGTTCGGTCTCACCAGATTCAGACAAATTGGTAACTAGTGCACAGAGAACCTGCTTCACACACTTAGCTTAGTGTGGAAAATTATAGCTCTACAAACTCACATACTCTGTTTTTTATCCTTCTGTGCAACCTTTGAAGCAAAGTGGTATAGTGTGTCCAAAGGAAATTACTACTTAGGGGAATATGCAAAATCATTGAACTTTATTCTTTAATATTTATTAAAATGATTAAATTTAATGTCAGTAGGCTTTATTAAAAAACAAAAAAAATTGAAAAAGCTCTTAGAGGTAAATAATACCAAGTAACAATTTCTCACTAGTCCCAAACTGTAAATACTCCTAATTTTCTTTTTCCTTGAAAATTTCAAAAAAGGGAATATTGAGCTTATTTTCTTGCTTTTTTTACTTAAATCTGGGAACTAAAAGCCCCTAAATATTGGTTTTATCAATTTCTCTCTTTGTTTAAATGTCTCTGTGGCTAATGTACACGGAAGACCACTAGGATTCTGAAGTTGTAGATGTTCCAGTACAAAGATCCTCAGTGTATAAAAGCCTTGAGTTTTATTGCATCGAGATTCTGTATAAATAATTTCCACTTTCTGGAAGATAGTCCTGGCAGGAAATCTATTTTGTGTGAATATCTAAATCATAATCTTCTTTCTAATCTCTTGTCTGAAATAGATCTATTTAAGCTTCCTATTTCTACCTGGATCAATTTGGTAAACGATATTTTCTTAGGAAAGTGTTATTTCCTTTCAGTTTTCATAACTGTTGCAACAGAGTTGCATATAGTATCTTATTAGCAATTAGACATACAACTTCCGTATATAAGGCTATGTATCTTTTCTTATTACTAAGAGCCAATATTTTGATGCCTTCTATTTTTGGTTAGACTTGTTAGAATCTAAACAATGAAGGGCTCCCTTGCCAGAGGAGAAATACTAGACATCTCGGAGGATCAGATCACTAGGTGTTAGAGAAAAATGAGTCAGTCTACACGCTTTTTAGGGGGTATAAGAATTCTCTACACTGCCGAATTGTTATTCATATGGCACAGCCCAAAAAGATGTTCACAGACATGTCCTCCTCCCATATTCCTGTATGTGGGAAATGAGGCAGTCAGAAGCAGGAATGAAACCTGCCAAATACTGAATGAAAACAAATAATGATGCAACGAGGAATCCACTGTATAGAAAGGCCAATATGAATAAGGTTGAACTAGAAAGACTAAATAGGTCTATAACTTTAAGCATGTGTCTAAAGGCCATAAGCATTGAAATCTGAAATGCTGAACCCCGCGCAGCCCCAGATGCTCCTGTGCCCCATCACTGTGATTCCCTGATAGACAAGTACTAGGAGGAAGAAAAGCTAATCCCAAGGCACCTTCAGGCCAGGCAGGAAACTTTCTAAACCAGTGTCACTATCCCGACAATGCAGCACATCTAAATAAGGAGGAAAGAGGAGAGGGAGAAGAAAAAGAGAGAGAGTGCAAAATTATTAAAGACTGGGTAGAAGAATGGAGAGCCACATGAAATACAGAAGAAATTTTAAAAGTGTAAAAAATACTACATGCAAGCTTCTTGGCAAATAGGCTGTAAACTAAAGGAAATGAATAATTTCTTAGCTATATATATATGTCACATATATATATATATACGTCACATATATATATATATATATGTACACATACACATATATTTCTAAATCTGACTCAAAATGAAGCAAGAGGCTGGGCATGGTGGCTCACACCTGTAATCTCAGCATTTTGAGAGGCCAAGGCTGGTGAATCACCTGAGGTCAGGAGTTCAAGACCAGCCTAGCCAACATGGTGAAACACTGTCTCTACTAAAAATACAAAAATTAGCCAGGGGTGGTTGTGTGGCCTGTAATCCCAGCTATGGGGAGGCTGAGGCAGGATAATCACTTCAACCCAGGAAGCAGAGGTTGTAGTGAGCTGAGAGATTGCACCACTGCACTCCAGCCTGGGCGACAGAGCAAGACTATGTCTAAAAAAAAAAAAAAAAAAGATGAAGCAAGAAAACAAAAAGATATTAATACCATAGAAGGTTTATGAGACATAGATATCTAACAAGGAAGCATCACAAATAAAGGGCTCCACAACTAAGCTATTGGTAATCAGATAATTCTAATAAAATAGACAATAGGAAAAGATGACAATCTTTATTAATTTATTTTATGAGGGCATCACATTTTTAATTAAAACTTGATAAAGATGGTATAAAGTGTTTTTCAGAAAAATCTTATTTACAAATACATATGCATACAATCTACTTATGATATTAGCAGAAAGAATTCAGCACAAATCAAAATTATAATAAGACACAAACCACAAAGAGTACCAACTTGAAAAATGATAGTGAATTTCAAAAATTCAAAAAAAATACATGTGTAAAAAATTAATATATCAGTAGAAGTTAAGGAATTTTATAGACAGCATAAAATAAAATTTTTCATAAAAATGAAATTCTCAGGTGGGTTGATCATTGCTTTATATATTTTGAAGCTATACTATTAGATGGATATGTTAATATTCATTTTTAATGAATACAATTATTTTCTGATTGCTCTGTGAACTAACATACAACATCTCTTTTGTCACATAAGATATTTGCTGAATTAAATCTTTATTTTGTCAGAGATCAATATTGCGACTTCAGATTGTTAGAGTAGGTCTTATTTCTTACTTCATTCAATTGATTTTATTTCCTTATTCTTATTCTCCACTGGATAGATAAGATTTTCTTCCACCACTGTCATATAACACAATCTTTGTATCTGCTATGGACCAAATTTTATTCCCCCCCCCAAATTTATATGTGACGCTCTAACCCTGTATTTGGATAACAGGGTCTTCAGGACCATAATTGTACACTGTGACTGTATTTGGAGATAGGGTCTTTAGGGGATAATTAAGGTTAAATGAAGTCATAAGGGAGGGTCCCTAATTGATAGGATTGGTGGCTTATAAGGAGAGGAAGATCTCTCTGTCTTGCTGTCTCTGTCTGTCTCCTCACTCCTGCCCCCCGCATCCCCCCACCGAGCCCCCTACCACACACACACACACACACACACACACACACACACACACACCACTGGGGAAAGGCCATGTGAGACATAGCAAGAAGGCAGCTATCTGCAAACCAGAAAGAGAGCCCTCACCAGAGTCTGGCTATGCTGGCATCCTCATCTCAGACCTCCAGCCCCCAGAAGTGTGAGAAAATAAATTTCTGTTGCTCAAGCCACCCACTCTGTGGTATTTTGTTATATTGACTTAAGGTGACTAATACAATGTCTTTCTCCCACTCCTCCCACTTCCTATACTCTCCCACTTCCTATACTTCACTGAGGAAAGTGTTGGATTTCAGCTGAAATAAAATGGACAAAAGGACAGATTCAGGAAGCATTTCCCATGAATCTCTTACATTCTGGCACTGTTGCCATTACTGAGCCCCCTGCCAGATTGCTTACTTTCTACTGTAGTGATGCTGAAATGGTGTCTGGTATTTTTCTTCTTTTGTATGGCCTCAAACTGATATGTCTCCCCTGACATCAATGTTACTATGCCAGGCTGACTTTGGAGTAGAATTGTGTCTGTGGCAAGCTAGAAGTCAGCACATCATGGAGATTCTCTTTGCCCTAAGCTGGGAGCCAGCTTGAGAAATGATCTGAGAAAGACTTGAGGACAGAGGACTCATGCAGGCAGCTAAGGTTCAATGAGGTAATGCCTCATTCTGTCCCAAGACCTGTGGGTTTCAGTGAACTCCTCAGTTCAATCTGGGTCCCTCAGGAAATGCCAGACAATACATGTGGGCCTCATTTTACCAACATAAAAGGAGAGGAGGACAAATCCATGGAGTGTTATGCTTACTCCCATCTGACACAGGAAGCATTGGGTAAAAGAAGCACATGAATGTGAAGGGGCGGAAAATGTATTTTCTTCAAAGGCCTTTCCACTTAACACAATGGCCATACCTAATCATTTCTGAATGTTTATTAAATGGTAATATTTGTTCTCAAAAACACTAATTAGAGAGCTAAACTACACACATGCAAAATGGCCTATGAGTCATTGATTGGTATTTCTACAGAAAACTTCAGTTTTTATCTGTTTACAAATCAACTAAAGCATGAGGTTACAACTACTTTTGACTTTCGCAAGTTTTTTGGGTCAAAAATAGTTTTTCAGGTAGTGAGTATTGGGCTGCCATCATACAACTTTAGCTGTCTATGACAAGGGGCAATCATATGCAAACAAGTGAGAAGAGAATACGAAAGATTGTAAAGCATTTTGTTTGTTTGTTTGTTTTCTTCTCCTGTTTGTTTTCTTGATGAAAATTAAGAAATTATAAATCATCATTGTGATTTTTTGCAAATATGCTATTTGTGGTAGATCTGAAATTTAAAAAAAATTAGAAGTCTTCTATTTACTTTCAAGGTTAAGAGCAACATCATTCCACTGTGTAGTTTATATGTTCCTAATAAAGAAAGAATTCTTGAGAGATAAAGTGTTGCTGGTGGCTCATAGCTTATAAATGTTACAGATTTTGATGTCTGAGTCATTAAAACAAAGTTTACTTTACTCATTTTTTTAAATTCAGTATTTACTTCATACTAGATAAGATTATCCAGTAGAAATTCAGCAAATGGTCGCAAATGACTCCTCAATTTCTCTTTATTAGACATCAGATGATAAGTACTGTGTACATACCCTGGGGCCACCTTTATGCCATCTAAACCCCAGCAAAGAAGGATGGAAAGAGTCAAAAGAGGAAGAGAGAGTGGCAATGGTACCAAGACTAGCTTTCATTCTTTTCGTTCTTGCCAGGGATTACAATGTCACAAGCCTGGGGCAGGATCTTAATTGGAAGTATGAAGCTAAGGATTATAGAAAGTATGTGACATTTGTGCCTTGTACATTTCTATAAACATCTTTGGAGCCCCTTAGGGAAATGAGACTGGGAGGTTTTTCTTTATTTTTCTAGAATCTTTGGTTCTGGAGGGCTAAGAAAGATCAAGGCAAAGATCCTGGAGTCAGAGTTCAAGCTGCTTACCACTGGTTCTAAACTCAAGGCAATAGGGCATATTGACCCTTCCAATCATCGTCCATATTTCCCAGAACAGGTGAACTGAAGAATATTGGAGAGTGTGGCCGATCTTATAAGTTCCTCTCAAGAAATCAAGACTGGAATACAAGGTATTCACACCCTAACAGGCCTGCTAAGTACTCAGGAATAGATGAGATGTGCAAGGCCCAGGAGTCTGGACTCTCACCGGTAAGAATAAGCTTCTTCTCCTCCTAAAATGACTAAATGCAAAGAGATGATAGGGTAGGGTCCTCACAACAACTGATGGTGACAGTTGAATTAGTGAAAGGGCATTTCTAATGGCATATTTCTGAGAAAGAGGGCAGGAGTAGAGAATTATTGTTCAGTCAATTATCCGTAGCACCCTAGGCCATGCTGGCAAATACAGGAATTGCATTTATTATACAATTAATTAAAAACATCACTTTTGCCTTTTTTAAATGATTATAGATTCAGAAAAGAATATAAGTGAACTGCCTTCCCCTTCACTCACCAAGCATGGATGGGGAAAAATGAAGTTACTTTGAAGAGACACCATATATTCAATGAAATTAAAAACAATAATAATCCCCATCACATATGGAATGTTGACCTTTCTTGGATAAAATTTGCTTCAATTAGACAATGAAATGAATTTTTTGTATGAATGAGCTGATACCCGACATTATTTAGTATTTGTCTGTGTGAACTCGAGCCCCAAGCTAAAGTAACAATCAACTCTCTAACTGTCCTTCACTAAATAACACCTTCTTCTAAGCAATAAAATAAACTGATTATTTATTTTAAATATTTGTTAAGTTTAAATTCCCTTATATTCATGATCAATACTTTTTAAAAATTAGGAAGCTCTAGCTCCAATGCCAATGTTGTGATTTTATGGTGTTCTGTTTACATACGTTAAGCAGTCTGAATATTACATTCAGAATACATTTTAGTTGTATTTCAACAGGGTCTTGGACTTACCTTAAAACAAAGGTAGTTTGGGGCTCAAATTAAAAGTTATTACTTTTTACACTTATTTTCTTATAAGGCAACAAACATAAACTTAATTATATGATACTGTTAGAGCCAAAGCTTTGGATCTAGTAGTATTTTAAAAGAAACTAAAAGATCAAAAAGAAGCTCATAAGAACTATGTAACTGAAGAGTTAAAAAACATTCTACCTAAATGTCTCAGCAATTTCTGAGTTTCTTCAAGCTAGTTTTCCTCAAAGAGTAAATCTGTTTCAAAGTTGTGAGGTTCTGGAGGAAATGATCATTCACTCTAATGGAAATTTACTACCTTCCTGAGAGTTCGGAATTCTTCTTAGAGAGAGAGAGAGAGAGAAAAGGCATCTTATTCAGCTAGAAGGAAGGTGATAGCTTCCTGGAATGATCGGAATATCAAAAATCAATGCCTAGATTCAAATCAAGGACCTTGGACTCAAGCCAAGACAAGGTAGGACTACTAAATAAATAAATAAATAAATAAATAAATAAATGGAAAGGATAAGAGCAAAGAAGACACTTAGAAGTCAATGTAGGGCACCTCATGTGTACATTGCAGTTACCAGAGGAGACTTCTCTTCCTGAAGGGGAGTGTACTGCTCCCTGGTTCTGCTGGTGAGAGAGTGCTGGTCAAAGAACAGGTTCTGTTCCAGTGGAAGAGAATCAAATAGACAAAGAAACTAGCACAGAACACCTAATATAAAAGGAAATTATTTCCCCCATCTGATGGTACAGCCAAGTCTGTTTCTCTCATGTCTACCAGTGGGCATCAGGCAATTCTGCTATCTTTGCCAACAAACATTTCTTTACATCCTGAATCTAAAAGCAAGAGTTTTAAGCCTCTTTCTTGCACCTTTATTTATAATCTCCATGAACAGTCTCACTTAAATGAATTGCACCCACATCTGAATCCTTTAGATAATCATATCATAAGACTGGCTTTCATCTGTCCAATTATGCCTTGTTATTTCTATTACCTGAAACTTCCGGCACAATACCTGAAGATCCACTTGTGAAAAGATCCATTTGCAAAAAGCCAAACCCTACACAAAGGTTCAGATCTAGTAGTGTTTTAAACAAACATAAAGGATCAAAAAGAAGTTCATGATATACCAACTATATAATTGAAGAGTTAGGAAAAAAACAGTTCTACCCAAATGTCTGACTTGTTGAGAGCCTAACCCTACACAAAACAGATCAGATGAAACCAAGAAGTGCCCTTCAAGGTGTTGCTAAATATAGTTACACTCTATAAGACTGTGCATTCCTGGTTCAAAATACAATTTTCTTCCCTGACTTATGTATGTTTCTCTTTGACTTACTCTTCTCTCAGCCAAGTATTTGGTATGCTGTGACATCTTTTTACTTCCCAAAGAATAAGCTTTAAAAGTGAAGTATTTATACAAAGTAGATGACAATAAGTTCGTAAGTTTATACTGTCAAACCTGTTTTTACCCTAACACCCCATCCCACTCCTGGTTTTATGCTTGATAAGTCTACTTGATAATTTACGATTAATAAAATTACTCATTGCCACTCTTATCAAAGCATGTGTCTTCCTGTAAAAAGACTTCAAAGAGAAGAAAAAGCTGCTAGTAAAAGCAGGAATAATAAGATTTGGGGTATGGATCCATGAATATTAATATTAATATCAATATTCTAGATGCCTTCATTAATTGAATTAGAACAGGAAAACTCTCTTCTATATGAATGCTCACAATAAGCATCTATTTAATCCTACATATATTTGAGATGTACATATATATGGAGAGAGTGAGGGGCCGTCATGGTGAAAGAGGTTGGACAGCACTGAAGTTTTCATTATTTACAAATTTTCATTCGTAATACATTTTCATTATTAATACTTTTATTAATTTCTTATTGCCATTGTTGTTATTACTGCTCACCTGACTTTAATCTTTCAATTTGGTCTCACCAAAAGAGCAAGCAGCTGAACAGGCTTTCAACATTAACTGCCCTCAAGGTATCTCAACCTGTGAAACTAGCCCTGTTCCTCCAGGAGTCCAAGAAGAGAGATACGAGTGGGACGCTAACAGTACTCCAAGAAAGATTGAGGGGCTTCTACAGCAAAAAATGTATTTGTCTGGATTCTCAGAATGTAGCAAAGGAGATTGAAGGCAGTAGAGCAGCCCTGCATCTAACAAGAGCCCTAAGATGTAGAGTGGAAATCGTTGGTCTTAAGACAGTTCCTCAGATTACCCCACAACCAATATGATGTTGAGAGTGCAATCAAGAGTCTGTATATATTCCTAGGACCCACCCAAAACCATGAAATCAGAATCACTGGAAATATATGTTTCTTAACAAAGTACAATAAGAGAGTCTTATGATCCATCCAAACTGAAAAAGGAAACCAGGCAGATTTGGTTGACTCTTGTTTTCCTGTTTCTATTCCCCTGAACAGATGAAGATCAAGAGGCATTCCCTACAACCTCAACAGAAACTCTTATTATTAAAGAAGACCACTCTACATGTGTGCATGCGCACACACACACACATACATACCCCACTAAGAATTAGAAGAACCTCCATTACCCCCATCAATTGCCTTCACTCTACATGTAGACAACATGTGAGAAGCAAAAGAGAGAACCATGAGATCACAGTCCTTAGGACATGTCCAGTGCTTGTGCTAAGACATTAATTCTCTTCCTTTCAAATAAGGAAATGGAGGGGTCTTTTCCCTTCCCCAAACCAAAGAAAAGAGATTTCAAAAATATCACTTGTCAAGACTACAAGTGCAAGACTACACGACTCAATTGCCAGTTGCTAAGAGGGCCTGGGACATTCTGCCAGTGTTGAGATCTATGAGGAAGAAATGGTGCTATAGGTTCAGCCAGATAGAGATCTCCCACAGGATGTGAGAGAACTGTGCAGCGTTCCATGCAAGTTTCAGCATGTTGACACTTGCTTCCTAAGACCATGAAGTGGCACTCAGTGTCAGGCAGAGGGATGGGAACTATGAGAAATCATGCAAGTGGCATCACTTCTCCACTCTTGCCAATCACAACCCTCAACACTAGAGGAGTTATACATTGATATAGGAAGATAATCTGGGTTCCAAGACAGAGCAAACCTCCTTGAGCCCTGCCTTCCTGCCCTTTCCCCTCCCAGGGATTGAAGGAGAGTGAAAGAGCATCCTGCCCACTCCAAGTATCTCAAGCCAAGGCCTACCTGGTACTAGTGGGAGAAAGGAAGATGACATTTAAGTGGGAGTGTGAAAGGTGTTTTAAACTGAATTTACATTAATTGAAACTGGCAGGAAAAGCCACAGAAGCTGCCAGTGGGTTGTTAAGGATAGAAAAAAAGTATTCGTTAAAATAAGTTTAAAAAAAAAGAGGAAAAATATAAAGAATACTTTTTCATATTAGTATCCTTGCTCAATATCCTGGTTACACACATAATATAGTCAGACATGACTATTCCTACCACATGTGAGTAAGGTACCAGTTCCAGATTCTCCAGTTACATAGAAATATTTAGGTCTGTAGCCCCAGATACTCAGGAGGCTGAGGCTGGAGGATCACTTGAACCCAGGAGGTTGAGGCTACAGTGAGCTGTGATCTTGCCACTGCACTCCAGCATAGGTGACAGAGCAACACCCTGTCTTAAGAAAAAGAAAAAAATATTTAGGTTACATACAAAGATGATTCAAAATAAGACTTACCTACAAGAAAGTTTGGATAATGTATCTGTAGCACAAAAATCAAGAATTTTGGAGGGAGTTGGTTTACATGCAATTCTGAATTTTTGTTTTGAAACAGGGTCTTTCTGCTGCCCAGGCTAGAGTGCAGTGGCAAGATTATGGCTCACTGCAGCCTCAACTTCCCAGGCTCTAGAAATCATCTCACTTTAGCCTCCAGAGCAACTGGGATTACAGGTGTGTGCCACCACGACAAAATATGCTTTTCTTTTCTTTGTTTTGTTTTTTGTTTTGTTTCGAGACAGGGTCTCACTCTGTGGCCCAGACTGGAGTGCAATGGCACCATCGCGGCACACCGCAACCTCTGCTTCCTAGGCTCAAGTGATTCTCCTGCCTCAGTCTCCTGAGTAGCTGAGATTACAGGCATAAGCCACCACACCTGACCAAGTTTTTCTTTTTTACATTTTTTGTAGAGATGGGGGTCTCACTATGTTGACCAGGCTGGACTCAAACTTCTGGGATTAAGTGATCCCCCCACCTAGACCTCCCAAAGTACTGGGACTATAGGCATGAGCCACATATCCAAATTTGTTAAACTGATAAATTCATCAGAATTTGTGAATTCTGATAAATTCACAAATTCTGATATACATTTATAAATTCTGATTAATTTTATTAGATTTAGCATATAATCGTACCATTAAGTATGTGGTTAAACTTAGCCTATGATCTTACCATTAAGTATGTGGTTAAAAAAACTATTATGGGCTAAAATCATGTTAAATGGAAAAATTTAGATATTTAGAGAGTTTATGTAACTCTAATCCTTACAAAAAGCAAATAATGTTGATGCAGCCGTTAAAAAGCAATGCAATCTTAGGCCAGGCCAATAAAAGTAGTTTGTAATTTCAACACAGGATTCATAGTCCCACTGCAGCCCAAACTAAGTGATCCCTCCCTGGGTAATCACATTTTAGGACAATCACGAACAGGTTGATTCTATCAACAGTAGAGTGACCAGACTAGTGAAGATTCTGAAGGCAATACCACATGTTGAGCAGATGAGGAAAACTCATGGGTTTAACTTAGGATCATAGTAGGACAATCATAACAGCTCTTTCATTGATTTGAAGGGTTGTCATATAGTAGAAAGGAAGTGCTGTCTTTTAATGCTCCAAAAAACAAGAACACAAAAAAAAGAAGTTAGCAAGGATGGCTGTAGGGTTGAACAAGCCTTCTTCCCCACAGTGGTGGTGGCAGTGGGCGTGTGCTAAGTTTCTCACGGCTGGGGTTTCCCAGCAAAGGCTCGCTGACCATCTGTCAGAGATGCAGCAGAAAGACTTCCTGCACCAGGTGGGAGAATCCAGTACATGATCCCCAGGTTTCCTGCCAGCTCTAAAAGCCTATGTTTCTAATTGGACCACATACACATGGCCTCCCTTCACCTTTCTCTCCCATAAATATGAAAAAATTCTTTTAGAACAATGTAAAGGTGGAACTTTGTTTCTATGTTAACACAAAAGGGAAAACGAAAACAGAGCATGATTCTCAAGGTGATCCAATCTATGATGGCATTATTCATGCGGTTGTGCTCCTTCACAGATTTTATTTTCCCCTTTTTCTTTCCTTTTCTTTATTCTTTGCTTGCCTTTTTTTTTATGGAGGAGGAGGAGGAGGAAAAGAAGACTGATCTGGAAATTGCAAGCTTCTATGATTACATGCATAGAAATCATATTTTGGTACACCACAAAATAGTGTCATGACTTTCTTTGTATATAAGTATTTCCATCAAAGTTAGTACGATAGATGGCATGTTTTGATTATTAGTGATTTTATATTTATTTGTATTCATGTGCCTCCATTGCTAAGGACATGTCTAGACCACTTTCAAAGTCTAGAACCTGGAATTCCTCAGTGCAACCTGTTTGGTTAAATGAATTGCAAATCAGCTTTATAAAACATATGTTTTTTTTCTTATTAGTATGTAAAAGTCTACAGATGCCTTAAAACATTTCATTCATGCCTAAATTGGCAGGAATTTTTTTATTCCTTTTGGTTAATACCCTTCTCCCTGGGGTTCATGCAGAACTAATGCCAAACTTACTCAATGTGGTTAGCTTATGTTTGTGCAACAAGCTTATCATCCACGATGAACACATGGCTTTTAGGCACAGAAATTAATCAGTGCTGGAGAGACACAGTGCTGGCATGGATTCCAGGCTGTCTGCTTGCATAAGCCTGCACTTGGGATCTATTACACAAAGCAGGATCCAGGATTACAGAGCACAGAATCCCAATCATAGATCTTTGCCAGCCTCAAACTTTGCAGAAAATGTCTAACTGTTTTTGGGGAAAAGAGTGAGAAATATGGGTGGATAGTTAAAATTGGGTTAGTAATATGCCTTTTATAGAGGGCTCATGTGAGATTCAAATAGAATATTACATGCAAAACACTTTAATAATGTATGCCTTTCTTCATTTAAAAAAAGGACTTGAAGTAGTTTACAGTGACACATAAATATGGCAAGGTACCATAAATTTGAAATAGATAAAGAAGAAAAAAGCACAGAGCCATTTAAGGTAGCCAAGAATGAGGCTAATGTAAGTCTTGCGTCCTTGTTCTTGCTTTTTGGCAAAATCAGATTTGATCATTTTATCAGTCAATATATGAAGATTTCAAATCAGTTCCATAGTGCCAATGTCCATATGATTAAATTGCTCAAGAGATGGACAGGTATTCCCTAGATTATGGTAGTAGGAAGTTTATTTTGTGAGTCTTCCAAAATAGAACACTGTCTATTACAGTGAACAACATATCCTTCTCAACAACTTAGTAACATTTTCAGAGCCCAACTATGCCATATTGTGATACATTCAAAGCCATCCTGGAAGATTCAATAATCCACACAAGGTTCACAGCTCTCTGCTGATTTGTCTTCATCCAGAATGGCAAGTACAAGGAATAATGAACTGGTTGCTGTGAAAGCATTTTATAAATTGCAGAACAGTATGTAAATGCAAGGCATAATAATTTTCATTATCCTCTTGACTTTGAAAGCCAGGTGGTGAACTTGACACTTAAGTAATCCCCAACAGGAAACCTAAAATACTAACAACAAAGAAGACGACTATAAGAAATCTTATCTTCCTTTTGTTTCTGTTTTGCTGGTTAACGCTTTTCCTTTCAAATAGGTATGACAGTTGCACATTAGTATCTAAACTGGGAGATCAATCAGTGATTGTTCAATTTGTGGAAAAGTAATTGTGGATTTTGCCATCCTTTTTTTTTTTTTTTTTTCTGAGACAGAGTTTTTCTCTTATTGCCCAGACTGGAGTGCAATGGCGTGATCTCGGCTCACCACAAACTCCACCTCCCAGGTTCAAGCAATTCTCCTGCCTCAGCCTCCCGAGTAGCTGGGATTACAGGCATGAGCCACCACGCCTGGCTAATTTTTTATTTTTAGTAGAGATAGGGTTAATTCCATGTTGTCAGGCTGGTCTTGAACTCCTGACCTAAGGTGATCCACCTGCCTCGGCCTCCCAAAGTGCTGGGATTACAGGCATGAGCCACCACTCCTGGCCGGATTTTGCCATTACTTTTAATGGCAAAACCACGATTATTTTTGCACCAACCAAATACAAACATCCTCTAAGGTAATGACTCTCTGAACTTACTGGATTTCCTGCCTATCGTAGACAGGCAGATTCTCATAGTAGGGAGAGATGATTTACTCATGCAACAAAAACACAACATGAAAAATCTAAAATATCAAATAATTTAAAATGTTATTTGCATATTTGAATGTGGGTATATGTAATATTTTAGAAAGCACCAGTAATTCAAACCAAAGACAGATACTGCGTAATGACATAAAAACTGACCTCTGCTATCAAAGTCTTTTGTTACAACTTCCTACTGAAAATGGTCTTTGTTACATTGAGTTTAACCCAAAATACATCTATCTGGCTCCAGTATCTTCCCTCTCTAAAGATACTATCTATTTTGCTCTCCCATTTATGAGGGGCAGAACAGAAGAGTTTTGTTTTGACACTTTTAGTTTATTAATAGTTTAGTTTTAAATTTAAAGTAACCGCCTTAAAAAATAAATAAAATAACTTTCTTGATTCCTGAATAGACAGAGAAACAAGAAATGTTTCTTAATTATTGATTAAATATTCTTCAGTCTCTACTATGAACCACAATTTCTTGTCATCACAGAAAACAATAATATTAAAAATAATGAAAACAATTTTGGACAGTTTACTCAGCCAGGCACCATGCTAAGTTCTTTATATGCATTACCTCATACTATCATCATGGCAGCCCTATGAAACTACCTGGGATCATTTCCATTTCACATATAAAAAATTAATTCCCAGAGACACTAAATAACTTTCCCAAGGCTACAAAGCTAGTTAGCTGCAAAGTTAGCAGTGCAGGTATATTGTGATTCGGGAGTCCAAGTTTTGAACTACAACAATATAGAGGTTTATTGCTTCCTGGCATAAACCCAGGAACAAATAGAGAGGCACAATGCATAAGTGGTAGGACATGAAGAAACAGAGGGGTAAAAGTATTTTGAGGCAGGACAGCAATTCCAGTATTCTTGGATTATAAAAGGATTTCGTGAAGGAAATTTCAGCCAAGTCCCAAAGAAGATACAAGACTTACTCTTCTGAAACAGCAGTGAGGAAGAAGGAAAGGGTATCCCAGATAGAGCAAACAGCATATTTCTACCATGCCTATAGACTAGATCTAAATTCAGCATAAAATACAGTACAGACAGTGGTAATGTGAAAAAGAGAAGCTAAACATTTCATTGTCTGTAAAGAAATTTAATGCATCATAAACATAATCATTGAAAACAAAACATAAGTCCACTAGTGAGAAAAATAAGAGGACATTTGATTATACTGAGATCTGGAGGCATAAATCATATTTAATTATTGTTCTCTTCTAGGATGTATATTACACATTGCTCTATTCTCCAGAGAGCTTAAAGGGCCTTCAA
This sequence comes from Homo sapiens, assembly GCF_000001405.40. NCBI lineage: Eukaryota > Metazoa > Chordata > Mammalia > Primates > Hominidae > Homo > Homo sapiens. Next base: position 137,084,740 of record NC_000007.14, read on the forward strand.
GGACTTTCTCACCTCCATCAGCTTATCCCCCAGTTTTATTTAGTAGTCTTATCCACTGACACTTGAAATATTGTTCTAATTAAAGCATCGGCTCTTTAGGGGTGCTGTGAAATTTCTCCTGGAAACACGCCCTCTTGTCTTTCTCATCATGAAACCAGGAAAAAGCTTGACGGACTCATCAAGTTTTGGGTCTCTTTAAAGCCTCTAGCAATTCATACCATAATCTTTCCTATGAATGATTGTCAGATATGGGATTATAAATCACCATGCTAGACCTAAAGGTTAGCTTTTTCAGCATTTTTTATGCTTTTCAAAATTTCCATAAGAAAATAAATGCTGAAGGATCAGCAAGCTAAACAGCTTGGACACCCACTGCTGCCACACAGGCGTGTGAAATGCCTCCATCTGACTCAGAATTAGAGATGTAAAATTGTCATCCAGCTCTGGAGTTGGAACTTGGCATTAAAAGTATTTATAACGTGTGTGAGTAGAAACTGTGGGCTTGGAAAATCACTGCTGGAAAACTGGAATTCTTAAAAGAAATTCTAACAAGCTAAAAGGGTTCTGGGCAGAATATGTAAATATGGAGGAAATAGTCCATCTGCTGGGATATCTCCCAATTACCTAAATATAGTAATAGCTATATTAGTCAAGAATGAATAATACCTTGTATGCTTATTTACACAGAAAAAGAATTCTATGTTTTATCTCGTGCTATTTTACACTGTTGAAATGCAATTCTTACTTTTCCTCTTATCAGTTGCCACCCTTTTATATTGACATATACCACAAATTAATTTATTCATTTAAGAAATATTTGTGACTACCATGAAGCAGGCAAACTCCTTAAAAGGGTGAGTACAATTTTGAAAATTGTGAAGACCCTAGAGTGGGACAGATATTGGTATATTCAAGAACACTGAAAAGAATCCCATGTCATTGTTTCTGCTTTAGTATTGGAAAGATTGTCATGAAATAAGGCCAATGAAGAGCAGAGCTAGATCTTAACAGCTGAATTCCTGTGTGGCTATCCTTACCTTTCAGGCATGTAACCCTTGAGACAAAATATAACCTGTTAATTAAGATAAAAATGTTTAAAGATTTTTTTAAGCTAAAAGTGAGAAGTTCTATCAAAATCCTGGTTGTTTTACATATACTTTTCCAATCAATTACATTTCAGATTTTGATTTACATTTAGAATGAATGTAATTTTGAAAATAAATAGTCATCTTTGCATGGTATAAGAGAGATGGCTATTCCTGTCATGGTGAGTTAGATCAAACATCACTAGGATTTTCAATTCAATATTTGAAGAACAATATACAGTGGCTAATTTTTTTTCCTTGGCAGTCAAACTTTTATATGGCCAAATAAGGTAATTTAAAATAAAACAGCCAATTACCACTTCTATCATTTCATAAAATGAAGGATAATTTTACAACAAGATTGGGAATGGTATTTGTATTAGTCAATTCTCATGCTGCTATAAAGAACTGCCTGAGACTGGGTAAATTATAAAGGAAAGAGGTTTAATTGACTCACAGTTCTGCAGGGCTGGGGAGGCCTCAGGAAACTTACAATCATGGCAGAGGGGGAAAGCAAACATGTCCTTCTTCATATGGTGGCAGGAAGGTGAAGAATGAGAGCAGAGCAAAAGGGGAAGCCCCTTATAAACCATCAGCTCTTGTGAAAACTTACTCTCAAGAGACTAATTGGGGAAGCCACCCCCATGATTCAGTTACTTCCCACTGGGTCCCTTTCACCACATGTGGGAATTATGGGAACTAAAATTCAAGATGAGATTTGGGTGGGGACACATCCAAACCATATCAGTATTATTTCAGAATTTTTAAAGTATTAAACTTAAATTTATAAGTTTAAAATTATAAACTTAGTTTTATAAAAAATGAATTAAATATCCTTATTGTTTCAATTTCCCTTGAAAGCCTTGATATCTTCTTCACTGACCAACAGACCAGTATTTAGTAGTCATTAACATATATGACAAACTATAAGAATTCTGACATGGAATTGATGAGTTACATATCCTAAATTCTGACAGGTAACTCTCAGTACCAAGAGGTCACATAAAATCCTAATAATGAGTCAAGGGGTCAGTTCCTGAAGTGAACCTGTCCTCACATGCTCTGAGAACTGAGAGAGGCTTGCTTCACTGGCATAGTGGTAGGGCTGTAAGGAGCCTGCAGGAGGATACAGATTGTGAAGTTAACCTGGAAAAATACCACCTACAATGAGTATACTTTAAGAACACTGGAACCAAAACTAGGTGCTTGCTGTGAAATGCATGGAATGTAGCAGGTGGGAGGAATCCTAACAGTTGCTGAGACTAGTGCAGGGCAGTGGTTCATAAGTGGTCCAGAGCAAAGGGGCCTAATGGATTTACGCAAATGACTCCGCATGTCTGTGGTTTTCTCTATTTCTGAGTTTAATCGCTGCTACCACACATATCATGACTCCAACATTGTAATTAACTATTATGCAGCCTGCATTCTTGAAGGGAAGTATTCATACTAGATGAGTATATCTTCCAGGTCAAGGAAGAAGCTGACAAAAGTTAGGACTCATAACTTTTATGAGGTTACACTCAATGAGAATATATGCTGCATTTCTATAATTTCTCAAATTTCTTATACTCAAATCTCCCTGTGTCTGCACAGGAATTAAAGCTTTGAACATCAATGTAGTCAGTATGTATTCAGTGGCTCTTTTCTCTGAAGACCAAAGAATGTCCTCTGTCAATTTTCTTTCTTTTTTCCCTTGAAGTTCTATTGTTTGGATATCTTACCTAGATTCTATAAATGTCTTATTTTTGCCCTTATTTTTCTTTACTTTGTCTTTTTGTTGCATTCTGTTGAAGAGTTTTACATCTAAAATATATAAATATTCCATTGAATTATAAAAATCTGCCATAAGATTTTTGTCTAAAATCTTTAAAAAAATACTTTTGTGGGCTATTATGGTTCCCACTAGCCATACGTGGCTACTGAGCATTGAAATGTGATTAGGCCAAATTCAGGTATACTGTTAAGTATAAGTACAGTACACAACAATTTTGAAGACTTAATATAAAGATTTATTTCAATATTCTTTTCTTTTCATTGTGTTTTTGTTTCATGAATCTAATGATTTTTGTTTTTATTGTGTCTCTTTGAATGTCTATGGTAGTTTTGTACCGTCAACTAACCTAAGTTGGAATTATGTTACCTGGAATTTGCATCCCTCTATTGTTCTAGGCCAGAGTGGGTCAGTGTACAGCATCAAGTGCAACTGTAGATCATATATGTTGCTACTTATCTGCTGTCATGACACTATTATATAATATTTATTTAAAAGGGTCAATATGGCTGAGTACAGTGGATTACACCTGTAATTCCAGCAATTTGGGAGGTCAAGGCCGGCAGATCACTTGAAATCAGGAGTTTGAAACCAGCCTGGGAAACATGGCGAAACCACATCTCTACTAAAAATACAAAAATTAGCCAGCCATGGTGGCACATGCCTGTAATCCCAGCTACTCAGGAGGCTGAGGCATTGCTTGAACTCTGGAGTGGGAGATTGCAGTGAGCCAAGATCACACCACTGCACTCCAGCCTGGGCAACAGAGTGAGAATTTGTCTCAAAATAATAATAATAGTAATAAATAAAATAAAGATAAATAAAAAGATCAATATAAAGGAGGGTGAGGGAGAAATACCCAGGATGACCACAGACACTAAAAGTAGGAGGACAACAGAATAAGGACCACACAAAAAAGGCTTTATGAGATGAAGGGATAAAGCCTAAGAGGAAATTGGTACCATGTGAAATAAAACATCCTGAATAGTGAAAATTGCATAATATACATATTTGGGATTTAAAAAAAATGACTTCTGAATTTAACCTAACTTGGGGGAAATACAGATTTCATAGTCAAATTAGGGGTTAAAAAATGTTACTTGGATTGGATTTTTAAAAAAATACTTTTCTTCATTTGGAAATTTTCTTGAATCCTACCATATTTCTGAAGTTAGCCTGCTTTTCAGCTTTGTAAGATGATCATTACATGCCTTCCTTTTTCTAACCAAATTTCTTCAAATATCTTACCATGCTGCACTCATAGCATTCACCTGATAACCCAACTTTCAGCTGACAATTCTGTCCTACTTTTCATTAAGTAATTAAAATTTAGTAGAAAAAAAATGGTTCTCATCTTCCAACCACTCAAGATAGAGATACAAATGTATCTTTGCCCATCTTCTGTGTATGCCAGATAAACCCTCAAGCTTTTCTGAAGAATTCATGAAGAAACAAAATTGCTTCCTTTCGACCTTCAAGATACCCTACCACAGCTGGCTTTTTTCCTAGCTACAAATTTATAACAACAAAATTCACTGTTCCAAACTTTCTCTCCCCTCTTTCCACTTTCTCTTAGTAGTCTGTTTTTGTCTTTGTTTATTGACAGCAGCTAAATCTTCTTCATAAATGTAGATAAATTATTACCATGGTACAACTAACTCAATATTTCTGAATTGCCTTTTGATAATTCATTTCTAGAGTTGTCACTGAATCATTATTGGACTGAGTTCTACAATTGTAGCCAATAAAATTGTGTACTCTAAAGTCTAAATTGTACACTTTGAGAGAATCAATTTATCTTAGTTCCTCTGGTAAGTCTCATTTGTAGTAGGAATTCAATACTTCAACTCCAACATGCTAAATAGATACTTTCAGTTAATGTTTGTTTCTGGTTATAATGATGATTTGTGCATAGCTGATTTTTGTTCTTACATATTGCAAAAGTGAAGTAATCTGTCCTTTGATTTTTTAGTTTGATTATCTAGAGATTTCTGCAGACAACAGGGGTTTGGTCTCTGTCAGGTGACAGATATTAGGAATTTGAGTTTGTAAAAATGTAGTCTCTGTGTTAGCTTGATGTTTCTGATACTTTTGAAATTTGGGAGTGAGAAGTCATTAGTATTTTGTCCTTCCATTCATAAACAGACTCTGTGTTTGTTTTTGCTGTGTTTGCACCAATGTGGATTCCTCTAATTTTAAAGATCAGAGACCCCTTTTTTCCCTTCTCAAACTAAGATTTTTTTAAAAAAAAGTTTTTTCATTATGGCCATAATAGTTTTTAATATGTACAAAAATAAAATTTCAAGATCAAAGATGATATTCTTTTTCAATGACTTTTTTTAAGGAACTTTTTTTATGGTTATAAATCAAAAGTGTTACATCTAAGTGGAGCCTTAGAGTAGAAATGAAAAATAATTCCCAGAATGAAAAGAAATTACCTGTCCTTGATTGGAACACAGAAGTCTAAAAAACAGAATAATTCTATATTAAAGTTTCTTGAGACATTTTATTAAAGCTGTATGAAGAAAACAGAAATTTATATCATCAAATTAAAATTTTTTAAAATTAGGGATTTTAATAGACATAATTTTTTGAAAATCAACAGCTTTATTGAGGTATAATAGACATATAATAAGCTACACGTATTTAAGGTGTATAATTTGATGTTTTGGTATAGGTATACATCCGTGAAATCATCACCACAATTAAGATACTGAATCTATCCATCATCTGCACAAGTTTCCTTGTACCACTTGGTAATTACACCATCCCTCCAAAGCAGATAACCCTTGATCTGCTTTCTGCCATTGTACATTAAGTGGCATTTTCTAAACTTTATATAAATAAAAACCTACAGTATGTATTGATCTTTGTATAGCTTCTTGCACTTTACATAATCACCTTACGTTTTTATTATGTTATAATGTATAGCAATAGTTCATTTTTATTTCTGAGTACTATTGCACCGTACGGACTAGGACTGTCTGTTTATCCATTCACATGTTGATGGGCATTTGCATTATTTCTAGTATTGGCTGATACAAGTAAAGCCACTAGGAACATTCATGTGCAAATCTTTTTCTCTTGGTAAATACATAGGAAGGGAAACGTTGGATCATATGGTAGGTGTATGTTTAACTTTTTTAGAAACTGACAAATCATTTTGCAAAATGGTTGTATCATTTTATATTCCCACAAGCAGTCTGTGGGAGTTCCAAGTTCACTACTTCCTTGCCAACACTGCGTATGGTCAGTTTTTAATTTCAGACATTTTTAGTTATAAGATATCCACTTAGTTTTTAAAAATGTACCTTCTAGTTTCTTGCTGAGACTTTCTCTTTTTTCTTCATCTGTCTCAAATATGTTCATAACTGCTTGTTGAAATATTATTGTGACAGCGCTTTAAAATCCCCATTAGACAAATCTAACATCTGTCATTTCAGTGTCGGTACCTGTTGATTATCTTTTCTCATTAGAGATTGTCCCGATTCTTGGAATAATAAACAATTTCAATTAATACCATCATTTTGGGTAGGATGTTGTAAGACTCTGGTTTTATTAAATGTTCTGTTTCAGGATGGCTCCTGTAACATTGCTTCCACAGTTGAAGGAAGGGGTCACAACCTCATTACTTCCAGGTAGGAATGGAAGTCCAGTTCTCTCCTCAGTAACAAGAAGCCCCTCCTCTTTAGGTGCCAATGGAGGCTGGCATATAAGAGGGAGAGGCTCCTTGTTACTGCTGGGTGGGTGTAGGAGTTCAGGCTCCACTCTAGACTTCCACTGACACCAATCTGCCTAGGAAGGTATACCTTATTACTATTCCCACCTGGCCTCCTCCTAAACTATGGTGATGTCCTTATTACTGCTGAGAAGTACTGAAAGTCTTGATGCTCTACTAGGCCTCCTCTGATAACCCTCCTACAGGGAAGGGGAAAAACTCCTCATTACTCCCAGATAGGGTGAGAGTCCAGCCTCCTCGTATGGTCTCTGCTGACCCCTCTTGGGGAATGTGGCTTGTTACTGCTGAGTGGGGCATAAGTATTCACTATCCACTAGGTCTCCTCTGACACCCACTGATAAGGAGAATGAAGTGCCTTTTACTGCTGGGTGCAGGTGGAAAGTTCAGGCTCCTCACCACATGATCTTTACAAACACAGCGGAGAGGCAGAGAAATGGCATTTTTTACTACCAGTCAGGGTTACTGGAGGTAAAAAGAAAACCTAAGAAATTCCACAGGTTCCAACGTCTTTATCTGGGTTGCCTATTTATCTCCAACTTTCAGAATCATTATGCTTGTTTTATACAAGTGTGTCTATGGTTTTAGCTATACATAATGCAAGGAATAGGGAAAATTATGCCTACTCCATCTTCCTGAAAGTGGAAGTCTATTTTTGAGTCTTGAGGACTTTTTCTATATCTTGAATAAAAGTCCATTATCAATTGTATGATTGCAAATATTTTCTTCCAGTTTGTGAATGTACTTCTTATTCTCTTAACAGTGTCCTTTGAAGGGTAGCAGTGTTTATATTGTATGAAGTTCACTAAATTTGCTCTTTTACATGGTGGGCTTTGGAAGTTATGTCTAACAAAGTGTTTTCTAATTCAAATAAAGTTTTTTTTCCTGTTCTTTGTTTATACGTTTTATTGTTTTAGATTTTACATGTAGGTCCATGATCCAATTTGAGTTGATTTTTGTATATAGTAAGTGGTATAAATAAGAGTTAATTTTTTACGAGTATCCAATTATTCTGGCAACATTTGTTGAAAAGAATATTCTTTTTTACTGAGTTATCTTGACATCTTTGTGCTTCCATATATTTCTTCGCTCTCTATTTTGTTCCATTTTTCTATTTGCACCAATAACACATGGTCTTGTTGACTAAAGCTTAAGTCTTTAAATCACATAATGTTAGTCCTCCAATTGGTTCTAATTTTTCAGTTTTTAAAAATATTCTAGGTCTTTTACATTTCCATGTAATTTTAGAATGTTTGTTAATGTCTACCAAAGAAAAAAAAGCCTGCTAATTTGTTGGTTGGTATTGTACTGAGTCTATAGATCAATGTGGAGATAATTTATATGTAAATAATAATTGAATCCTCTGACTCATGAACACAGTATATCTCTCCATTTTGTAAGATCTTCCCTAATATCTCTCAGCAGTGTGTTGTAGTGTTCTGTATACAGGTCTTTCATATCTTTTGTTTGATTAGCTCTTTTGTCATATATTTGCTGTTATTTTGAAAGTTATTTTATATTCAATTTCTAATTTTTTTGACATTATGTATAAATGCTATTGATTTTATTGTATTAAATTTATATCCTGTATCCTTGCTAAACTTATTAGTTGTAGTAGATTTCTTTTGTATATTCCATGAGACTTCTCTGTAAACAATCATGTAAAAAGAGCCACAATGGCCAACTAGGCATAGCCAAGAAGAGCATCTCCCACTGAGAGACCAGAGCATCAAGAAGACTGGCATTCCAAGCAGATCTTCAGAAGGAAGAGTAGACAGAGGGAGGGATAAAGGGGGAGGAAGCTGAGAACCCTGCACCAGGACTCATTCCTGGAATCCAGCAGCTCCTGAAGAAGTGATGAGTTAAATAGGCAAGGAGTGATCAAGTCTCACTATGGACCTCCAGAATCCTAGCTGCAGGAGACCCAGTAACCCCAATGGATGTATGAGCTGACAAGAAGAGCTGCCTAGAGAGGTGGAAGGAACAGGACTCCAGCCTGTGTGGAGCACAGAGACTTTGGTGCAGGAACAGCTGCAGTGGAGCACAGCCAGGGACACCCATCCCACAAGGCTTGCCACGTTTCTCCAAGTGGTTTTAGCTTTTGTTGACTGTCAGACCCGGACAAAGCCAAGCTGTCTTGCCTGTATTCTAGGGCCAGTCTGATTTGAGCTCCCTCATCTGCTAGCCTCTCCCGGAGTCCCTGTGTGGCCACACTTGCTTGCAGCACAGCTTCTGATGCCCAACTGGAGCATTTCCTTGCAGCCACCGCCATAGCTCTTTTGCCAGTATACCCCACCTAACTGTTGGAGAGCTTCAAAAGATGGGCCCCCACTGATGCACACCCACCCACAGCCTCCCACCACCACTTTGCTGGTGCCCACTTGCCAACAGCCTCCCCATACCGCTTTGCTTGTGTGCATAGACCTCACTGCCCTGCGATCACCAGTACACAAGTATGACACTGCCATGCCACCACCCCACTGCCACCAGCACATGCACACGTGTGGATGTCACCACCTCACCCTCATTGGTGTGTGTGCACCCCACTGCCCTGCCACCACCAGCATGACTGCAGACCCACCATGTTGCCATCCTGCCACCAAGCACGCACGTAAAGGCAGGCCCCATTGCCACTGCCCTGACCAAAGTGCTTTTGCTGGCACTCACCACTGGAGTATTATTGCCAGGAGACCCGGAACACCTCTACCTCTCTAGCACAGCAGGTGCTTAATCTTAAAGTGCCAGAGAACAAAGCCATGGGTATTGTTCCAGCCGTCCAGTGTTACAACCTGCAGCTCAGGAGTGCTAAGCTGAGTCTTGGCCCCATGAAATTATTCATTAATAAAGCCAGGTGACAGAACCCAAATTACACCACAGTCAAAGCCTCAAGAGGATCAGATAATATAAAAGCAAAAGGCCCCATCCAAAGGACAGCAATGTCAAACACTAGAGGAACATTAGCCCACAAAGATGAGAAAGAAGCAGTGCAAGAACTCTGGCAATTCAAAAAACCAGAGTGTCTCCTTACCTCCAAATGACCACACAATCTCACCTGCAATGGTTGTTAACCAGATTTAAATGACTGAAATGACAGACAAAGAATTCAGAATCTGAATAGCAATGAAGATCATTGAGATTTGGCGGAAAGTTGAAACCCAATCCAAGGAAGCTAAGGAATCCAATTAAACAATACAAGAGCTGAAAGGCAAAATAGCCACTTAAAGAAAAAAAAAAAAACCAACCTATCTAATAGAGCTGAAAAAATCACTAAACAAGAATTTCATAATACAACTGGAAGTACTAACAGCAGAATAGACCGAACTGAGGTAGGAACCTCAGAGCTCAAAGACTAGTTCTTTGAATCAACTCAGACAAAAATAAAGAAAAAAAAATGACCAAAACCTCCAAGAAATATGGGATTATGTAAAGAGATCAAACCTATGACTCCTTGGTGTCTGTGAAAGAGAAGGAGAGAGAACAAGTGACACAGAAAACAGATTTGAAGATACTGTCCATGAAAATTATCCCAACATCAATAGAGAGGTCAACATTCAAATTCAGGAAATTCAGAGAACCCCTATGAAATACTATACAAGATGACCATCCCCAAGACAACATATTTATCAGATTCTCCAAGGTCAATGTGAAAGAAAAAAAATATTCAAAGTGGCTAAAGAGAGGGGGCAGGTCACCTACAAAGGGACTCCATCAGGCTAACAGCAGACCTTTCAGCAGAAACCCTATAAGTCAGAAGATATTGGCAGTGTATATTCAGCATTCTTAAAGAAAAAAAAATCCCAACCAAGAATTTCATATCCAGCCAAACTATGCTTCATAAGTAAAGGAGAAATAAAATTCTTTTCAGACAAGCAGATGCTAAAGGAATTTGTTACCACAAGACCTGCCTTGCAGAGGTTCTTAAGGGAGTGTTAAACATGGAAATGAAAGACCATTAGCAGCCACCACAAAAATACACTTAAACACATAGGCCATTGACACTATAAAGCAATTACACAATCAAGTCTTCATAACAACCAGCTAACAACACAATAACAAGATAAAATCTACACATATCAATATTAACCTTGAACATAAATGAGCTAAGTGCCTCCACTTAAAAGGCACAGAGTGGCAACTTGGTAAAGAAGCAAGAGCCAACTCTCTGCTGTCTTGAAGAGACCCATCTCACATGCAATGACACTCATAGGTTCAAAGTAAAGGAAGGGAGAAATATCTACCAAGAAAATGGAAAACAAAAAAGAGTAGGGTTTGCTAGTCTAATTTCAGTCAAAACAGACTTTAAACTGACAACAATCAAAAAAGCAAAAGGAGGGCATGATAAAGAGTTCAATTCAACAAGAAGACATAACTATCATAAATATATATACACTCAACAATGGAGCACCCAGTTTCATAAAACAAGTTTTTAAAGACCTAAAAAGAGACTTAGATAACCACACAATAATAATGAACTTCATCACCCCTTAACTGTATTAGGCGGGTCATTAAGGCAGAAAGCTAACAACGATATTAGAGAGCTAAACTTGAAACTTGACCAAATGAACCTAACACATATCTACAGAACACTCTACCCAACAAAGACATAATATACATTCTTCTCATCTGCACATAGAAGGTACTCTAAAATTGACCATATGCTTGGCTGTAAAACAATTCTTAACAAATTAAAAAAAAAATCCAAATCAGACCAACCACACTCTAGGACTATAGTGCAAGGAAAATAGAAATCAATACTAAGAAGATCTCTCAAAATCATACAATTATGTGGAAATTAAATAAGATGCCTCTGAATGAATTTAGGGTAAACAATGAAATTAAGGCAGAAATCAAGAAATTTATGGAAACTAATGAAAACAAAGATACAACATACCAGAATCTCTGAGACAGCTACAGCAGTGTTGAGAGGAGATTTTATAGCACCAAACACACACATCAAAAAGTTACAACGATCTCAAATTCACAACCTAATATTACATCTATGAAAACTGGAAAAACAAGAGCAAACCAACCACAGAGCTAGCAGAAGAAAGGAATAACCAAAATCGGAGTTTAACTGAAAGAAATAGAGATGCAAAAAGCAGTACAAAAGATCAATGAGACAAAAAATTGATTCATTTGAAGAATAAATACAATTGATAGACTGCTACGTAGACTAATAAAGAAAGAGAGAAGATCCAAATAAATGCAATCATAAATGACAAAGGGAACATTATCACTGACCTCACAGAAATAAAATAAACCTCAGAGATTATTACGAAAACCTCTACGCACAAAAACTAGAAAACCTAGAAAAAGGAATAAATTCCTGGAAACACACCACCTCCCAAAATTGAACTAGGAGGAAATGGAAACCCTAAACAGACCAATGGCAAGTTCCAAAATTGAATCAGTAATAAAAAGGCCATTAGCTAGAAAAACTCCTGCACCAGATGGATTCACAGCTGTATAAACAAGTGCTGGTACCACTCCTACTCAAACTATTCCAAAAAAATGAGGAGGAAGGATTCCTCCCTAACTCACTCTATGAGGCCAGCATCATCCTGATATTAAAACCTGGCAAAGACACAGCAATGACAACAAAAAATATTCAGGCCAACATCCTTGATGAACACAGATGCAGAAATCCTTGACAAAATACTAGCAAACCAAATCTAGCAGCACATCAAAAAGCTGATCCACCATGATCAAGTAGGCTTCATTCCTGGGATGCAAGGTTGGTTCACCATATGCAAATCAATAAATTCAATTTATCACATAAACAGAACTAAAAACAAAAACTTCATGATTATCTAAATAAATGCTGAAAAGGTTTTTGATAAAATTTAACTTTCTATCAGGTTAAAAACCCTCAACAAACTAGGCCATGAAGGAACATGCCTCAAAATCGTAGGAGCCATCTATGACAAAACCACAGCCAATATTATACTGAGTGAGCTAAATCTGGAAGCATTCCCTTTGATAACCAGAACAAGACAAGAATGCCCACTCTCACCACTCTTACTCAACATTGTACTGGAAGTTGTAGCCAGAGCAATCAGTCAGGAGAAAGAAAGGAAATGCATCCAAATTTTAAAAAGAGGAAATAAAACTATCTCTCTTTACTGATGATATGATTTTATATTTAGAAAATCCCAAAGTCTCTTCCCAAAGGCTCCTACATCTGATAAACAACTTCAGCAATGTTTCAGGATATAAAATGAATGTATAAAATCAGCAGCATTTCTGTACACCAACAGCATCCAAACTGAGAGCCAAATCAAGAATGCAATTATATTCACAATAGCCACACACACGAAAATAAAGTACCTAGGAATACAGTTAACCAGGCTTGTGAAAGATCTCTATAATGAGAGAGAAACAAAACAAACAAATGTAAAAACAAATCCATGATAAGAAGAACCAATGTTGTTAAAATGGCCACAATGTTCAAAGCAATTTAAAACTACAATGCTAGTTCTATCTAACTACCAATGGCATTCTTCACAGAATTAGAAAAAAATTCTAAAATTTATATGAAACCAAAAAGTAGCCCGAATAGTCAAAGCAATCCTAAGTGAAAAAGAACAAAGCTGGAAGCATCACATTACCTGACTTCAAACTATACTACAAGGCTCCAGTAAAAAAAAAAAAAACAGCATTGAACTGGTACAAAAACAGGTTAGAGAACCCAGAAATAAGGCTACAAACACACTTAATGATCTTCTGATCTTCAACAAAATCGAGAAAAAATGTAATGGGGAAAGGACTCTCTACACAATAAATGGTGCTGATATAACTGGCTAGCCATATGTAGAAGAGCAAAACTGGACTGCTCCCTTGCACCATATACACAATTAACTCAAGATGGATTAAATAATCAGATATAACGGGAGGCTGAGGCAGGAGAATGGCGTGAACCTGGGAGGCAGAGCTTGCAGTGAGCCGAGATCATGCCACTGCACTCCAGCCTGGGCGACAGAGTGAGATTCTGTCTCAAAAAAAAAAAAAAAAAAGAATCAGATAAAAAACCTAAAACTATACAAACCTTAGAAGAAAACTTATGAGTTATCATTCTGGACATAGGCTATGGCAAAGATTTTGTGATAAAGAGTCCAAAAGCAATTGCAACAAAATCAAAAATTCACAAATGGAAAATAATTAAACCCATGGGCTTCTGCACAGCAAAAGAAACTATTAACAGTAAACAGAACCTATAGAATTGGAAAAAATATTTGCAAACTAAGCATCTGACCAAGGTCTAATATCTAGATATAAAGATCTTAAACAAATTAACAAGCAAAAAATAATAACTCCATTAAAATATGGGCAAAGAACATGAATAGACACTTTTCAAAAGAAGATATACGCAAAACCAACAAGCATATGAAAAATGCTCAACAACACTAATCACTAGAGAAATGCAAATCAAAACCAAAATAAGATATCATCTCACACCATTCACAATGGCTGTTATTAAAATGTCAAAAAATAACAGACGCTGGTGGTGTTGCAGGGAAAAGGGAATACTTATACACTACCAGTCAGAATGTAAATTAGCTCAGCCATTGTGGAAAGTTTTAGTGTAGGGATATCTCAAAGAATTAAAATAAAACTATCATTTGACCCAGCAATATGGTATACTGGGTATATGCCCAAAGGAATACAAGTCATTTTATCATAAAGTCACATGCACTCCTATGTTTATCACAGCACTATTCGCAACAGCAAAGACATGGAATCAACCTAAATATTCAATAACAGTGGAGAGGATAAGGACACTGTGGTACATACACAACATGCAATACTACACAGCAATAAAAAAGAATAAAATCACGTCCTTTGCAGAAGCATGGGCGGAGCTGGAGTCTATTATCCTAAGTGAATTAACACAGGAACACAAAATCAAATACTACACATTGTCACTTATCAATGAGAGCTAAATATTGAGTACACAGACACAAAAAAGGGAACAAAAACCACCAGGACCTACTTGAGGGTAGATGATGGGAGAACAGTAAGGATTGAAAAACTACCTATCAGGTATTATGTTAATCACCTGGGTAATGAAATAATCTGTACACCAAACCCCTGTGACTTGCAATTTATTCCTGTAACAAAGCTGTACATGTACCCTAAACCTAAAATAAAAATTTGAAAGAAAAAAAAATCATGTCAGCTGGGAATAGAGGTATTTTTTACTTTTTCTTTTTCAATATTGATATGGTTTGGCTGTGTCCCCAAATAAATCTCATCTTGAGTTGTAGCTCCCATAATCCCCACTCTTTACAGAAATGTAATGTGTAAAGTGAAATGAAGAAAAGGAATTTAGTCCACCTGTATTTATTGTAAATAACTGGTATATTAGGATTTCTTTCTATCACCTCACTTTCTGTGTGTGTGTTTTTGATTTTTTGTTTTGTTTTCTCTTTCTGTTTCTTTCTTGCCTTCAGTATTGCTCTTCTAGTAGCACATTCACAATTTGCTTGACTAAAATTTTCTTGTCTTCAGTTAGTACATGATACCAGGAATAAAGTTATTTTTCTCACTAGAAATATTCATAGGTAGTAATTTCATAGATATTACTTTATCGTACTTTCTTCTGACTTCCACTGCTCTTAAAGTTAGCTATTAAACTGATTGCTGTTCCTTAAAAAGTTATCTACTTATGACTGTTTTTGAGATTGGTTATCAATGATTTTCATTTTACCATACTTTATAGGTTAAGAATTATTTTTTAATTTATGTGACTTGAGATTTACATTGTATCCTAAATGTGTAGTTTAGTGTCTTTCATAAGTTCCATAAAATGTTTGATCTTCAAATGTTGCCTCAGCACATTATTTGTCTTCTTTTCCTGAACTCTGATTAAAAAACATATTAGACCTCACTCTATCTCTAATGTCACCTTATTATTTTCAATTCTTATTTTCCATCTTTGTTTTCTCTCTGGGCTACATTATAGATCATGTCTTTATACCTATCTCCCATTCTACTACTTCTTTCTTTAGTTGTATCTATTATGTTATTACAACTTATGTTTTGTTTTTTTGCTTGTTTCACTTTTAATGATTATGCTTTATTTTTAGTTCTAGGAATTTTGTTCCTAACCTGTATTTTTTTTTTTTTGAGTCAGAGTCTCGCTCTGTCGCCCAGGCTGGAGTGCAATGGTGTGATCTCGGCTCACTCCGACCTCCGCCTCCTGAATGCAAGCAATTCTTTTGAAACCCTTTACATTTAAGTACTTTAAGCATATGTATGTGATATTTTATGTCTGAATATTCCAATTTGCAAGCCTGACTTCTCAGTCTATTGTTTCTGCTGGGTTTTGCTTATGCTATGTTTTCCTTAAGTGTTTTGTGATTTTTTTTTTTTTTTTGGCTATATGAACACATTTTTCAGAATTTATTTTGAGGAATACTTTGAAGTTCAGGTAACTTCATTCAGAGAAAATTTTTATCTAAACTAAACTCTTGACTTCAAGAACCACAATTTTTCAAACACCACAGATAGTGGGAATTCTAGCTGAAAATCTGCATGGTTATGAGTTTTCAGGGATAAAATATTTTCTACTCCACTACCTGACAAGAATTTTTGCATTCATTTTCACTGCAGTTTCTGAAGTCTCTTGGTAGCAAGTATTAAGAGTATTGATTGGCCAGACGCAGTGGCTCACGCCTGTAATCCCAGAACTTTGGGAGGACAACGCGGGCGGATCACAAGGACAGGAGATCGAGACCATCCTGGCGAACACAGTGAAATGCCATCTTTACTAAAAATACAACAAAATTAGCTGGGCATGGTGGCGGGCACCTGTAGTGCCAGCTACTCGGGAGGCTGCGGCAGGAGAATGGCGTGAACCCGGGAGGTGGAGCTTGCAGTGAGCCGAGATCACGCCACTGCACTCCAGCCTGGGCGACAGAGAGAGACTCCATCTAAAAAAAAAGAGTATTGATCAATTATTTAAATTATTGAATTGATATAATGAAAAATAGATCTCATGACTGGTCCATCTTTTCAAAGACTTTTAGTTTATTGGCAGAAATATGTTCATAAGTTTGCATTTTACTTTTTGTATATTTGTAATTTCTCAAATTATGATCCCTTTTCAAAATCAATATGGTTACTTTCTGTCTTCTCTCATAAATACTGTCATTTAGAATGCTTTAATCCAGATCATCCTACCAATATTATGTGTATTCTTGTGTGGTATTGTTTCATACTCTCTAGTAGTAATTGTTATTCTTTTTTTTTTTTTTTTTTTTTTTGAGACGGAGTCTCCCTGTCACCCAGGCTGGAGTGCAGTGGCGCTATCTCGGCTCACTGCAGGCTCCGCCCCCCGGGGTTCACGCCATTCTCCTGCCTCAGCCTCCCGAGTAGCTGGGACTACAGGCGCCCGCTACCTCGCCCGGCTAATTTTTTGTATTTTTAGTAGAAACGGGGTTTCACTGTGTTAGCCAGGATGGTCTCGATCTCCTGACCTCGTGATCCACCCGCCTCGGCCTCCCAAAGTGCTGGGATAACAGGCGTGAGCCACCGCACCCGGCCATAATTGTTATTCTTATATGATGGAATACCTCAAATTCAAAGTAATCTCTTCTAAATGTTCCAGTTTATTCTTTATAGCTTCTGTAATCCATAAATTTTTGAAATTTTTTTAGGAATATCTTTTCAGCTTGTTTCATCCCTTTATACAATAAAGCTCTAAATTTTATAATTACTATTTTCTTCTATATTTCTTAACTCCAACCATTCATAAATGCGCTATTACAAAATCTATGACAGGATGAAATATTTAAGGAGGTTCTAAGGTTAAGCAAATTATAACCCAAATTACATGATTACCTGTGCTGCACCCACTAAGGTTTTAATGCCCGTATCGTGTTTGGTAGAAGACAAAACAAATATATAGAAAAGCTGCCTGTGAAGGTGGAAGAAGGAAACCTTCCTACACTGTCTGGCAAATCATTGCCAATGGAGAGTCCGCGTGTGTGTAGGAGAAAAAGAGAGAGAGATTAATTAATGATTTTCTAGGACAAACTTTGAAAAGATTTTAGGTAGAATGGAAATGAAAGAAACCATAAGCGTTGCTGGATAAACATATGTCATCTTTCACTTGAAGATAATATTGCTGATATTCAATCCTTGAAATACATGCATTTACATTGTACTTCCTAACTCAAGGGAGGGGAAGACCAGTTTGTACTCCAGAGACAATCTCCCCTTCAATTTTGTTTATTTTTCTAGATTTAGATTTACACCACTAATCCTAAATTAGGTATTTGACTTAATTAAAATGGATTTAAGTTTAGGCAATAGAAAAATAGAGTCAACTCACAGTATCATCTCATTTTTTTTTCCAAAAAGAAGGGGAAAGTAAATTATTTCACATCACTTTGTCTTCATATATCTATCTTTTCATTCCTCTTTCCAAACTCAGAGACTTTACACAAGCTGTTCCTTCTGCCTAGAAGTCTTTCCTCATGGTGTGTGCTTCATTAAATCCTACATGTCCTTAAAGTCTCAGTTAAATTTTCCAAGCTCCCAAACTAATGTATTGTCTATTATAATATCCTCCATTTTCCCTTCATGGAAGCTACTGTGATTTCTTATTTATTTTAGTGATGAATTCTACAATATCTATTTTCTCCATTAGAAGACTAACCTCTATGCATTCACTGTTATGTTCCCAGTGCCTGCCCCAAGTGCTGACCTTCAGTGTGGACATAATGATTAGTTGACACAAAATGAAGGAAGGAACATGCTATTGAAAACTTTATTTTCCAGGGGACCTGGGCAAGACAGCTGGATAGGAGCAGCCCCCAGCCAAATAAACGCAGAACACGGGTGATTTCCGCATTTCTGAGGTACCTGACTCATCTCATTGGGGCTGGGTAGACAGTGTGTGCAGCCCACGGAGAGCAAGCAGAAGCAAGGTGGGGCGCTGCCTTACCCGGGAAGGGCAAGGGGTCAAGGAACTCACTCCCCTAGCCAAGGGAAGCACTGTGAGAAATGGTGCATTCCGGCCCAGATACTAAGCTTTTCCCATGGTCTTCATAACTTGCAGACCAGGAGATTCCCTTGGGTGCCTACACCACCAGGACCCAGGTTTTCAAGCACGAAACTGGACAGCCATTTGGGCTGACACCAAGCTAGCTGCAGGAGCTTTTTTTTCATACCCCAGTGGCACCTGGAACACCAGCGAGACAGAACCGTTCACTCCCCTGGAAAGAGGGCTGAAGCCAGGGAGCCAAGTGGTCTAGCTTAGCGGACCCCACCTCCACAGAGCCCAGCAAGCTAAGATACACTGGCTTGAAATTCTCGCTGCCAGCATAGCAGTTTGAAGTCGACCTGGGATGCTCAAGCTTGGTGGGGGGCGGTTAGTCACCATTACTGAGGCTTAACTAGGCAGTTTTCCCCTCACAGTGTAAACAAAGCCGCTGTAGCCAGGCTGCCTCTTTAGATTCCTCCTCTCTGGGTAGGGCATCTCTGAAAGAAAGGCAGCCACCCCAGTCAGGGGCTTATAGATAAAACTCCCATCTCCCTAGGACAGAGTACCTGGGGGAAGGGGCAGCTGTGTGCGCAGCTTCAGCAGAGTTAAATGTTCCTACCTGCCGGCTCTAAAGACAGCAGTGGATCTCCCAGCACAGTTCTCGAGCTCTGCTAAGAGACAGACTGCCTCCTCAAGTTAGCCCCTGACACCCATGCCTCCTGATTTGGAGACACCTCCCAGCAGGGGTCAACAGGCTCCTCATACAGGACAGCTCTGGCTGGCAACTGGCAAATGCCCCTCTGGGAAGAAGCTTCCAGAGGAAGGAAAAGGCAGCAATCTTTGCAGTTCTGCAGCCTCCGCTGGTGATACCCAGGCAAACAGGGTCTGGAGTGGACCTCCAGCGAACTCCAGCAGACCTGCAGTAGAGGGACTTGACTATTAGAAGGAAAACTAACAACAGAAAGGAATAGAATTAACATCAACGAAAAAGACGTCAACACAAAAACCCCATCTGAAGGTCATCAACATCAAAGACCAAAGGCAGATAAATCCACGAAGATGAGGAAAAATCAGTGAAAAACGGCTGAATATTCCAAAAACCAGAACACCTCTTCTCCAAAGGATCACAACTCCTCACCAGCAAGGGAACAAAACTGGATAGAGAATGAGTTTGACGAACTGGCAGAAGTAGGCTTCAGAAGGCAGGTAATAACAAAGTCCTCCAAGCTAAAGGAGCATGTTCTAACCCAATGCAAGGACGATAAGAACCTTGATAAAAGGTTAGAGGAATTGCTCACTAGAATAACCAATTTAGAGAAGAACATAAATGATCTGATGGAGCTGAAAAACACAGCATGAGAACTTGGTGAAGCATACACAAGCTGAATAGATCAAGTGGAAGAAATGATATCAGAGACTGAAGACCAACTTAATGAAATAAAGTGTGACAAAATCAGAGAAAAAAAGAATGAAAAGGAACAAACAAAGCCTCCAAGAAATATGGAACTATGTGAAAAGACCAAACCTACATTTGATTGGTGTACCAGAAAGTGATGAGGAGAATGGAACCAAGTTGAAAACACTCTTCAAGATATCATCCAGAACTTCCCCGACCTAGGAAGACAGGCCAACATTCAAATTCAAGACATACAGAGAACACCACAAAGATAATCCTCGAGAAGAGCAACCCCAAGACACATAATCGTTGGATTCACCAAGGTTGAAATGAAAGAAAAAATGTTAAGGACAGCCAGAGAGAAAGGTCGGGTTACCCACAAAGGGAAGCCCATCAGACTAACAATGGATCTCTCTGCAGAAACCTTACAAGCCAGAAGGGAGTGGGGGCCAATATTCAACATTTTTAAAGAATTTTCAACCCAAAATTTCATATCCAGCCAAACTAAGCTTCACCCTAACATCACAATTAGAAAAACTAGAGAAGCAAGAGCAAACATATTTAAAAGTTAGAAGAAGACAAGAAATAACTAAATTCAGAGCAGAACTGAAGGAGAGAAGACATGAAAAACCCTTCAAAAAATCAATGAATCCAGGAGCTGGATTGTTGAAACGATTAACAAAATAGATAGACTGCTAGCCAGACTACTAAAGAAGAAAAGAGAGAAGAAACAAATAGACACAATAAAAATGATAAAGGGGAGATCACCACTGATCCCACAGAAATAAAAACTAACATCTGAGAATACTATAAACACCTTAACGCAAATAAACCAGAGCATCTAGAAGAAATGGATAAATTCCTGGACATATACACCCTCCCAAGACTAAATCAGGAAGAAGTCGAATCCCTGAATAGACCAATAACAAGGTCTGAAATTGAGGCAGTAATTAATAGCCTACCAACCAAACAACAACAACAACAAAAAAAAGCCCAGGAAGAGATGGCTTCACAGCCGAATTCTACCAGAGGTACAAAGAGGAGCTGGTACCATTCCTCCTGAAACTATTGCAAACAACAGGAAAAGAGGTACTCCTCTCTAACTCATTTTATAAAGCCAGCATCATCCTGAAACCAAAACCTGGAAGAGACACATCAAAAAAACAAAATTTCAGGCCAATATCCCTGATGAACATCGACGCAAAAATCCTCAGTAAAATACTGGCAAACCAAATCCAGCAGCACATCAAAAAGCTTATCCACCACAACCAAGTTGGCTTCATCTCTGGGATGCAAGGCTGGTTCAACATACACAAATCAATAAACGTAATCCATCACATAAACAGAACCAATGACAATTATCTCAATAGATGCAGAAAAGGCCTTCAATAAAATTCAACACCCCTTCATGCTAACAACTCTCAATAAACTAGGTATTGATGGAATGTATCTCAAAATATTAAGAGCTATTTATGACAAACCCTCAGCCAATATCATACTGAATGGGCAAAATCTGGAAGCATTCCCTTTGAAAACCAGCACAAGACAAGGATGCCCTCCCTCACCACTCCTATTCAACATAGTATTGGATGTTCTGGCCAGGGCAATCAGGCAAGAGGAAGAAATAAAGGGTATTCAAATATAAAGAGAAGACGTCAAATTGTCTCTGTTTGCAGATGGCATGATTGTAAATTTAGAAAACCCCATTGCCTCAGCCCAAAATCTCCTGAAGTTGATAAGCAACTTCAGCAAAGTCTAAGGACACAAAATCAACATGCAAAAATCACAAGCATTCCTATACACCAATGATAGACAAACAGAGAGCCAAATCATGAGTGAACTCCCATTCACAATTGCTACAAAGAGATTCAAATACCTAGGAATACAACTTACAAGGGATGTGAAGGACCTCTTCAAGGAGAACTACAAACTACTTCTCAAGGAAATAAGAGAGGACACAAACAAATGGTAAAACATTCCATGCTCGTGGATAGGAAGAATCAATATCATGAAAATGGCCATACTGCCCAAAGTAATTTATAGATTCAATGCTATTCCCGTCAAGCTACCATTGACTTTCTTCATAGAATTTGAAAAAAACTACTTTAAATTTCATATGGAACCAAAAAAGAGCCCATATAGCCAAGACAATCCTAAGCAAAAAGAACAAAGCTGGAGGCATCACATTACCTGACCTTAAACTATACTACAAGGCTACAGTAACCAAAACAGCATGCTACTTGCACCAAAACAGACATATAGACCAACGGAACAGAACAGAGGCCCCAGAAATAACGCCACACATCTGCAACCATCTGATCTTTGACAAACCTGACAAATACAAGCAATGGGGAAAGGTTACCTATTTAATAAATGGTGTTGGGAAAACTGGCTAGCCATATGCAGAAAACTGAAACTGGAACCCTTCCTTACAACTTATACAAAAATTAACTCAAGATGTATTAAAGACTTAAATGTTAGACCTAAAACCATAAAAACCCTAGAAGAAAACCTAGGCAATACCATTCAGGACACAGGCATGGGCAAGGACTTCATGACTAAAATACCAAAAGCAAGGGCAACAAAAGCCAAAATTGACAAATGGGATCTAATTAAACTAAAGAGATTCTGCATAGCAAAAGAAACTATTATCAGAGTGAACAGGCAACCTACAGAATGGGAGGAAATTTTTGCCATCTACTGATCTGACAAAGGGCAAATATCCAGAATCTACAAGGAACTTAAATAAATTTACAAGAAAAAACAAACCACCCCATCAAGAAGTTGGTGAAGGACATGAACAGAAACTTCTCAAAAAAGTCATTTATGTGGCCAAGAAACTATGAAAAAAAGCTCATCATCACTGGTCATTAGAGAAATGCAAATCAAAACCACAATAAGATACCATCTCACTCCAGTTAAAATGGCAATCATTAAAAAGTCAGGAAACGACAGATGCTGGAGAGGATGTGGAGAAATAGGAACACTTTTACACTATTGCTGGGAGTGTAAATTAGTTCAACCATTGTGGAAGACAGTATGGCAATTCCTCAAGGATCTAGAAC
This sequence comes from Homo sapiens, assembly GCF_000001405.40. Classification (NCBI taxonomy): domain Eukaryota; kingdom Metazoa; phylum Chordata; class Mammalia; order Primates; family Hominidae; genus Homo; species Homo sapiens. Next base: position 137,107,782 of record NC_000007.14, read on the forward strand.
CAGAAATACCATTTGACCCAGCAATCCCATTACTGGGTATATGCCCAAAGGATTATAAATCATTCTACTATAAAGACACATGCACACATATGTTTATTGCAGCACTATTCACAATACCAAAGACTCGGAACCAACCCAAATGCCCATCAATGATAGACTGAACAAAGAAAATGTGGCACATATACACCATGGAATACTATGCAGCCATAAAAAAGGATGAGTTCATGTCCTTTGCAGGTATATGGATAAGCTGGAAACCATCATTCTCAGCAAACTAACACGGAAACAGAAAACCAAACACCACATGTTCTCACTCATAAGTGGGAGTTGAACAATGAGAACACATGGACACAGAGAAGGGAACATCACACACTGGGGCCTGTCAGGAGGTAGGGGGCTAGGGGAGAAATAGCATTAGGAGAAATACCTAACGTAGGTGACGGGTTGATGGGTGCAGCAAACCACTATGGCATGTGTATACCTATGTAACAAACCTGCATGTTCTGTACATGTATCCCAGAACTTAAAGTATAATTTTAAAAAACTTTATTTTCCCTCAATACTTCCTTGTTTTATTATTTTTTGCCATTTAGGATGTCCATTTTTGAAATAATTCAGAATAATTATTATAAATATTACATATATTGTAGTGAGATCATGGTTTTCAAGACTTTTGAACCATTTAAAGCTCTTCTTCCCTGTCTAACGTGTCTAGGATAGTATACATACCTAATTCTTCAGTCAGCTTTTATTATACCTCCTGACTTCTCTACTTTTAGCTGCCTGCATATCTCCTCATTCTCAGCATCCTCTGTGTGCCACTGGTTTCCTTATTGGATCAAATGTCTAAACCAATGATCCCAAGCATTCACACCCACCTCAACACAGGTAAAGTTTAGAATTTTCAACAACTGCTTTTTTCCAGGACTTGTTTATTTTTATTTTTTATGGATTTAGGGGGTAAAAGTACAGTTTTGTTACATATATATATTGCATAGTGTTGAAGTCTAGGCTTTTAGTTTGATGGGTACACTACAGGCACAATGTACAAGTAGTGTACATTGTTACATTGTACTCTATAGGTAATTTCTCATCCTTCACCCCCTCCCACCTTCCCATTTTGGGGGCTCTAATGTCTATTATTCCCTCTGTATGTCCTTGTGTACATTGCTTAGTTTCCAATTGTAAGTGAGATCATACAGTATTTGACTTTCTGCTTTCTGTTTTTGAGTTATTTCACCTAGGATAATGGCCTCCAGTTCATCCATGTCACTGTAAAAGACATGATTTCATCCTTTTTTGTGGCTGAGTAGTATTCCACGGTATAATATATGTACACCACATTTTCTTTATCCAATAATCTGTTGAGGGACATTTAGGCTGATTCCATGACTTTACCATTGTGAATAAGTGTTGCAATAAACATATGAGTATAGGTGCTTTTTTAAAATATAGTAATTTATTTTCCTTTAGGTGAACACCTAGTGCTGGGATTGCTGGGTCAAATGGTAGTTCTGTTTTCAATGCTTTGAGAAATGTCCATACTGTTTTCCACACAGGTTGTACTCATTTACCTACCCACAAATAATGTATAAACGTTCCCTTTTCTCCATATCCTTACCAACATCAGAACTGCCTTTTTTGTTGTGACTAATGGTTTTAGTTTTTTTTTTTAGTTGTTTGCTTTGCCTTTAAATTATGCTTCTTGGACAATGTTTTGCATAATTGTGAGTTCTCACCGTATGGCTCACAGGGAGGTGCTATGTTATTATAATTGACCTTCATTATTTTCAGATTGAAGATCCCTATGTTTAAATTCATAAAAGTAAGCCTAAAAGGAAACAAGGGGGACACTCAATATGTTGGATGAAAAAGCACTCCATCATTTACTGGTTGTGTGGTCTCTCTGAAAAGTTATTCAGTACTGTGACCTTAAGTTTATTATCTGTAAATCGTGGATAACAATACTTAATTCACAGAGAAATGGAAATTAAAATATTATTTAATAGCTTCTCAATCAATATTAATTTGCTTTCCTTCATTTCTAAATTGTACAGACTTTAAGATTTGAGGGAGAACTGACTGAAAATTTAAATTTAGTTTGGAAATATCTAAATTGGTGGTTTAAACACTATATTCAGTCAGCAGGCTCATTTTATCTTTCCAATCATTCTGCTGAAGAAGTTCTTAATGAGCATGTTTTAATCAGTAAAACTGATTAAGACAATAAGCTCTTAATCTAATGCAGCTCAACAAATATGCTTTGCATGCCCATTAAGTCTAAGATGCCGGACTAAGTACTGAAGAGGCTACACATGTGAATAAGCTCTAGTCTCTGCCCTCCTAACGCGGCAAAAATGAATCACTGACAAGGGCAAGAATGGAAGAGAAATCTATTACAGAGTAGTGGCAGAGTGCTGTAATCGCATGCAAGGACACTAAAGAAATGGATAGAGAGAGTAGCATAAAGAAAAGGGAAATATGGCAAAATGCTGGGAACCTTGCATGGGATTTTAAAGGTTTCCATGGAAACAGTTAGACTTGAATGCATGGGTGCATAAGGCAGTCTTACCAGGTGCCTGTTATTGGTTTGGAGGAGGGAAAAATTACATTTCCATGACAGTTACAGATTAGCTGAGCAAGTAGCTTTCCAAAGTGATGTACTTGCAAAAAACAGATAAGTACTGTCCAGAGTGAAAATGTTTGTATTCTCTGGAGCCAGCTGGGTAATCAGATCTCCGTTTAGAAAGGACCAGATTGCAGTTTGTACTTTCTGACCATTTTACCCAAGATAGCAGGATCTTCTACACAGAAGCAATTTTCTGGGCAGGGGATGGGTGGGGGAGTTCTCATAGTACATAGGTAGGCAGTAGAAAGAAAATTGAAAATGGGAGAGAAACTGCCCCAAAGAGAATCATGCAGATACTTCAGAGATTACTAAATATGACAAGGAATAGAAGTATGTGTAAACCTAGGAAGTTATGAAATATGTATAATGGCATTGAGACATTGAGGCATTTGACAGTGTAATGAAGCAATACCTTCAGTTGGGATTTGGGATTTAAAGAAGCAAAACTCAGCCATCTATCACTGACCCAAGAGATGACAAAGAGAGAAAAGAAAATTAGACAATATTCCAGAAGAAATCTATCTGAGTTTGGCAAAACATACAGTTTAATAGCACATATTTTCAAGGACATACAAGATAAAAAAAGTACACTAACTCTTTCCAAGAAAGATATATATAGTTTCAAACTATATATATATATATACACACACACAAATATACATGCAACAGAAGTAGTATATATATTACACATAAATATTACAGAAATTGTATGTGTACATATCAGAAATACTATATACATATGTACATATATATTACAGAAATGGTGTGTGTGCATATATATACATATATATTTCTGATAGATAGAGATATATTATTTTTCAATGATTGAGCAGATAATTGTTTATTGAGTCCTAATAGTATAGATAATAGTGACAAAAGGCCACACAAGTCCTAGATGTAACATAAAAAAAATCGGTAGGTATGTTAAAATCCTGCAGCATAAATTAAGGATTATTTCTTAAATCCTGGGTCATGTTGAATAAAGGCTCCAGAAAGGAGAGGTTAATTGAAGAAATCTTTTGAAAGAGATGAGTTTCAAGTCAGATTTCAGAGCTCTATGGTTGGCCATGTGTTGGTAATTGTGAAGGCAGAGACCATGTCAATATATGGAAATAATGTGTGCAACAAAAAATAAAGCCATAAACTTCGAGGTAACTTTGATGATAATAAGCACATGGTATATATAAGGACAAACATGCAAGTGAGCAAGAGCAAGCTATTGGTACTGTCTGGTCACATCTTATTTGTGACATCTAGAAAAAAAAGCTGAACTATATCCTGCTTTAATAGTTTTAAAGTTAAACTATTTTAGAATCAAATATATTGATGCTCAAAACATTCCTTCTTGCTCCCTTAAGCTCATCACCATTGCCATAAACAGCCTGAGGCAACCACTAACCCTCTTTCTATCACTGTAAATGAGTTTTGTATTTTCAATTATTTCATATACACAGAAATAATTTGAACTGTTTTGTGTCTAGCTTCCTTAACAGAGCATGTTTTGAAATTCATCCAAGTGATTGTTTCAGTAATGTGTTCCATTTTCTTGATTCAAATACCATCCATTGTTGAATAATATTAAATTGCATGGATATCCTTCAATTTATGTATAATTTACCTGTTATGGGAATTTGGGTTTGTTTTTGTTTCCCCACTTTGGAGTTACTATTATTAAAGCGGCTACGAATGTTTTTGTACAAGTTGTTGTGGGGACACATGATGTATTTCACTTGGAAAAAATGTTTAGGTGTAAGATTTCAAGTTCGTGTGAAAAGAATAGGTTTAACTTTATAAGAAATTGCCAAACAGTTTTCCATAATGGCTGTGCCATTTTGCATTCCCACCAATTGGTAAAAGCTTCAGGAGCACTAGTTCATCACTAACACTTGACCTTGTCAGTCTTTTCAATGATAGCCATTTTACTGTGTCATCTTACTTTGTCGTGATTTTAACTTGTATTTATCTAATGACTAAAGATATTAAACGTATTTTGCCTGTTGGCTATTTGTATCCTCCTTAGTGAAATATCTGTGCATATCTTTGTTGGATTTTAAAACTTTCATTGGTGTATGTATTCTCCTTATTGAGAACTAAAAATTCTTTATTTATTCTGGATACAAATCAGATATATATATTATGGATATTTTCTTTCAGTCTGTGGTTTGCCTTTTCAAATTCTTAACAATGCTTTTGGAAGTTCAGGGCTTTTGATTTTGGATTTAAACATATTTGGTGAGTTTTAATAAATTTAAATTATGTTTTAAAATACTTGGATAATTGGAGTCTAGCCAAAGGAAAGTAATTTATAATAAAACAATTTGTATTTCATGATGTAAAATTAGGATGAACTACACAGAAAAACATAATCAAGTAGTCAGAGATTTGAAGTTCTATGTCAAGTCACTGAATTATGTGGTTAAAATTGTTGAGTGATACAGGGGTGTGTATTAGTGAACCAAATATTATAAGTGATATTTCTGTCAGTAATATTCTAAAATAGTGAACAATCTTGTAAATTTTTTCTATTTACATGAGTTGGCTTCTACTATCGGCAACTTTTCTTTCTTTTTTTAACCATTTAAATGTCTAACAGTCTAATACTCCTAAGCCCTTCCAAATGCCAGTAGCACCTAAAATATTGTGACAACCATGATTACTCCAACAAAGTATCTTTTAAGAATTGATGTTATCCCCATTGAAAACTGCTGATTTATCTGAAGTCCACATGTGAGCTTCATGTAAACAACTTTCAACTACAGCTGCAATATTGTTCCTGGTGAGAATGCATCATGATTCATAGCATGGATATTAAGCTCCCATCTATCTACCTTCCCTCTTAAGGAATTTCAGAAAGAAAGTAATCTACATATTTCAGGTAACAAATACCTTGTGAAATTTTTAACACCTGAGTTTAAAAGGTACTTTTTAAGGTCCTCAGTATTATAGATTAAGAAACAAAGCAAAATTGTTATTTCGAGACTACACAACAGGACAATGGATACAAAACTATTATTCCTCAGTGTGCACATGTTTTTACGTTACATCGTGTATACTGGAAAATACCTATATTACAAGCAATTGCAGATATTCTCTGTCAAAAGAGCAGAAAGGAAAAAGGAGCAATATGTTGATAAGAATCAGTGAAAATGCACTGAAAATAGCAACAACAAAAAGTGTTCCCTTGCGATTTCTGATTATTTCTGCCTTAAATCTTCAATCCCAGACATGCCTTAAATCTTCAGTCTTCTAATACTGAAAATTCACACTTCGGTTTTGCTAAGTTCTCCACTGTTAGGTTAATTCTTTAAAGGAAATCCCAGTGCTGGACAACACCATTCTGACACCAATTATTATTCTTGATTGTTATTTCACAACTTCCCAGATTGGGGCTCACACATTTTTATAAGCTAAGAAAAGTAAACAGACATTAAAAAAACACTTCCATATATCTAGAGATGTAAGATTAGTTTGTACACAGAACACTTCTAATTTCTGATGGTACCTTAAACATTTTAATGTCACTGTTATTTTTTGTAAATCTTTCTAATTTCATTCTCTCCTACCCTACTGCTTTGATGTGTAGATATCTCCTCATTCTATCTATCGATCACGTCACTCATGCCTAGTTATCATCACATATCCATAAGTATTAATATTTTAATACTTTTAAGGGCAGACCACTTTTTTTATTTCTGTACCTATGTGTGTGTGTGTGTGTGGGGGGGGGGTGTTAGCCTGTGATATTTATAAATATAGTCAAACCGTATGTGGGATTTAAAATGAGTTTCTGCTCATCTGTCTACAAGTCTAACAATAACAATACATTTGTATGTACTATGAAATAATTCTCTTTTCTTCATTGTATTTGACTATCAATGCACATAAAACATGCATATATATGTATATACACACACATATGGATGTGAATGTTTGTGACTAGGAATGGTTCTTTCTTACCCTGTATATGTGTGCATGTATGTGTAAATATATATATATATTATATATATACACATGTGTATTTAAGTTCTTTGTGGTTTTTAAAGCTTCTCTTTACATTCTTTGTACCCCTGTATAAGTAATATACAGTTGCACATGAAAAGAGACTTTATGTTTTATAACATTTATAACATTTAGCTGTTTACATCATACTTTGTCATGCATTTTTTTTCCTGTGAATCCATGGCCAGTTGATTATGTCTGGATTTATTTGGAGTGTACTTATAGCCATAATTCCATATCTCATATACATTTTATATCCATATTTCAAAATGTATAGCTTGCGCCACTGCCTCTTCCTAACTGATTAATAAATAACTTTTGAAATTGTTTGTATGTATTCAAGAAGTAAAGGTATGAGCACTATAGGCCTTATGCTGGGTGACAAAGTTTTTCAAAACCATGGGAAAGAGGAACATCCTGAGAACTGAAAATACCTCTACAAGGGACTCTGGCTCTCAAGCCATTGCAAGACATAAGCAAAGATTTTAATAAAATAAACCTAAAAATATATGAGACATTAAAATGAATTCCAGTTATCTCCTGCTTTCCCCACATGCTCAAATATTCTGCTTCTTGAGGGAGCTTATAGGACCTTCTAGTATTTAGAGCCTTATTTTCAAATAAGCCACATTATTATGTCTGATTTTCCATTTATCTCCTACCATAGAAAATGAGAACTTATTTCTTTTATATCAACTACTAAACCTGCACTCACAGTGACTCTATTTCAAAAAATATGTTTTTATCAAAATACTCATTTGTAGTCATTCCACATTAATAACATTATAAGCATGCCAATGTTTTTCATAGTTAAGTCAGGTGGTTTATTATTTTTCACTTTTTTATTGTATAGATTTATATTCCCCATTTATTTCACATTTGTGTACATATTTTTAATGCAACCTCAAAGTCAGACAGAAGCGTGAATCTCAATGTGTCCAAAGTATATTAGATAATCCATCAGTTTTCTTTTTCACCTTATAAAATAAACATTACTTGCTCATTTATGCCATCATTTATATTTTATTGTATTTATCTATTTTATGATTCTACCTACCTACACACACACACACGTACGGAGGAAAAGAACTGTCTATGAAGAATATATTCCAACCTCCCCTAAAGCAGGGACTGGCTTGGAGTCACCTGAACATGTTTTAGACTTACATGGTTAAAAATCACTGAATAGAAATAGAAAGTATGTCATCTTCTGAAAATCCCAGTAAAAGAATAGTAGAAGGGCTTTTTTGTTTCAGTGTTAACCCACAGGATAAAGGGAATGGAAGACAAGGTAAACAATAGAGGAGACTGCAACACAATTTTGAAAGCAGGAAAGAAGATGAATAATGAGGAAAAGACTTTTCAGAAAAGAAAACTGTGTACTGCTTTTGGGGATCTGGGCGGCTGAAATAGTCAGGAGAGTTGGCCAAGACCTTACTGTTTTAACCTTTGTAGGAAGTGAATATTATGTGTGTGTGTGTGCATGTGTGTGTATAATATATTTGTAATTATTTTTTAAACATAAATACACAAACAGATGCACAGAATTAGGTCAAGTATAGTAAATATAATCCTTGTTCCATGTTTATTGTTAATGGTCCATTCATAGATCTCTTGATTTTATTTGGATTTTTAAAATTTTCACTTATTAATAGTGAATACCTATAAATACATTGCCCAAACTAAAAACTAAAGTGTTATCAATATCATATCTATCTACCTGTGTATTCCTCCAATAACACATCTCATATCGCCCTCATCCTAAATTTTAAGTTTATTAAATTTTGGCCTTTTTTAAACATCATAATTTACATACATATCTTGTTTTATTGCTAGTCTTGGAACTTTACATAAACAACATGTTATATGTTCTTAATGCTTGCTTTTATTCACTTAGCATTATAGAACTAAAATTTCTCTGTTATTATATGTAATTGGAGCTCATTCATTTCAAATACTGTATAACATTGTTTAGTGACTATATGAATTTATACTCATTTATCTCAATGAACACTTCTTTTACCAGAGTTTTGTTATTATGAACATGGAAATTATGAATTCTTATGCACACATCCTGGACCATATATCCTAAAATTCTCTTGGCAACACAGAGGAGTAGAAGTTCTGCATCACAGAATATGCGAATGTTCAACTTCCAAAGGTAATGCAAACTAGTCCATCAAACTGGGTCCTAACAATTGACACTCTCACCCTAATGTCTAAGAAGATTTCATTCATTCATACCCTTTGGAATATGTGGGATTTTCAGATATCTTCATTTTTGACAAGGAAATAGTTGTAAAATACTATTGTATTGAGATTGTGATTTGCATTTCTAGATTACTGGATTTCCAGAGATGATAAACTTCTCAATTTATTGATTATACAAGTTTTTCTTTGTATTATATTTACTCATAGCCATTGTCAGTATTTCTAGTGTTACTCATTTTCTTCTCTTTATTCTGAATATCTCTTATTGTTATTATCAGTAATGATAACAATACTAATTTTGTTTCAACTTTATATATAGCAATAGCTTTTCTTAACTTACAGCTTACATTTCCACCTTTCTTTAAGATGCCTTTTCATAAAGATAATCCCTTAATTTTAATACAGTCTAAATTATCAATTTTGTTTCACTTAAAGCTAATACTTCTTATATTTTATTTAATACACTTGTCTATTCTTACTTCATGCATTTTCTTTTAGATGTGTTATGGTTTTGATATTAAATGGTTTTGTCCCTTTGGGACTGATGTTTCAGTATGCCATACTGCAGTATCTATTTTCACTTTTTTCCATGTGTACAGACACCACACCCATTAACTAAGCCTATATTTCTCCTTTGGCTGGCAATGTATCTCTGAGATATACCTCATTTCCAATTGTGGTTGGGTCGGTTATTGCTTTTTCACTTATATTCATCAACATTCCTATCCATGTCCTAATACTTCAATCTCTCGTTCCCTATTATTTTATGTCTTTATATCTGTTAGAGCAAGTTTTCCTCTCTTGACACTTTTTAAGATTATCTTAACTACTGAGGTCCCCTGTGCACCATAAACATTTTATAATCAAATGGTCAATTTTCATAAAATGTCTTTGTTGGGATTTTCATTGAAGATGTATTTAATCTATAGATCACTTTGAGGGAGCTACCATCACTACAATACTAGATTTTGTTATTTATTAACATATAATATCACTCCTTCCATTTAAGTAATTTTAATGCTCTTCCATCAAGTTATATAATTTTAATGTGCACATTTTGAACATCATTTGGTGGATTTATTCTTGTAGTTTTTATTGTTGTTATAAATGGTGGTATCTTTTTTATTTGTTGTTATGCTTTCTAATTATTTGTTGCTGGTGACTGGATATGTATTGATATTTGTGTGTGAGATAAACACACACAAATCTCACACACAAATATCAATCTGCTTAAATTTAGCAATCTTGCTTAAATTCTATTGACTCATCTCTAGGTATTTTAAATTTTCTATGAAAACAGGTTTATATGCAAATAACACTTTTATTTCTTCCTTTCTTCTTATGCCCTTATTTTAGGCTAGATAGCTTAGATAAATATTTTGGATAAATATCTCGCTCCAAATTCTAGGACTTTTAATATAGGATTAAATAGAAGTAGAAAAGTGGGAATGCCTGTCTTATTTCTAAATCTAAAGAAAATAATTTGTTTCCCATTTATAATTGTGCCTGTTGAAGAATTTTTTGTTGTTTTCTTGTATCAGATTAAATTAGTTTCCTTCCATTTCTAGTTTATTGAGAGTTTTACTGTGAATGGCTCTTGAATTTTGTCACTTATTTATTCTGTGTCTATTGAGATGAGGAGATGGCTATTTCCAGTTATCTATTAATTCAGTGAATTAAATTTACACATTTTCTTATATTAAAACATCATTGCATTCCTGAGATGCATCTAACTTTTTTATAGTGCGTTTTTGGTAAATATTGAGTTTCCTTTGCTAATATTTTGTTTGGGATTCCAGAAATCTTGAGGAAAATGTGCTACAATATTTCTTTTTTTTTTTCTTTTTTTTAAATTATACTTTAAGTTTTAGGGTACATGTGCACATTGTGCAGGTTAGTTACATATGTATACATGTACCATGCTGGTGCACTGCACCCACTAACTCGTCATCTAGCATTAGGTATATCTCCCAATGCTATCCCTCCCCCTTCCCCCCACCCCATCACAGTCCCCAGAGTGTGATATTCCCTTCCTGTGTCCATGTGATCTCATTGTTCAGTTCCCACCTATGAGTGAGAATATGCAGTGTTTGGTTTTTTGTTCTTGTGATAGTTTACTGAGAATGATGATTTCCAATTTCATCCATGTCCCTACAAAGGACATGAACTCATCGTTTTTTCTGGCTGCATAGTGTTCCATGGTGTATATGTGCCACATTTTCTTAATCCAGTCTATCATTGTTGGACATTTGGGTTGGTTCCAAGTCTTTGCTATTGTGAATAATGCCACAATAAACATACGTGTGCATGTGTCTTTATAGCAGCATGATTTCTAGTCCTTTGGGTATATACCCAGTAATGGGATGGCTGGGTCAAATGGTATTTCTAGTTCTAGATCCCTGAGGAATCGCCACACTGACTTCCACAATGGTTGAACTAGTTTACAGTCCCACCAACAGTGTAAAAGTGTTCCTATTTCTCCACATCCTCTCCAGCACCTGTTGTTTCCTGACTTTTTAATGATCGCCATTCTAACTGGTGTGAGATGATATCTCATTGTGGTTTTGATTTGCATTTCTCTGATGGCCAGTGATGGTGAGCATTTTTTCATGTGTTTTCTGGCTGCATAAATGTCTTCTTTTGAGAAGTGTCTGTTCATGACCTTCGCCCACTTTTTGATGAGGTTGTTTGTTTTTTTCTTGTAAATTTGTTTGAGTTCGTTGTAGATTCTGGATATTAGCCCTTTGTCAGATGAGTAGGTTGTGAAAATTTTCTCCCATTTTGTAGGTTGCCTGTTCACTCTGATGGTAGTTTCTTTTGCTGTGCAGAAGCTCTTTAGTTTAATTAGATCCCATTTGTCAATTTTGTCTTTTGTTGCCATTGCTTTTGGTGTTTTAGACATGAAGTCCTTGCCCATGCCTATGTCCTGAATGGTAATGCCTAGGTTTTCTTCTAGGGTTTTTATGGTTTTAGGTCTAACGTTTAAATCTTTAATCCATCTTGAATTGATTTTTGTATAAAGTGTAAGGAAGGGATCCAGTTTCAGCTTTCTACATATGGCTAGCCAGTTTTCCCAGCACCATTTATAACACCTCTACGCAAATAAACTAGAAAATCTAGAAGAAATGGATTAATTCCTCGACATATTTCTTTTATTTGTTGCTATCTAGTTTGAAGTTAGAACATTCAGGCTGTATTATGTTGTGCCACAGTAAAAACACTTCCAAAATTCAAGTGGCTAAAACATTGCTTGTTTTACTTATTGCTCATGCAACATGCTCATCTCACCTCAGTCACACAGGAACTCAAGATGGCGGAGCTTCCACCATCTGGGACTTTGCCAGTCACCAGGGAGAGAGGAACATAACAAAACACGTAATTGCTATTAAATACTTTTTTTTCTGGAAGTCACACAAATTATGTCTACTCATAATTCATTAACCAAAGCCAAGCCTAATGGCCATGGCTATCATCAAAGATAGAAGGATTCCAATCCTCTCAGGTTTGCAGAAGGGGGAGAACTAAAAGATCCGCCAACAGTTCTAATGACTTCCACAGTCTAGACTTCTGGTAAGAAAACATTTGGCTCTCTATTTTTCCCATATACAAAATATGTCCTCCACCTCCACCAAGGGAAGCAATCCAAAAGTCTTTCCAGTCATGGCATCAATTTTACAACCTAGGATAAAAGAATGAGGATAGACTTGTATAATATCTTGATATTAGTTCTGGATGTGAATCTTCTTGATTTTAAGACCCATGGACTCTTCCAAAATCCTAAATATAATAAGGAAACCATGACAGACAATTGCAGTAAATATTCTAGAAGAAGAATGGGAGCCACATAGCATACACTGGTCCCACATAACAGAGACTTATCTATAGAAATCCTGAAAAGCTTCTGAAAAGACATTTTGAGGATTCCCCCATAAGTTGGTAGGATATGATTTTTGAATAGTCCTTGATTCTCCTCTTTGGGAATCATTAACTTGTTGAATTTTCTCCCTGGATCCACATGCTATGTGATTCTTCTCTTTTTACATAAGCCTCCTTGGCTATATCTGAATCGGACATCAGCAAGATGTTCTTCTTGGAACCTGAGCAATTCCCTCAGCTCACTTCTTGCCTGTAGATAGTTGGGAGCCCCAGGATCTTTTTAAGTCTCAGTCATGGTCTATTTTAGTTTCGAATGTTGACTCTTTTGACAGCACAATTCTCTCAAACATATTTTTGGCTTCTCTATTTTATTGCAGTTGGCTCTATGAGCAATGACCACACCCGTTTCTTTTGAGTCACAATTCTCACTTTGAATATTTTTTGCTTTCTCTTCCCCTTGCCTCTCTGTCTTTCTCAACTTAACTATGGGCCTAGAGCATATATGAATGTCTCATACTGCCTGCTAAGTTTCTGTAGTTGCCCCTTTTACCAAGTATTTAGCCATTCCATAACAAGGACTCTTACCCTTTTAGTCTGTAATAAATTGTCCTTGCTATCTACCATTTAACCCATTAAGTCAATACCACATATTGAAATTGTTTCATAGCACTCCCTATATCAGTGTACTAGGAGCTCTATCAGTCAGCATGAACCAGATCTTGCCATGGTAGCAAACAGTCCCCAAATGTTAGTGATTTAAAAATACAAAGTTTTATATTTTGCTTATAATTTTGGGTTGATGGTGGCTCTTCTCCTGCTCATCCTCACTTAGAGAAACAGGTTAATGGAATCTTCACTAATCACTTTGGCAAGATAAAGAGAATGTTGCAAACCACATGCTGGCTCTTAATGGCTTCCACTCTCAACTAACTGGCCAAAGCAAATCACATGATAATACTTAACTTCGACAAGATGAGGATGTGCAATCATGCCACATGCCTGGAGGAAGGAAAACAAAGAATATGAGAAATTATAATGATGCATGAACCAAATTAAAACAGTTTTTGTTCTTTTTCCTATTGAAGAAGCATGGGGAAAAAGAATTGGATGCAATTGTTGGCTAAGATTGTTTCAGCTCTGACAGTGTTGGAAGACTCAGGATATCACAGGCATTCTGTCTTCCTGGTAGATGATGTCCTATGCTAGAGATGGAAGCACCAAGGCATTAGGTCTGACACCACTAAACATTCTTGACATCATACTAAATAATTTTATTCTGATTCATGCTCACCAAGTTATCTTCTGATCAGTTGTCTTTATATGTAGCCTGTTCACAAGAAAAAAAATGCACCAACTAGGGAGATATAAACATTCTGTCTCTTTATTGCCATAATTTCCAGTGAAATTTAGTAAATCAGCATTCAACTTTTGTATTTTGTGTGAAAATGTGAGCATGAGTCAGCATCACCAAACCTGACCAGCTCTGCTACACTGACACGATCAAACTCAGAAATGTGATAAATTCCAAGGTAAATTCCTGCTAGAAAATCGAGAGGCAGGGGATCAACTTGACGTTTTACGCTTTCCTCGGAACCACATGAAACAGTTTTTTTGAAAAAACAAAAACAAACAAACAACAACAATGAAATCTTGTATTTCTTCTTTTCTTCAAAAGATGTAGAGTGAAAAAGGAATTGTGGAAGAAAGAAGCTTCATATTGTGTTTGGATCAGAATCAGGTAGCAGCACCTGCTTGCGGGGAAAAAGCTGGGCACCAGATCAGAGCCTACAGCTTTTAACAGAAAAGGAAGTCAGAAAACAAATGCTAGTATAAACCACAGTGCAGAGTTGCTGAGGACAGTGAAAATCAGACCTGGTTGTTGGAAGAAACCAAGACAGGACACAGAGCAGGCCTCAGACGATTTCAACTAGTGTAGAACACACTCAATTATCCCTGTTTTGTTGGACTTTTTGCTGATTTTTATACACAACAAGCTCAGTCTCATAGATTTTCAATTGATTATGACATCTGCATGGAGTGCATTCTCACCAAATCCTTCAGCATAATTACAAAGCTGAGCAGGAGATGGGGATTTGGGGGTCCAGAGTGAGAAAGTTCTGACTGTGCCAGCAAGTCGCTGTGCCATTTTTGTACCATAAAAGTGACATTCTATGATTAATAAATATTTATTGAATGAATGCTATGGGAATAAATGCTAAGTCATTTATTCTTTTATTAAAAGAGCAGACCAGTTCTTCATTCCACACTGGCAGAAGAAGCAGAGAAACAAACACTAAACCTGCAGACACAATATCTTTGTAAAAAGTAGGCTAATAACTGTGACAAAATGTAGGACAATACGTGAGAGTCAGGAAGTTCTGAGGTTTCCAATCTTGGTCAGTCAACGACAAATCAATGCTATATAACCACGAAAAATACCTATTATATGAAAGGCTTCACTGCAGTGACTTCTTTCTAGCCTGGGGCAGGACTCGCATCTGCAACAACATGAATGAAAGTATGTTCAAAGGCAATCAAGGAAGATCAAAGATGCCTATGTCTTTCTGTTCTCCACCATTGAATTACTATATCTATTCTCCATCAAGAACAGTCTCCATTGAGAGATGAGTAAAAACCAAAAATAGATGATTATGGGCCGGTCACACTCCCGGTAAAAAGAAAAAAAGAAATATATCCCCCAAATGAAGTACATTTCTAGTTGTCAGAAAAGTACCACTGGTTTTTTGTAAATTGAAAAAAAAATTATTTAAAATAATGACATTTTTTTAAAAAATTAAAAATTAAGAAACGAACGAATCCATTGCCTAAGGACAAAAAGGACTCAAGTCACTCATGCAGGCTCTTAAATAAGAAACGCAAAAAGGAGATAAACATTTAGTTTCCAAAGCTCAGGGGGCTTGGGAAATAAAAGAGATAAACTGTACTTGTTATAGAAATGGAATCACATTAGGAGGGAAAAAAAAAAGACATTACTGAAACCACAATCAAGAACATATAGAAAACAGCATGAAGAAAATAACGGGAAAATAAAAAGGAAAGGAGATCAATTAAAAAGCAGGAACATAAGGGAAGTACAAGAAGAAGGGACAACATAAAATATATCCAGTGTCCATGAAGATAACAGAAAAAAAGGAAAAAAAAGTATAATTAACGATTAATTTCTTGAAATAAAGCTTGCTCTACCAACGAATGATCCCAAGAAGTGCCAGGAAAACTTTAATACAGAAAGATCCTTAAGAAGACAGACTGGAAATAATATTTAGTTCCTAAAAGATGGAAAGATATTAATAGGTTTTCTGGCAAAATTTCCAGTAATTTGTAAAGACAGAAAATTCAGGGCAACACGTGCCTCTCAACATCAAAACACTGGATCCAAGTGTTTGATCTCCATCCAAGCTATCATTAAAGTAGAAAAGCATTAAGCAGACTGTCTAAAAAATACAGCGACTAAAGAAATTCAATATCTCAGTTTGTTTTCTGTTGTTAATAACAGAGTAGCTCAAACTGGGTAATGCGTAAAGAAAAAGAATTTATTTCTTACAGTGATGGAGGCTGAGAAGTCCAAGATTGAGGGATCTCATCTAGTGAAAGCCTTCTTACTGGTGGAGACTGCAGACTCTTGAGGTGGTGCAGAGCATCACATGGAAAGGGGGCTGAGTGTCCTAGCTCAGGTCTCCTATCCTCTTCCCCAGTTCCATTCCCATAAACCATTAATCCATCAACCCATTAATTCACTAATCCATGAGTGTATTAATCTATCCATGAGAGCAGTCTTCATGATTCAATCGCCTCTTAAAGCACCATCTTTAAATACTGCCACATTGCAGACTAAGTAGCAACACAAGAAATTTGCAGGACAATTCAAGCCATAGAATGCAACATACATCAATAGAAAAGAAAGAAACAAAAATACCCTCTAGAATGATTTAAGAATAAATTCCAGATAATCAAAAGATGAATATAGAAACTATGGTAAGAAGTAATTGTTGGTGAACACCAAACACATTTAAATGTAAAATCTAAGCTAAAATTGCAGAGAAATTTGTTACAAGAACAAAAAACAAATATTATAAATTATGATAATACAGAAATATATGGCAAAAAGAAATCTCGTCACTTTGAATATAAGTCAATGGATTTACAACAAATTATTTTTAGTACGCATATGTATAACATTTTAAGAAGTATATATATGCTTTAAGAAGTATATATACATACATATATACATATATATATAATACACACATTTGGTGTTAATCAACTGCTTATCTCCTATCTTCTTTATATTTAGATGACAAACATTCTTTAGGTGATTGTATTCAGTTGTATGAATTCAAATACAATCTGCATACTAAATGATGAGCTAGTCAACCTGTAATTCAAATGCTGGGCTTCTTCCTGAGCTTCTGACCTCATAATTCAGATTTTCTATTAGCAATTTATCCTGAATATGCAGAAACAAATTATAATATGTGCTCCAAAACCTATTTCTCCTCTTCTTTTCTTCCTCTTAAGATACCACATATAATTTCTTACCAGTTACCAATTAGCAAGACAGACATCTGAAATCTCTAATCTGCTTTAAGCCATATATAATAAAGATTTATTTTAGATATTATTATAATTTTAAGATCTGTAATTTCCATCTGTTTGTTTCATATGGTTTTAATTTCACTGCTGAGTTTCCCATTTTTTATTCATTAAGATCATTTTTATTTTTAAGTTGTTTTTTTTTTTTTTTTTTGAGACTGAGTCTCGCTCTGTTGCCCAGGCTGGAGTGCACTGGCACCATCTCAGCTCACTGCAACCTCAGTCTCCTGGGTTCAAGCAATTCTCTGCCTCAGCCTCCCGAGTAGCTGGGATTACAGGCACCCACAACCACACCCGGCTAATTTCTGCAATTTTTTTTTTTTTTTTTTTTTTTTTTGTAAAGACAGGGTTTCACCATTGTAGCCAGGCTGGTCTTGAACTCCTGACCTTGTGATCCACCCGCCTCAGCATCCCAAAGTGCTGGGATTACAGGCGTGAGCCACCACGCCCAGCCTCCTTTTTAAAGTTTTTTATTTGCGTTACTATGGATACATACTACCTGTATTATTTATGGAGTACATGTGATAGTTTGATAAAAGCACACAGTGCGTAATGATCAAGTCACGGTAATTGGGGTATGCATCACCTCAAGCATGTATCATTTCTTTGTGTTAGGAACATTCCAATTCTGCTGCTAGTTATTTTGAAATATACAATATATTTTTGTTAAGATCTTTTTAAATTTTAAGTCCTCATAACCTTAATAACAGTTGCATTAAAATCCTTGCCTGCTATTCTATTACCTGTGTTGTCTCATCTTTGATTACTACCAACTATGTTTTCTTTGTAACATAGGTTATATTTTTTCTTCTGTTTCTTTAAATATTTAGTAATTTTTTACTGGCTACTGTGCATTATGGATAATACATTGTAGAAACTCTGGATTTGAGTTTGTTTTCTTTGAAAAGTGTTGACTTTTGTTTCAGTTTAGCAGCCAGTTAACTTAGCTAAACTCAGACCCCTTGGTGTGTTTCCTCCATGGTAAGTGGCAGCTGAAATCTCTATTCAGTTCTTCAGACTTCTAGCTGTTGCTGTTTACTGTTGGTGTCTCCCTAATGCATGCACTAAAAAAAAAAAAAAAAAAAAAAAAAAAAAAGAAAGAAAGGTGGAGTATTTACACAGATTTAATGTGATACTCTCCTTTTCCAGACTTTCCAACTAATTTTCCAGTGGCTCTGGAAGTCACAAACTATGCCTCCCATATCTTCAAGCTAGTAAGGCTATGGTTTACTCTGAGTTCTTGTTACCTCCTTCTAAGGCAGCTGGAATTGCCCTCAGACAAAAAGCCATTTACCTGTGAATATCACTCGATACAGTATATTTTTTTTCACAGTTGACGCCTCTCTTGTTCCTGCCTGCTTTTATGCTATGCTTGCCTTTTAATAGTTAGATAAAATATTTTGTCAAGAATTTATACTTGTTTCCTGCAGGTATATTAGTATGATTTAAGCTAGTTCCTCATTATTGGAAATAGAATATCTAATACATATTAAAAATTTACATTTAAAAAATAAATACCATGTTACTATCAAGCTAAAATGATTGAATCATTTATCACTGCATCGGTTCTCAACATATGATCCCTAAAATAAGATATGTAAAGGAATGTTAAATTAAAACAAACAAAAAAGTCTTGAACTAAATTGTTTAAAAAGTGTCCTATGACACAAAATTAAACAGCTGTTTTAATACAATTATTTTCCTTACAGTTATTCCTTTTACATAAAAATTGTTTTATAAACTCAAACAAGTGCTATAAAATAGCAATCATTTCTGACCTTGGTAACTTGGTATTTTACCTTTTGGGATTATTATTCTATGGAAATCTTTCTGTGGAATTAATAGCCTGTAGAATAATATTTTTAAAAATGTTTTCTATTTCCATCCCCTAAGAGAACCATACTCTAATATTTTATATACTTTATAAATATGCATATTCTAAAGTCAAATGCATATTTAATACATTTATTGGTGATGCTATTTTTGTGTATAGTTTATGTACATTTTTGTATGTTAAAATGAACATATGCTAAAATTTAATGAGGAAATTAGGAGGATGACAAACCTGACTCAAAGAAACATAATAAACAGAATATATATCATATACATTCAGGGAAAGCAAAAATAAATAATGCTGAAATAAGATTACGCAACTAAATCCAAAACTAGTTCATCTTACAGACAGAAAATGTAAAACCTTTAGATTTATCTTCTTTTATGGAAAAAATCATTGCCATGTAATTAGCTTCCTACAAATTAACATCTAACTCTAAAGAGTTGTAATTTGTTTGCTGCTAATCAGTGGTAAGTCCAGCAAAAGCATATGCCCTTAAAGCAAGTAGATTTTTAAGCAAGTTTATTAGCATAGCATGATAATGAAGGTCATGCTGTCATCCTTTTTCCTTATTTCTAAGTTTACAATAATTTTTCTTAATAGTCCTTCCTAATGATTAAAAAGCAATCTCTAAGTGGTGTTTAATTTATATAAATGGTATTAGAATATAAATGTTTGAAATCATTTATTTTTTCCTTTCGACATTATCTTTCTTTTGCATTAGATGGATAGATAGATGATAGACCGATCTTGTTTTATACTACCACATGGTATCACATAGTGTGCTTTCACCAGGTGCAGAGCTATAATCTTGGAGCGGGGAAGAGTTTGATGTGATGGAAAAATAAGGTCAAGGGAGAGAAATCTGTAAGACAAGGCTGGTAAGGTCAACTAGGGACATTTTGTAAAGGTCACATGCATAAGGAAAAGTAATATTGTTGTTGAGGCTATACTACGTTACTGGACAAAGGACAGGAAGTGCACCAAACTAATCTCAAGGAAATAATCAAATGACATAAAGATACTCACATAATGTTACTCATAATGTTTTATGCAACAGTGAAAAGTTGAAAAATAAGTCAGTGCTAAATATAGGCAGATGATCATGTAACTGAGAGTAGTATTTCAACTAGTTGATATATTATTCATCAAAAATTATATCGCAAAGAGCTGCAACAGTATACAACAGTATGGGAAACAAAACAACATATAACCTTAAAATATAATGATCAATTATAATGGTACATTTTAAAAAGCTTAAACACGCTACATTCTCAAGAATTTTACTTACAGAAAAATGTACAAATGGACTTGACACTACATGCAATAGTCAAATCAAGTGCTGATAAGCTCAAAAATATTTAATTTTCTTTTTTTGTTATGTTATGTAATACTGTGAATATACATGCTTAAGAATTTAATCCAAATAATCTTCAATTACCTAAGAAAACAGAAGATAATAATAAAATTTTAACGTACAACTTATTATTTAAAATGTATCATACTTTAACTGGGCATTTAAATGCAAGTTTGTGTATTGTAAAAATTGAAATTGGGCTCCTAATAGCCATGATCTTTAGACATGCGTCAACAATAATTCTGATTAAAGACAGAGTGAGCATGGTTAATGTGGACCCTGGGATGTGTAATAGCAGCGAATTGCCATAGTAGGGCATTTCTATAATCAGAAGGATTTTCCAGGTATGGCTTCTCCTTTACATATTTACACTGACTCGAAACTAAAATATGATAAGAGTAAAAGGCCCATTGCATTGCTTACACAAGCTCACAGGTGGCTTAGTTCCAACTCTGCTGATTATGTCAATTAGGGCTCCAAAAAAACTATTTTAGCCATTCCAACTCATAATCAAACAGTGAAAATATTTTAAAATCTCTACATTATTGGCATAATTAAAAAATAGTTATTTCCTATCTCACTGCATATAAAGTGTAACTTATCTTAGAGTTATAGAAAACTGAGATATACAGGCTATTTGATAATCAATCATGAAGTTCATCCCTTCCACCCACTCTGCCTTAAATTTAGAGCTGGATAAACTAAGTGCCCTACTCTATGAAGGGCTTTTCAAAAGATTGGTATCTCAGAAATCAAGTATATCAGTTTCTTATTTTGTACTATCTCCACCTTGGAAATACCTTGGTGCTTTTTCTCATCACTTATCCAAGAAATTATTTTCCAGATTCAAATTACAAATCACATTTGTGATTCTTTCTGTCTGGAAAACAATGCTGTCAAGTGCTAAATTAAATTATGTACACATCAGCAAAACACGTCGAGGTCTGTTGATTTGTGGTAGTATACCACGTATCTCTATCTCTTATGTTCTTCTGTTTTTCTACTTTAAATGCGTGGAATTCTTGACCCTCTCCTGTCCTTTTCCTCTCTCCAACTTCATATTCTGGCTCATCTAGGAAATCTTACCAATCTGAGCCAGAAGGACTATCCAGTCAGAGATTACAGGAAGTTTAGCATATGCGTACCAGGTCAAAATGTAGTAAAAATATTGGATTCCAATCTCCCACTGGCAGCAAGCAAAAAAAATGGATAAAAAACACAAAATGATGTTTTGAAAAAAACTAGACATCAGACAGCAAAGGACAGTTTCCAGAGAAATGGAACAAATATTGTGAACCCAGTGATTGCATATATTACTACCTTGAAAGAATTCCCAGGCTTTGGCACAGAGAGGAGGAACACAGAAAAATCCTAACAGACTTGCTGAGTTGAGAAAGCAGAACTCAGAATCTAGGAAGATTTTTCAGGATAGAGTAACAGAGAAAAGAGAGTGGTACAGAGATAACACTGGAAATCTACAAAGGGTCCCCCTGGACTATTCAACTGAATACTGATCAACACATGCATGTGATAAAATAACTGAGACCAAGGAAAGAACCACTGTAAAGCACTTAAAAGCATAAGAGGTGAGAGTGTTCAGTGTTCATACAGGGCAGAGAATAGTGCTTGTTCCTTCCAGACAGGCTGAAAAATTAGTATTTATAAGCCATTGTGTAGCACACATGAAGGTACTTTTCTTTTTAAGGAAAAGTAGTTTGAGCAGTGCTGTGGTCTCATTTAAAAAAATTGTAAAGGTTGAGTAGGCACGGTGGCTCACGCCTGTAATCTCAGCACTTTGGGATGTTGAGGCAGGTGGATCATGAGGTCAAGAGATCAAGACCATCCCGGCCAACATGGGGAAACCCGTCTCTACTAAAAATACAGAAATTAGCTGGGCATGGTGGCACGTGCCTGTAGTCCCAGCTACTCGAGAGGCTAAGGCAGGAGAATCGCTTGAACTCGGGAGGCAGAGGTTGCAGTGAGCCGAGATCACGCCACTGCACTCCAGCCTGGGCGACAGAGCGAGTCTCTGTCAAAAAAAAAAAAAAAATCGTAAAGGTTATAACCAAAAGGATCAAACTATCTCCAAGCAACTTAACTGCATTCCAGAACAAAGTTAAATATTAATAATATTTATGAAAACACCAAAATACCTAGCACCCAATAAGGTAAAATTCTCAACGTTTTCCTCCAACCAAAAAATATCAGGCATGCAAAAAAAAAATAGGAAATATGACATAGAGCAAGGATATAAATCAATTAATTGAAACAAAAACAAAGCTCAAGCAGACATTAGAATTAACAGACCAGTACATTAAAAGAGTTATTATCACTACTACTAGCATTATTATTAAACTACTTATTAGAGGTAAAAACTACAATGTGTTCACAAAATTTCAGACATAGTAGATAGCAAAAACCCCAAATCAAACTCTTAAAGATGAAAACTACAATGTATGAGTGAAAAACACACTGGGTAAGAGTAAAAGATTAGACATGGAGATGGGCCAAAATGGCTGACTACAAGCAGCTGGTATGCACCATTCTCATAGAGAGAAGTAGAAAGGGTGAGTAAATATAGTACTTTCAACTGAAACATCCAGGTACATGGATTGGAATGCATCAAGCAAACAACTCTACCCACAGAGAACAAAGAAAAGCAAGGCAAAATGACCACCTACCCAGGAGTAACGTGGAGCCAGGAGAGCCTCCCTGCCTAGGGAAGTGGTGAGTTGAGTGAGCAATCCCAGGCACACAAACTTCTCCCATGGATTTTTGCAACCCTTGGGTCAGGAGATCCCCTCATGAACCCACTCCACCGGACCTGCAATCTGACACACAGAGCTACGTGGAGTTTTGGCTGAGCAGCTAATCAGGCACATGCAGCGCCCCAGAAGCTGTATATATTCAGGCTTCCCAACAAAAGCAGATGCAACTCCAGCAAAGCAGGGTTAGACCCCTGTGCTTACCCTTAGGCAAAGGGTTGAATCCAGGGGGTTGAGGAGTGAGGATCTACAGGTCCTGCTTCCACAACATTTCACAGGATAAGACCCACTGACGTGCAACTCCAGCCAGCTACTGGTGTGGCAGCATTACACTTCCCTGAGATGGAGCTCCTATCCATAACCATTGTTGCCTCTGGTGCAGCCACCCTATGGAAAAAGTGGCCAGACTGCCTTGTTACACAGGTCCCCTATCTATTCCTCCACACTCAGTGGGAACTCCCATCTAGGGTATCTAGCCACCCACACCGGTATTTTCCAGCTGGCAGCAGTTTCAGACTTCCCTGGGATGAAGCTCCAGAGGGAGGGGCGGGACACCATCTTTGCTCTTTTGCAGCCTTCACTGTTGATACCTTCAGGTGTTGGAAAATCCAAGGTGACTACAAAGTGGAATGGACCCCCAGCATACTGTAGCACCCCTAAGAAAGTGACCAGACTGTTATGTGGGATACCCATCCAGTACCCTCTCACTGGGCAGCAAAATGGAAAGGAAAGATAGTTATTAACCAATACAAAAACACACTTAAGTACACAGACCATTGACACTATAAAGCAACCACACAAACAACACAATGACAGGATCAAATTGATATATATCAATACTAACCTTGAAAGTTAGCCAGGCTGATCTCGAACTCCTGACTTCAGGAGATCTGTCTGCCTCAGCCTCCCAAAGTGCTGGGATTACAGGCGTGAGCCACCTGTATGTATGTATGTATTTATTTATTTATGAGGTGGAGTTTTGCTCTTGTTGCCCAGGCTGGAGTGTAATGGTGCAATATCGGCTCACTGCAACCTCTGCCTCCTGGGTTCAAGCGATTCTCCTGCCTCGGCCTCCCAAGTAGCTGGGATTACAGGTACCTGCCACCACACCCAGCTAATTTTTTGTATTTTTAGTAGAGACGGGGTTTCGCCATGTTGGTCAGGCTGGTCTTGAATGAATGTGTTTTCTTCACATTCTTGTTCCAATGGAAACCTGGCTGTTCCCCAAGGGCAGTGCTTACTCTGCATTCCTCAATTGCTAGCTTATGTGTCTCTCAACTCATGTACCTCTCTGTACTGCCATTTCTTCTCTCTTCTCCATCAGAAACTCAGCTCTAATCAGTCATAGTTGCATACACATGTAGTCCTAGGTACTCAGGAGGCTGAGGTGGGAGGATCACTTGAGCCCAGGAGTTCACTGTTAGAGTGAGCTAAGATCACAACTCTGCACTGCAGCCTAGGCCACGGAGCAAGATTCTGTCTCAAAAACAAAACAGAACAAAACAAAACAAAACAAAAAAACCCATAAGAACCCAACCCAGTGCTTTTGAAATATACATCACTAAACTACTGTGTATTGCTCATTCTTGTTATTTGGTTTCTTGTCTAATCACATTTATTCACTTACAGTTTTAATACCCTGAATATTCCTGAGGAATATAAAGAGGCAATAATTTTAGCCACAGACATCCTGGTTATATAGAATTGCTCCTGTGTAGAATAAAAATACATACGCTCTTTTTAGTTGAGAGGAAAATATGAAAATCTCATTTTATCTAGCCTTGATTAGAGGGCAATATGTAAGACAAAGAATTCTGTTAGAGAGGAAAGTGTCACCCTGGACTTAGAAATCTTTTTTCATAGATGGTGTGTCCTGTGTTAGGTCTTACTTGGAAGAAAATTGAAGTAAAAAACAGCTTTAAGTAGCTGAATAATTAGGATTAATTAGTAGTTGTTGACTCTAAATCCCTTAAGACTAAATTTCATTGCAGCTCTGTACCCTCAGCAAGACTTCCTTTCTTGATTGTTTTTTCCATTTAATATAAAATTTAAAAGATGCCCATATTGTCAGGTTGTTTTTAGTCACCAGACTGTCTTTAATAGCCTCTGATGTTATAAAACTGGAGTCATGAAATTGTTTCGCAGGAAATAGTGATAATTCCTTCAATAAACATCTGCTATTCTTATAAATATCAAAAAAAAAAAAGTAAACATGCTAAATGGCCCATTTAAAAGGCACAGAGTGGCAAGCTAGATGAAAAAAAAAAAAAAAAAAAACAAGACCCAGTGGTATTCTGTCTTCAAGAGATCCATCTCACATTCAATGACACTCATAGGCTCAAAATAAAGGGATGGAGGAAAATCTACCATGCAAATGGAAATCAGCAAAAGCAGGAGTCACAATCCTAATTTCAGACAAAACAGACTTTAAACCAGCAAAGATTTAAAAAAAAGACAAAAAAGAACATTACATAACGGTAAAGGATTCAATTCAATGAGAAGATCTAACTATCCTAAATATACATGCACCCAACAAAGGAGCAACCAGATTCATAGAGCAAGCTCTTAGAGACCTACAAAGATAATTAGATGCCCACGCAGTAATAGTGGGAGACTTCAACACTCCATTGCCAGTATTAAACAGATCAGAGGCGGAAAATTAACAAAGATATTCAGTACCTGAACTCAACCTTGGACCAAATGGATCTGATAGACTACTGCAGAACCCTCCACCAAAAAAAAAAAAAGATTATGCTTTCTTTTCATCCTCACATGGCACATACTCTGAAATCAACCACACAATCAGATATAAAACAATCCTGAGCCAATGCAAAATAACTGAAATCATACCAAACACACTCTTGGACCACAACACAATAAAAATAGAAATCAAGACTTTAAAATTGCTCAAAACCATGCAACTACATGGAAATTAAAAAACGTGCTCCTGAATGACTTTTGTGTAAATAATAAAATTGAGCCCAAAATCAACAAGTTCTTAGAAACTAATGAGAACAAAGATATAACATACCAGAATCTCTGGGACACAGATAAGGCAGTGTTAAGAGAAAAAATTATAGCACTAAATGCTCACATCAAAAAGTTAGAAAGATCTCAAATTAACAACCTAACATCACAGCTAGAGCAAATCAACTCCAAAGCTAGCGGAAGACAAGAAATAACCAAAATCCAAGCTGAACTGAAGGAGCTCAAGATATGAAAAACCATTCAAATGAATCCAGGAGTTGTTTTTTAAAAATATTAATCAGATAGGGTGCTAGCTAGACTAATAAATAAGAAAAGAGATACCATCCAAATAAATGACAAAGGCGATGTTACCACTGATACCACAGAGATACACACAACCATCAGATAATGCTATGAACACATCTATACACACAAACTAGAAAACCTAGAAGAGATGGTTAAGTTCCTAGACACATAAACCCTCCCAAGACTGAACCAAGAAGAAATTGACTCCCTGAACATACCAATAATGAGCTCTGAAATTAAATCAATAATAAATACCTAACAATGAAAAAAAAGCCCAGTAAAAGATGTATTCACAGCTGTATTCTACCAGATACACAAAGAGGAACTGGTACCATTCCTACTGAAACTACTCCAAAAATTGAGGAGAAAGGACTCCTCTCCAACTCATTCTATGAGGCCAGCCTCACCCTGAAACTAAAACCTGGCAGAGACACAACAAAAAGAAATTTTCAGGCCAACATTTTTAGGAACATTGATGCAAAAAGACTCAACAAAATGCTGGCAAACTGAATCCAGTAGCATATCAAAAAGCTAATCCACCACAATCAAGCAGGCTTTATCCCTGTGACAGAAGGTTGGTTCAACATATGAAAATCAATAAATGTGATCTATCACATAAACACAACTAAAGACAAAGACCACATGATTATCTCAAGAGATGCAAAAAAGGCTTTTGATAAAATTCAACATCCCTTCATTTTAAAAACTCTCGATAATCTAGGTATTGAATGAACATACCTCAAAATAATAAGAGCCATCTGTGACAAATCCATAGCCAACATCATGCTGAATGGGCAAAAGCTGGAAATATTCCCCTTGAAAACTGGCACAAAAGAAGGATGCCCTTTCTCACTACTTCTATTCCATATAGTAAGTCCTGGCCAGAACAATCAGGCAAGAGAAAAAAATAAAGGACATCCAAATAGAAAGAGAGAAACTCAAACTATCCCTGTTTGCAGATGACATGATTCTATATTTAGAAAATCTCATAGTGTTCACCCAAAATCTCCTTCAGCTGATAAACAACTGCAGCAAAGTTTCAGGATACAAAATCAACATTCTCAAATCAGTAGCATCCTTATACACCACCAACAGCCAAACCAAGAGCCTAATCAGGAACACAATCCTATTCAGAATTGCCACAAAAAGAATAAAATTTCTAGAAATATGGTTAATCAGGGAAGTAAAATATCTCTACAATGAGAATTCCAAAGCACTGCTCAAAATAATCAGAGATGACACAAACAAATGGAAAAGCATTCCATTCTTATGGATCAGAAGAATCAATATCATTAAAATGGCTATACTGACCAAAGCAATTTACAGATTCAGTGCCATTCCTCTCAAACTACCAATGATATTCTTCACAGAACTAGAAAAAATATTTTAAAATTCATGTGGAACAAAAAAAAAAAAAAGAGCCTGAATAATCAAAGCAATACTAAGCAAAAAGAACAAATCTGGAGTCATCATGTTACCCAATTTCAAACTATGCTATGAGGCTACAGTATGGTACTGGTACAAAAACAGACGAGTGTAACAGAATAGAGAGACCAAAAATAAGGCCACATACATACAACCATCTGATCTTCAACGAAGCTTACAAAAACAAGCAATGGGGAAAGGACTTTATTCAATAAATGTTTCTAGGATAACTGACAAACCATATACAGAAGATTGAAACTAGACCCCTTCCTTTCACCATATACAAAAATTAACTCAAGATGGATTAAAGACTTAGATGTAAAACCTAAAACTACAAAAACCCCATAAAAAAGTCTAGGAAATACCATTCTGAACAACAGCCTTGGGAAACAATTTATGACTAAGCCCTCAAAAGCAATGGTAACAAAAACAAAAAATTGGCAAATGCAGTCTAAAGAGCTTTTTCCACAGCAAAAGAAACTATCACGAGTAAACAACCTACAGAATGAGAGAAAATATTCACAAACTATGCATTTGACAAAGGTTTAATATCTAGAAACTATAAGGAACTTAAATAAACAAGAAAAAATTGACCACATAGTTGGAAGTAAAGCTCTCCTCAGCATATGTAAAAGAACAGAAATTATAACAAACTATCTCTCAGACCACAGTGCAATCAAACTAGAACTCAGGATTAAGAAACTCACTCAAAACCGCTCAACTACATGGAAACTGAACAACCTGCTCCTGAATGACTACTGGGTACATAACGAAATGAAGGCAGAAATAAAGATGTTCTTTGAAACCAACGAGAACAAAGACATAACATACCAGAATCTCTGGGATACATTCAAAGCAGTGTGTAGAGGGAAATTTATAGCACTAAATGCCCACAAGAGAAAGCAGGAAAGATCCAAAACTGACACCCTAACATCACAATTAAAAGAACTAGAAAAGCAAGAGCAAACACATTCAAAAGCTACCAGAAGGCAAGAAATAACTAAAATCAGAGCAGAACTGAAGGAAATAGAGACATAAAAAACCCTTCAAAAAATTAATGAATCCAGGAGCTGGTTTCTTGAAAGGATCAACAAAATTGATAGACCGCTAGCAAGACTAATAAAGAAAAAAAGACAGAAGAATCAAATAGGCTCAATAAAAAATGATAAAGGGAATATCACCACCGATCCCACAGAAATACAAACTACCATCAGAGAATACTACAAACACCTCTACGCAAATAAACTAGAAAATCTAGACAAAATGGATAAATTCCTCGACACATACACTCTCCCAAGACTAAACCAGGAAGTTGAATCTCTGAATAGACCAATAACAGGAGCTGAAATTGTGGCAATAATCAATAGCTTACCAACCAAAAAGAGTCCAGGACCAGATGGATTCACAGCTGAATTCTACCAGAGGTACAAGGAGGAACTGGTACCATTCCTTCTGAAACTATTCCAATCAATAGAAAAAGAGGGAATCCTCCCTAACTCATTTTATGAGGCCAGCATCATCCTGATACCAAAGCCGGGCAGAGACACAACCAAAAAAGAGAATTTTAGACCAATATCCTTGATGAACATTGATGCAAAAATCCTCAATAAAATACTGGCAAAACGAATCCAGCAGCACATCAAAAAGCTTATCCACCATGATCAAGTGGGCTTCATCCCTGGGATGCAAGGCTGGTTCAATATATGCAAATCAATAAATGTAATCCAGCATATAAACAGAACCAAAGACAAAAACCACATGATTATCTCAATAGATGCAGAAAAGGCCTTTGACAAAATTCAACAACCCTTCATGCTAAAAACTCTCAATAAATTAGGTATCAATGGGACGTATTTCAAAATAATAAGAGCTATCTATGAAAAACCCACAGCCAATATCATACTGAATGGGCAAAAACTGGAAGCATTCCCTTTGAAAACTGGCACAAGACAGGGATGCGCTCTCTCACCACTCCTATTCAACATAGTGTTGGAAGTTCTGGCCAGGGCAATTAGGCAGGAGAAGGAAATAAAGGGTATTCAATTAGGAAAAGAGGAAGTCAAATTGTCCCTGTATGCAGAGGACATGATTGTATATCTAGAAAACCCCATTGTCTCAGCCCAAAATCTCCTTAAGCTGATAAGCAACTTCAGCGAAGTCTCAGGATACAAAAGCAATGTACAAAAATCACAAGCATTCTTATACACCAACAACAGACAGAGAGCCAAATCATGAGTGAACTCCCATTCACAATTGCTTCAAAGACAATAAAATACCTAGGAATCCACCTTACAAGGGACGTGAAGGACCTCTTCAAGGAGAACTACAAACCACTGCTCAATGAAATAAAAGAGGATACAAACAAATGGAAGAACATTCCATGCTCATGGGTAGGAAGAATCAATATCGTGAAAATGGTCATACTGCCCAAGGTAATTTATAGATTCAATGCCATCCCCATCAAGCTACCAATGACTTTCTTCACAGAATTGGAAAAAACTACTTTAAAGTTCATATGGAACCAAAAAAGAGCCCGCATTGCCAAGTCAATCCTAAGCCAAAAGAACAAAGCTGGAGGCATCACACTACCTGACTTCAAACTACACTACAAGGCTACAGTAACCAAAACAGCATAGTACTGGAACCAAAACAGAGATATAGATCAATGGAACAGAACAGAGCCCTCAGAAATAACACCACATATCTACAACTATCTGATCTTTGACAAACCTGAGAAAAACAAGCAATGGGGAAAGCATTCTCTATTTAATAAATGGTGTTGGGAAAACTGGCTAGCCATATGTAGAAAGCTGAAACTGGATCCCTTCCTTACACTTTATACAAAAATCAATTCAAGATGGATTAAAGATTTAAACGTTAGACCTAAAACCATAAAAACCCTAGAAGAAAACCTAGGCATTACCATTCAGGACATAGGCACGGGCAAGGACTTCATGTCTAAAACACCAAAAGCAATGGCAACAAAAGCCAAAATTGACAAATGGGATCTAATTAAAGTAAAGAGCTTCTGCACAGCAAAAGAAACTACCATCAGAGTGAACAGGCAACCCACAAAATGGGAGAAAATTTTCACAACCTACTCATCTGACAAAGGGCTAATATCCAGAATCTACAATGAACTCAAACAAATTTACAAGAAAAAAACAAACAACCTCATCAAAAAGTGGGCGAAGGTCATGAACAGACACTTCTCAAAAGAAGACATTTATGCAGCCAAAAAACACATGAAAAAATGCTCACCATCACTGGCCATCAGAGAAATGCAAATCAAAACCACAATGAGATATCATCTCACACCAGTTAGAATGGCAATCATTAAAAAGTCAGGAAACAACAGGTGCTGGAGAGGATGTGGAGAAATAGGAACACTTTTACACTGTTGGTGGGACTGTAAACTAGTTCAACCATTGTGGAAGTCAGTGTGGCGATTCCTCAGGGATCTAGAACTAGAAATACCATTTGACCCAGCCATCCCATTACCGGGTATATACCCAAAGGACTATAAATCATGCTGCTATAAAGACACATGCACACATATGTTTATTGTGGTACTATTCACAATAGCAAAGACTTGGAACCAACCCAAATGTCCAATAATGATAGACTGGATTAAGAAAATATGGCACATATACACCATGGAATACTATGCAGCCATAAAAAATGATGAGTTCATTGTCCTTTGTAGGGACATGGATGAAATTGGAAATCATCATTCTCAGTAAACAATCGCAAGAACAAAAAACCAAACACCGCATATTCTCACTCATAGGTGGGAATTGAACAATGAGAACACATGGACACAAGAAGGGGAACATCACACTCTGGGGACTGTTGTGGGGTGGGAGGAGAGGGGGAGGGGGGAGGGATAGCATTGTGAGATATACCTAATGCTAGATGACGAGTTAGTGGGTGCAGCACACCAGCATGTCACATGTATACATATGTAAGTAACCTGCACGTTGTGCACATGTACCCTAAAACTTAAAGTATAATAATAAAAATAAAAATAAAAATAAAAAATAAAATAAATAAAAAAATAAAAAATAAAAAATAAAAATGGGCAAAGTACATGAACAGACATGTCTCGAAAGAAGGCATACATGCAGCCAACAAGTATGAAAAAAATGCTCAACATCACTAATCATTGGAGAAATGCAAATCAAAACCACAGTGAAATACCATCTCACACATAAGTCAGAATGGCTACTATAAAAAAGTAAAAAAATAGCAGACGCTGGTGGGGTTGTGGAGAAAAGGGAATACTTATATACTGCGGATTAGGATGTAAATTAGTTCAGCCACTGTGGAAAGCAGTATGGAGATTTCTCAAAGAACTTAAAACAGAACTACCATTTGACCCCGCAATACCACCACTGAGTATATACTCAAAGGAAAATAAATTTTTCTACCAAAAAGACATATGCACTCATATGTTCCTTGCAACACTGTTCACAATAGCAAAGACATGGAATCCACCTAGATGCCCATCAAGAGTGAACTGGATAAATAAAATGTGGTACATACACCATGGGATACTACACAGCCATTAAATAAAAAAAAAACACCTCCCTTGCAGCAACATGGCTGCAGCTGGAAGCTATTGTCCACAGTAAACTAATGCCAGAACGAAAACCAAATACCACGTTTTCACTTACCAGCAGGAGCTAAACATTGAGTGCAAATGGACATAAAGATGGGTACGAGAGACACTGGAAATGACTTGAGGAGGGGGTATGAGAGGGGCATGGGTTGAAAAACTACCTATCAAGTACTGTGCTCACTAACTTGGTGATGGGATAATTTGTAACAGCATCAAGCAATTTACCCATGTAACAAATCTGAACATATATCTCCTAAGCCTAAAATAACAGTCAAAAAATGGGGAAAAAAAGAATGACAATGCAGTGTTTGGTTTAGTATATGACTAGAAGAGCACAAACATCAGGAAGGGAGAAATTGCAATGTATTACTGTAATATTCTTACACAACACATGAATATTATTTGAAAATAGATTGTGTTAAATCATAGATACAAACTATGGACACTAAACATGCAAAATAAATTATAGCTAATAAACAAATTAAAGAGATAAAATGGAATAATACAAACATTCATATAATCCACTCAAAGTCAAGAAAAAAACGAAAAGTAAACAAAGATCAGATGGAATAAACAGAAAACAAATAGTGAGATCATACTCTTTAAAAATCTAATCTTATAAATAATTACATTAAATATAAATGGTGTAACTGCCAATTCAAAGGCAGTAACTTTCGAATGGAACAAAAAGCAAGACCCAATTATATTCTTTCTGCAAAAAAACAATGCACTTCAAATATAAGACAAAAATAAAATAAGTAAATGAATGTAAAGACTATGCCATGCTAACTCTAATAAAATGAAAGTTACACTGGTTATATAAATATAGAAAGTATATTTCAGATCAAAGAATATTACCAGGGAAGAAGAGAAAAAGAAGGTTTTACATAATGTTAAAGGTATAATTTTATGAATTGGACCTCACAATCTCAAATATTCGTGTACCTGATAATGCAGCTTTAAAGTATATAACAAAAAAACTGATCAAACAGGAAGAAATAGACAAATCTAGAAGTACTGTCAGATATTTCAGTATCCCCCTATAATTGACATTAAATGCACACAGAAAATTATTAAGCATCTACAGAACTTGAACAGTGCTACCAACTGACTTAACCTAATTGAGTTATAAAACACACAGAACCAGAAACGGAAGAATACACATTCTTTCTGAAAGCACAGAGAACATTTACAAAGATGGACTATATTCTATCCATAAAGTTTAAAGGGTTAATGTATACAATGACATCTGATAACAAGAAAATTAAATTAGAAATCAATAACAGTCAAATATTTAAAAAATCCTCAAATTTTGGAAACTAAATAATTCATAGATAAAAGAAGAAATTGAGAGTGGGTCAAAAATATTTACCAAAATAAAAATTAAAATACAATGTACCAAAATTTATAAGATGCCACTAAAGCAGTACTTATTAATAAGAGGAGAATTTAGGGCATTAAATACTATAAAGGTACCAAATTAATGACTTCACCTTTATTTTAAGAAACTAGAAAAAGAAGAGCTCGAATTTGTGGTAGAAAGGAAAGAGTAAGTACTGGAGTGACAATCAATAAAATAGAAAAGACAAAAGAAAAAATAAATGAAGCCAAAAATTCGTTCTTAGAATGAGTAATAAATGTGATAAACATTCAGTCATACTTACTAGGGAAAAAATGGGAGAAAACATAAGTTAGAAATATCATGAATTAGAAGTGACATCATTGAAGAGTCTACAGACATTAAAAGAATGATAAGAAAATATATTTTTATAGTCTTAACACCATACATTCAGTTACCTAGATAAAATGAACAAATAAATTTCTTGAAAGTCACAAAGTATAAGTGCTCACTGATAACTGAATACATAAATAATGTTAATATATTGATATCAATTTATTAAGTTAGATTTGTAGGAAAAAAAAAAAACTTCTCACAAGAAAAACTCCAGATACAGATAGCTTCACTGGAGAAGAAAACCAAACATTTCAAATAAATAATACCCATTATACACCAACTCTTGAAGAAAATTTAAATGAAAGAAATGCTTCCTGCCTTAGTCTGCTTTGATTGCCATATAAAATACCAAGACTGCATGGCTTAAACAACAGAAATTTATTTCTCAGAGTTCTGAAGGCTAGATAGCCTAAGGTTAAGATGTGAGTAATATAAGATTCATTCTGAGTACTCTTGAGTCATAAGTAGTTGCCATCTCTGTGTGCCCACAAGACCTCTGGACACACAGAGAGGAAGGGAAAGAAAGAAAGCAAATTCCCCCATGTGTTTTCTTATAAGGGCACTAATCCTATCATGAGGGTTCTAATCCTTCTGACCTCACTCTGACCTTAATTACCTCCCTACAGCCCCATCTCTAAACACCATCACACTGGGAGTTAGGACTTAAACAAATAAATTTTGTGAGAACACAAAAGTTCAATTCATATCACTTTCCAACTCATTCTATAAAAATAACATTACCCTGATTCTAAAACTAGTTTAAGATATTACAGGAAAAGCACAGACCAATATCCCTCATGAGTGTAAATACTAAAAATCTAAAGAAACTTAGAGAAAATTGAGCTCAATGACATATTTTTAAAAAGACAATACATCATGATCAAGTGGAATTTATCCTGGGAATGCAATACTGGTTTATCAGAGGATCTGTCAATGCAAATCACCATATTAATAAGCCAAAAAAAACAAACAAAAAACCAAGTTACATATAATAATTTCCATGCAGAAATACTTTTGACCAAATTCAACTTCCATTTCTTTTTTGTTGTTGTTGTTGTTGTTGTTGTTTATTTTGAGAGAGTGTCTCACTCTGTCACCCAGGCTGGAGTGCAGTAGTATGAACACGGCTCACTGAAGTCTCAACTTCTGGGGCTCACACTATCCTCCTGCCTCTGCCTACCAAATCAACATCCATTTCTTAAGTATTTGATAACACAACATATTAAATTAAGTAATAATTTAATTGTACATTAAAAATAACTAAGAGTATAATTGGATTGTTTGTAACACAAAGGATAAATGCTTGAGGGGATGGATAGCCAGTTTTCCATGATGTGATTATTATACATTGCATGCCTCTACCAAAATATCTCATGTACTCCATAAATATATAAAGCTACTGAGTACCCAGAAAAAAATTAAAAATAAAATTTTAAACTTTCAGCAAACTAGAATTAGAAGAGAACTTCTGTAACTTAATAAAGGGCATGTGTGAAAAACTTACAAGTAATAGTTCTACGTAATGACTTTGGATCTGATTACAGGCCTGTATTCCATTACAAAATCCATCTAACTGCGTGCTTAAAATCAGTAAATTTTGTTTTATATAAATGATATTTCAGTGAATCTGGTGAAAAGTTACATTATAAAATCTCTCATGTAGAATGTTATTTTACCTTGCACGCTACTAATCATTATCAGAACATCACCTATAAATTTTTATTGAAAGGGGCTTCTCACCCCCTCCTCCACACACAAACTACTCCATTTTAAAACACAAATCATGACAAATTATTCCTTTCATCAAGAAAAATGGTGTCTATGTAACTTATTCCCAAGTGTTGTAATCTATTTTCTTCAGTGATATCTTCCTGCCAACAATTCATCATATTTTGTTTTCAGACCTTTAACAATGATATAAATTTTATGTATCAAAAATATTATAACAACCCATTTCTACTTATGTGTCAAATCTTTCCTCCTAATTATTTTATTTCTTCCACTTAATAAACAAATGCCCCGGGTTATTACAATTTGCTTTTCCCCTGGAGAGTTTTATACACTTTATTTACACTGCCTCACCAAAATTATTAACAAGAATATCTTATTATTATTACATTATAGTGTCCCCAGGCAGAACCTGAAGTCTTGCTGAAACTAAAAGCTGGCAGAAGCTATTGATATTTTTATACAGTTCCAGGTAAGACAATAGAGAGAGGTTAGCATAAAGAGCTGAAGCTATTTGGGCTTCTTAATGCAACATAGATGAAAAGAGTCAAGAATGTAGTCCCAGCCTACCAAAAAAATAAAAACAAGAAAATTAGAGCAGGTGATAGAAAACCAGGGTCAGAACAAAACTGACAATTAAGGGTTGCAGATAACTGCAAACCAAGAGTCAGAGACTTGAGAGCAATGTCAACAAAGGTAGAGGAATTTGGGACTAATACATCAGCGAATTACTGGGATCTTCAGAATCAAAACAAAAATGAAATAGGAAGCATTCACAAGGTTTAAACTTGAAAAAGTATGTCTGGATCAAAGCATCTATTTGCAGATAATTACCCCCAAGTTTCTGTCTACAATCACTAACTTTAATCAAATGATCCTCTGATATGCCCGTGCTCACATAGGCCTTGCTCTTCTGGCCCTGCAATACTTTGGACCAGAAAACAGATTGATGCAATGAAGGGAGGAGAATCAGAATGAACAGTTTAATTAAAATAACATTTTTAGCTGAATTCTCAAGGTATTTACGTCTAAACCAGATATCTTTCTCTCTTTCTCTTTTTTTTCTTTCTTTCCTTTTTTTTTTTTAGACAGAGTCTCACTCTGTCACCCACGCTGGAGGACAGTGGCACGATTTCAGCTCACTGCAGCCTCTGCCTTCCCAGTTCAAGTGATTCTTGTAGCCTCCTGAGTAGCTGGGATTATAGGCATGTGCCGCCATGGCCAGCTAATTTTTTTTTTTTTTTTTTTTTTTTTTAGTAGAGACAGGGTTTCACCATGTTGGCCAAGATGGTCTTGAACTTCTGACCTCAAGTGATCCACTCTCCTTGGCCTCCCAAAGTGCTGGGATTAGAGCCGTGAGCCATCACGCCCAGCCCCAGAGAGCTTTCTTACTTGAAATTCTTGTTTCTATCTATGCTTTGGCTTTTCTTACCATTTTGATGTGTTCTTGGTATCACCTTGAAAAGCCCTGTTACTGGTTTCTCCTTTCTCATCCCGTGATTCAGCTCCATGGATAGCAGACTAGAGTTGTAGCCTACATAAGAATGTGGCTATAATTTTGCATATCCTTGGCTTCTCACTCTGCCCAGTCTTTATTTCACAGTAGCAGCAATCACATATTGACAAGACGTATTGTTTAGAAGACTTTTCTAAGACTTACAGAAAGTGCTTGCTAGAAGTATGTCTTGGATTATAATATCATTATTAATACAGCAATAGTGTTTAAAGAGTATTCCAGGATTCCAATGAATGTATTTTAGGCAACAGAGTTAAGAGCTCTTGTCCAACTGGGCTTGTTGAACTGTATCTCTAGTCATCATTGTCCCA
This sequence comes from Homo sapiens, assembly GCF_000001405.40. NCBI lineage: Eukaryota > Metazoa > Chordata > Mammalia > Primates > Hominidae > Homo > Homo sapiens. Next base: position 137,145,673 of record NC_000007.14, read on the forward strand.
TTTGTTCTTAATAGAGTTATCACTTGAATGAAATGAAATTCTAAGCAAAATAAAATAATTTGAGTTAGGTCAGGAAGAGAAGTTCTGATTTGAGAAAGCTACATAGAGTTCAGAGAAGCTGAGAGAATCTAGAGAATCTCTGGGTTCTTCGTTCTTCCCACTCACTACACAATATACACAGAAATTTACCCTTAAAATTTCATCTCTCACTTTTTTCTTATCATTAATATTTTTTTCCTATTTCACCATTTTCCTGAATTCTGTTTATATTTAGTCTTACTACAGAACTTACTGGCTACTAGGTTGTAATTTAGAAGGACATTTCCTTGCAGATATATTCTGGAAGATGTCACTATCAGCAGCAGAAATTCAGCTGTCCTGACCAATAAGAAACATTCCGTTGGTCTTTGCACAAGAATGTGCCCACTTGGACTGTTTAATGAATTGTAGGTCTCACAAATTGCAGCCACTGTGTCTAAGGAATGTTCTCTCTCATTAAACAAATTATATTATTTCTAGGCCTCCCCCACACTCAAAACATACTCAATTTTCTTAATGACTCTGTAAGACAAGGTTTAGATAATACAGAAGGCATGGATATAGTATGATACTGAGGTCATAACAAATATTCAAAGTGACTCATGGAGTGTTAGCCACAGGGATTTGCCTCCTCTCTGAGGGATTTTGTTTTTGTAGGTTCACTCATAAAGATTAAAAGAAATAGGCAATGGGATAGTAAACTGGAAAATATATTTGAAGACATAATTCAATTTCTATCCAGTGGCAAAAAAAAAAAAAAACCAGCTAAGACGTTATAATATTGTCTCTGCCTTTTAATTCTCTAAGTGAAACCAGACTATCATGTAATAAATCTACTTTAAAGTGATTCTTTTAAAGGTAAAAAGTTGAAGGTAACCACAGAGAAGAATTTTAACCTTATGAGTAATAATCTAAAATGGTTTTTGTATTTATGTCTAAAACGAATGCATTGTCGGAGCAATCTGACCACGCAAATTCCTGTTACTGACGGGCAGAGCTGGGATTCCTGTTGTAAGCCTGATGTGGCTGTCTTCCTCTCCCTGTTCCATTTCTAGAAGTTGTAATGTTAAGATGCCACAATGCCTGCTGATGGTACTAGACAGAGTATTGCAGATGTTCTTTGAATACAAATACTGCCTGCCTCACATACCCGTGAGAATAGCTGCAGAATGGAGGCCATGATTAGAGGATGGAATTCAATGACCATTACTCCTGCTTATGTTATTAATTAGAAACATTCTACACATAAACAAGAGTTTCGGAGGAGCCTGTTATTAATGTAACAAAGAGATCTTTTCAGTATCTGCCATTTACACACACACGGTTCTCAGTGATTCCCAGAAATTGTTAGTAAAATCAAGTTGTTTAGAGCGCATGGCCAGATTTTTCTCATTTCCCAACCTCTGTGCAGAGCATGCTGGAATGAGTTATTGAGGGAAACTCTAAGAATAGAAATACTATTAATTCATGCATGTATAAAGTGCTTAACAGCTTACAAAACACATGCATACCTGCTACCTCATTAATCTTCACAACCATAAGAGATATGTTACTGATATTATTGCCATTTTACAAAGAAGAAAAAAAGGAGGTTTGGGAAGCATAAATAACTTTATAGGATCACATGGCTATTAAAAAGTGGAGTTGGAGCTACCATTTATATTTTTGATTGCAAGTGTGGGGAGTATCTACACTGAACTAAAAAATGACCAGCTAGCTCCAAAATAGAAAATACCTATAATTAGGCATGGTCCTCTCTGAACATAGCAAGTTATCTTTGCTGAATGCTAGATGTACATTCCACGCATAGAAGCAGAGAGGGCATTGGTGGAATTTGGTGCCTCTCCAAGCAGTGCTCCTTAGAATGCGATTCACATATTGGGTTGGTCTGCTGTTCGTAACTGGTCTCAAAGGAGATAAGTGCCAACATGGAGAGTAAGCATTTGGAATGTGGCATGGCAACTTCACAGAGTAAATCTGTATCTGTTGAATGACAAAAAATTGGAGTTTATATTTTGAATGTCCTTTTAAAAAAGTTTTATATTTTGTATTCATTTATGTTTATTGTATTTTACAAAAGGAGCAGCCCACAAGAAATTGTGGGAAGAAAATGGTTCCTCTCCCAGTTTTGCGTGCATGAGAAGCTCCACTTCAGGGGAGACTCACCTTGCCAAACTAGAGAATGCATCTGTGTTCAAATTCCTCAGGGCATCCTTAACAAGCTGTGTTCCACTCCACTGAATTGGCTTCCCGTGGATTCTCTCTGAAGGGCCCCTACATATTGTTTCCTGAGGAAACCTGAGTTTACACCAACATATCCTTGTCTGTAATGACCACTTCTGAAGAGTGGTTGCATTAGTTTTCTCTTGCTGTGTAAAAAGTTAGCCCAAACTCACTGGCTTATAACAACACCCATCTATTATCTTACAGTTTTGGTAGGTCAGAAGGCAGGGCACACATAACTGAGTCCCCTGCTCAAGGCCTCACAAGGTTGAAATCGACATGTTGGTAGGACTGCATTTTCATCTGGAGTTCAAGGTGCTCTTCCAACTCAGGTATGTTGCTGGCAGAATTCAATTTCTTGTGGCTGTAGGACGGAAGCCCTGTTTTCTTGCTGTCAGCCAAGGAGTGCCCTCAGGTCCTAGAAGCTGCCTCAGGTCTTAGCCAAATGGAGCTCACCAGAGGCAGTTCACCACATTTGTTTTCTTCCAAAGGAGTGGGAGAGAGATTCCAGTGTGTGACCTTCTTTTAAAAGGGTTACCTGATCAGGTTAGGCCCACCCAGGACAATCTCCCTTTTGATTAGCTCAAAGCCAACTGATTAATAGCCTAATCAATGACCTGGTATCCTGTTATGTTCATTGGTCCCAACAACAGTGAAACCGAGAAGATTATACCTGGCATGTATGTTCAGATGAGAATTTAGGGTGCATTTTAGAATTCTCACTACCACAGAGGTCGACACTTGATAAAAAGACACAAGGAAAATGCATTGCTCTATGAACTTGTCTTGCTACTCTCTTTAAAAAGTTTGCCTGGTAATACTATTAATTAAAATGTGTTACATTTCATTTATGTTGAACTTCACTGATTCCATTCCAGACTCTGCCCTCAATTTCAGAGAAGGAAGAATCATCTGTCTTAAGAGGTGTTTTGATCTTAAAATGCCAAAACAACAGTCTCTAGAGCCTTCATGAATCAAATTCAGACCCATCAATGCTTTCTACTGTGGCACTGCCAGATTGCTGGAATTATACTCATTACATCCAGCAGTTATGGGACTATGGGACTGTAAATGGAATAGAGCACATAATCTTAGGATGAGGTCAGGAGAAGTCAGACTTTGAAACTAACAAAATGGACACATAGTACAATGCATGACAGCATCTGTAACACTTCTTGGAGTGAAGTCTTTTAGATAATTTACTTTGGAAACTAAGGCACCAAAACCAAGATAAAATGAAATAAACTACAATCTTAGAAATCATAATAGTTCTGTCACTAGGTAATGTTATAACAGGAGGTTTGAACATGAATAAAAAATGCTGGAGAAGAAGTCATCAAAAATTAGAATTTTGCAGTCTCCAGTACTATTTAAAGACAATGAAACTCAAAATCATTGACTTAAAAAAAGAAAGCAATACCTGTGGTGGTTACACACAATATGAAGGAGTATCACTGAAGCTTAATAACTTTTCTCTTAATACCATTCAATTCTGTTCATTAGCAATAGGCACTAGCATTTATATGGTACTTTCAAAAAGAATATTTCATGTTTTTATAGACACACTTCAATTTATTCTAAGCTTAAAGTGTCAAAACCTCCTTCTCATGATGGTTTGTTTTGTCAAGTAGATTGTCTTAGTTAAAAAAAAAAAAAACAGACAAAAAAAGCAAGCAAGAAAGGTACTCTATGCAATAGTTAGAACCCTTTGGTGCTGCAACGAACAAATTTCTTCTAACTAAATTAAAGTGGCATTCACAAAAAGGATGACAAAGGACAATTCTTTTTTTTTTTTTTTTTTGAGACGGAGTCTTGCTCTGTCCCCCAGGCTGGAGTGCAGTGGCGCAATCTCGGCTCACTGCAAGCTCCGCCTCCCGGGTTCACGCCATTCTCCTGCCTCAGCCTCCCGAGTAGCCGGGACTACAGGCGCCCACCACCACGCCCGGCTAATTTTTTGTATTTTTAGTAGAGACGGGGTTTCACCGTGGTCTCGATCTCCCGACCTTGTGATCCACCCGCCTCGGCCTCCCAGAGTGCTGGGATTACAAGCGTGAGCCACCGCGCCCGGCCGACAAAGGACAATTCTTAAAAAGACATATAAACATGACATACAGATGTAAACACATGGAAGATTTGGAAGATTTTATTTAACTCATTAATTAATAAGAGAAATCATAGATGCTGTAACTATTTCAAAAAGCACTCAAAGTATCACACACTCAGTCTTATTAGAAATGCTGAAACATTTACAATGGATGCAAAAACTAATAAAACTGATTCATATTTAATATCCACAGATTGATAATCAATTGCATTCCACCAGACATAATTTGGATTTCTATGGACAGGAATCATTTGCATTGCTATTGGATTTCTACAGGTTAACTTCTTGTCAGCATTGTGAAACAGCCTAGTTAAAAACAGAATAAAATGAAGGCAGACACCTCTACAGGATCAGACAATCCTTGGAGGTTTCAGCATTTCACTGAAATGATATCCAGCAATCTCTTTTGCCCATTTCAAAATCTTGCCCTTGTATATAGAAAGATTTCCTAGACAACAAGTAAAGGATTCAGCAAGACTCTAGGAACAGGCCTGGAGTGGCATGCATTATTGAACTTAAAATATATTTTGCCTCCACTTTGGCTTTTTACATGCTTGCTCTCTCTTGCTGAGTACTTATTTTCTCTCTTTACAAATCCAAATAGTGGATAATGGTAAGGAACTAATTACTCTCAAGTTTATATGTGATATGTTGAAAAGCCCAGCCAACATTACTAATTTTTACATTACAGTGATGCAACCCAACCCTGAGGGTATAGTTACTCTTAAATGAACAGAATACACTAAATTTTTGACCTGAGCAGCATAATCTGGACTTCTTTGTGCTCTACCAAAGAATAACTACTTAGTGAGGCCCACAGAGAAAGAAGGAGGTGAATCAGTTAACATTAACATCAGTGGAGACAATCATATTATCCTCTCAGCCATGGCAAAGGGCTGGAGATGAGGGGGCTATTATAAACTAACTTTATTTTTACCAGTTTAGTGATCTTGTATAGATCAAAGTTTACAATTATCTGCCCTTTTGGGGGGTATAAATACTAAACTTAGAAATTCTAACTTTCAAATTAATGTATCTTTTTACTCAACCTTTCCTTTCCTAAAGACAGGCTTCCTGCTCCAGATTTGCTAACAGAAGGGGACACTGTGGGAACATCTTGATAATTGAGACATCGTTAGTCTAATTACTTATATCACACCCCTGCTTCACCTTCACCCTCCCCCATTTCTTCGAGAAGCATCTGCTAAATGTCAGTAGTTAAGATGTGTCAGACAGAATCCAGAACTGCATAGCTTAGTTTGCTGGGAGGTAGCCAGAGAGGAGAAGAGGAAGAAAAATATTCCTTTCTTTCAAATTCTTTTTTCAGTTGTTATGCTGATTGTTTTACAAAAGAGAAGAGTCCAACAAAAATCTAAAGATAGATAATTTTGTGCCTGAGTGAGTATGCGTGAGCACATTGGCGGGGGGGGGTTGTGTGTGTGAGAGAGAGAGAGAGAAAGAAAGATTTGCCAGTCAGGCAACAGTAAAGGTATACACACATGCGGGAAAAGGCATGACATCATTGGTATGATTCATTTGGTTGTTAATGATTTAATGGCTCTTTAAATAGGATGGAGAGTGGAACATATATAAAACTCAGCATACCACTTATACCCTGATGGATCAGACCTTAAAATATAGCTATTGAACTAGACGCCAGTCATTTCTAGGTCTGACTACCTGGGGAAGATAGCTATTACTAGCTGTTGATGGTCAAAATTATATATGTTGTATATAAAATGTAGAGGTAATAAAAATGTTCTTTTCTTCAAACACCACCACCTCATTTTCTAAGTAATGATGTCATCTACAATCACTAAGTATACTTGTTCAATTCCACAGAGTGGTAGTTCTCAACTTGGGGTACCCGTAGAAGACAGAATTCCATTTCAGACTTACTGCATCAGAATACTCAGAGGAGAAGTCCATTTTCAAAACCCCATAATATATTCTTATCTACACCAGGGTTTGAGAACCACTTTAGAGAAGGCTCCTGGTCTCTCTGAGCAGCCAGATCTATAATATCAGTAGCCATTACTAGGGAAAGGACATGTACAGTACAGGGTGGGGATATAAAATGGGAAGAAAACAGTAATAAATGTTTTTGGAAAATAAGTAATCATGAAAGCACAAGTCATTTAATAACTTGTTCATTATAGTATAGAAAGACCAAGGGAAAATATAAATATATACATAATTTATCCTCTACCTACTCTCACTTTTAGTTTAGACCACCATTGACATGTTTCTCCTCACCAGACTAAACACAGGTAACTCTGTATTCTCAATGAGGGTAGGGACCTTGCTGTGCTCTTTGCTGTATTTTCAGTTTGGGGCATGTAATATGAATGTAAATATTTGTTGAACAAAAAGAATTATGTACTCAGAATCAGAAATAATTTTGGGTTATAACTTCTTTGACTTAGACACAATTTTTTAATTTTTGTTCTGTTCTGTTTGGCTAAGCTTCACTATTCCGAGAAATGATTATGGCGCAAAAACCCTTCACGTCTTGTCTACTTCATTCCATCACCAGGGACATAGAAGAGCTTTTACTACTCCACAGTGCCATATGCCTCTGAAGTCAAATGTCCCTCCATGTTCCCTAATGGGGAACAAATTTTTCCATTTGTTCCCCGTTAAAATAATATAAAATTTTTCATCAAATTCATATTCTTTGCTCCAATATCTGAATTTTGTTTTCAGGGCCATTAACAAAATCAAAAAAGTAAAATATAGTGGACAGATGCACCTTGTTCCTGCTCCTTTCCCCTGAGCATATCTCATTCATGTATATATGAATATATATATTCCCCTGAGCATATATCATTCATATATATACACATATATGAATATATATACACACACATATATGAATATATATACACACACATATATGAATATATATACACACATATATGAATATATATACACACACATATATGAATATATACACACATATATGAATATATATACACATATATGTATATATATTCATATATATGTATATATACATATATGTGTATATATATTCACATATATGAATATATATACATATATATGAATATATGTATATGAATATATATACACATATATGAATATATATTCATATATGTGTATATATGTATATATATGCACATATATGAGTATATATACGTATATATGAGTATATATACATATATATGAGTATATATACATATATATGAGTATATATACACATATGAGTATATATACATACATGAGTATATATACATATATGTGTATATATACATATATATGAGTATATACATATATGTATATATATTCATATACATGTATATATATTCATATATGTATATATTCATATACATGTATATATATACATATATGAATATATATACTCATATATGAATATATATACTCATATACATGAATATATATACACATATACATGAATATATATATACATATATATGAATATATATACACATACATATATATGTATGTATGTATATGTGTGCGAGTGTGTGTGTGTGTGTGTGTGTGTGTGTGTGTGTTTGCTTGTTCCTTAGTAGAAAGATGTTACTTTTGGCCATGAAATCACCCACTTCTTCTTCCAACTGTAGCAAAATTAACACAAGTGGAACTTTTGCTCACTTCTCTTGTTTCTATAATTTACTATGTGGTTCAGGCCTTTAGTTGAAACTGCTTTGAGTTATTAAAGGGAACAACATGTTTTCCTTTAACTGAACATTTTACAACATTTAATAAACCAAAATAACTCATTCATAGAAATATATTTATTGGACATCTCCTATGCTTCAGGCACTGGGGGTACAAGTTGAATAAGGCACAGTCTCTGGACACTTTCTAGGGGAGAAGACATACAATCAATATGTGTAAATCAAGGATTACCATGTGAAAACTATCCTGGTAGAAATATTGATATGGTTCCATGAGAGTACAGAAAAAGGATAACAAAACATGACTAGATTCTAAGGAAAGACTGCTTAGTAGAAGTGATGCTTGTACTGAAGCTTCGAAGACGCCAAAAAGCTACATGATAAGTATGTGTTGGAAGGGAGTAGAACACTCTTAAGGCAAACTGAATGACAGTATTAGGTATGAAAGTGTGAAATATAGGAAGACATATTTGGGAAATTAGAGTCTGGTACAGTTGGAAAGCATACGGAAGTGTGGAGGGAGATTGCAATACAAGCAGTAGAATGAGACGGAGAACGTATGGCAATTGAACAGAAGTAAATAAACTGATGGGCAGAGAGTTCAGAAATAGACTCAAATATAACTTAGTGTATGACAAAACTGTTAGTTCAATATGAGAAAGGCAACTGACTTTTCAATAGTGGCTGGGGCAACTGGGTAGTCATCTAGGGCAAAAAAAAAAGAAAAAACTGTAGCTCTATCTTACTTACAATAGCAAATTCAATTTCAGTTGACTCAAAATGCACAAATCATAACATAAAGTCTTCAGAAGAAAATATAGATAATGATTTTCTTATTAGTGGTGTCCTCTATAAGACATGACATCTAAGGTAAGAAAATGTAAAGAAAAATGTTGAACATCCTACTGACTTTTAAAAGAAGAGCAAGAAATTTTGAATTACGTAAGTAGCTTAAAAAATTTAAGGTGCTACTGACAAAATGGAAATATACACCTGCAATATAATTTTGATAACAGTGAATTTAGTAGTTACCTTTATTATCATTATTATTTTATGTTTTTTTATCATTTATAGGCATCATTTAATTTAATCATTTCAATAACTCTGTATTCCTATTTTACAAATGAAAGATACATAAATCTCAGTAAGCTTGTTCAAAGTCCTAGAGCTAGTAATTCTTGCACTACAGTTTGCACTAAGCTTGGATTGATTCCAAAGCCTATGTACTTAAAAATTATAATACTACATCATAAAAGGATAAATATCCATTTACACAAAAATTCCTACAATCAATGAAAACCAAAAAAAAGTATGTTAGAAAGAAAAATGGGTGAAGTATAAGAACAGATGACACTTTCTCTTTCTCTTTTAACCCCTTATTACTCATACATTGCCATATACATAAAAATTGGCACTAAGTAGTAAAAAAAAAAAAAGAAAATATTTACTAATCAAAAACAAAACATAAAAATTAGAAACAAGACATTACTTTTTACCTATCAATTTGGCAAAGATTAAGAAAACTGATTTATCTACTTTGAAGATAAAGTGAGGGAAATATCCTCCCTGGTACTTTTAATGGGAGTATAAATATGCATAAACTTTTGAAAAGTATTTTGGAAACATTTACCAATGTTTTAGTTTATATATCCTTTGACTCAGAAGTCACATACAGGTACATTTCCTAAATTGCTGATCAGATAAGCATGCAAATTTGCAGATAACATGCAGATAATTCATCACATTCAAAATGTTTCAAGAACTAGAAACAATTTGAATGTCCAGCATTATGGAATTGGTTAAATAGAGTCCAGTCATGTATCCTGGTTTTCCTAGGACAATTCCAGTTCATGGCTCTTGTTTCATGATGACTGTAAATAGGGTTCCCTTTCACTCTCAAGTTGTTTCATTTTGAAAAAGTATAAGATCAGCTTATTTAAATATTTTAAACAATACATTTCTCTATGGTCATTGAAAATGACAATGTAAATCTCTATCATCTGACATTAAATGTCTTATGTAACAGTTTTGAATTAAAAAGACAGTGTATAAAACAGGTTACAAAATATAACTACTATAGTTTTAAATATGTATAAATGTGTATGCACACTCATCTATCTATTAGATATTTATTACTATCATAAATTAATAACTGGTGGGCTTCAGGCAGTTTTTTATTATTCATATTTTTATAGTTTGAACTTTACAATAAACATATGTCACAATAAATACAATGAAGCTGTTTTCATTTGAGAAGAAAAGCAGGTCATGAACATGCAGATATCTGGTAAATCAGATAATATTTTTAAAAAGTAAGTTAAACAAATTTCTTTGTGCCTATTAGATATTAAAGTAAACTCTTCAAGTTAAAATACATTTAGTTTCAATATAAAATATTATTTTTATGAAAAGGCACAGAGGCTTATTAAATTCAATAAAAGTTAATCTTATTACTAATATTTAGTAAAGAGATATATGATGGATGGATAGATAGATAAATAGGTAGAGGACAGTTCCAGAATTAAGCTACCAAGTATTTAGATAGATAAATAGATATAGTTCCAGAATTAAAGCTACCAAGTACTTCTTCCAGGAGCAGTTTGGCTTTTCCCCTGTGGCCTCTGCCTAGGCTGGTGTACCCTGTGGAGCACCGAACATTTGTGACAGGGCCAGCTGTGGCAGATGCTACTCCAGGATGACTTGAAAGTAGGGCATCCTTAACCCATCTGAAGAGGGAAAATAGTGGCACGCAACAGTCTGCATAAGGGTTTTTCAGATACCTTCACCTGAATGAGAAACCTGCCTCTAACAGGACCTCAGATGTCTGATAGAGCTGTGTGACACCAAGATAAGTAATGATGTCAGCAAGGTGGTAGAATAGGATAGTCTAGTGCTCAGCACTTTACAAAAATATCAATTTGAACAACTATCAACACAAAATAATACCTTCACAAGAGCTAAGAAAACCAAGTGAAAGATTACAGCATCTGGGTGTAACAAATAAATAAGAAAAGACTGATTGAAGGGAATAAAAACAGTTTCTCATTACCCACATTATTCTTTCACTCATCCCAGGCAGTATGGCTCAGATACCTATTGCATGGGAAAGGAGAATGAAATGAGAAGCAGATTTTCCTCTTACCCCAACACAAGCCCCACCTCAGTAAAACTCAGTAATAGGCAGGTCCCCACAGCCTCATACTCCAGGCTGGTATCTGAAGACTTAGAATCCATCCAGGTCAGGCTCAAGCACCTGTAAATCTTCACTTCAGGCTGGCTCTTAACATATAGGCTCTAAGTCCACTGCTACAAACCAGGTAACAGGCTAGCCTGGCCATTGATCACACCATATTGTGTGAACAGAATCTCTGAATAAGCTGACTGATGAAGGGTTTTCTCTACTGAAGGCAATCTGTAAAGACTGGAATAAGTACCCACTTTTTCAGATGTACAGACAGTAATGCATGACCATAAGAATCATGAATGATCAACAAAATGTAACACTGTCAAAGAAACATAACAAAGCATCAGTAATCAACTCTAAAAATGGAGATGTATGGACTGCCTGACAAATAATTCAAAATAATCCTACTGAAAAAGCTCAAATGAGCTGCAAGAGAATACATATAGAGAACTACATGACATCAGAAAAACAATACATAAACAAAATGAGAAGTAAAACAAAGAGATAGAAATCATTAAATTCTGGAGCTAGAGAACACAATAGGTAAACCAGGAAATTCCATTAAGAGCTTCAACAGTAGACTCTCAAAAAGAAAGAATCAATGAACTTGAGATAGGTCATTTGAAATTACCCAGTAAGAGGAACAAAAACTAAAAATAAAAAATAATGAAGAAACTATAAGACACTGTCAAGAGAACCTATATACATGTGTTGGGTATTTCAGAAAGAACATAGAAAGAGGCCGAAAGTGTATCTAAAGAAAACTTTCCAAATCTGGAGTAATTAATATCTGATTCCATGAGGCCCAGAGAACCCCAAATATATTAAAGATATGTTCACCTAGACATAATCAAATTCTCAAAAGACACAGAGTTTTGAAATTTATTCATATATGTACATATATATGCGTGTGTATATATGTATATGTAATATATTCAAACACTCCTCCATAAACCCTGCTGCCCCTTCCCATGCCACTGCTGGAAGAGAAGCCATGGTTAACAATTTTCTGCTTTTAAATAGCCTTTAAAAATAACCCAGTTAAAGGGAATTAAATGTGTACTAGTAAATTTCTGAAGCCACAGCTCTGCTGTAGACAGCATACTAAAATATTGAAAATCTCTACCTTTGTCTCTAGCTGTAAGACCATAGGCAAGCTTCTTAACCTCTTGTGTAAAACAGAAATAATGGTGCTTTACCCTCAATGGTAATTAAAATGCATTATCAGTTGCTTAGCATAGCACACAAATAGTGGCTAACTTTACTAGACTCCTGAACTCTATGAGAGAAGACCCCTCCTTTATTTTGTTTACTGTTGTGTACTGGCAAGTGCCTGGCATATGACAGTACTGTCTCAAATTTTAGTTGACTGCCGAATGTAGAATTATTGACCTTAAAGTCGTGAATTCTATTTTGTAAGCTTTTAAGCCTTTTCCCTTTGGTAAGTGTAATTCTCCTATCAAAAGAAACTTTGAAAAAGAATGTTATTGATGACATGACTTTCCATATTCACCTAATGTGTTTTAATGGATTTTGGAGTATCAAAATGTATGTCCTCAATATCTTAATGTTATTTTCCTCTACTCAAAACTGGAAAAGGTCCTTATTTTCAGCTCAAATCCAGACTCTATTCTGGCATTGAAATTTCCATCATCAAGCTATACCAAACATGTCACTTAGACCTTTCAAAGTCTCAGCAGAAATTCCTGCTTTGAAGACCTCATTCTTATCACTCCTGGTGCACACCCATTTTCACTCCCTAGTAACCAAATGTGAATAGAGCTCTTGACCCATCCCTTCTCACAATCAGCCCCACCTTGAGGTCAAGGTCTTTATTAATCTCCATCAGACCATGAGACTCAAGGGCTGGCAATTTGTCTTTTTCCATCATTGCATTCCCAACCTAGTACAGTGTCCTTCATGAAATACACATTTGATGAATGAAATCTTGGATTTTTTTTTTTTTTTTAGACGGAGTCTCCCTCTGTTGCCCAGGCTGGATTGCAGTGGTGCAATCTCGGCTTATTACAACCTCCACCTCCTGGGCTCAAGTGATTCTCCTGCCTCAGCCTCCCCAGTAGCTGATACTACAGGCATGCACCACCATGCCTGACTACTTTTTGTATTTTTAGTAGAGACAGGATTTCACTATGTTGACCAGGCTGGTCTTGAACTCCTGAACTCAAGCGATCCACTTGCCTTGGCCTCCCAAAGTACTGGAATTAAAGGAGTAAGCTACTGCACCCGACTGAAATCTTGAATTGTTAACTTTGGTTTCCTATGTGTCTTTTTTTCTAACGAGCCTCTAAACACCTGTAATATTTCTTTTGAATCTCCCACAACATCACTAAGATTCATAATAAATATTTATTCAGTTAAAAAACAGAAGGAATTATTTATTTTCTTGGAGCTTTACTTTTGGCATTTCAAAGACCAGTGTGAGACCAATTGCTAAACACCAATTGCTACTAAATCTTCTAAAACTGCTTTAAACCACCACTGCCTTCTGTTGTTTAGCTGTAGAATAGCTGAGAATTACAGTAGCTTTAATGGGAAAAGATAGTGAAATAACAAGAACTTTTTCTAAAATGTCTGAACTACCATAGCTCTTTGTCCTGTACTTACTGTCAGTGCTTTGAAAATGGGGACAAGAAGAAATTTAACTGATAGAAGAAGGATGGAGCTGAATTTTCTTGTAATATTGGATGCTTGACTTCTGTTTTGTCCATACACCAGATTTTTCATTTATTTTATAGAGAATAGACGTAAGAAAGTATTAATATGGAAGAATATACAGAAACAAAGCCAAAATAAAGGCTTGAGGTTTGCCTGTCTTTTATTACATTTTTTTTACAATTTAAACTTGTTTGCCTGACAACTTTTAAATGGAAAAAGGCTGAAGGACAGCTGTAAAAGTCACTAGTTCTACAAATCAGAAATACGTTTGTGCTCCGTAAAACATCTGTCTTTTAAAGTTTTATCTTGAAATTTTCATATTTAGTTCTATTATTTATAATTAAAAGAAATAACATCTTCAAATATTTTGATGGTAAATAGTATATTTTAAAATATAAATCAAGTAAGGTCATAGCTTTGAATAAGCAAAAATTCTCATCATAATGCAAATGTTAAAATTACTTTCAAAACTAAACATAAAAAAACTAAAAAGTTCATCTTATAGCAATAAACTTGTATCTGGATTACTTGATATCTAACTTAGTCTAGTTGTAATACTAAACAATCCACTTTTGATGACAGTGTTTAACATTCTTTCACTCATACTGAAATCAAAAACGTCACTGATATAGTCATATCCACTCTACTATATCCATCTTTGCTCTAAAATTTTATGATCATATAGTTCTATTGAACAAATGGCTTTATTGCTACATATGGTTCTTTGCTCAGTGTAAAAAGAAAAAATATAACTTGCATTATAACATTTATACCCTGTGAGTGCCTAGCTGATATATGGTACATATACAAATGTCTATACACAATGTTTCTACTTGCAAGATGAATGAGCAGTAAACATAGATGTTGCATGACTCGCTTAACCAGAAACGTCAAAAACTGACAAGCAGAAGGCTGACCTCAACCTCCATAATGAAAAATCATGATTATTTAATCAACCGTTGTCAGCTTTTTAATGCTTAATTGCTGTGATTCCTTTCTCTTTCTAAATAAATATTCACTTTTATACCTAATTGATACTCATAATTTAGTATTCGAACCTAAAATGATCCTTAAGATTGCAAAAGCTCTAGGCCCCTTGAAACCTGGATTCTTCCTTGTGAGCAGTGATTGCCTTCATTTCTACTAATATGTTTATGAGATCATGAGAAACAGTGTACACATTCACAACACAGTAAAACTGAAACCACAGATTTTTCCCACTGTTCTTGTAATTAATGAAACATATGACTTGTTACAAACTGCCACAAAATTACTAGAAAGAATACAAGATTTTCTGAGTAATCTGAGAGAACGTTAATACGCTGTCACCTTGTTTACCCCCTTGAATCAATAATCCCCAGAAAGTGAGTCAAAAATTTCCTTATCTCATGAGTACTTTGTTTCCAGGTTATTTGACTGTCATTCCTCTTCTTATCTGGCCAAGATCTCTCTTTCAGCTAGTGGGATACAATTTCCAGAAAACAATTAATCTGGATGTAAGGGGAATATGGATGACATATTTTGAGGAATCTTCAAGAGCATCAGGAACAGCCCTGGCATTGGGGTGTTCAGAGTGCACTTGATCCATTAGAGCAGAGAATCAAAACCCAGGGGAACCAGAGATCTATAGTATACAAGATCATATAAGACTGTATGCAAAATTTTGAATGCACATTAGTGAGTACTTCGTTTGTTTTTTCATTGAGATAACTGAGATCCAAAAAGGTTATGAACCTTCAATATGGAAAACAAACACACACACACACACACACACACACACGAACATAAGCTACAGTAGAGAAGTTATAGTAAGATAGTAAGGAGGTAGTAAGATAAGGAGGTAGAGTCTAAGATAAGGAGGTAGAGTCTAAGGTAGTAAGATAAGGAGGTAAAGTCTAAGATAAGGAGGTAGAGTCTAAGGAGGCAGTAAGATAAGGAGGTAGAGTCTAAGGCTAAAACATCCTGGGTTATGATCCTGGCTCTCCCACTTATCAGCCATGTGGTATCCAAAGGTTACTTGGACTCCTTATTCCTAAATTTTCTTATCTGTAAAATAGGGAAAATATTAGCATCTACCTAATAGGGCTTTTGGGAGGATCAAATGAATGAAAATATGTAAAGTCTTGGAACAATGCCTAGAATATGGTGAACGCTATGTATATGTTAGCTATTATTATTATAAAATTCCGCTAGGCACTTGGAACAGAGTTTGAAACTTCAGGCTTCCAACTATGAAGCAAAAAAAAAAAAAAAAAAAAAAAAAAATCCCTTTTGGAGATAGGATAGAGAAGGCATTTTGTACCTGGAAAAAAATGTGTCTGGAAAATAACTCTTATTTTTTTTTTTTTTTTTTTTTGAGACGGAGTCTCGCTCTGTCACCCTGTCACCCAGGCTTGAGTGCAGTGGCGCGATCTGTGCTCACTGCAAGCTCCGCCTCCCGGGTTCACGCCATTCTCCTGCCTCAGCCTCCCAAGTAGCTGGGACTACAGGTGCCCGCCAACACACCCGGCTAATTTTTTGTATTTTTAGTAGAGACGGGGTTTCACGGTGTTAGCCAGGATGGTCTCGATCTCCTGACCTCGTGATCCCCCCGTCTCGGCCTCCCAAAGTACTGGGATTATGGGCGTGAGCCACCACGCCCGGCCTAATAACTCTTATTTCTAGATGAAGGAATGGAAAATTTAAATATCTACTATTGCATGGAGTCTATAAAAATATTGAGGTTTTTAAAAATTGATTTCAACTTAAAGAATTTTATAGAAAGAGTAACCTCTACAAATTTAGGTGCATCCTGAAACACACGCACACACAACTACAAAGCAGTCTACTTCTATGAAATTAAATAAAAATACTTTTATGAAACAAGTAAGAAAACCAAAAAGAGAGCAAAGGCTAGTTCAAGGATATAACAAGGTACAATGGATGAGAGACGGGTGGGATAAGAAATAATTTCACAGAAATTGAAAACACAGCTGAAAAGACAAATATCAATCTTCTTTGGCAGCAATAAGAAGCAGAATTGGCGTTGTAGAATATTGAGTTGGTGACATACTGGTCAAACTTGACAAGTTTCCCATAAGCCAGAGGGAAAGAGAAAACAATGAAGAACACAATAGATAATGAGAAGAAATAAGAAAGATGCAAACTAAGGATAACAGTTGTTCCTCAATATGCAAAAAAGAATGGAATCTAAAACAATAACAAAAAAACACAATTGCTATTTCCTTAGCTAAAAATCAAACAAACAATTAGAAAAATATAAATGTGGCTGGGTGTGGTGGCTCACGCCTGTAATCCTAGCACTTTGGGAGGCAGAGGTGGGTAGATCACCTGAGGTCAGGAGTTTGAGACCAGCCTGGCCAACATGGTGAAACCCCATCTCTACTAAAAATACAAAAATTAGCAGGGTGTGGCAGCGGGCAGCTACTCTGGAGGCTGAGGCAGGAGAATCGCTTGAACCCCAGGGGGCAGAGGTTGCAGTGCGCCAAGATCACACCACTGCACTCCAGCCTGGGTGAAAGAGTGAAACTCCGTTTCAAAAAAAAAAGAAAAGAAAAGAAAAACATAAATGTTCTGTGTGGAGAACACTATAGAGGTTCCTCAAAACAACTAAAAATAGAACTATCATGTGATCCAGGATTCTCACTTCTAGGTATATATCCCCCAAAAATAAAATCAATATATTGAAGAGATAACTGCACTCTCATGTTCATTGCAGCACTCTTCACTATAGCCAAGATTTGGAATCAACTTAAGTGTCCATCCACAGATGAATGGATAAACAAAATGTAGTATTTATCCACAATGGACTATTGTTCAGCAATAAAAAGAATAAAATCCTGTTATTTGCAACAACATGGATGAGGCTAGAGGATATTGTGTGAAGTGAAAAAAAAGCCAGGCACAGAAACACAGACTTCACATGTTCTCACTTATTTGTGGGAGCTAAAAATTAAAACAATTGAACTCCTGGAGATAGAGAGTAGAATGATAGTTACCAAAGGCTGGGAAGGGTAGTAGAGGGAAAGGACTCGGGGAGTGGGGATGATTACTGGGTGCAAAAATATAGTTAGATAGTATTTGGTAGCACAATTGAGTGACTACAGTCAACAGTAATTTACTACATATTTATAAATACCTAAAAGAGTAGAACTCTAATGTTCCTATCACAAAGAAATGATAAATACTTGAGGCGATGGTTGCCCCAATTGCCCTGAAGTGATTTTTACACACTGTATGCCTATATCAAAACATCACATGTACCACGTAAATATATATACCTACTATGTACACATAATAATTAAAAATAAAACATTAAAAAAATGTAAAAATGAGGTGGGATCATCACATGCCAGATTAACTCAGTGAAAAGAAAGCCACACTTTAATCTATGTAACTTTTTTCTTTTAGTTACAGGGCAAAAGAGAAACTCCTATCCGTGCTCAAGGGAAAAAATAATAACACACAAAACAGAAGGCGCCATCATGGGAGTTGACATCCACCACAACAAGGACTGATAGGTTCAGCGCAAGGAGCCCAAAAGCCAGGATATTGGTCTACCTGAGGCTGTTGGTCAAACTGTACAGGTTTCTGGTCAGACGGAACAACTCCACATTCAACCAGGTTGTGCTGAAGAGGTTGTTTATGAGTCGCACCAACCGACCACCTCTGTCCCTCTCCTGGATGATCCAGAACATAAAGCTTCCTGACCGGGAAAACAGAAAGGCTGTGGCTGTGGGGACCATAACGGATGACGTACGGGTTCAGGAGGTGCCCAAACTGAAGGTGTGTGCACTGCGCATGACCAGCCAGGCCCGCAGCGGCATCCTCGGGGCCGGGGGCAAGATCCTCACTTTTGACCAGCTGGCCCCTGATGCCCCGAAAGGCTGTGGCACCGTCCTGCTCTCTGGTCCTCGCAAGGGCTGAGAGGTGTACCGGCATTTTGGCAAGGCACCGGGAACCCCGTACAGCCACACCAAACCATACATCCGCTCCAAGGGCCGGAAGTTCGAGCGCACCAGAGGCCGACTGGCCAGCCGAGGCTACAAAAACTATAGATCCTATCCTCTTATTAAAGACTTTGGATGATGGAAAAAGAAAGAAAAGAAAAGAAAAAGAAAATGTTAAAAATATAAAATCTAGCTATGTTCAAAACAACAAAATCTGATTTTACTTGCACTACTGCTATAGTGTCAGGAAACAACAAAGCAAACTCAATACCATTTGAATGCAGTAAAACTGTGTATTCGCAAACCCGAGATGAATTAACAGAAAATTTACTAGAGAAACAAAGAGAATTGAGAAACTAAAAGGGCTGTAGGATGTCTTCCCCAGGTTTATGCTGTTTTAGTTACATTATTCTGTAAACTGGTTAGTGCACCTACAGAATCATTCAATTTGGCTATGGTTTTTGTGTTAGCCACGGCTTAAAATTATCCAGTTCCTCTTCACACTACCCATCTCCTTTAGTCATATTAAGTAATGAAAATTAAGGAACATTTATTTACGAGTCCTTGGTATGTTGGCAAAGACTGATCATACAAAAAAAATCACACCTCTTTTGCTCAAAAAATAAAAAAAGCTTTGATAAATTGCAAAATGCAGACATTATCATGCAATAAGCTTTGATAACTTAGAAAATAAACCTAGAAATTAAACCAAGATTGAAAAAAAAATAACCAAAACATCTGGAAGGTAAATTACTGCTCAGGAACTCTTGTAATACTTCAAGGATTCAAATGTAAACTGATAATATGAACTGTACAAAGAGAAAAATGTCCCTGTTTCATGCTCAAGGGAATGTTTCCTTCTGGCCAGCCACCAACTTCCATACATCCTTCTCTCCTCAGGGATCAGATGGCTCTGCCGGGATGCCTTCCTTGTCTTTCTGCCAGCTTAGTGATTGATTATCTATCTTTATTACCAAGTCAATCTGTACACTGAATGTGGAATGGATTCAGCAGTCAAAGGAAGAAGTGGAAAAACAAGATATGATACGGCTTAGGTAAAAATCCGTTTTAAGCAGCAGCATCCTAAGTCTGTAGCAATCCCACTTGGCTGTACAAAGAGGTGAGCTTCTCTTGTTTTGCATGCAAATGCAGAGTGCTCTCAAATGCTAGAAATATGTTTTTTACAGAGAGAGATATCAGCAGCCAAGTCACCCTCTTCACAAATATCCCCCCAAAACAATAAATTAAATGGTTACGTTAAGAGAAACAGATAATTTCCCTCTGTCCCTTCCAAAATGGAATGTTATGGTGTGGCCCCTATGACTGAACACCTAGAGGAGTAGCAGTCCGAGAGACAGGATAGGACTGGATACCCATACAACCTGGGAATAAAGCTAGAAAACTGGTTGTGTTTTTTCCAAAGAAGCAAAGCAGCTGTAGAACATTCAAGTCCAGTCAAAATGTAAGCTCAGAAATCAGCGGGGAAAATAAAACTATATTAACGTCACATAACTAGAAAAAGCTGTTGGCAAAAGAGATTTTAGATCTCCATTATAGGCCCAAAATGGCTGTTTCCTACTCCTAAGCAAACAATGACATTTGGTCTATTAAGAAAAAATGAAGGCCTTGAGAGAAAACAGGATGTAGGTTAGTTTTTGCATTTTTGTTTTTCCTTCTACTTCTTTATGAATATGAGGTGGGGAGACTTAAAGAGGAAGAGCCCAGGAAGGGTTTGTGGGAGAAAGAAATGTACGGAATGCCAGAATAAGATTTGGGAGAAGAGAATGTGTTGCAGGACAATAAATACTTTGAAGGTTTTCTGTTGTTTTCATTCTAAAGGGTGACATTCCAAATAAGAACAAAAATGAGCAATGGAGCTAAAGAAATCCTATCAGACAGGTAAACTGTGGATATCGCAGGTGCTCTTCCTTTGTTCTGTTTTAGTGCTCCATGCTTATTCCTTAACACATGGTAATGTAATTGTTTGAAGGTGTGTGTCTATTTTCATTAGACTCAGAGACTCAGAGGCGGGTCACCTGCTTGTCTCTTGGTTGTGCAACTTCCTCATTGAAATTACTGGTCATAAATATTGTCATATATATCCTCAAACCTCCAACTAACAGCAGAAATCCCCTGCAAGCTCTTAACTGAGACACCTTTGAATAGCTTCAGTGGCTATTCAAGTGGCCAAGAGCTCATTACCTATACAGATAATTTGGGTGATTTAATAGATTAACTCAACTACTCAATTGGGTAATTCAAATTATTACAATATACTAAACAAAATTCCCTTTCCTCCAGTGGTTTTATCACACAAAGCTAAACGGAATATATCTACTTTGCAGTGTCTCTTTAAAATCTAACTTCTGGCCGGGCGCGGTGGCTCACGCCTGTAATCCCAGCACTTTGGGAGGCCGAGGCGGGCGGATCACGAGGTCAAGAGATCGAGACCATCCCGGCTAAAACGGTGAAACCCCGTCTCTACTAAAAATACAAAAAAATTAGCCGGGCGTAGTGGCGGGCGCCTGTAGTCCCAGCTACTTGGGAGGCTGAGGCAGGAGAATGGCGTGAACCCGGGAGGCGGAGCTTGCAGTGAGCCGAGATCCCGCCACTGCACTCCAGCCTGGGCGACAGAGCGAGACTCCGTCTCAAAAAAAAAAAAAAAAAAATCTAACTTCTGCTAGCATATATCCTCTTTGTCATCATTATTATAAACAATTTACAGATGCAGAAACTGAGGCTGAAAAACATTAAACACCTTACCCAAGGTCAGATTGCCAAGGTTAATGGCTATTCTGGGACTTAAACTCAGATCTCTTTTATTTCATAATTTATGAACATAAACACTATGCTGTCCTGAAAATAACTACATTTTCTTTAAAAGCATCTTTTTATAAGTGGCTTCTACAGCACTATAAATCTCAAAATTCTTTCTCCATATACCATTTAATTTGTCAGTTTCTTTCTCAAAATGTGGCCCTGAAATTAACAAAATGTTGTCAGTTAAAGACGGAGTTCAGGGGGATTATCACCAAATTTGGTTTGGACCCCAGAAGTCTATCTTAGTAAACTAAAATTGTGTGGGTGTTACCAAACTTGTATTTTGTGATAAACAAAAGTTTCAGATCATTTTTATATAAATTTCTTCAAAGAAAGATCTTCCCAATCTAGTTATAAAATTTATTGTTTTAACTAAAATGCAAGATCATTTATCTTTGTTAAATGTCATCATTTTGTATTAAGCCTGCACAATCATTTTAAAATTTGATTGTGACATCTATCATATTAGCTAGTCTCTGAATTTTATGTCATCTGCAAATTTGATAACCATGTTTTCTAAGCATTAAGTCATGTCATTGCTATAATATTAAAAGGACAAGATAAATCAGAGAGGTTACAAATATTCTATTAGAAATGGCCCTGAGTACAAAAAGAACTAAACTTGTCTGGAAAAATTGCTCAAATTTGTAGGACGGTGATCCAGACAATACTTCGCCATATTATTAACCAAGAAACAAGAGTAACCTTTAGTTAAATGCTGTGTAGAAATTATCATACCCTACATGTCAACCTTTTCAAAACAGAATAATTTGTTCTTACATATTCTTAATTAATAAACCCATATTGGCTCCTGCTCACATCATCTTTTCTACAGGCTCAGAAAACATAGGGTTAGTAATACACTCTGAAGTTTTCAGGGAGCAAATATCGTGTGTTTGGGGATCTTGTTTCTGGGAAAGGAAAACACAGGTCTTTCAGTGGAAGATACAGTGAAAACACGCTAATATTCTCTGTGGTTCCACTTTTTTTGTTTGTTTGTTTTTGTTGTTGTTGTTGTTGTTGTTTTGAGACGGAGTCTCGCTCTGTCGCCCAGGCTGGAGTGCAGAGGCACGATCTTGGCTCACTGCAAGCTCCACCTCCCAGGTTCACACCATTCTCCTGCCTCAGCCTCCCGAGTTGCTGGGACTACAGGTGCCTGCCACCACGCCCGGCTAATTTTTTTGTATTTTTAGTAGAGACAGAGTTTCACTGTGTTAGCCAGGATGGTCTCAATCTCCTGACCTCGTGATTCGCCCGCCTCGGCCTCCCAAAGTGCTGGGATTACAGGCATGAGCCACCGCACCTGGCAGGTACCATGTTTTTTAGTATTACATGATGGTCTTTCATTTTCATCAACAGACAAACCCTGACCATTTTATCAACTTCACAATAATATGTGCCTATCTTTTATATGTTTGAATATTTTGAAACTTTCTCATTGTCTTACACATGTACAATGTAAGGGTGTTATGAAACCAGAAGACAGACTATATAGAACTGGCATAGAAACAGTCTAAATTCCTTAATATTGCCAAAGCAATATGCCATTCAAAATACATCTTGTCATTTCAAACCTTCCTAATAATTTACTATACTGGCCTATTCTTCAAAAAGATAAACTCATCATCCTATAGTACTTTATTTTAAAATCTATCTCCTCTTACAATAAGGATTTTTTAAAAGTTTTCCAATCAAAATCGTAGATTTAACCCAATATTATATTTGAACTCTTATTCAGTGAGCCTTGGTTTCAGCAGGTGGATGTGTGTAAGTCCTCATTTTACATTTTATGATTTTTATTGATTTTGACCTTGCATGATTTAGCTATTTCAGTCTGTCTTTTGTTTCTTTTGAAATAGGAATTGGCCTTCTCTGAACCTTCTCTGGATCTCCAAGGTTTTGCACGTTTCTTAGGTATGTTAATTAGGCATTCTTGAAGTGTTGTCCCAGTGGGGATGCACTGATGACTTAGGTCATTTGAGTCTTCTCCATGCAATGGGAACGTGAATCTTACTGCAGTTCCGTCACGTTCCACATGATGGTGGCCTTGTCTCCGCAAACCGGACTTCAGGTCCCTGTGTGCTAAGTTTATTGGCCTCAATTTCAAGCTCTGGTAATAAAGCAGCTGTCAACTTGCCAGAGCCCCTGTGAAACAGCTGGGATTCTCAACTTGGGCTACATCCAACACCTGTGGCTACGATACAGGGATTGTGAGAGAGAGGACGCTTGACGAAGAGCAATGGGACTGTCTGAACATTCTCAAATTCTAATTTACTCAAGCATGTTTGGTTTTGAGTTTTACTTTTCTGTAGAATATTTTCCTAAAACAATTCAAATGTTGAGGATAGAGGATTGAGGTGCATAGTGAAAATTTAAATAATGCTGTGTTCTATACTGTGCTTATTAGGCTTTACTTCTAATCATTTACCTGTCTCTAGAGCCGTGCTTTCCGATACAGCAAACAAGCCACATGTTGCTCCTGAATACTTAAGATCTAGTCTGAATTGAGATCAGCAGTAAGTGTAAAATACACATGAAATTTCAAAGATTAAATATGAAAAAGATTATGTAAAAATTATACTTTAATATGAAAACATAATACTCTGGATATATTGGGTTAAATATATTACTAAAATTTATTTCACCTGTTACTTGTTACTTTTTTTTAAAGTGGCTACTAGAAATTTTTAAATTATAGGTTACTCGCTTTGGTGGCTCACATTATATTTCTGTTGAACTGAGCTGGTCTAGAAGCCTTGATGATGTTTACTAAACACTGAGAGTTCTTGTACTCCTTTGCAGTATTTTTCTCATGAAATCTCTCAATTCCTCAGTGTAGTTATCAGATGTACCCCAGAATCTGAATTTTCAGGAAGTGTTGGAGGCCTTGAATGGATACATTTTAGAAGGCTCCCAAAGAAAGCTTCATGATTATAACTGATCATCAGAATTATGTGGAGAAAGCATTATAATTTATTTATGATTCCCTCTACAGAAATGTTGATTCAATAAATGTGGGTTGTTGATATTTTGCTCTGTGTTTTTCTTTCTCTTTTCCTTCCTCTCCTATAGCTTTACCAATAAAGTAGGAGTGATACCCATGTAGGGAAATACTCTGTTGCCTGAAGAAACTGATGTGAAAGGAACATGATTATCAGGGGACTACCAAGAGATATGGGTTGAACAAGAGTCGAATGAAGGTTGGCACCTTCAGCTGTATTCCAGAGTTGTTCTGGTGTTTCAGAGTAGGGCATGTTCAATTATTTAATCAGAACATGAACGTAAATGAAAAATGAATCAATTCACCCTATGGTGTGAGAGGCTGATATATAACTATGAAAATTACATGGAATTTCTTCTTAATATTTTATTATCCCATAATTTAAAAATACATATATTGGACACACTTTAGATTGGAGAGCCATCAAGCCTTTCCCTCCATTACTTAAATACATCTTGTCTATATTTTGAAGCTGATGAATCTTCATTTAACATGTTTTCTTAGGAAAGAGGCCCCTGAAGAAGTAAAATGCATGAATTTGAAGTAGCCAACAGACTTGATGGGGTAGATGGGGCACTTCTAAGTATCACCTGAAGAAGAGGTGCTGGAATTCATTAGAAAAAACGGAGTTTAACAGGAAAGTATAAATATTTAGCAGAACTAAATTGAAATTCTGCTAAATATTTATACTTTTCTATTAAACCTCTATAAATTGATTTATATTCAATTCAATTGATTTATATCGATTTATATATTGATCCAGTCATTACCTTACCTGGCCATTCACAATATGGGTGCCTACAGATGTGTCAGATATTAAGGATAAAGCAAAAGAAAAAAATTAAAACGGTCTCTGCCTCCATAGATGAGCAAGGTCTCTCACACAAAAAATGCTCTTTAGCCAGAAGATTACCAGATGAAGGACATTTAGAATACTGTCTTCACTGTTGAAATACATAATTTTTAATCCAGAAAACAATATAATATAAAAAGCTAATAATAACTATGCTAACTAATACTTTTTAAACACCTACTAGCTATCACAAGTAGTGCTAACTGCTTTTCATAGATTATTTCTCAGGAATTGCTTAGGAGAGGTAGTATTATTGTCACTATTTTTGCTGATAGAAAAACTTAGGTTCATTGAGGTTAAGTTCAAAGTCACACAAGAATTACAACAGCTTGGATGTTAATGCAAGTTTTCTCGTGGGACTATTCCCAAATCCATTGAAGACTGTACAAAGAAAATACATTTGCTTGGCTTTATAAAAAGAAAACATATTAATCATCCAACATGGAGCCTCACCAAGGATCAGAGCAAAAGTTTCCTTACCTTGTGAGGTAATGGGATTGACATTACAAAGAATAAAAAAAAGAAGAAATTATTGTCATTTTTTGCATGTATTTTTCAGGAGTTGAGTTACTTCCAAATTATAGGTCACAGAACCAAATACAACTTTACAATATATATGTGTCCCACAACTTTAAAGACAAAAATGTGAAGTCAACAGCAAAGTTTTTATTATTCCACTCTTCCCTTTCTGCACCTCTATTCTGATGTCAGTATTATTTTCTGTTTCAAGAAGGGAAAATCATACAATGCAGGCTGGTCCAGGAACCTTGGCAAGAAAGGCAAACGTATTCAGTACTGAATCCTGGTAAATAGACAAGAGTAGAACATTCTAGAACAAGTCTAATCATAACAATCTCCAAGCTAAAGTGACTATAATGTCTAAGACTGTAAGAGTGCACTCGATTGGGAGGACATTGGTTATTCCAGGCATAATTCATTGCATCATGCATATTCTTCAAACTCTGCTTCATAAACTGGGATAGAACAAAGCAAGTGCATGGAAGACAAATGTTCCCCAAGGGAATTATACTTTTTATTTTCAGTATACAATAGATATGGACAGGGTGATATTCTTTGACTACAGTGCTGGGCTTATATCTACTTTACTAATTGCAATGTGTACTTGCATAGTTAGATGTTTGCTCAATGAGTACACCCGCCCAACATCCCTGAATGACAATATTTGTTCTAAACCAATATTGTAAGTAACAAAATTGCATTTACAGCTAATAATTCCTGGCCCAAAGCCACATTGTTCTAGTTCAATTGTTCAAAGATATGTCCTGACATCATTATTTTTTTGTTTGAAATGTTTGCTTGTTTTTGTTCTCTAGGTAATCACAATGTTCTATTCTGTTTAAAGACCTCAGGTTAAGATAATAAAGAAAAATATATATATATTTTTTTTTCTTATTATACTGTTAAGTTTTAGGGTACATGTGCACATTGTGCAGGTTAGTTACATATGTATACATGTGCCATGCTGGTGCGCTGCACCCACTAACTCGTCATCTAGCATTAGGTATATCTCCCAATGCTATCCCTCCCCCCTCCCCCCACCCCACAACAGACACTTCTCAAAAGAAGACATTTATGCAGCCAAAAAACACATGAAAAAATGCTCATCATCACTGGCCATCAGAGAAATGCAAATCAAAACCACAATGAGATACCATCTCACACCAGTTAGAATGGCAATCATTAAAAAGTCAGGAAACAACAGGTGCTGGAGAGGATGTGGAGAAATAGGAACACTTTTACACTGTTGGTGGGACTGTAAACTAGTTCAACCATTGTGGAAGTCAGTGTGGCGATTCCTCAGGGATCTAGAACTGGAAATACCATTTGACCCAGCCATCCCATTACTGGGTATATACCCAAAGGACTATAAATCATGCTGCTATAAAGAAAAATATATTTTAAAGTTATTTAGGTAAAAACTAATTTTCTTTTTTCTTTCTTTTTTTTGTTTTTGTTTTTGAGACGGAGTCTCACTCTGTCACCCAGGCTGGAGTGCAGTGGCGCGATCTCGGCTCACTGCAAGCTATGCCTCCCAGGGTATGCTATTCTCCTGCCTCAGCCTCCCAAGTAGCTGGGACTACAGATGCCTGCAACCACGCCCGGCTAATTTTTTGTATTTTTAGTGGAGATGGGGTTTCACCATGTTAGCCAGGATGGTCTCAGTCTCCTGATCTCATGATCTGCCTGCCTTGGGATAAAACTAATTTTCTATTGCTTGAGGATCTACAGTTTACAGGGCAAACTGACCACATATATGGTCGATCCTCATTCATAAACTCTGTATGTGCGAATTTGTCTACTCCCTAAAATTTATTTGTAACTTGAAAATAAATAATTGCAGCACTTTCACAGTCATTCATAGATGTGCATGCTCAACGCGGTGAAAAGTTTGGGTGGCCCAACTTCAAGTTCCCAACTGTGGTAGAAAAAGGTGACGCTTTGCTTTCCTGTTTTATCTCTTCTAATAAAAACATGTCCTTTTTCACAGCATATTTAGAGCTACATTTTTCACCTGATTGAGTTTTTTCTTGGTGAATTCACTGTTTAAATGGTCCCCTAGTATAGTGCTGAACTGCTGTCTAGTGTTCTTAAGCACAAGAAGTTTTGATGTGCCTTCTGGAGAAAATATGTGTGTTAGATATTCTTTGTTCAAGCGTGAGATGTAGTAATCATTGAATCTGAGTTCAATGTTAATGAATCACAATCCATATTGAAGAAGGTGTCTTTAAACAGAAACAAACATAAAACAAGGTTATTTATAGATTGATTGATGAAAATATTGTGAACAGAGGCTCACAGTAACGTGTCTCTATAATTCTTCTGGGAGTAATGGCTTAGTATCCACTAATTCAGTGTCCATGGCACCTTTACAGCACATAAAGACCACAAATAATAAGAATTGACTGCATGCATCTCTCTATAGAAATCCAAGTTTTTTTAAATATAACAGATAATTATATTTTTAAAAACACATCTAAGATTATATTGGAGGCTACTTCAGTTTCCTAATATTTAATCGATAAATAATATTTTAAAAGAAAAAAGAAAACTGCACAACAGCATTCCTCAGCATAATTTGATCAAGACTATGCTCAAACGTGGAGAGATGGAGTAAAGATAGTGGAACAGAAGGCTCCACCCATTGTCCCACCTAAAAGGACACCAATTTAACAGTTATCCAAATAAGCA
Source organism: Homo sapiens (assembly GCF_000001405.40). NCBI lineage: Eukaryota > Metazoa > Chordata > Mammalia > Primates > Hominidae > Homo > Homo sapiens. Next base: position 137,174,394 of record NC_000007.14, read on the forward strand.
AAACACCTTCATAAGAATCAAACATCAAATTGAAAGCAATATCTGCTTTTAACTTTTTATCACTGAAAAAGGCACTAAAGAGGTAGAAAAAACACCCTTGAATCGCTGACACCACTCTACCACAACCCCTGGCAATTGAGGGTGGTGCCCGGAGTGTCTCTGGGTGCTGGGGGAGGGAGAGCACAGAAATGTGAGGCATTGAACTCAGTGCTATCCTATTAATATTGGAGCAGAAAGAAAAACTGGATCAAATTCAGCTGACGCCCTCCCCTGGAGGGCACATTTAAATCAACCTTAGCTAGAGGGGAATTGCTGATCCCAGGGGTCCAAACTTGAGTTACCACAAACCTTGCCACCAAGGGTGAAAGGGCTCTGGGTCTCTAAGTAAACTTAAAAGGCAGTACAGGTCACAAAGACTGCAACTTTTAGGTGAGTCCTAGGTCTAAACTGGGCCCAGAGACAGTGGACTGGGGGTGGGGGGTGGGGGCACAGGACCTACTGAGACACTAGCTAGGGCAAGTAAGGGCATTCTGATGTCACCCCTCCCCTAACCCTAGCTGCACAACTTGTGGCTCCAAAGAGACCCCATTCTTCTGCTTTAGAAGAGGAGAAGGAAGAGTGGGGAGGACTTTTTCTAGTATTTTGGGTACCAGATTAGCCACAGCAGAATAGGACACCAGCCAGAGCTGTGAGGCTCCTGTTCTAAGCCCTAGCTCCAAGATGACATTTCTAGATACATCCTGGGCCAGAAGAAAACCTACCACCTTGAAGGGAAGGACACAGTCTTGGCAATATCCATCACCTGCTAACTGAAGAGCCCTTGGGCCTTGAATTAAAAGCAGCAGTATCCAGGTTCTACACCAGGGGTCTTGGGTGCCCCTCTAAGACTTGCTGGCTTCAAGTACTAGGTCCATCACAGTGGGTAGAGCACCAAGCAGGTCTTTGAGGTAACCGATTCTAGGACTTGACTCTTGGGTGGCATTTCTGGACTTGCCTTGGGCCAGAAGGGAGCCCACTACCCTGAATGGAAATTAGACAATATACTTCTGAATGACTAGTGGGCCAATGAAGATATTAAGAAGGAAACTGAAAAATTTCTTGAAATAAATTATAATGAAAACATAACACACCAAAACTAGTGGGCTACAACAAAAGCAGTACTAAGAATGAAGTTTATAGCTATAAGTGCCTACATTAAAAAAGAGGAGAAACTTCCAATAAAAATCTAACAATGCATCTTAAAGAACTAGGAAAGCAAGAACAAACCAAATCCAAAATTAGTAGAAGAAAATAAATAATAAAGATGACAGCAGAAATAAATGACATTAAAGTAAAGAAAACAATACAAAAGATTAAGGAAACAAAAAGCTGTTTTTTGAAAAGTTAAACACAATTGACAAAAATTTAACCAGACTGGCTAAGACAAAAAAAGAGAGAAAATCCAAATAAATAAGATCATAAATGCAAAAGGAGACATTACAACTAACACTGGAGAAATTCAAAGGATCATTAGTAGCTACTATGAGAAACAATTTGCCAATAAATTGGAAAATCTAGAAGAAATAGACAAATTACTAAACATATACAGCCTACCAAGATTGAACCAGGAAGAAATCCAAAACCTGAACAGATCAACAACAAGTAAGTGAATTGAAGCCACAATAAAAAGTCTCCCAGTAAAGAAAAGCCCAGGACCTGATGGCTTTGCTGCTGAATTCTACCAAATATTTAAAGAAGAACTAAAACCATTCCTACCCAAACTAATCTGAAAAATAGAAAAGGTAATACTTCCAAACTCATTCTGCAAGGTCAGTATTACCTTGATACCAAAACCAGACAAATATACATCAAAAAAAGAAAAAATCCAGGCCAAGATATCTGAAGAATATTGATGCAAAAATCCTCAACAAAATATGAGCAAACCAAATTCAACAACACGTTAGAAAGATCATTCATCATGACCAAGTGGAATTTGTCCCTGGGATGCATGGATGGTTCAACATACACAAATCAAGCAATACGACACATCATATCAACAGAATGAAGGATAAAAACCATACGATTATTTCAATTAATGGTGAAAAAGCATTTGATAAAATACATCTTTCTTTCATCATAAAAACCCTAAAAAATAGATATAGAAGGAATGTACCTCAACATAATAAAAGCCATACATGTCAGAGCCACAGATAGTATCATACTGAGTAGGGAAAAAAATTGAAAGTCTTTCCTTTAAGATCTGCAACACGACAAGGATAACCACTGTCACTGCTGTTATTCAACATAGTACTGGAAGTCCCAGCTAAAGCAATAAGGCAAGAGAAAGAAAGAATGAAAGAGTATCCAAATTGAAATGGAAGAAGTCAAATTATCCTTGTTTGCAGACTATGAAATCTTATATTTGAAAAAACCTAAAGACTCCAAAAAAAAACTATTTGAACTGATAAATTTAGCAATGTTGAAAAATATAAAATTAACATAGAAAGATCAGTAGCATTTCTATATGCCAACAGTAAACAATATGAAAAAGAATTAAAAAGTAATCTTATTTACAATAGCCACATGAGATTAAATATCTAACAAGTAACGTGACCAAAGAAGTAAAAGATCTCTACAATAAAAACTATAAAACACTAATGAAATAAATTGAAGAGGACACAAGAAATGGAAAGATATTTCATGTTCATGGATTGGAAGAATAAACATTGCTAAAATGTCCATACCACCCAAAGCAATCTACAGATTCAGTGCAGTCCCTATCAAAATATGACATTCTTCACAGAAATAGAAAAAAAATTCCAAAACTTTATGGAATGAAAAAGGACTCAGAATAGCCACAGCTATGCTAAGCACAAAAGCAAAACTGAAGGAATCACATTTCCTGACTTGAAATTATACTATGGAGCTATAGTAACCCAGACACCATGATACTGGCATATAAATGAACATATAGACCATTGGAATAGAATAAAGAACCCCAAAATAAATCCACGCTTACAGTGAACTCACTTTTGACAAAGGGGTCAAGAACATACACTGAGGAAAAGACAGTCTCTTCAATTAATGCTGCTAGGCGTATGTTTATTGCAGCACTATTTGCAATAGCAAAGACATGGAACCAACCCAAATGCCCATCACTGATAGACTGGATAAAGAAAACATGGTACATATACACCATGGAATACTATGCAGACATAAAAAGGAATGAGAATATGTTCTTTGCAGGGACACGGATGAAGCTGGAAGACATCATCCTCAGCAAACTAACACAGAAACAGAAAACCAAACAACTCATGTTCTCACTCATAAGTGGGAGTTGAACATTGAGAAGACATGGACACAGTGAGGGGAACAACACACACCAGGGCCTGTTGAGGCATAGGGAGTGAGGGGAGGGAACTTAGAGGACAGGTCAATAGGTTCAGCAAACCACCATGGCACACGTATCCTCTGTAACAAACCTGCACATTCTGCATACATATCCCAGTTTTTTTTCCTTTTAAGAAGGAATAAAGAAAAAAATAGAGTTACCATATAAAAAATATATTAAAAATGATGCCGGGAAAACTGGATATCTATATGCAGAAGAATGAAACTATAAGCCTATCATTCACCATATTTGAAAATCGGTTAAAGACTTATATCTAAGATCTCAAACTATGAAACTACTACAAGAAAATATTGGGGAGCTGGCTGGGTGCGGTGGCTCATGCCTGTAATCCCAGCACTTTGGGAGGCCAAGGCAGGTGGATCACCTGAGGTCAGGAGTTCGAGACCAGCCTGGCCAACATGGTGAAACCCTGTCTCTACTGAAAATACAAAAATTAGCCAGGCATGGTGGTGGGCACCTGTAATCCCAGCTATTCAGGAGGCTGAGGCAGGAGAATTTCTGAACTCGGGAGGCAGAGGTTGCAGTGAACCGAGGTCATGCCACTGCACTCCAGCCCTCCAGCCTGGGTGACAGAGCGAGACTCTGTCTAAATAAATAAATAAATTAATTAATTAATTAATTAATTAAAAAAGAAAGAAAGGATGAAAGGAAGGAAGAGAGAAAGAAAGAGAAAGAAAGAGAAAGAAAGAAAGAAAGAAAGAAAGAAAGAAAGAAAGAAAGAAAGAAAGAAAGAAAGAAAGAAAGAGAAAAAAGAAAGAAAAAGAAAGAAAACATTGGGGAAACACTCTAAGACATTGGTCTGGGCAAAAAATTCTTGAGTAATATCCCACAAGCACAGGCAATCAAAGCACAAATGAACAAATGTGATCATATCAAGTTAAAAAGATTGTACACCAAAGTATACAATCAACAAAGTGAAGAGACAACACATGGAATAGGAGAAAATATTTGCAAACTACTCATCTGACAAGGGCTAATCTAATAACCAGAATATATAAGGTGCTTAGATAACGTTATAGCAAAAAAAAAAAAAAAAAAAAAAATCTAATAATCCCGTTTTAGAAAACGGGCAAAAGATTTGAGTAGACATTTCTCAAAAGAAAATATACAAATGGCAAACAGGCATATGGAAAGATATTCAAAATTATTGATCATCACACCAATAATTATTAACCATCACAATTATTAATCACTGATTTGCGGAAATGCACATCAAAACTACAATGCGATATCATCTCACCCCAGTTAAAATGGTTTATATCCAAAAGACAAGCAATAACAAATATTGGCAAGGGTGTGGAGAAAAGAGAACCCTTGTACACTGTTGGTGAGAATATAGATTAGTACAACTATGGAGAAGAGTTTGGAGGTTCCTCAAAAAACTAAAAATAGAGGTACCATATGATCCAGCAATCCCACTGCTGGGTACATACCCAAAAGAAAGGAAATCAGTATATCAAAAATACCTGCCCTCCCATGTTTTTTGTAGCACTATCCACAATAGCTACAATTTGGAAGCAACCTAAGTGTCCATTAACAGATGAATGGATAAGGAAAATATGATTCATATACACAATGGAGTATTAATCAGCCATAAAAATGAATGAGATCCTGTCATTTGCAACAACATGGATGGGAACTGGAGGTCATTATATTAAGTGGAATAGGCCAGGCACAGAAAGACAAACATCGCATGTACTCACCTATTTCTGGGATCTAGGAATCAAAACAATTGAACTCATGGATGTAGAGAGTAGAAGGATGGATACCAGAAACTGGGAAAGGTAGTGAGGGTTTGAGGGGGAAGTAAGGATAGCTAATGGGTAAAAAACAAAAATAGTTCAAAGGAATGAATATGACCCACTATCTGATACCACTACAGGGTGACTATAGTCAATAATAATTTAATTGTTACATTAATACATTAATAACTTAATTGTACATTTTTAAATAACAAAAGAGTGTAATTGGATTGTTTGTAACACAAAGGATAAATGCTTGAAGGGATGGATGATACCCCATTCTCCATGATGTGCTTATTTCACATTGCATGGGTGAATCAAAACATTTCATGTACCCCATAAATACATACACCCACTATGTACCCACAAAAATTAAAAATAAAAAATTTAAGAAACAAAAATAAGTACAAAAGTGACCACTAGAAAAAAAATGCAAATCTTCCTAGATGCCTTATTTTTCTTACGAATCAAAGAGGAAAGAATATATATCTTGTAGTAAAAGGAAGATAGCAAGTATAATACAAACAATTATAAAATGTATGGCAGACTGAGTCAAATCATATTAATCATACTAATAAATGTGAATAGCTTAACTTACCTAGTAAAAAATTTTTCAATTTATTACACAAAACAAGAAATAACTGAATGCTGTATATGTTAAACTAAATGATTTAGAAAGACCAAAGATGAATGATATAATAGCAGTAGCAATGAGAAAATGAGGGGTGCAATGCTGAAATCAGAAAGTGTAGAATTTTAGCCAATGTACATCAGTTGTGACAGAGAGAGTACTTTTTAATGCTAAACACCACAAGTCACAATGAAGGTATAATGCCTACAAATCTCTAGGCACTAAACAACATATCAACCACTTTCGTGAAGCAAAAACTATAGGATATTCAATATGACATAATTAGAAATAAAATAATGAGAGGCTAATGTACCATTCTCAGTACAAAGCAGAGCAATTGGTCAATAAATAAAAAGAAGACAGAAAAACTAAAGAACATAAACAATCTACATATGGATATGTATCAAAATGTACACCCTAGAATACACAAATTCACAAAAATGATCAAACATAAAGTTCAAAATCAAAGTTCACAATAAAAAGTCAGAAAATTTTGTAAAGTAGAGATATAGTACTCTCCTATCACAATTCAATAAGATCAAAAATTATTAACAAAAAATTTTAATCTCCTATTAAACAACTCTTTGGTGACAAGGGAAAACAAAAAAGTACAGAATTTCTTTAAAAATAAATGACAAGAGAAACACTACCTATCAGAATTTATTGAATATATTTTAAGCAATGATCAGAAGAAAATTAAATACATAAAACACTTTTATTAGTAAAAATGAAAGAATATGTATAAATAAATAGCAGCTCAATAATCTAGTAAAGCAGCACACCAACATGGCACATGTATACATATGTAACAAACCTGCACATTGTGCACATGTACACCAGAACTTAATGTATAATAAAAATATATATTAATAATAATAATAATAATCTAGTAAAGTTAAATAGCAGCTCAATAATCTAGTAAACTAACAACAAATTAAATCAGAAGAAAACATAAGAAACAAGGTTAAAAAAAGTTAAAAGCAAAAATTATTGTGGTAGTAGAACAGTAAGCCAAGTCATAGAAGTTATTTTTTAAAAAGTAAATACAAATATAGGCAATTTATTACCTAACTTGATCAAGAAGAAATAAGGAAAGAGCACAAATGAACAAATTAAGAAATTGTAAGGAGGAAATATCCAGTGAAACAAGAAATTAAAAATTACCACAAAAGTCTATTTTAATTTCAGCATTAACTTGAGGTAATTTAAAAATTACCACAAGGCAATTAACATGCTTATCACCTTGTTTACCTATCATTTTTATGGTCAGACATTTAAAATTAAGTGCCTTAGTTCTTTTAAAATATATAATACATTATTATTGACCATGTTAATTAATTTGATTTAATCATCCCACAGTGTGCACATATATCTAAGCATCACATTGTACCTCACGAATGTATATACATATGATTTGTCAATTAAAAATAATACTAATTTTAAAAATTACCGGGGGAGGAGCCAAGATGGCCGAATAGGAACAGCTCTGGTCCACAGCTCCCAGCGTGAGCAACGCAGAAGACGGGTGATTTCTGCATTTCCATCTGAGGTACCGGGTTCATCTCACTAGGGAGTGCCAGACAGTGGGCGCAGGTCAGTGGGTGCGCGCACCGTGCACGAGCCGAAGCAGGGTGAGACATTGCCTCATTTGGGAAGCGCAAGGGGTCAGGGAGTTCCCTTTCCGAGTCAAAGAAAGGGGTGATGGACGGCACCTGGAAAATCCGGTCGCTCCCACCCGAATACTGCGCTTTTCCGACAGGCTTAAAAAACGGCGCACCACGAGATTATATGCCGCACCTGGCTCGGAGGGTCCTACACCCACAGAGTCTCGCTGATTGCTAGCACAGCAGTCTGAGATCAAACTGCAAGGCGGCAGCGAGGCTGGGGGAGGGGCGCCCGCCATTGCCCAGGCTTGATTAGGTAAACAAAGCAACCTGGAAGCTCCAACTGGGCGGAGCCCACCACAGCTCAAGGAGGCCTGCCTGCCTGTGTAGGCTCCACCTCTGGGGGCAGGGCACAGACAAACAAAAAGACAGCAGTAACCTCTGCAGACTTAAATGTCCCTGTCTGACAGCTTTGAAGAGAGCAGTGGTTCTCCCAGCACACAGCTGGAGATCTGAGAACGGGCAGACTGCCTCCTCAAGTGGGTCCCTGACCCCTGACCCCTGAGCAGCCTAACTGGGAGGCACCCCCCAGCAGGGGCACAGTGACACCTCACAAGGCAGGGTATTCCAACAGACCTGCAGCTGAGGGTCCTGTCTGTTAGAAGGAAAACTAACAAACAGAAAGGACATCCACACCAAAAACCCATCTGTACATTACCATCATCAAAGACCAAAAGTAGATGAAACCACAAAGATGGGGAAAAAGCAGAACAGAAAAACTGGAAACTCTAAACAGCAGAGCGCCTCTCCTCCTCCAAAGGAACGCAGTTCCTCACCAGCAACGGAACAAAGCTGGATGGAGAATGACTTTGACGAGCTGAGAGAAGAAGGCTTCAGACGATCAAATTACTCTGAGCTACGGGAGGACATTCAAACCAAAGGCAAAGAAGTTGAAAACTTGAAAAAAAATTAGAAGAATGTATAACTAGAATAACCAATACAGAGAAGTGCTTAAAGGAGCTGATGGAGCTGAAAACCAAGGCTCGAGAACTACGTGAAGAATGCAGAAGCCTCAGGAGCCGATGCGATCAACTGGAAGAAAGGGTATCAGCGATGGAAGATGAAATGAATGAAATGAAGCGAGAAGGGAAGTTTAGAGAAAAAAGAATAAAAAGAAATGAGCAAAGCCTCCAAGAAATATGGGACTATGTGAAAAGACCAAATCTACATCTGACTGGTGTACCTGAAAGTGATGGGGAGAATAGAACCAAGATGGAAAGCACTCAGCAGGATATTATCCAGGAGAACTTCCCCAATCTAGCAAGGCAGGCCAACGTTCAGATTCAGGAAATACAGAGAACGCCACAAAGATACTCCTCGAGAAGAGCAACTCCAAGACACATAACTGTCAGATTCACCAAAGTTGAAATGAAGGAAAAAATGTTAAGGGCAGCCAGAGAGAAAGGTCGGGTTACCCTCAAAGGGAAGCCCATCAGAATAACAGCGGATCTCTTGGCAGAAACCCTACAAGCCAGAAGAGAGTGGGGGCCAATATTCAACATTCTTAAAGACAAGAATTTTCAAACCAGAATTTCACATCCAGCCAAACTAAGCTTCATAAGCGAAGGAGAAATAAAATACTTTACAGACAAGCAAATGCTGAGAGATTTTGTCACCACCAGGCCTGCCCTAAAAGAGCTCCTAAAGGAAGCACTAAACATGGAAAGGAACAACCAGTACCAGCCACTGCAAAATCATGCCAAAATGTAAAGACCATCGAGACTAGGAAGAAACCGCATCAACTAACAAGCAAAATAACCAGTTAACATCATAATGACAGGATCAAATTCACACACAACAATATTAACTTTAAATGTAAATGGACTAAATGCTCCAATTAAAAGACACAGACTGGCAAATTGGATAAAGAGTCAAGACCCATCGGTGTGCTGTATTCAGGAAACCCATCTCATGTGCAGAGACACATATAGGCTCAAAATAAAAGGATGGAGGAAGATCTACCAAGCAAATGGAAAACAAAAAAAGGCAGGAGTTGCAAAACGAGTCTCTGATAAAACAGACTTTAAACCAACAAAGATCAAAAGAGACAAAGAAGGCCATTACATAATGGTAAAGGGATCAATTCAGCAAGAAGAGCTAACTATCCTAAATATATATGCACCCAATACAGGAGCACCAAGATTCATAAAGCAAGTCCTGAGTGACCTACAAAGAGACTTAGACTCCCACACATTAATAATGGGAGACTTTAACACTCCACTGTCAACATTAGACAGATCAACGAGACAGAAAGTCAACAAGGATACCCAGGAATTGAACTCAGCTCTGCACCAAGCGGACCTAATAGACATCTACAGAACTCTCCACCCCAAATCAACAGAATATACATTTTTTTCAGCACCACACCACACCTATTCCAAAATTGACCCACATACTTGGAAGTAAAGCTCTCCTCAGCAAATGTAAAAGAACAGAAATTATAACAAACTATCTCTCAGACCACAGTGCAATCAAACTAGAACTCAGGACTAAGAATCTCACTCAAAACCGCTCAACTACATGGAAACTGAACAACCTGCTCCTGAATGACTACTGGGTACAAAACGAAATGAAGGCAGAAATAAAGATGTTCTTTGAAACCAACGAGAACAAAGACACAACATACCAGAATCTCTGGGACACATTCAAAGCAGTGTGTAGAGGGAAATTTATAGCACTAAATGCCCACAAGAGAAAGCAGGAAAGATCCAGAATTGACACCCTAACATCACAATTAAAAGAACTAGAAAAGCAAGAGCAAACACATTCTAAAGCTAGCAGAAGGCAAGAAATAACTAAAATCAGAGCAGAACTGAAGGAAATAGAGACACAAAAAACGCTTCAAAAAAGTAATGAATCCAGGAGCTGGTTTTTTGAAAGGATCAACAAAATTGATAGATTGCTAGCAAGACTAATAAAGAAAAAAAGAGAGAAGAATCTAATAGATGCAATAGAAAATGATAAAGGGGATATGACCACCGATCCCACAGAAATACAAACTACCATCAGAGAATACTACAAACACCTCTACGCAAATAAACTAGAAAATGTAGAAGAAATGGATAAATTCCTCGACACATACACTCTCCCAAGACTAAACCAGGAAGAAGTTGAATCTCTGAATAGACCAATAACGGGATCTGAAATTGTGGCAATAATCAATAGCTTACCAACCAAAAAGAGTCCAGGAACAGATGGATTCACAGCTGAATTCTACCAGAGGTACAAGGAGGAACTGGTACCATTCCTTCTGAAACTATTCCAATCAATAGAAAAAGAGGGAATCCTCCCTAACTCATTTTATGAGGCCAGCATCATTCTGATACCAAAGCCAGGCAGAGACACAACCAAAAAAGAGAATTTTAGACCAATATCCTTGATGAACATTGATGCAAAAATCCTCAATAAAATACTGGCAAAACGAATCCAGCAGCACATCAAAAAGCTTATCCACCGTGATCAAGTGGGCTTCATCACTGGGATGCAAGGCTGGTTCAATATACACATATCAATAAATGTAATCCAGCATATAAACAGAACCAAAGACAAAAACCACATGATTATCTCAATAGATGCAGAAAAAGCCTTTGACAAAATTCAACAACCCTTCATGCTAAAAACTCTCAATAAATTAGGTATTGATGGGACGTATTTCAAAATAATAAGAGCTATCTATGACAAACCCACAGCCAATATCATACTGAATGGGCAAAAACTGGAAGCATTCCCTTTGAAAACTGGCACAAGACAGGGATGCCCTCTCTCACCACTCCTATTCAACATACTGTTGGAAGTTCTGGCCAGGGCAATTAGGCAGGAGAAGGAAATAAAGGGTATTCAATTAGGAAAAGAGGAAGTCAGATTGTCCCTGTTTGCAGACGACATGATTGTATATCTAGAAAACCCCACTGTCTCAGCCCAAAATCTCCTTAAGCTGATAAGCAACTTCAGCAAAGTCTCAGGATACAAAATCAATGTACAAAAATCACAAGCATTCTTATACACCAGCAACAGACAAACAGAGAGCCAAATCATGAGTGAACTCCCATTCACAATTGCTTCAAAGAGAATAAAATACCTAGGAATCCACCTTACAAGGGATGTGAAGGACCTCTTCAAGGAGAACTACAAACCACTGCTCAGTGAAATAAAAGAGGATACAAAGAAATGGAAGAACATTCCATGCTCATGGGCAGGAAGAATCAATATCGTGAAAATGGCCATACTGCCCACGGTAATTTACAGATTCAATGCCATCCCCATCAAGCTACCAATGACTTTCTTCACAGAATTGGAAAAAACTACTTTAAAGTTCATATGGAACCAAAAAAGAGCCCGCATCGCCAAGTCAATCCTAAGCCAAAAGAGCAAAGCTGGAGGCATCACACTACCTGACTTCAAACTATACTACAAGGCTACAGTAACCAAAACAGCATGGTACTGGTACCAAAACAGAGATATAGATCAATGGAACAGAACAGAGCCCTCAGAAATAATGCCGCATATCTACAACTATCCGATCTTTGACAAACCTGAGAAAAACAAGCAATGGGGAAAGGATTCCCTATTTAATAAATGGTGCTAGGAAAACTGGCTAGCCATATGTAGAAAGCTGAAACTGGATCCCTTCCTTACACCTTATACAAAAATCAATTCAAGATGGATTAAAGACTTAAACGTTAGACCTAAAACCATAAAAACCCTAGAAGAAAACCTAGGCATTACCATTCAGGACATAGGCATGGGCAAGGACTTCATGTCTAAAACACCAAAAGCAATGGCAACAAAAGACAAAATTGACAAATGGGATCTAATTAAACTAAAGAGCTTCTGCACAGCAAAAAAAAACTACCATCAGAGTGAACAGGCAACCTACAAAATGGGAGAAAATTTTCACAACCTACTCATCTGACAAAGGGCTAATATCCAGAATCTACAATGAACTCCAACAAACTTACAAGAAAAAAACAACCCCATCAAAAAGTGGGCAAAGGACATGAACAGACACTTCTCAAAAGAAGATATTTATGCAGCCAAAAAACACATGAAAAAATGCTCATCATCACTGGCCATCAGAGAAATGCAAATCAAAACCACAATGAGATACCATCTCACACCAGTTAGAATGGCAATCATTAAAAAGTCAGGAAACAACAGGTGCTGGAGAGGATGTGGAGAAATAGGAACACTTTTACACTTTGGTGGGACTGTAAACTAGTTCAACCATTGTGGAAGTCAGTGTGGCGATTCCTCAGGGATCTAGAACTGGAAAATACCATTTGACCCAGCCATCCCATTACTGGGTATATACCCAAAGGACTATAGATCATGCTGCTATAAAGACACATGCACACGTATGTTTATTGCGGCATTATTCACAGTAGCAAAGACTTGGATTAAGAAAATGTGGCACATATACGCCATGGAATACTATGCAGCCATAAAAAATGATGAGTTCATGTCCTTTGTAGGGACATGGATGAAATTGGAAAACATCATTCTCAGTAAACTATTGCAAGAACAAAAACCAAACACCGCATATTCTCACTCATAGGTGGGAATTGAACAATGAGATCACATAGACACAGGAAGGAGAACATCACACTCTGGGGACTGTTGTGGGGTGGGGGGAGGGGGGAGGGATAGCATTGGGAGATATACCTAATGCTAGATGACAAGTTAGTGGGTGCAGCGCACCAGCATGGCACATGCATACATATGTAACTAACCTGCACAATGTGCACATGTACCCTAAAACTTAAAGTATAATAAAAAAAAAATTACCACAACGGCCTATTCTATGCAAATATTTTGAATCTCAGATGAAACGGATAATTTCCTAAGTAAATATATGTTTACAAAATTGACTCCATTAGAGTACATGTGAACGAAGTGAGCACAAAAATTGACTCCATCAGATAGAGGAAGATTAAACAGACCAAAGTAGATAGAAGAAATCAATAAAATTCTTGGAAAACTACTCAACTTTGTAGGCATTTTAGCACCTTGTTCAGATGAATTCACATAGAAATTCTACTAAAGCTTTCAATACTCTATATAAATTTTTCCAGACTACTGAAAATGAAGATATTTTCTCAACTTTTTAATGAAGTTATGAAGTCAATCTAGTAAAGAGAATAAAAGTAAAGAAAATATAGATTAATTTATGAATTTCAATGCAAACATATAAAATAAAATATTTACAGATTCAGCACTACATTAAGAAAACCAAACCTGATTTGTTCCAGGAATGCAAGTTTGGCACAACATTAAGAAATCCATTAATATCATACAATGTAATACATAGTCCTTGACACTTTCTAGAATATATAGATGAAATTAGAACTAAAAGATGGAAATATGAGAGAAAAGTGAAAATATATGAACTATACCACTCAAAAGTTCCAAAATTTAACCATTGGGAATTCCCAGAGAAGAACGCTGAGACAATCTCAGGAGGAAAAGATTCAAAAATTGTTTTGTTTTGTTTTTAAAAATATCCCTGAGATGGAGAAAAAGACCTTAAGAACAGATATCAATAGATGAGAGATAGATAGATAATAGGTAGATAGATAGATAGATAGATAGATAGATAGATAGATAGATAGATAGACAGATAATGATGAAACAAACAAGACAGCATTTAAATCATGGGTGAATCTGTATAAAAGATATATGGGAGTTTCTCATATTGTTCTTATCAATTTCTATAAGCCAAAATAAAAAGAAACAAAAAAAAATCATAGGGAAACACTAATTCCCACAATATGTGTATTTCTTTTAGAGAATATGTAAACAAATGAATAGTTGTGAGATACGATGTTTATGTAATTAAATAACTTATATGAAATTGTTTTTGCTATCTATTTAGAAAAATTTTCTCTTTCAGTATTTTATTGACCCAAATTACAAAATATGTTACAAACACTTGAGTAATAAAAACATGCTCCACTTGAGATGCCTGAATTAGGAGAAAGATAAACACACGAACCAATATATGTGGGTTAATATATAAGTCCTATGATAGTGATGCTACAAAGTAACATGGGAAAATTTTACTAGAGGAGCAAATAGGAATTTTAAGAGAAGCATACTAATGCAATTTCATTAGAGTTAGAATGCCCAAATATTCTATGAGATCCCTATTCTTGAGTCAACCATGAACATTGAGGATAATGGAGGTTTGAGGTTGAAGTGAGAAGCTATTCTTTAATTATGTCTTGAAATGCTGACTCAAGTGACCTCACTAAGACATTTCATCATGGGTTTTCTTTTGTTTTGGTTTTTGTTTTTGTTTTTTGAAATAGAGTCTCACTCTGTTGCCCAGGCTGGAGTACAGTGGCACGATTTTGGCTCATTGCAACCTCCACCTCCAGGGTTCAAGTGATTCTCCTGCCTCAGCCTCCCGAGTAGCTGGGATTACAGGCACACACCACTACACCTGACTAATTTTTGTATTTTTGGTTAGAGACCATGTTTCGCCATGTTCGCCAGGCTGGTATCAAACTCCTGACCTCAGGTGATCCACCAGCCTTGGCCTCCCAAAGTGCTGGGATTACAGGTGTGAGCCACCACGTGAGGCCTTCATCACGGTTTTTGATAACCATCTGACTAGAATTGAAATTTTCCTATTCATCTTTGTTTCCAACTAATTTCTTTTGTTGACTTTTCCAGTCATGTCAACCATCCAACCACTGAAGAACCCAGACTCTATTGTTCATCACTTTTATGCCAGTTTTTTAAAGTTGTAAACCACAAATTTAAAAAATTTTACATTATTATAAGCAGGTAAGTTTACCTTAAGTAAGTAAGAAAGCTCCCCAAAATCACATTTTTGATTATGAGAGACATTGTATATTTTAAATCTTATAGAAATTACATTATTACCAAAAAGTTCATGAAAAACGGATAACAATGATGAGGGAAAAGGATGAATGATACCTGACACTGAAATTTAAGCCTGAATCCCTGGGGTATATTGGTACAATGATCACAGAAAGGTATGTTGTTTTGAGAAAAACCACCATTAATGGTTCTCTCCTTATAGGCGCTAAATTGTATAATGACACACTTTGGTTTATGATTTCTATGAAAACAGAGAATTTCATGTAAATATTGTAACTACAAATTAATCATACCATTCAGTATGTACATATTATACAGAACTTAAGATGGTAGCAGAGAAGACATTAACCAGGAATATTCTGAGGTTAAAATATCAGTGGCTGGCAAAGCTATTGCCAGAAGAAAGTTATATAAACTGATAAATAGGACTATTTGTCAAATCAGTTGAGGAAGACAGAAAACAAAAAAAGATGAGTAGGACAGCCCATCACGCGCACATGGGAGTTGTGTCTCCCAAAATAGATTGAGAAACAAAGAGCTGGGATGACTGTCTAAGCAAGTGGCTTCCCAAAGTAGATAAAATTTTTCAAGCAAAAAACTTCCCTGTGGAGGTACCTGCAGGAATAATTTCATCATGAAAATACATAAGACGTCTTCCTCATCTGTCAACATTATCTCAGAGCTTCCTTAACACATACTGCAATCCGAAGTAAATTCAGTCTCTTGTTAGTACCAATCAGTCTTCTCTTTCTGTCTCCCCACTCTTTGATCTCAGAATGTGAAAGTCTTGTTTACAATGCTTGTTAAAAGCCAGGTCATCATTTCCCAATACCCTATATTTCTTTTATAAACTCAAAACTACAGACAAAGTAAAAGCAACAAAATGCTTATTTAAAATGTGCTGCAAGAACTTTGCACTTTATTTAGGTTTTTGTCTGATAAAGGTAAAATGTGGTGGAATTTTATCATTCTTATACAGACAATGCATTTCTACTAGAATCAACGAAGACTCTAGTATTGGATTTTTTAGGAGTCTTTTGATATTCCTGGTTCATATTGAACTTATTTTAATTTAAAATCCCTAGGGTTTTAATTATTTATTTTTATATCAGTAGCTGTTCAAGCTAGTTTCTCTCCTATTTTGTACACATGAAATTGATTTTTACACACCATAAAAGCTTTTCTATTTGTTTAGTGTTCACTCACATAATTTCTTGCCTCTGACTACACTGCTAGGCAGTTTGCATTCCCGCCTGCATTATTCTCTGACCTGATATCTCTTCCTTTGCACACCACTGCTAGATCAATGTTTCTCAAAGTTCCACTTTGATCATGTCATTCACATGCTTAAAATTATTTACTAATATTCTACTGTTTAGTGCATGATATCCAAGCTCCTCAGTCTACAAGTCAAAACACTGCACAATCTATCAAAATACTTTCTAATGCTATTTTCCATCTCTTCTCTGCATGATTCTGTGTTCCTGACAATGAGCATGTATATGGAGCTAGTTTTTTTGCTTTATCAACACCTCTTTGCTCTTCTGTTTTGTTTTGGCTTTTTTTTTGGCTATTTTTAATTTTTATATTGAGAAATAATTGTAAAACCTTAGAAAAATTGCAAGAGTACTAAGAGCGCTGATATAACACTTAACCCAGATTTAGCTATTGTTAAATTTCTGTATTTACTTCTTCATTTTGCTCCATATAACTGGCCCACCTTCTATTTTTGAAAAAAAATAAAAAAGAAATGCTTTATATTAAATAGAACTTCCATTTTTATATAATTTTAGATTCACATGAAGTTTTACGAGATTATCCAAGGAAGTCCCATGCACCATTTACCTTGGTTTACCCAATGGTAACATGTTGCAAATCCATAGTAGAATAGAACAAACAACATATTGACATTAACAGTCAAAATGGAGAATATTTCTATCACAACAAAGATCCCTCATGTTGCCCTTCTATAATCTTGCCCAGTTCCCATATGCTGCTATCATTTCCATATCCATTCATGCTATAATCTGCTTTCTTTTTCTATAATTTTTGTCTTTTCTAGAATGATATATAAATACACTTATATAGTACGTAAACTTTCGCCACTGGACATTTTTCCCCAGCATAACTCTCTGGAGATTCATGCAGGTTGTTGCAGGTGAAAATAGTTCATTATTCCTTATTGCTGAACAGTATTTTGTGCTGTGGGTACAATGATTTGTTTAACCATTCACCTGTTGAAGGACATCTGAATTGTTTCCAGTTACAAATGAAGCACCTATGAGCATTTACATACAGGTTTTTGTGTGAACCTAAATCTTCATTTCTGTATAATAAATACCTAGAAATACAATTGCTGGATTGAATGGTAGCTGCATGTCTAGTTTTTTAACCAGCTGCCTAATTGTTTTCCAGAGTAGCTGTAATATTTTAAATTTTCATCAACAACATATGAGTGACCCCGTTTCTCTGCATTCTTACTAGCATTTAGGATTACAACTATTTTTATTTTATCCATTCTGATATGTGCAGAGTGATATATCATTGTGTTTTTAATTCAAATTTCTCTAACGGCTAGTGATGTTGAATATTTTTATGTGCTTATGTCCCATCCTTTTAAGTGAAATGTCCATTCATTCATTTCTTTTTTTGGGGTGGGGGGGCGTGGGAGGGGACGGAGTCTCGCTCTGTTGCCCAGGCTGGAGTGCAGTGGTGCGATCTCGGCTCACTGCAAGCTCCGCCTCCCGGGTTGACGCCATTCTCCTGCCTCAGCCCCCCTAGTAGCTGGGACTACAGACGCCCGCAACCACGCCTGGCTAATTTTTTTTTTATTTTTAGTAGAGACGGGGTTTCACCGTGTTAGTCAGGATGGTCTCGATCTCCTGACCTCATGATCCGCCCGCCTCGGCCTCCCAAAGTGCTGGGATTACAGGCGTGAGCCACCAAGCCCGGCCCATTCATTTCTTTTGCCCGTTGCTAATCAGATAGTTTGCTTTTTGAGTGTTTACTTTTGAAAGTTCTTTATATATTCTAGATATTAGAAATAGGATAAACACAAAGAAATTCAGACCCAGACATATTATAACAAAATTGTCGAAAGTCAAAGAAAAAATCTTGAAAGCAACAAAAGAAAAATGACTTATTACATACAAGGAACCCTAATAAAATTAACATCGGAAACAATGGAGAGCAAAAGGCAGTAGGAAAACAGATATAAAATATTAAAATAAAAAATCG
Organism: Homo sapiens; assembly: GCF_000001405.40. Lineage (NCBI taxonomy): Eukaryota > Metazoa > Chordata > Mammalia > Primates > Hominidae > Homo > Homo sapiens. Next base: position 137,192,904 of record NC_000007.14, read on the forward strand.
TCAACCAACAGTCTTATAGCTAGCAAACTATCACAAATGAAAGCAAAATAAAGATAATCCTGGATAAACAACTGAGAGAATTGGTTTCTAGCAGACGTATCTTTTAATAAATATTAATGGAAATTCTTCAAGCTGAAAGCCCATGACACCAGACAGTAATTCAAATACACAGAAAAAAACAGCACTGGTAAAGATGATTATGTAACTTAAAAGGCAGCATAAATGCAGAGGTCTCTTTTTATTTCTCTTTACTGATTTAAAAAGCAATTGCATAGAAGTACATATGTATATTTATATTGTGGAGAATATTACAAATAGAAATGTAATGTATTTGACAATAGCACAGAATTAGTATGCAAGAACAAAGCTCTATGGAAGAAAGTAATAAAACCAAATGGTAATTTGAATCCACAAGACCAAATAAATAAAACAACAAATAGTAAATAAGCAGGCTGGTAGTAAAAAGTTTATACATATATACTTGCTCTTCTTCCTTCTTTTACCTTTCTTAAATGATATAAAATCGTACAAAGTAATAGTTAAAGCAATATACTTTGGGGTTTGTAAACTATAAAGGTATGCTATACACAACAATAATATCACAAAAATTGTGAAAAGGGAATAGAGCTATATAGGAGTAATGTTTATATATCTAATTGGAATTAAGATACTATAAATCTGAGAGTAAATTCTGAGAAGCTAAGATGTATGTGATAAGTCCTAAAGTAACAATAAAGAAAATAACTTTTAAAATATAGCTTAAAGATCATTAAATAAATTTTAAAATTATGCAATAAATATTCCCTTAGTGCGAAAGAAAGCAGGGAAGGAGGGATAGAGGAACAAAAAGTAAGACACATAGAAAACAAAAAGTAAAATGAGAGCCATAAATACAACTTTATCAATAACATTAAATGTGAATAGATTAAACAATCCAATGATAATGCATATGTCTGATTAAAAACACAAAACCCGGCCAGGCGCGGTGGCTCACGCCTGTAATCCCAGCACTTTAGGAGGCCGAGGCGGGCGGAACACGAGGTCAGGAGATCGAGACCATCCTGGCTAACACAGTGAAACCCCATCTCTACTAAAATTACAAAAAAAAAAAAAAAAAAAAAAATTAGCCAGGCGTGGTTGCTGGTGCCTGTAGTCCCAGCTACTCGGAAGGCTGAGGCAGGAGAATGGCGTGAACCCGGGAGGCGGAGCTTGAAGTGAGCGGAGATCACGCCACTGCACTGCAGCCCGGGCGACAGAGCGAGACTCCGTCTCAGAAACAACAACAACAAACAAAACCCAACTATACATTGCCTACAGGAAACACACTTTCTATCCAAAAATACAAAGATTTGAAAGCAAAAGGATGAAAATGCATATAGTATAACCATACAAAGACCAATCATAGCAACCCTGAAGAGACTATACCAATATCAGAAAAAAATAGATTTTCAAAAAGCAAAATGTTATTAGAGAAAAGAGATACTGTGTATAGCAATAAAAGGATCATCCTTCAGGAAGATAAAACAATTATGAACACATACATGCTGCCCAACAGGGCTTCCAAATATATGAAGCAAAACTGACAGGACTGGAGGGAAAAATAAACAATTCAACAGTAATAATCAGAAACTTCAGTACCCTACTTTCAATAATAGATAGAAAAACTAGACAGAAAATGAATAAGGAAATAGAAGACTGAATAACACTATGTACCAACTAACCCTAAACAAGATCTATAGAAGATTTCATTCGACAACAGTAGAACATCAACTTATGTGCACATAAGATAGACCTTCTCCAAGATAGACCTTCTACTAGGCCATAAAGCAAGCCTCAGTAAATTTAACAGCACTGAAATCATACAAAATATGTTCTCTTCACTCAATGGAATTAAATAAGAAATCAATATCAAAAAGAAATTCAGGGAATTTACAAATATGTGAAACTTAAATAACACTCCTGAATAACCAATGAGTCAAATAAATCACAAGGAAAATTAGAAAATACTCTTGAAAGAATGAAAATGAAAACATGTCATATCAAAACTTATGGGATAGAGCAAAAGCAGGGCTTGGAGGGAAATTTAAAATATCCACACCTATATCTTTTAAAAATCACATTTTCTATATGTTAATTTCTACATTATAGGATTCCATTTATATAAAATATCTTGACTAGGCAAATCTACAGATAACAAATTAGATTAGTGATTATTCGTGGTGGGGAGGGGAGGGATATTTGGGGTAATTGAGGAATGACTGCTAATAGGTATGTGGTTTCATTATTTTGGGGTGATGAAAATGGGGTTTCTTTTTGTTATTTGTTTGTTGGTTTTTTTGAGACAGAGTCTCACTCTGTCACCTAGGCTGGAGTGAAGTGGCATGATCTTGTCTCACTGCAACCTCTGCCCCCGGGTTCAAGCGATTCTCCTGCCTAAACCTCCTGAGTAGCTGGGATTATAAGCGCCCACCACCAGGCCTGGCTAATATTTGTATTTTTAGTAGAAACGTGCTTTCGCTATGTTGGCCAGGCTGCTCTCGAACTCCTGACCTCAGGTGATCTACCTGCCTTGGCCTCCCAAAGTGCTAGGATTACAAGCATCAGCCACCGCTCCTGGCAGGTGAAAATGTTCTAAAATGTGTTGTATTAGCAATTTCACAACCTTCTGAATATTTTTTTTAAAGAAACCCACGATATTGAATTATACACTTCAAATGAGTAAACTGTACAATTTTACTTATATTTTAATGAAGGTCTTATATATATAAAACAAATTGGGCATGTATTTGTGAGTTTATTTCTGAGTTTTCTGTTCCATTGATCTATATGTCTATCTACCAATACTGTACAGTTCTGATTATTGTAGATAAATAATACATCTTGAAATTGGGCAGAGTGATTCTTCTCATTTTATTATCTTTTCCAGGAAAAAAAAAATAGCTATTCTAGTTTATTTGCCTTTCCATATAAGTATGAAGATAATCTTGCATATATCTACAAAAACTCTTGCAGGGAGTTTGATAGAAATTTCATTAAACCTGTATATCAATTCAAAAAGAATTAATATTTTTACTTTATTCAGTTCTCTATTCCATGAACACCGTATGTTTTTCTATTTATTTAGATCTTTTATTTTTTCATTAGTATTTTATAGTTTGCAGCATATGTCTTGTATATTCTTTATTAGATTTACACCTAAGAATGAAATGAATCTAATAAAGATTTGCTGAATCAATCTAATAAAGATTTGCTTTATTATTTGCATAATAAAGACATCAATCAAATAAAGATTTGCTGAGTCATTGCAAACTATCATATTTTTAATTTGTGTACGTATGTATGGTGTATGTGTGTATATACATTATATATGTTTGCTGCTACTATATAGATATAACAAATTTGTGTATATTTATCTTATATCCTGGGACATTCCTGGACCCACTTATTGGTTCTAGAACACTTATGGGACAGGTTGGGATGCTTTGTTACAGCCTTGCAAGCACACAAGTCTGGGCTTCTCAGTCCACATTTGCTGGTGTGGATCAGGGGTGGGATCAGAGTGTTTTCAGTGGTGTTTGGCTGGAGTAAACCAGCTATTGTCTAAATGTTTTCTGTTTCATTAGGCCGTCCTGCTCCTGGTCCTTCGGCTATATAAAGCATGCTTTTGCTCTCTTCCTTTCCTGTCCTGTCCAGTCCTGTCCTGTCCTGTCCTTTCCTTTCCTTTCCTTTCCTTTTTTCCGTTTTTTGTCTGTACCCATCCTGGTTGTTGGCTTCTTCAGCTTCAAGTCTGGGATATATGAAAAAAAGAAAAATAGAAAACCCACAGAACTCACCACTGTGTTGTTCTTCAAGTCCTGAAATTTGGCTTCTCTCCACTTTTCAGGGTATTTTTACATTTGTTCTGTGTATCATGTTCAGATTTGTTCAGTTTACTTAGCAGGAGGATTAGGGAAAAGTATACCTAATCCGTATTCCCTGAATTGGCTGTAACATATAAGGCTTTGTTAGAACACTGCTCATTCATTTATGTATCTCCTATGACTTTTCATGGTACAATGGCAGAGTTCACCAAGAGTGACAGAGACCATATGCTCTGAAATGCCAAAATGTTTACCATTTTTTCCTTTATAGAAAGCAAGTATCAATCCTACTTCATGCTGTAGTTTTCATATGCATTACATATACATATATTACAGACTAAATAGACAATATTTTTGTTGTTTTAAAAGAACATGCTTTTAAAATATGAAGAATAGTAGTCTTTTATATTCCCTCCAATATTTATCATTTCCAGTGCTTTTCATTTCTTCCTGAAGGTCCAGATTTTGATCTGATATCATTCTACTTCATCCCAAAGTCTTTTCTTTAGCATATCTTATGATGAAATTCTGTGGGAGACAAATTCATTCTGTGTTTCTATGTCTGTGTGTGTGTGTGTGCGTGTGTGTGTGTGCACGCGTATGTGTATGTCTTTCTCTGTTTCTTTCTCTCTACCCACCACTTGGAAATGTTTAATTTTAATTCTTGAAGAATGTTTTTACTCATAATAATATTCTGGGTCTTTTTTTCTCTCAGCATATTGAAAATGTTTTCCACTATCTTTTGGCCTCCATAAAGTCAGACGAGAAGCCAGTGGCTATTTGAATAGTTATTCCCGGGATGTAACATGTTATTTTCCTTTGGCTGGTATCAAGGTATTCTTTTTTTATTGGGTTTCACTAGTTTTACTGTCATGTACTTAGTGATTTCATTCATCTGTATCTTGTTTGGGTTTACTAACCTTCTAAAATTAGAGCAATAAATCACACAAAAAATATATTTTACACTAAACAGCAAAATTTTACAGCAATTGAAATATTTTCCCTTCAGTCTTTTCTCTCTCTTCTCTTTCTAGAACTTCAATTACATATATGTTAGACTTTTGTTGTTATCCTACAGGTTTTGAGGTTGTTTTCAACCACTTTTTTCTTAACATTTTCAGCTTAGTTAATTGCTATTGATCTCATATACTCTTTGCTCTATCTTCATTTTTTTGTTAATCCCATAGAGTAAAATTTTTATTTTAATAATAGCATTTTAAAATTACATTTTCTAAAGTCTATTTCATTGTTAACCATGTTTTCCTTTATAATCATGAGTTTAGTTATAATTGCTTTCAAATCTGTGTAGTGATAATTCCAATATTTGAATATTCTTGTCTGTTGATGATCTTTTGCAAATGAGTAATTTTTTCCCTTCTTTGAATATTAAATAATTTAAACAATCTTTTTCTGGGCACTATAAGGGTTATGACTATATTCTGTAATATTCTCCCAAAGATTAGCTTTTTGTTCATAAACTTTAGAAGCCAATTATCTTGATCAGACCCAAACTGCCAAGTCTTGCATGCCATTTGACATCTTAGTAGTTATTTGATATTTTTGATGGGCTGTTTTGAGTCTACCAATACATGTGAGAGGCAAGTGTCCGTCAGACATCTGGGGAGAGGTTTGTATAAATCTTGGGAATCACTCTCTTTGGTTCTCTCCTTTCTAGCATTCTACCATTATTGTCCATTGGCTGTGGTTTCCCTGAATTTCCTACTTTTAAACAACTGCAGCTTTTCCAACAGAGATTATGTCCTTCTGCATGGTGAAGACTGATATACCCAAAAGCTGAAAAGTATAAGAAATGAAGAACTAACCTGTGCCTTGTTTTTCTTTCAAATATTGAAGCGTTGACTTTCCTCCCAAACCTCTGTGTTGACTCTCAAATGCCTTCAAATAATTGTGTTTTGTCATCTGTTCATGGCTTGTAGTTGTTATCTTATGTAGGGTTAGTCCTGTATAGGCTTGTTCAGCCATGACAGAAGTGGATTTCCTCCCCCATGCCATTTCTTATTTTGCAAATTTGTTTTCTCCTTTTTTTAAAGTTAGGTTGTTAGCTAGTGATTTGTCTATTTTGATTATTTTTAATAGAATATTAATTTGATTTAAAGTTTTTCTGTTCTCTACTCTTTTATTCTTTCATTTTTCTTCCTTGTGCTTTCCTTTGATTTCCTTTTCTTTATTAAATATTGATGCTTCATTTATTTTTACTTTTATTGCTATAATTCTACAATGTTACACATTTTCTTTTGGTTACTGCTTTACAAGTTTCCCATAGCTTCTGATATGTAGGATTCTCATCATCATTATTTTTGTAAATAAACTAAATTTATGACATCTGTATTCTTTCACTCAAGAGTTATTTAATAAAAAGTTGAATTTCTTACCTAGTGGGTACAACATACATTATTTGAGTGATGTTTACACTAAAAGCCCAGAGTTCACCATTATGCAAATTATCCATGTAATAAAACTGCACTTCTATCCCCTAAGTCCATTAAAATAAAATTTTAAAAGAATCCTATAGCTACTTCTCACGTTTGTTATAAGTGTGAGTGTTACAACAATATAAATGTTATCGTTGTAACATAAGTAAGTTATAAGTGTTAGTGTTATAACAATTATTCAGTTCCTAGTATTAAACATTTCTATTATGAAAAACAGTTGAATTTCCAAGTAGACAGATTTTTTTGATTATTGATTTTATATTTGACTTCTATTTGTGTTGCATTGCAATCACACAAAATATTTCCACTTTGTGAAAACTAATGATGATTCTTGATACACGGTCAATTTTTAGAAATGTTTCAGGTGTGTTCGAGAAGATATATTCTCTATCGTCAGAATATTATGTTTGTTAAATGTCTGAAAAATTCTACTTTACTGACTGTGTTATTTAGATCATTTTTATATCCACATTAATTTTTGTCTACTTGGCTTCTTTTATATTGACAATGGTGTATTAAATCCCATATTATTAATGGGTTTTTAGAAATCCTTTTTATCTCATGTTGTTTCAGTTTGATATTGCAGTTGTTCTATTATTTGGCATGTAAGTATTCATAACCGTTATGTCTGTGGTGTTTTGAAAAGTGACTTTTAGCATTAAATATATATTGTGGAGTGCGCTTTTTAGCATTTAAAATGTGTCAGACTTTGCCTTTTTAATACTTTTTAATGTAAATTCTACTTTGTTATCAAGATTGAAAACACTTCTTATTATTTCCCTGTTTCTATCAATTCTTTGTTCACTCCTTTAGTACTAACATTTTGGAAATACTGTAATTTAAGTGTATCTCTTATATAGAACAGAGTTGAGTTTTGATTTGCATGCCAATTCTAGGGTTGGGTTATAAAAAACATTTATTTTTATTGAAATTTCTGGTAAATTTGATCTAAATTTTGTCATATTACCTTACGTTATGATCGATGGGTGCATTGTGTTATATTTACTATGTTTCTTTCTGTATTTAATTTGTGCCTTTGGCAAAATAATTGCCTCCTCAGAGAGGTTTGCATCCTAATCCTCAGAACCTGTATACATGCTCCCTTACATGGCAAAAGGAACTTTGCAAACTTGATTAAGTCAAGGATCTTGAGACTGTGAGGTTATTCTAGATTAACTGGGTGGACTCAGGTTAATGACAAAGGTTCTTATAAGTGAAAGAGGGAGGCAGCAGCATCAGAGTCAGGAGAGGAGATGTGACAATGAAAGCAGAAGCTGGTGAAACAATTGCAGGAAAGAAGCCATAAGACAAGGGCTGCAGGCATCACCTCGAAGCCAGAAAAGGCAAGGAACAGATAGTCCTACAGAGCCTCCACTGTATGGTTGAATGCATGTGTCCCCTCAAAATTCGTATGTTGGAACCTAAGACCCAATGTCATAGTTTTAAGAGTTAGGTCCCTTAGGAGGTGATTAACTCATGAGGGCTCCATGACTAGCTAGTTCCCTTGAGTCCTTTTTGTCCTTCTCCCTTTCACCGCGTGAGAACACAGCAAGAGGCATCATCATGGAAGCAGAGACCAGCCCTCGCCAGACACTGAATCTGCCGGTGCCTTGTTTTTGGATGTCTCAGCCTCCAGAATTGTGAGAAAATAGATTTCTATTTGTTCTTTTTTTTTTTTTTTGGTTTGTTTGTTTGTTTTGAGACAAGGTCTCACTCTGTCACCCAGGCTGGAGTGCAGTGGCATGATCTTGGCTCACTGCAACCTCTGTCTCCTGGGTTCAAGCAATTCTCCTGACTCAGCCTCCCAAGTAGCTGGGATTACAGGCACCTGCCACCATGCCCGGCTAATTTTTGTATTTTTAGTAGAGATGGGGTTTCACCATGTGGGCCAGGCTGGTCTCAAACTCCTGACCTCAGGTGATCCCCCTGCCTTGGCCTCCCAAAGTGCTGGGATTACAGGTATGAGCCACCGCACCCGGCCCAAATTTCTATTCTTTACAAGCCAACTAATATACTCCAGAAAGGACACAGCACTGGTGACACTGTGATTTAAAATCAGTAAGACTGATTTGGGACCTCCGGAACTCCAAGTGAATAAATATGTTGTTTTAAGCCACCAGTTTTGTGGGAATTTGCTGCAGCCATTATGGGAATCTAATACAAACGAGAAAACCTTTATCAAGAATTATTTCTGAAGCACATAGTTGTGCGGTTCCTTCTGTCTCCAGCTCCTGCCTCTGTATATACTTTGCTGTTCCATACTGTTAGAATTTAGAATGTAAACTCAGCCACATTTTGTCATCTATATTCATAGTACATACCTATACCCCTACAAATCTATGCATATATGTATCTACCCAGTCAAAGCATTCATAATGGCAGTATAATTTGCTGAATACTGGGCTTATAAAGTGGAAGCAGGAGAGATTTACACTAGCAGAATAAGCAATAGTGAGGAAATCTTCAGATATCACCTTTCTAGTAAATGCACTTTTATTTATCCCCATCCCCTCTACATCATTCTGGTTTAAGATTTTAATTAATCTAATATTTATTATAATTTAAGATATGAGATGGGGATATAATTTTAACAGTCCCTTTTTTTTCAGAATAGTAAATTGAGTTTCCCAGGACCACTTAATAATTACTCTTTTCCCCTAGCTATTCTGTTCTATACTTCATGGAACTAAATTATTTGTTTAGTTATTTGGGGCTGAAGCACATCAAAAGATGGAAAAGTAGAAAAGTATTTTTAACACTCTAGTTTCCCCAATTTCATGTTTTGGCAATGATGCAATGAGAGGAGAATAAGAGAAATTAATATTAGGACAAATGGATTGGGGAAAAAAGTGAATTTTTAGTAGGAGCTGAAAAGACACAAATATAAACACTCTTAACTCTGGAGAAAAAAAATATTGTGACTAAGACTGATTATAAATGGGATTTCTATATGCCAAGATCAGCAGGGAGAAGAGAACATGAATACATTTTGTTGTGTGAAGTACCTTCTGTCTTGTAACAAAAATCATGTTATGCATTATTTTTTTTCTTTTAAATAGCCTAAAAAAGAAAATGAAGAGAAAGTTCTAAATTTCAATTAAGCATGATTCTGATTTTGAGGTGTGAAGATTTCTGTTGGGAAAATGCAGATTTTATCATTCTAGACTCTGCAAGTATCTTCTATATAAATGATTGGTCTTCTGAATGAATTACTGGGATCTAGATTTCTACTTCAATAACTTAACACTAATTATGACCATTTAAAAGAATCCTGGTGTTACCTGACTGCCACAGTCTCTTCTTTCTACCCCAGAAACCACATTACACCCTAAGATCCACTATGTATTAGAATCCCCTAGAATAAATTTTACCTGGGCATTTTATCTGTTTTGTTCAGTGCTTTATCCTCAGGACCTAGAAAAGTGCCTAGTATGTGGTAGGTGTAAACATACGAAAATAACAAATGGGCAAATTAATTAATCAAATTGATCCTTGAAAACTTGATTCTTTTTAGAATTGGACCTCACAATTAATACATGTTTGGATTTGGTCAAATCATAAGCCACCTTAGGGGTGTATAAAATACATTAGTGAGAGGAGTCTTGGCATATTGTTGTGACTATTCTCTATAGGCCAAGTTTGGTGGTAAGACATGTTGCTATCAGACTGGGTAGTCTGATTTCAATGAGGACAATGTGGTTCCTGGGTGTCACGAGCCATATGGAGGCACTAATTTACCCAAAACAAGAAATATATGGATCCTAGGATGAGAAGCAGAGGCAGCATCAGTAATAGGAAGAGTTTTCTTGGCAGAAAATTTTGGTACTGGCTAGTTGATCCTGATATCCCTAGAACTGATATACATGGACATCCTACTAAAGTTTTACTTAATTTGTATAAATAGAAACCAGGTTTGGTGAAAAGACACTGACTACAATCACTACAATTACCAAATGAAGCTGAGAGTTTAACTGAACCACGGTTGCACAGACACCATTCTCAACTACTTCAGGTAAGGGGGTACCTCTTGCAGTAATGATATTATGGGGTTCAAAACAACCTGCAATTAACATTAAAAAGCAGTTGCAGAAGAGAGATATTAGTGATATAGCAAAACCCCACCAGAATCTTTATCTTGCACTTTCCTGCCTCCAGAACAATCAGAAATAAATATTTGTTGTTTAAGCCATTCAGTCTATGGTAATTTGTTATAATAGCCTGAGCTGACTAAGACAGCAATATAGGTCATGCTTTGTTCTTTGAGGCAGCCAAATGTGTCTGTGTGTGTGTGTGTGTGTATGTGTGTCTGTATAGACACTCATTTGGCAATATGTTGAAATATTATTTAAATAAATAAATAATTTACATAAATAAAATGGGACAGTTTGATTTGTGTTCTTGGATAAGAAAAATATGTGAGAGATTTTTCTGGAAAGCCCAGAGGGCTAATACACATTGCTGTGGATTTTATCCAACTAGTCAAGATGTTGATAGAAATAACATGTGTCATATTTTTCCACGTTACCCAGATATTTTATTCCTTAATAATACTTACTGTGCTTAGTCTGTATTGGGGATCACTAAAAATGAACCCATTATGCAACAGGATGGCAGAAGGAAAATAAGTCTTCCTTTGCTACACGTTCTCTATCTCTCCCGTTGAATTTGCTTTCTCAAACTGACCTCTTAAGTAGCTGGAACATAGCCTAATACTGTGATGATAATGACACAATCCATTCACACGTTTTCTACGAACCTTTATGCAGTTCATATGAATGCTGTGAGAAGTGCCATTTCAGTCTTGAAGATTTTTCTTGATATGTAAGAACTCTTCTCTCCCTCATTATCTTGAAGTCTCTCTTTTCTCTCTATTCCCATAAAATATGAGAAGAGGCTTCTTTCAGCAGATTATTGAAGTTTGTTTCATAGGCCACTTACTGGGAATGAGATTTCCTTGTGATTTAGATTTGGTGTGTTTCCTCACTTGCGTGTAATTCTATTCATCTCAACAGATATCAGAAAAAAGATGGAAATATTTCTATGAATATGTACTGTATTACCATAAAGTTGATGATATCTTAAATGATTTAATATAAAGCACTTTCTAGTCTGATAATTTTAATGACCTATATCAACTGTAGAAATTTCAAAAACAGTTACATGACATATCATTATTACTTGGAAAAAGCAGTCTGCACGTGAGAAATCAACCTCTGGGGTAGCATTACATTGGCTCGTATTCCTTGGCTCAAGAACTGACCCCGGCTAGCTCAAAGATTGAATTATCAGCATATTCCTATTGACCACATATGGCAGTGTGAGCTCACATTAACCATGTTGTAGAGCTGACTTAAGAAAATAATGATCTCTATGTATTAATTATGAAAATAACTGCGTCTTGGGCTGTAATACTAACTTTGACATGGTGTTGATTTTCTTCCTGTATGCGGTATGGATATATTCTCCTTGAAATCAGTGCTGGCGTGTCAGTAGATATGAATGTGGTAGGTGTTTGACTTAAGTGTCTCCCTCTCCTGCGCCTCCTCGTGCTTGCACTGGAATGTGGAATACTGCAACCTCCCTTTCTCTGTCCTAGACATCTTTCTCACCTCCCTCTCACACCCTCCTTGCTCCTAGTTCTAATTGGAACATCCCTGTTGGACAACATTGTGACATCAATCTTATGCCACTCAATTCCTTGATCTAACAGCCATTCTTCCTTGTCAGTTGCATTTGCATGTGACTTACTGAGCACTGACTTTGTAGATTAACTTTCAGAAAGTAATCTATTTCTTTTTAAAATATACTTTCCAATTCTTGGAAACTGTCTCTTCAGAATCCAACTACTGACAATAGGTAATAAACAAATGTACCTAACTGAACAGATATTGAAATAGAAATTGAAATGTGGTAACTTAAAATAAGCCCAAAAAGAGAAACAATTATGAATTATAAAGCAGAGTTCATGACAGCCAATAAAGGAGCTGAGTTTAAGGTGGATTTCAAAGAAAACATTTTTATGACTCTTGTGAATGACATGATTTCCTTTTGAGAACCATAGACATATTACCAACACTAAACAGTAGACAGTAGAGTACAAAAAGTGATAAATACATGTTACAAACAATTTTCCCAAACTAGTGTTATTTTGTAATGAAAAAATAATGATATTGCAAGCAAGAATACTCACTTTGATGTGAAATTAATTTTCTGTCTTATGTAAAGATTAATATCTACTTCCTCAGACTAAACTAACCTTATCCCACACATAGACAGAATCTGTGTGCTCCTTAATTAAAGTGTCATTGGTAACATGGTCCATGAGAGCCTGGGGGAATGTCTATGATTGTAGGGAGACCCCCTAAAACTATTGCTATGGTATAAAAGATGAAATGCTCCTGATTATTGTAAATACAAAATTGCATGCAGGATTGTGTAAAGACAATGCCAGGTTGGACTGCCAGAATGAGCCAACAGCGCGTGATGTGCTTCCCCCTGCAGAGAGCCTATGAATGGACGTGCAGTCAGGGAGGTTTCACATCACCAAGATTCCTATCCCAGAAAAGCAGATGTTCATGGCTCTGGGAATGGAATGCTACCCTTGTGGAGAGCCTATAAACGGATGCATGGGGGGGTGCCTGTCCATATGGATAAGAGCGCTATGAATGCCCTCATCTTGCCGTGGCTCTTCTAGGCCTCTTTAGGGTTAAGGCATACTCCCTTCTGAGAATTTCTGGTCTAACCGGTTGTCTAGCTTCATGTCCTGTTTCCATGGATTGTTTGTAACCAGCTTTTGTTGAAATTGTTACTGCTGATTAATATCTTGCTAATCATAGGTTATGGAAAGATTGTGTTTCTGTTTTAAGGCTCTGTTAGAAATTACTGATGCACACACTATATTGTAAATTCTTATCTCTGTGTACTGTACTTCTACATACAAATGTACTGTACTTCTGCATACAAATGTTATGTTAAAGAATTACTTCATCCCCATGTGACCATCTCACCTCATAATCAAATGACACTAAATCCCTCACTAACCTACCCCTGCCCTCACTAAACTTAATAATAAATGCTGGTATATCCAGTGCATTGTTGGCACCATGGGACCAGAAGGCGGTGACCCACCTGGACCCAGTTTTCACTATCTTGTGTGTGTCTATTATTTCTCAACCTGCCGATCCACCTGGAAACAAAGAGAGAGCCCCGTTGCATTGCGGGCTGCTAGCCAGATCCCGCAATATATGACTTCTGCTTTAGAGAAGAGAAATTCCTGCAAAGTGGAAGAATCTCAGCCACAAATAATGGTTGTTCAATATAAAAACAGGCATTAAAAGGAAAGGTAAAGAATATGGTCATTTATCTATTATCTCATTTAATATGTGAATATAATTTTTACTTTTTTCAGATGTTCTAGCATCTTCTAGACTTACATATCTCATAGACATAACCAAATACTTGGGGCAAGGGGCAAGTAATCCTCAATAGGCCTGAATGTCTTGAATGCCAAACAACTCAGTTACCTAAGTTTCTTGCTTGCTTGCTTGCTTTCCTTCCTTCCTTCTTTTTCTTTTCTCTTTCTCTCCCTTCCTTTCTTTCCTTTTCTTTCTCTTTCTTTTTCTTCCTTTTTCTTTTTCTCTCTCTTTCTTTCTTTCTTTTCCTTCCTTCCTTTTTTCTTTCTTTTTCTCTCTCTTTCTCTTTTCTTTTCCTTCCTTCCTTTTTTCTTTCTTCTTTCTTTTTCTTTTTCTTTCTTTCCTCTCTCCTTCCTTCCCTTCTTTTTTCTGTCTTTCTTTTCTTTCTTTCTTCTTTCTTTCTTTTTCTTTTTCTTTCTTTCCTCCTTCCTTCCTTCCTTCCTTCCTTCCTTTTTTGTCTCTTTTTCTTTCTTCTTTCTTTTTCTTTTTCTTTCTTTCCTCTCTCCTTCCTTCCTCTCTCTCTTTCTTTTCTTTTTCTTCTTTTCTTTGCTTTTTTTTTTTTCCATTTTACTACCTAGCAACTAATCTCAAGAATTGGGATATTGTATTTTTCAAGGAATCTGGGGTAGGAATAATCGTACACTATAGGAAAAGAAACAATTATAAAGTATCAATTACTGTAAAGGTTATAAGAACTTCTGAAGCTTCTTTCCTTCTATATTTTAAAAATGTTATTTCCCTCATTAAAACATCTATTATTTTAGTGGAAGGAATCTTGGACCTTAGCTACTTTTCCTCAATCTAATAAAAGACTGCCATCTACAAGAGACAAAGATGTTTGGATAATAAGTTAATTTTCTAATTTTCTATGTGAATAGTATAAAATCATATTTTTTAAAGTCAAGTTTATATTCATAACTTAAGAAAATTTAAAAGTTTGACAACACTAAGCATTGACAAAATAAAGGAGTAATGGAAACTTCCATACTTCATCAATGAGGATGTAAATTTTATATGACAAATTTGCAAGAATTTCCTTGCTTCAGAATCTCAAGGGCCTGTCTTGTAATTCTTTCCTTAGAGTTTTCCACAGGTGCTTACTGCATCTTTTCTCACTCTACACATACATTTGCACTGCCATAGCATCCGCAAGATTATAATGCCCAAGCTTCAGGGCCATGTGCTTACACCCTGGACCTGTTACTAAGCCCTTTTCTAATAAATAGGGCTTAGATATATGGACCTGAGCAGTAACTGCTAGGTGGAATATGCATATTTTCCATAACCCAAGAGGCCTACCATGTCTTTCTCTCTTTTTTTTTTTTTTTTTTTTTTTGTGACAGCAGATGCAAGATGAAATAATTTGTTTCGCTTTAGAATGATGGATATCCTGGCAGACCCCTTACTATTCGATCTTTAAAAACTTCACTGAAATTGCAGTTCCTTGAATTTTCATAGGGTATATCTCCAACTTTCTGGAATATAAGTGTCTTAGCAGGTTTCCCACATGCTAGCCACCTCCTGTTCATCCTGCCTAGTTTCCTCAATATTACTGATATAAAAGATTGGCTTGATATTCTATGGGATGTCCAGGGAGTCCAAATCTCCTTCAGACTATGACACAGAATGGGAGAATTTATATAGTCCTGCGGCAAAACTATAAATGAATAGTATGTGTTCCACAAAACTAAACTCTTTCTAATTTGTTTCCTAATTGGAATCAAAAAGAACACTTTTGTCAAATCAATGGCTGCCTGCAGTGTACATGTGGCCTCATTCATCTGCTCTACAATGACCCTAGGTATGGCACTGCAGCTTCAATTTGGACTTCTTGCAGTCTTCTACAAAAATTGTTCAAAGTCCTTTTATTTTGCAGCAGGGAGTGGGGCAGACTGTCAAAATAAAGAGAGGCAGGAACCACCACCACGTCCTTCAGGATTACAATGGTGGCAATACTCTTTATGATTCTCTTTGAGAATATAACTCTGGTTTTGATCAGCTGTATTGATGGTGGTTGGAGGGCAATTTCAGAGGTTTCCTATGATAGTGTTTACTTGAGCCCAAGAATTCAATGTAGGGATTACTCCAACTGCTAAGGATATCCATTTTAACTCTCTACTGTGGGACTCAGAAAATGACCTCTGGGTGGGTCTGCAGATGCAATCTGTGACCCAGACTTTATCCAGGGCACCAGTTTTTACTTGTTCCTATAAGCCCCAACTCAAGCAAGGGTCCATGATGATGGTCACCCTTTTAAGTGCCCATAGATCCAATGGAGGAAAAACTAAAGGGATCATCCTGGTCTTTTCTTTCCACAGTGTTGCAAAGTATTTCCTTCAAGTGAGTCGAGTGGCCTGAACATGTTTTCAGTCATTGGGTCCCAAATATAAAAATTAGCTCAGATTTAGGAACTGAACCAGGAATCATAACTATTTTGAGGGACAAGTGCCCCCAGCTCTTCTATTCATAACTTTTCCTGGTTGTAGACATTCAATGTCTCTGATATCACCTGGCTTACCTTACAATTTTGCTGCTAAGCACACCAGGTTCCATTAACCATTTCCTAAATTCTCTAAAGGTAGAGTCCAGTTGGTTTCCCCTTGGGCTTTCCTCATCATTAGGTAATTGCATCCTCCTGGCTGTTGGCTTTTAAGCATGAGCAGTCACTGAATTTTGCAGTGAAGCTGGTTCCTCTTACCAGTGCATTCATGATGGCCTTGGTGAATGGCATGTCCCATGGGCCCAAAGCGTAACATGATCCTCTGTGGCTTGTCTGGTCTCACATATCATATTGATTTCAGCTTCGTACTTCTCTAAGCTTCTCAATAGTTTTCTTTATTATCTGGCTTGAAAACTCTGACATTTTTGCTTCACTCATTATGAACTGAATCCTTGCTTTCTACAGGATTCTAAGAGCCACTCTAACAGTGAGTTTGGTTCCTGGGATTCTTGCCAGGATGTTAAATCCTTTGTCCCAAGAAAGTTTCCGCAAGTCATTGAAATCTTGCTTATCCAGTATTACATCATGTTCCCCTTAGCAGAGTATCTGAGCAGTACATTTTCTCAGCCACCACAGAGGCACAGCACCATATAAAGACCGTCATTTCAATTTATACACTATATCCCATGGTTGCCAGGCAAAATGCAGGATGCACAGTTAAGTTTACACTTTAGGTAACGAATGAATAATTTTTTTTATTTTATTATTATTATACTTTAAGTTTTAGGGTACACGTGCACAATGTGCAGGTTTGTTACATATGTATACATGTGCCATGTTGGTGTGCTGCACCCATGAACTCGTCATTTAGCATTAGGTATATCTCCTAATGCTATCCCTCCCCCGCTCCCCCGACCCCACAACAGTCCCTGGAGTGTAATGTTCCCCTTCCTCTGTCCATGTGTTCTCATTGTTCAATTCCCACCTATGAGTGAAAACATGCAGTGTTTGGTTTTTTGTCCTTGTGATAGTTTGCTGAGAATGATGATTTCCAGTTTCATCCATGTCCCTACAAAGGACATGAACTCATCATTTTTTATGGCGGCATAGTATTCCATGGTGTATATGTGCCACATTTTCTTAATCCAGTCTATCGTTGTTGGACATTTGGGTTGGTTCCAAGTCTGTGCTATTGTGAATAGTGCCACAATAAACATACGTGTGCATGTGTCTTTATAGCAGCATGATTTATAGTCCTTTGGGTATATACCCAGTAATGGGATGGCTGGGTCAAATGGTATTTCTAGTTCTAGATCCCTGAGGAATCGCCACACTGACTTCCACAATGGTTGAACTAGTTTACAGTCCCACCAACAGTGTAAAAGTGTTCCTATTTCTCCACATCCTCTCCAGCACCTGTTGTTTCCTGACTTTTTAATGATCGCCATTCTAACTGGTGTGAGATGGTATCTCATTGCAGTTTTGATGTGCATTTCTCTGATGGCCAGTGATGATGAGCATTTTTTCATGTGTTTTTTGTCTTCTTTTGAGAAGTGTCTGTTCATATCCTTTGCCCACTTTTTGATGGGGTTGTTTGTTTTTTTCTTGTAAATTTGTTTGAGTTCATTGTAGATTCTGGATATTAGCCCTTTGTCAGATGAGTAGGTTGCGAAAATTTTCTCCCATTTTGTAGATTTCCTGTTCACTCTGATGGTAGTTTCTTTTGCTGTGCAGAAGCTCTTTAGTTTAATTAGATCCTGTTTGTCAATTTTGGCTGTTGTTGCCATTGCTTTTGGTGTTTTAGAGATGAAGTCCTTGCCCATGCCTATGTCCTGAATGGTATTGCCTAAGTTTTCTTCTAGGGTTTTTATGGTTTTAGGTCTAACATGTAAGTCTTTAATCCATCTTGAATTGATTTTTGTATAAGGTGTAAGGAAGGGATCCAGTTTCAGCTTTCTACATATGACTAGCCAGCATCATCCTGATACCAAAGCCGGGCAGAGACACAACCAAAAAAGAGAATTTTAGATCAATATCCTTGATGAACATTGATGCAAAAATCCTCAGTAAAATACTGGCAAAACGAATCCAGCAGCACATCAAAAAGCTTATCCACCATGATCAAGTGGGCTTCATCCCTGGGATGCAAGGCTGGTTTAACATACGCAAATCAATACATGTAATCCAGCATATAAACAGAACCAAAGACAAAAACCACACGATCATCTCAATAGATGCAGAAAAGGCCTTTGACAAAATTCAACAATCCTTCATGTTAAAACTCTCAATAAATTAGGTATTGATGGGATGTATCTCAAAATAATAAGAGCTATCTATGACAAACCCACAGCCAGTATCATACTGAATGGGCAAAAACTGGAAGCATTCCCTTTGAAAACTGGCACAAGACAGGGATGCCCTCTCTCACTACTCCTATTCAACATAGTGCTGGAAGTTCTGGCCAGGGCAATTAGGCAGGAGAAGGAAATAAAGAGTATTCAATTAGGAAAAGAGGAAGTCAAATTGTCCCTGTTTGTAGATGACATGATTGTATATCTAGAAAACCCCACTGTCTCAGCCCAAAATCTCCTTAAGCTGATAAGCAACTTCAACAAAGTCTCAGGATACAAAATCAATGTGCAAAAATCACAAGCATTCTTATACACCAATAACAGACAAACAGAGAGCCAAATCATGAGTGAACTCCCATTCACAATTGCTTCAAAGAGAATAAAATACCTAGGAATCCAACTTACAAGGGATGTGAAGGACCTCTTCAAGGAGAACTACAAACCACTGCTCAATGAAATAAAAGAGGATACAAACAAATGGAAGAACATTCCATGCTCATGGGTAGGAAGAATCAATATCGTGAAAATGGCCATACTGCCCAAGGTAATTTATAGATTCAATACCATCCCCATCAAGCTACCAATAACTTTCTTCACAGAATTGGAAAAAACTACTTTAAAGTTCATATGGAACCAAAAAAGAGCTTGCATCGCCAAGTCAATCCTAAGCCAAAAGAACAAAGCTGGAGGCATCACGCTACCTGACTCCAAACTATACTACAAGGCTACAGTAACCAAAACAGCATGGTACTGGTACCAAAACAGAGCTATAGATCAATGGAACAGAACAGAGCCCTCAGAAATAATGTCGCATATCTACAACCATCTGATCTTTGACAAACCTGAGAAAAACAAGCAATGGGGAAAGGATTCCCTATTTAATAAATGGTGCTGGGAAAACTCAATGAATAATTTTTTAGTATAAATATGTTCCATGTAACAATGAGGACATACTTATACTAAAACAGCCATTCGTTATTTATCTGACACTGAAATTCAACTGGGCATCTTGTATTTTATTTGCTAAACCTGGCACCTTACATGTCCTAGAATTCTGTGCTAAAACTCCACAGGTATATTCCCTAAGTGTACACCTTAACTAAGCTTCTAAAAAGTGATTACAAGCTTCTATTGGATGAACAGCTTCAGACAATGGTATATATTTTAGGACCATTGAATCCTGTGGTGATTCACGCATTGTAGTGCCTGTTGTTTTTTGCTGAGAATTGTGTCCGTTTTTTGAGGCAATATTATAAGCATTGTCAATAAACCAGGAATTCTATGAGCCCTTGAATAATGAGGGTAGCAGAGAAGATAAATTCATATTTAAGACGTGAATCAGTGTGAACAGGGATGACTTGGCTGGATCTCGCAGAATGTCCCACTCCAATCCGAGTTGGCTGCATACTTCAGGGCCACTGAATATATGTGTACACGGGGAATATTTTGGAAGAATATGCATAAAAATGTTAACATTACCTCAAGAAAATATTGAGGCGTTATTAGCTTTTTCCTAATATACTTTCTTTTTGATAGATCCATTAAAAAGAAATGAATAAAAAAAGAGAAAGAAACAAGGGCAGAACTTCCACTAAGAATCTAATTCTCATTTATAATTTGTAGATGGTTTTTCTTTATCTTGTTTCCCTAGTCTACAATCCTTGAATTAACCTAATAAAACAAATAATCTTTGTTATTTTATTGTAAAATAATTCATGATTTTTGCCTTATCATTGAAGTGAAGACAATTCCTTTATATTTAAAAACTAGAACATAAACATGTTTATAACAAAGTAAACTAGAACATAAACATGTTTATAACAAAGTACAAACAAAAAGTACAACAGAAAATATAATATGGCAAAATTCATAGCTGCTATTAATGTATGCATTAAGGCATATTAATGTGGAAGTTACTGCACAGATACAATTCAAGGTTGATATTTGTACATATTACCTACTTAAGGGCATTGGAAGATTCATTTTCTTATTCTGTGTTTTATAGCTGTTATTCAACCTAATAATTTATACGTGACTAGCAGAATGGAGTCCAGTGGTCTTGATTTAAATATGGCTAATTACTATAGTATATATTTATATAGCTTTGAGTTTATATAATTTTTATTTCACATAACGGTGGGTGGAAAAGCAACTAACATGTTATTATTGATACAATTCCTATGTTCTTCTGTTGTGAGTGTCTTCGGACATGTTACATAACCTCTCTGCATGTTAGTTTTCTTAACTATAAAATGAAGCTCTTATTAGCCCTCATATCTCAGAATTGTTGTTAGAATTAAAGAGATAATCCAAAATAAGTACTTATAACAGAATTTTGAACCTAGTAGGCACTCAATAAAGTTATTATTAATATTGTTTTCAAAGCGTTCTACATTTTTGAAATTTATTATAGAATTTGATTTATAGGAAAGGAAAAGTATTTTTAAATATTATTATTTACTATTATTAATGTCCACCCACCAGAATTTGTCACATCAGCAAATGTGCATAATATATAATTGTACATAACTTTCTATGTATTAAAAAGGTTGAACATGAGAAACGTTCAACTGAGAATTAAGAATTGAGAATTAAGCAATTAGATGGTAAAGTGTAAGAATTGGCAGATGGGGATTGGGTTATGAAATCTATCCTGAACAGAGATTTTAACATACCTTTTTAGAGCACAAAATTGTTGACAACTAAATCAATATATAACACAGAATAATGAGTATAAAGGAAGCTGGCTAAAGAATTGGAAGAGTCTGTAATCCCAGCACTTTCGGAGGCCGAGGCAGGTGGATGACTTGAGGTCAGGAGTTCAAGACCAGCCTGGCCAACATGGCAAAACTCCATCTCTACAAAAGTACAAAACTTAGCCAGGTATGGTGGCACACACCTGTAATCCCAGCTACTCAGGAGGCTGAGGCAGGATAATCGCTTGAACTCTGGAGGCGGAGGTTGCAGTGAGCTGAGATTGTGCCATTGTACTCCAACCTGAGTGACAGAGGGAAACTCCATCTCAAAAAAAAAAAAAAAAAGAATTGGAACAAAACACTATGGTTAATCTAGTGCAAAGAGGACAGAGGAACCAACGGCACTACGGAGAAAAGAAAGTGGTATATTTGGGGCCTGGCATGGAAGACAGGCTAGTGTTTGGGAAAAAAAGGCAGGCCCCTGTCTGAAAACGTAGTGAATAGGACCACTACAGTGTGCAATTGACATAGATGCATTACACCTCTCTAGTCTTGCCTATGCTTGTGGCCTTCATTAGAACAGGGCTCTTAATTAATGGGTACCCGAAGTGAATTTGGGGCACATGACTTAAGCAGGGAGGAAAAACATGCTTATTTTCACTCATCTCTAACTAAACTGAGTTTCAACATTTTCTTCCATTGCAAATGTGGATAATAAACCACGACGTTACTTTTTATTTTTTTCATACCTAGAAGTTGCAGATTATCTTGTTAGAGTTTTCACAAATATATATAAAAGTATCATCTGTATGTATCACTACTTTCAGTAATTCTAGACCCTGTCATTTCATGTGTTAATAATAAAGCAAAATACTTCCTTATCAAAAATTTGTTTTCTTAATATGGTGACAACTCTATTTCAATGTCATTGAAATAATTTATAATCCAATATAATTTATCTCTAGCATTTAAAAACACTATTCTGTGAAGGGGTATGTAGGGTTCTCCAGACTGCCAAAGCGGGTCATGGAGCAAAAACTTCTCAGAACTCATACGTTACAATTAGCAGTTTGGTTTTAGCAACTCCCACCCCTCTCTCTATCAAATTAGTTCTCCGACAGTCTCCATTGAGCTCCAGCTATTAATTCGTATTATGTATCTCTAGGATTCTTAGGTAAATGGTTCCTATTGTTGTATGTGGACAAGATTAATAATTTTTACATCCCCTTTTTCTGTTTTTCTTTACTCTCTCTTTTGTCCATTTTCATTCCATTAAAATAAATTCCCTATCTCAGCACACAACTGAAGATGAAGGAGACAAATTCAAGTAGTTAGGGAAGATTCAGAACAGCTTATATCTGGAAGTAGGGAGCTCCACAAAGGGATGAAAGTTGCCAAAAGGAAGGAAAAGAAAGGTAGGTTAGGAGGGAGGAGACGGAGTTTCAGACAGTACTGTAGGAGGAAAGACGAGCAGAGCAGACAGAACCCAGAACCTAGAAGATAGAGGAGGAGTAGCCAGAGGTTGCCCAGAAGCTGATATCAAGGAAGTCCAACAAGAAGTAAAATGTAACCCAGAGGACATGGCAGCAGGTATTCTAAGATCAGGCAAAAATACAGCAGAGATATACCTTAAAACCTGGAGATAAAATTTGCATCACACAAGTCTGTCCAGAGCTGGTAAGGGATTCAGAACAAACCTGCCCCTGAGTTGATGATGGTACCTGAGGGGAGGGGAATTAAAAGAAAAAACAGAGTCCAGTCTTATAAGGATTAGAATACTGGGCTGAGTTTGAACCAGGGAGTAGGAGGTTGCAGTGAGCCGAGATCGTGCCTCTGCACTCTAGCCTGGCGACACAGCACACAGCAAAACTCCGTCTCAAAAAAAAAAGAATACTGGGCTGAATATAAGAAAGTTAATTAAAGACAGAGTAGAAAAGGGTAATAAGCTGGAAACTCTCTCAGGTACAACACATGACCCTAATTCTTATACCTGGGGCGCAATGTGAGCATGACAGAAGTAAGACTGGCTTGATGCTGAATTTTCCATTAAATCAGATCATTTTAAATAACTGAGGAAAGGATGGTTCACAAAGCTTACACTGTGACTGAGTCTTCTAGTCTGGGTGACCTGATTTATGTTAATGGGAATGGAGGTATATGGAAGCAGGACACCAGGAAGTTTATGACAACTTGTCAGCTCTCGAAATCGGCTTTACTCTCTGAGCAGTATCCACTTTGTATGACATTAGGCCCCCAATGCATGAAGCAAAATGTGTTATTAAGTCAGATCTCCTCGGATCACAAAGAAAATAGTATGGCAACAGTGATGGAAGCAGAGAAAAAGCAATAATCGAGTGAGAAAATAATTGGGTGGCCAGAGGCAAAATCTATGACAGATCCAAATGGCCTTCATTATTTCTCAGTTGGAAAATTCCAATAACTTCCTAAATTGCCTTCCCATCTTAAGTGCTTCACTATTCAAATTTATATTATAAGCCACTTCCAGGTGACAGACTAAAATTCTTCAAGTGTAAACACTGTCACTCACTTCAGTCTTAGTAGAAATACTAATAACTCTTCATTGCCTAATAAGCTCCTTTTCTTTGCATTCACATTTCTGTACAGGACAGACATTGACACATGTCAGTGTGTACTTCCCACTATTTCTTATTGTTCAATATTTTAATATTGAATATGTAAAATAATTTAATTTTTAATATGTTAATACTTCATTTTTAATATTTCATTTTTATTTCTACAAGTGTGCCTTTCTTTGAATAACTGCCCTACTTAATCCATTTCTGTCGGATTCCGATGGGCTGCTGATTGGTTTGGCTCTGTGTCCCCACCCAAATATCACCTTTATTGTAATAATCCCCACGTATTGTGGGAGGGACCTGGTGGGAGGTAATTGAATCATGGGGGTGGGTTTTCCCATGCTGTTCTCATGATAGTGAATAAGTCTCACGAGAGCTGATGGTTTCATAAAAGGGAGTTCCCCTGCTCATGCCCTCTTGCCTTCTGCCATGTAAGATGTGCCTTTGCTTCTCCTTTGCCTTCTGCCATGATTGTGAGGCCTCCCTAGCCATGTGGTGCGAGTCCATTAAACGCCTTTCCTTTATGAATTACCCAGTCTCAGGTATGTCTTTATTAGCAGCGTGAGAAACAGACCAATACAGCCGGCAATCTGAAGACCATCAAGTTTTGACAACAGGGGTGCCACACAGTCCAAGTTAGGCCAACCAGAGTTGCTTTCTCAGGAGGAATATCCCAAGAATGCAAAGACACACGGGGACCAAAATTGATTGGAACTGAGTCATGTGAGAAATTCTTGAGATGCTGAGATGCTCAAAGTACATGTGTCTTTTATCTTTCTCAGTGTTCCTGATCTTCTATCCCTCCTTCGGCCCTCTACTCAATTCTGTGAGCCACCTAATATCCTTTTAGGAAAATTCTTTACACACACACACACACACACACACACACACACACACACACAAACTTCAGTTTGAGAATAGTTTCTATTGCTTGCAGTCAAAAAATGCTGAATGCAAAAGCAAAAGGGTGGAGAATGGAATTAATTATTGAGTTAATATGTCATGAAAAAGCCATAGGACTGATATTAATATTTTAAGCTGAGAAATTAAGAGGCTACTGATATATAATGGAGAGCCGGTAAATAACGTTATTGACTGGACTGCCTGGGATACTAAGGATGAAAGTCTTCTGAACTAGTAGTTGTTGCAATAAATGGATAAATTAAACTGAGAAAATGATGTGCTCAATGTTAAAATTTTCAACTTGAGGCATGGGCTAAAATCTAGAGCCTTCCTGTCACCATGCCCTATGCCTTTCTTTTGACAGCTGTCATAGGATGGAGGTTGATGAAAACCAAACTCAGAAATGAATCATGTCGCTTGCTAAATTTGTTAAGGTGAATTGACACATATCTTACATGAATCTTGAGGATAATAATGGGATATAAGCTGTTTAGGAGTTTTATTAGTAAGGATTTTAGGAACCAGAAAACCTGAACCACCAAACCTCTCATCAACATTCCTACTTTGCGTCCCTTGCATGAGGAAGGAGTGTCTCTCACAAGAAAAATAAAATGATTCCTCTAGCACCCAAACCTCAATGGGGCCTCATTTCTCATTGCTCTGATGATCTCTTCCTCCTTTTCTCCTTTGCTTTCTTTACTTCATTCACCGGCTCCTTGTTATTCCTGGAATTTGCTAGAAACTTCCATCTCACAGCTCTTGCACTCACTGCCCTCATGGCTCTCTCTGCTTGAAATGTTCTTTTCCCCAGCTAACCGCATGAGTTGCTCCCTTGCCTCCCCCAGGCTTTTGATCACCGGCATTTGCCTGCTTCAGGAGGCCTTGCCTGGTTACTGCATTTAAAATTCCAACCCTTGCCCAAAACTATGCATTACTTTTCACTGCTTTCTTTCTATTGTATTTACCACCATCCAACATACATTTTACTTTTTTGTATACTTTGTTCCAAACCTTGTCCTCTGATTAACTATACCTCCCAAGATTCACTTTCTTGTGTAGTCACCTCTCCTAAAATCTAGGCTGGACCTGGGACTTGATTTAATTATTAAAATGTGGCAGAAATAGAGTGGGGTCAGTTCCTGGCCTAAACCTGAAGAAGGCTTGGTGGCTTCCAATTGTGTGCTTTGGAGAGTTCTATGCTGCCACATAAAATGGTTGGTTACCCTGGCAGATAGACCATGGAGAGAGAGATGATGCCATGTGGGAAGAGACTACATGGAGAAAGAAAGAGACCTGGCCATTCAGTATCCCATCCGAGTCCAATTTTCAACTATTTCCACAAAGTTAGACATGTGATGGAGACCTCCCAGCCCCTCAAGCTGACATTTCATAAAGCAAAAGAACCACCACAAGAAGTCTGGTCAAACCACTGGGAGAATCAGGGAGTAATAAGATGATTACTGTTTTAAACCATTAGGTGGTTTGTTATGCAGCAGTAGATAAACAAAGCATTACTGTCTTCTGTGTCCCCCACAGAAATGTAAATTCCATGAACACGGATTTTTGTCAATTTTGTTCTTTCCTGCATTCCCAGAATCTATAAAGTGCTGAGCATTTAATAAACATGTTGACTAAAGGAAAGCATGGATTAGTTAATGAATTTAAACTAGTAATAGTAGTCTATGGGGTGAAATGCATAATCAGAATTTGGAAAAGGAAATATACCCAAAGAGATTTTCAGGAATTAATCACCATAATCTATATAATTAACATAGAATTGTGTTTGTTCAAGTAGATTTTGGACAATGAAATTTCTAAGAGGATGGAATCTTATTTGGGATATATTATAGTTTCTCGATAAGGATGAATTCACCAGAAAGTCTGAATTCAATTTTCCACCTCTAGTCAAGTTTCCTCATTTGATTAATGAAAACCGAACCCAAATATTGCTAAAAAAAGTACCTTAGATGGCCAGAGAGATTTAAACTTAATATAAAGGGAAGGCAGTCAAAGATTTCAGGCATGCTAGGTAAGAGCAATTATTCACATCTTGCCTATTCTTCTCTTGAGTACACCTCAGAATCTCTCCCTTCATCTCTGCTATGAGACAATAGAGTGATGATTCTCTAAATAAATCAGAATTTCCATTATTGGTTATTCTCTTTTGGTCTGGAAAGCTTGAAATCTAGAATGCTAGAAATTCAACTGAAGTTTCCATCAAAATAAGCTCTTTTATCCTAGCTGGAAGTGGAGAAACTCTGCTAATCAGGCCAGGAGGGGGCAATTAATTCTGAGTTGATGCGGGCTTGCTAATCTTAAAAGCACACCACATGAGGAAGGATTTCTTTTTCTTTGTGGGCATGGTACTTCACTTTTACCCTAGACACAGAAAACACCAATGTTTTGACTCCATGTCACAATCTAATTCATCAGCTCCCTCAACATACCTCCAGATATTATAAAGTTTTACAGCATTTACAGCAGCATGCTGCTATGACTTAAGTTGGAAAGAATAAATATTCTAGATGGATTGGTAAGATAATGTGCAAATGGCAGGAGTTAAATCTTGCAAAAATAAAGGAGCGTGTTACAAATGAAGACTGTTTCACAATAGTCAACAGAACTTCATATTTATTTGGTTGGTGCAAAAGCAATTGCGGGTTTTGGTATTTCTTTTTTAAGTAATGGCAAAAGTAACATGCCCAAAGTGAAGAGTCATAGTAATTTGCTCTCCAGGACAAACATTATGATTCGGTTATAGATCTTTGATGCTTTCTTCCCCTAGATGAATACTGAAACCTCTTTATAAATTCTAAATATTTTGCTAGTAGGTCTTTTCTCATATACTTATGGCTACCCTTTTCAAAGAGCATTTTTGAAGTATGCTAATTTATGATTATGCATCTTCCTCATCTAATCTTCCTTAACTGTCATGAGGATCTTCATCCCCCTGCTGACCACAAGGTAAATCTAGGAGTATATCTGGTATTATACTCAGAGGTAATATAAAGTTTGTAGGATTGGGTGTTAAAGAAGTATCTTCCTGCAATTCAGTTCCTTTAAATGGAAAAGTTTCATTTGTATATTCAAAGTTTGTGCTATCACTCACAATACCAGTCACCATAGTAAATTTTCCTGGGTACAATGAGTGGGGACTTGTGAAGATATCCCCTTCAAAATGAAGAACAAATTATGGACTTTACAAACCCTAACAATGGAAAGAAAGTACATTATCTCATAGGCCCCCTTGGATTTTGGAGGGAACATATGCAGTATTTGGGGTCTTAATTGCCCTACTTACCTGTATCTGAAAAGCTACACATTTGAATGAGTCCCAAATCAGAAGCAGGCACTCCAGTTGTTAAAAGTAGATTTTCCTCTTGTCTTGTGTGACCTGGAAGATCCAATGATTCTGGAAAGCTTGGACTCTAGAATGCTAGAAGTTCAACTGAAGTTTCCATCAAAATCAGCTCTTTTATCCTAGCAGGAAGTGGAGAAACTCTGCTAATCAGGCCAGGAGGGGGCAATTAACTCTGAGTTGTTGTGGGCTTGCTAATCTTAAAAGCACACCACATGAGGAAGGATTTCTTTTCCTTGGTAGGCATGGTACTTCACTTTTACCAAAAGCCCCCAAAAAAGATAATTAGCAGAATATTTTAGAGTTTCAAAGTAAATCACACTCCTATGTCAGTCACAGTCCTAGCAGGTAATAGATGGCATGTTCAAATAAAGAGTTTAATCAAAGGGCTATTTATAAATGTGATGCCCAGAAACTGCGGTAACCAGGAGTGCTATTTACTTCTTCTGTGCACAAAGAAGTGTAAGGAGGGAGAAGATACTAGAAATACAATCAGGGTGAGAGGGAGAGAGAGAGACAGAGAGAGAGAGAGAGAGAGAGAGAGAAGAGAAGGGGAGGGGAGGGGAAGGGAAGGGAAGGGAAGGGAAGGGAGGCGAGGGGAGGGGAGGGGAGGGGAGGGGAGGGGAGGAGAGGGGAGAGGAGAGAAGAGAAGAAGAGAAGAGAGACTCTTCCCGATAGGTACCAAGAACTTAAGAGATACAGTTATGGAACCAAAGTTCTCTTCCCTCCGTTCTTCTGTTCCCTTGTGATACTCTTCATTGGCTAGAGCCAACTGGCAGTAGAGAGCAAGGGGGGCCCTTGATGAAATTCACCTGGGTCAGGGAACATGGAAGCAGAATGTAGATGGTGCAGAGTGGACCTGTATGGGCAGATGGAAGGCATTTAACACCACCTCTCTAGTAACTATTCTCTTTTTGATGAATAACTCCAGATTGCTTTTAAGTCTAGAAACTGAATTACTATCCACAGGACATCAGATAACCATGTGATCCGACTTGGCCAGCATGATTTTGGCATATATGAGCTCTCTGGCCATACTTAGGGTATGTCTAGCAACACCCATCCACTAGAAGAAATAAATAACATGTTTATATCTGGTCACAAGCAGACTTAGAAGGTTTAATAAGGGGAATGATCAATTTCTGCTGGACTGCTGTTCTCCTCTCTCCCACTTCTATGGCCCCTTTGGGGATTCCTTCTGCCCAATGGACAAGGAAAGAAAAACTCTAGGTTCTTGCCCACATAACTTGGTCTCACTAAGGATGATTCTGTAAAGCAGTGGAAAAGAAAAGTCCTTCCACTGGGCAGAGGTTGTACCAGCATATTTCTTTCCCTAAAGGAAAGGTGTCCTGAAATCAGTATCTACACCAATTCTTGCATAGGAGATAAAGTCTGACTAAATGTCAACTGTCTGTAAGAAAAAAACAACTCAAGCATAGATTTTGATCCATAAGTAGATCATAAATTAAATTTAATGGATTGTAACCAACTTTAAGAAAATGAAATACAAGAGAGGAAAAATGTCAGGGTACATAGTACGTAGTATTAAAAATATTATTTTCCAAAACTTGTATTTCATTATTTATGTGTGTGTGTGTGTGTGTGTGTGTGTCTGTATGTCTGCATGTGTATGTTGTAGGGATGCTGCCTGTCAATGCCAAATTCAATTTTACATGATGGTAGAAAATGTTGTAAAGAAACTACCTTAAACTTTAAGTAAACCAGCTTAGCTATACTAAATAAATGTTGTATGCTGCTAACATATATAACTGCATCTTTTTCATATCTTTACTCTTAAAATGCCCCTTTTATCCTCCACCAAATCCAGTCCATCCTTCAAGGGAAATATCAACCCTGAATTCTTTATGAATTCTCTAACTACTCCAGCCCAGTGATTTCTTTGAAATTCTTGGGTCTTGTCCAATCTTAATAATTACTAACCTTATATTTCTATTATTTTACATTACAAACGCTTTCTTTTTATTTAAAAAAAATCTTTGTATATTCAGGATCTACAAATAAATGAGTTTGGGAGCTAGGAATTCTAAATTTCATTTGTTTTCTTCCCAGAGTGCCTAACATCACATTATGAAGATAATTGTAATTAACTGAATATGTTGATTGTACCACTGAAATAATTAATAAACAGAAGGACTGGTCAGGCCCTTTTAGTATTTTTAACTTTATCTTACTTTTTAATGCTATAATATTATAATGTATCTAGCCTTATAGAAAGGTATTTTTCAAAATAGGGTGTATTATTACAAGATAATTTTCATAGGGAAGTTTCTCCATTTTGTAGGTTACATATGGACCTTCTATCTCTATGATATTTAAAAAATGTTCATTTTTCAATGGTATGGCTTTAAAACAAAAATGCTAATTTACAAACAATGATGGTACATTTTTCTATTAGATAAATTTTATTATGATAACTAATAATAATTTCTATTTGTTCCCAAAATGATCAATGCTTAGTAGTGCTCCTTCATATCGATTCAACATGTTTTCACATGTGAGATAACATGTAGGTTGAAAAAGGCAGAGATTGCTCATAATACCAGTGGTTGCTGATGTAGAAATAATAGCTAATGCTTGAGTATATCTGACAAGTCCAAGGATATGGACAGTAAAGATTATTTTTTCTAAAAGGCCGGGAAAAAATGTTTGCTTAATCCTGAAATTTAATTGTATATTTCTTTATAAAAGTCACCATGTGATACTCTCCAATAGCTCAGAGAGTAGTATATACTTTATTCCATCTTCATTAAGAGACAAAATTTAAAAGAAGATACATTCTTTTTTTGTATGTTGCTGAAGGGTCTTGTTGCTAGTTTTGTTCTCCCTCAAACTGAGTTCAGGGTTATATACTGGTGCAGTATTCATTCAATCCTATGATCCATGAGGAACACATGGGAAAATATTTACAACCACAACTGCCGCGATAACAAAAAATAATAACCTGATATTCATGGTGACAGGAATAAGTCTTCAAGAGCAGCTTCATTTACATTTATCATGTTCTTTAAAAAATAGTGTGGTACCTTTTTTTTTTTAACAGAAAGATTATCAGGCAAAAATGACTACCTTAAAAGCATGCAACTTTTAGGATTTAGAAGTCTAAAATTCATGTCATTCATTGCAAATATTTCAATCTGTTGATTATTCACAGTAAGGGATGCGTTCATGTAATTATCCAAGAATCTCATAAACAAAGATACTTGAAGCTTTGCCCTATGTTTGATGGATCTGACAATCAAAAAATCAAAAAAGGGAAAAAATTATTCTCTGTGATTAATTATCTTATGTAACATCTGTATCTCCACTAAGAGCAAGTCGAATGTGTGGATACAATCTCTATATGTTCTCTAAGTCATCCCAGGAATTGAGGGATAGGATGGTCAAGATTTTTCATGTTTTCATTCTCTAATAACGTATAACATGGCTTCCATGCACATTTTCAAAGAACAAAAGAAAATATGAAGTGATAATCTACATATAAACCTCTTTAGCCAACCCCATGAGTAACTTAATACAATCATTGTAATAGATACAGGGGTAAGAAATACATCAGTGTTCTGCCTGTTATGGTTTTGTTCTTTTTTTAAAAAATCGCTTTACAAAAATTAACTGTTGGGAGCTAATTCTTTATTTTTCTTTTTAAATAATAATAGTTTTTAAAGTAGCTCTGCTTTTCTCATTCGTACTGAAATGCTTATGAATTACATTATTTTACTTGTGACCCCAACAGGATGAAGCTTTTTTACTTTCCTTTTGTTTCTTTGCTTAGAAGAACAAAGGATTGGGAAGAACAGAAACAGTAAAGGACAGGTGAGTTTCTAAGGGTAAGACATGTTTTCCTCTGATTAAAAATGCTCCATATCTTTTATTTCTGGTAGAATTAGAGTCTGCAAATTTTGAAGCAGGCATTCCTCGCTGGATGCTTAGAATAACATTATGCCCTTGTCTTCTTATATTAATGTATTCCAAGGCTCTTATCACTGTTTAAAAAGTAGTTTGAATGCTTTGATATTCCATATCCAAGGATATTGATCTGCCTTATTGTTTTTGGAGAGGTTAATGAAAAGAAACTCTCTTTGCTTCACCCTATTAGAAAACCCCATGATTCAATGTAGATAAAGTTCTAATTTTTATATTTGGAAACTATTTTTAAATAATTCAATTTGCAAAAGACAGTATTTTCTGTTTCCTTTTTCAGTGCTTCCTATAGCCTATTTACCTCTGTTCTTCACTTAAGGAAATTGTAGAATAATTAATATAAGACTTCAGAATTATGGAGCCAATAGATGTTACAGAATCTGTATCTCTTATTCTTAAAGAAGTATCTGCCTCCTCAATGGAAAAGAACTATAGCCTTTTCTTTCTCAATGTTTTCTCACGGTCAAGTATAATTATTCAATCTTTTTCATATCCACATCTTCCCATCCACCCAATTTAGGAGAAATTCTCTTTAAAAATATTTAGAGCTTTAAACTCTGGTTGAGTGCCACTTCTACTAAGTTAACAAGATGTTAATATGTCATTCCAGGAATGTATGAAGTCAAAATGTCTATCCAAGATCCTCTTCTTCACAACCTATATATAGGAGAATATGACAGCATTCATATATCCTGAATAAATTAGAAAGTCTATCAGAGAACAAGTGTGAGGGATACCAACTCTGAGCTGAATAAGGACACGTTCTCATCAGGGAAGATTTGTTTTTGCCTGCGTCTTGGTAAAGTTGCTTTTTACCCTCTCAATTATTGGACGGAAAGTCTGTCTTCCCCCTGAGGCCATTTAAAGGAACACAGATGACTTCTTTACATTTTCCTTCCCTTCTTCAAGGCTTAATGAACTTTAGGGTGAAGTTTATAAAGCCCAGAACAGAGAGCTTGCTCAAAAACACTGTGAAGTGCCCGATGACGATCTATTTTTTCCTATTTGTGAGAATCAGAGATTTGGAGAGCTCGTCCTTTCGCATTTATGTTTCAACACTTAAGTGTGACTTAACAAGATGTTTAAAGCTGAGACTGGGGTAGAATAATTCTTGAGACTTAAGGGATGTTGAATTTCACACTCTATATAAGGGAGCTTAGCATACCAATCTTTGCTTTAGGGGAGAATCAGGGAGCTATTCTAGGGTTTGCTAAGTATAATAGTTGACACAGCAGAGAAATCTTTCACTTTTGGCTTCCTGCCATGCCCTGTGAATAAAGGAGTATGCCAGTTACTTATAGGACTGTTTTTCCCTTGGGAGATTTAGTTCTAGCTCACCTTAACTCATTACTGATTCACGGGCTGCTGTTTTTGGCTAAATGTGTTAGAGGAGCAATGTTAGCTGAGAGGCTATCAAAATTTGCAACAGGCTCTTCCATCATCCCATCCCTTTGGAACTCTGCTGTCAAAAAATCCACTCAAGACACTGCCTTTCTTTTTTCTCTTCCATCCGTCCCCATGAGTACTTTTTCCAATTAAGGTCAGCTTGTAAAAGGACTACATTTATTATTCATGTTTCTATCATTTGCACTTTACTAGGCACTCTTTTTATTAAGCACCAGTCCATAAAATGCCTGGAAGTTCATCCTTTTTTTCTATTCCCCACTGACAGTTGGCTTTGATGTAGAGGGGAGAAATGGATCTGCTCAACATTTCTAGCTCAAGTAGAGTCTTAGGCTAGATGGCAAAAGTAGTTTAGCTGCTAAGACCCTTTGGCTGCATCATTAGACCAGCATGTAATTATATATTTTATAGGTAGCCCAGGGTAGACTGAAATCATCATTTCCTAAAACGGACTTAGCAATTATCTTGGTAGATAGGTGTTTGTTTATTGAGTCTTATCACTTTAGAATTAAAGAGCATGTCAAGAGAAATACTTTAAAGATAATCCCAGAGAATTTTCTATTATTCCCTGAATAATAGGAGAACAGATTTGTTTACTTAAAAGTTGTGCTTAGAGGCCAACAGATAACGAAGTTGTACAGATAGCCTTTGGCACTCATGGCATGTAACAAAGTGAAAATTTTTGGTTTATGGAAACTAAGCCCAAACTACCATTTTGCACATCATTACAGTGATCCTGATTTGGACTGTTGCTAGCCCACATATATCCACTATAAGAGCATTTTCCTGCTCCACTAAACCCTAGACTATTGTGAAATTTTTGTTGAATTCATTAGTACCAATTTAACCTATTAATTACTGATAGAAAATACAAAAAAAAAAAAAAAAACTATGGGACCTTTGTGCCCAAGAGTGACTTAGCTAGTTTGTATGACGATTTCTCTGTGCTAATAAGTTGACTGGGGAAGTATAAATGACTAAAGGAGTAGGGTTACAAAATCACATTATTGAACACAAAAACAACTTTTTTTTTCAGCATCACCTTGATTTATTTTCCTAGTATTTTTTTCCTCAGATGGAAAAATAATTTCATCAAGAAAACAAATGCTTCTGCCAAAGTGAAAGAATTTTATGTCTTAATGCTTTTCTTTAAAAAAAAAAAAAGTCAACATTGAACTAGGACATGCTCTGCTTCCCCACCCCCATTTTGCTGACTACATTTTAAAAAATCTATTGGCAGAAAACAAGATATTTTCTTCAAATAGAGTGATTATGTTTTATTGCTATTTTGTTTAGTATATATTTTTCTCAATTGGGAAAAAAATCTAGGTGAAAAAAATTACCTAACAAGAGAAGTAGTTTACATAGTCATAACATTTAAATTGCTGCCCAAAAAATGTAAAAAAAATTTAATGTAAAATGTCACATAATTTCAAAAAACTTACCTCAATTGTCTATCATTTATCATGTACTATAAGTCAACTTCCTAAATAAGATTACAGTCCTTTATTATAAGCCCCTACTGGTACTATAGTATACATTTAAAAAACGCTACTACAAAAATTTTCTTTTCTTTTTGTTTTTGCTTATTGTGTACTTAGCTATAGATAATTTTTGAATACAAAGCCTACGGTACATATAAATGCAATAGTTAACTGATCCTGTTTGCTGATGTCCTTTTTATGTTCCACAGGTGACATCTTTTAATCCAGCATCTTCTCCTGTTTCTTGCCTTCCTTTTTCTTCTTCTTAGATTCTGCTGTGATTACAAAAAAGAGAGACAGAAAGAGAGAAAGAGAAAAATGTCAAGTTACTAAATTGCAGGGAAGAAATAGCCACATTTCTTATAATTGACCAGACTGATACACAAGTTGTTTGCTCTTGGTAGTTCTCTTGGTAAACTGAGAAAACACTATGTGTATGTGCATGTGTGTGTGTGTGTCTGTCTGTCTGTCTGTCTGCTTTTGACAAAAGAGTGCCTGTGAGAGTGGGCAGGAGGAACATAGCCTGCTTCTGTGTTAATTCTACAAATGCCTGTTATCTTACTGGTTGCCTTTGTTTGATAGGCAAGATATTGACTTGGGGTCCTGCTTAGAAAATAGAAATACAGCAGACATCTCTTAGTAAATTACCCAGGTCACTGCTCAATGGAAAACTACAAGAGCTCTGCTTAGCCCCTCATTTCCCCCATTCCCTTTCCGTAGGACTCTTTGATAGTATATTTTCTGAGCAAACAATTGCAAAGTGGTTCCACTCCAGGTCGGCCCTCTGCTTATATATTTGGCCAGCTATCTATGTAAAAAGAACCGGCTATAAACCATATGTACTCTCTCTGGAGCTTTGCCTACAGGAACTCCTAGTTTGGGGTAAAACAAATGGAATGTGTCAACATAGGCTGTAGGAAAGTAAAACATTGAGGATTTCAATCAAAAGACTCCATTCTTTTCCATTCAACCATCTTTCCACTTCTCTTTTCCTAACAGGAGAATGCAATGTAGAATAGAACACATCTAATTTGGCTCCAAAGACAAAAATGGTCAGAATCACTGGGTTAGCAAGTGAGGGGATATTGCTAAATATTTCTGAGCCACTTCTCCAATTTGGTCCATAGTAGTGGCAGAAATATACTGGTTAAGTACAGGCTCTGGAGTCAGACTGCTGAAGTTTAAATCCTGGCCACATCATTAAGTTACTGTGAGACACTGAGAAAGTTACTTAATGTATTTGTTTCTTAGATTACTCATCTTTAAATAGGCATATGAAAAGTACCATAGCATATGATAGTAAGCATACGGTTTATATCCAAATTAAACCTGTTCTATAAAATCTACTGAGAACAGAACATGATACAATAGCATGTGCTCAATTAAGGTTAGCATTTATCATTAGGGTGATAATAGAGCAAGAACAAGAGATCATTACCCTGTATAATTAAAATCCTTAATCATTATCAAGGCATATTGATTGAGCAGGTCAATGAATGTGCTAAGCAACATAGGGTCACTGGGACAAAAACAATGACCAACAGGGATGAGGTCATTGTTCACTGGAGCATACAGCCTGTGTCCAAGAGGACCATAAGACTTATGAAGACAGAAGATATGATATGATGCCAACTAGAAATATTGTATATTTCTCAGCTCATACTTAAGTAGAGCTGGAAACTTTTCCATTTCTATATACTATCTTCATGACCTCTTCAAGTAGGTTCCAAAGTCCATTACACACTAGTAGTATTTCTGTTCAATGTAATTGTCCTAATCTTCCTTTACTCAAACTTCAAGGGTACACTATATGCAAGTGGGTCAGCAGTTTCTAAACCCAGGCTAAATTGTTGTCCATAATTGTATTCATTCCATTCATGACTTCCCAAGTTTGCCCCATTTCTATACTAAAGAAATTTAACTTTTCACGCTCTCTATTTTTGTTTGTTTTCTCAAATATCTTTCTTTCACCCTATGAGAGGTGTAATGACCAGAATTTCCAAGTGAAAGATACATTTTAGATCAAAGGAGACATTATGTGTAATTTCCGAAAAATTATTCAGTGTCTGAAAATGTAATAATTCCCAATTTTTGGTCAACATTTTAGGCAACAGCTGTATATTAGGATGGTATCTTCAGAGAACAATGTAGGATTTCAACTGAGACCTAACTCTGGTTTTCCCTCTCTCAGTTTCCTCATGTCCCTTCCTGGAAAACCCTCAGGAACTTGTTATCTTCTAGGTCTCCAGTAGAGTGGATATCTAAGTAGCAATTTTCATATTTTGGCTAACATGTTCCTATTTCATACATAAGTCTGAGCAGATGACATACTAACCAGG
This sequence comes from Homo sapiens, assembly GCF_000001405.40. Classification (NCBI taxonomy): domain Eukaryota; kingdom Metazoa; phylum Chordata; class Mammalia; order Primates; family Hominidae; genus Homo; species Homo sapiens. The sequence continues at coordinate 137,230,140 of NC_000007.14, forward strand.
TTTTTGTATAAAAGTTTCATAAAACTTAAAATTATTCTGAACATTGGACACTATTTGATCTGTTAATGTAAGGTTGTCCATTTCAAAGAACACTTTGGGAATAGGAATCTGTCACCAAATTCTTCTTGGTAAAGGCAAGAGCACATTCTTAGGTAACCCTGAACCTGACATTGGTGTCTTATTCCTTAATTGACAACTTGCTAAATACCAGGAAATCAACAATTTGCTTATTAAATCTGTACAATGTCAATCAACTTATTCTTCTGACACAAGTGGCAAGTAATCATGGTACTGTCCGGACACCCTGCAGAACTTGAGTCTACTCTGGGCTCAATCTAAAGAGAAAAATAAAGAGTCTTCAGTAAAAAGTAGTGGAAGGAGGGAAGAATTCATATTTGCAATAAGGTCAGTTTAGTTTTTTACATAACAAAGTGTTCAAATTTTTGTGAAAAAAAATCAGGTCAGTAATATTGCTTCCAATCGAAAGCAGTTTTTTGTGACTTTTATGTACATTCAACTGAAAGACTAAATGAGCTTTGTCACTGCTTATCTCTGTGGCCTCAAAAACTTATTAACAACCTCTCAATCTTTACCTAGTATACATGATGGGTTTAAAATAGTATCACAAAATCTATGACCTAGAAAGAACGTGGTCCAACGCCCTTACGTAATAGATGAAGAAACTGAAACATTCACATTGCCCCTCTTTACTTCCATCTTCATACTTATGCTTATTTTAGTTCCCCAAATACATCTTTTCTCTTTGTCTGTTTTTCTCTCTAGTCTCTGGCCTTCAAATTCACTCTTCATTTCATCAACCCCACACTTCCACTACGACATGTCTCATTAATGCCTCCCATCCTTCAGGTACCAGCATTGACATCACTTCTAGTTTGCTGACCTCGCAGTGTGAGTTAGAAGTTGTTTCTCTTTCCTGCTCTTGTTAGAGCACCTATCTCTAGCATTGTAACTGCCACCAAAATACAAGCTGCGAGAGGGTGCAGTTTCTACTCTCTGTTGTACCTCCAACCCATGGCACAGGGCCTTGTGTGTAAAAGCTGATTAGTAAAGCTTTAGTGAAAATAAATGGATCCATAACATGGTGATAATATGTCTCACCCATCTTCCTTATGACGGTTCTTTGACTTTTCTTTGCTTCTTTCCATCTTATCCTTTTCATATTATTTCCTCTTGGCCTGAGTGTTCCTTCTCCTACTACCCCAATTTGCACAGTCAGCACCTAGTCATCCTTAAAATCTTAGCCTCAACTGCATTTTCTCAGGGAAGCCCTCCAAGAGCTCTCAGATAAGCAGATTCCGTGCACAGACACTCTCATTGTGCCTCCCATTGATTTTTCCAAAACTAGAATTGAACTATTAATTTTGTCTCTAATTATTTGGTATGTGTTTTTCCTTTCCTATGACAATAGAGACCCTATCTGTATGTTGCAACTGTATATTCTGTGCCTGAGATATAACAAGCATTCATGAAATACTTGTTGCATGCGGAGTGGATAAATGAATACTTGAATGGGAAATAGTTCAACCCATTACTATATAGAAAAGAGTATTTCTCAAGGAAAGTAAGGAGTGTAAATCCAATTAGAATCTTGTCAAATTTCAGTCTATCTTTAAAGACAAATATTTTATGAAGAAGAAAACTTACAAACATACGTATATGAAATTTATCCAGGTTTCTTAAAACTTTGTCTTTAGAATAGAGACCTGATTAAACTCTGTGGGTAAAACTGTCCCAGTTTAGTCGCCTTTCAAGGTTAGAGAGAAATGTTTACTATGAGATGTGGGTCACAAATTAGCCTGGAGCAGGGCTATAATTAGTTAAAGCCAAGTGCTTTTTTATTGAAGTCATATAGCGGCTACTCTAGAAGGTTCTGAGAGCCAATAGGATTCCTACCCTGATGTGAACAGTAGGGCACTTTAGTTCACATTGAACAGAGCCAAATCAAGAGAAGGAAGTACACATACACCACACATCAAATAACACCCCGGGCCACATGTCCCTTGTCCCTGCCTGGATTGAGGCTGCAAAGCAGAAATGGATATAAACAGAGAATGAGCCATTGTCAACATGTGAAAGTAAAGGGCACCTGCCTGAAAGGTGACTTGTTCTGTTCCTACCAGGACATCACTGCACTGGAATCTCACAGCAGTGCCCTGGGTAGATTTTAACTTCCTGGGTTTTCAAACTTTCATCCTTTCTTTGGCCAGTTTTTGAGTTGATAGAGGCTAGTACTCATAATAATTGGGATACAGAGATGAGAAAAAATAGTAGGTGTGTATTTTTGTAACTTTGTGGGGGGTTTTTAAATACAAATACATTGTTTTAAGATACGTTTGAAAGTGTTCAGAAAGTCCTAAGGCTTTACTAAGAAAAAGTACTCTAGAAAGGATTCAGGCTTCTTACATTGCTATGAATCATAGGATCCAAAGGGCCATGTTCACCATATTCAATCTAGAAAACTCAGAATTTATCCAAGGAAATTCTTTGAATGCATAACAACTCCTGATAAGAAAGAAGACAGGCAGTGATATGGTTTGACTCTGTGTCCCCACCCAAATCTCACCTTGAATTGTAATCCCCATAATCCCCATGTGTCAAGGGCAGGACCAGATGGAGGTAATTGGATCATGGCGGCAGTTTCCCCCATGCTATTCTGTGATAGTGAGTGAGTCTTATGAGAGTTGATGGTTTTATAAGTGTCTGGCATCTCCCCTGCTTGCATTCATTCTCTTTCCTGCCACCCTGTGAAGAGGTGCCTTCCGCCATGATTGTATGTTTCCTGAGGTCTCCCCAGCTATGTGGAACTGTGAGGGAATTAAACCTCTTTTCTTTATAGATTACCCAGTTCTGGGTATTTCTTCATAGCAGCACGAGAATGGGCTAATACAGTAAATGCAGTGAGAAGAATGAGTAGAAATTAATATGAGCCGTGTTACAATTCTGAGCCCATGTGTTTTTTTCTATGCTGAATAGAAAACAAAATCTTGATAAATGCTAACGTATTAAGTGACACCATGGCCTTTAGGTACGGTGAGACAATGAAAAAATCATGAAGTTTTGTTAGAATCATACTAAGAACTAAGCCCTAATCTAGAGAATTGGTTCAAATAGATGTTTGCCACTTACCAGCTCTGTGATCTTGTGCAGATCAATCATTCTGCCTCTGTTTCCTATAAACTGGGGATAATAAAACCTATATCCTCCTCAGAGGGCCAGTGTTAGTATCATGTGAGATTATGTCCTCTGCAATCTCATCTTACCACTAATGTTCAAAACACATTAATTTATTGATTCAGCAAATATGCACTCCATCTCCACTGTTTTAGACGCTAGGGTATAAAGGTGAACAAGACAAAACTCTGCCTTCACACAGCTGACATTACAAACAACACTTTCAAGGTGGCTTTATGGGAGAGTCTTTCAAAATTGTAAAGTGCTTTAAAGTACATATTTATATTAAAGATCATGGGTATGTGGCAGCTATTTTTATGGTTTTGAGACCTGGTTTTCTTGTTGCTAATTTACTACTACAATCCAGAGACATGTGTTGTGAAAAATAGAGCAGCCACAAGGAGAATGAATTACTAGAAAGAAAGAGTATACCTACAGTAGATTTACCCTGAAGGAAAAGGAGGGTTTCTCCTCTTGGGGTTATTTCATTCTTCTTAAAAAATATTAATTACTTGTCTCATTTAAAAAGTATTACAGACTCATATAAAAACCAAAGAAACACACACACACACACACACATACATATATGTATATATGTATACATATATATGTATATGTACACGTATACATATACATATATATGTATATATATACACACACACATACATAGAGAGAGAGAGATTACTCATAACTTCACAATGTAGAAACAACACTTTTAACGAGTTCTATTTATGTTTTCTTTCTATGACTTTACTTAGGAATATATTGACAGTTGATATAGTATTTTATGCTAAAAATTCAATTGTATCTATTTTCCATGTCATTGCATATACTTTGAAATGTGACCAAGTAATATTCCTTTATATTATCCTACTCCATATATTTTGTAACCTTTCATCTTTTGTACATCAGTTGGATAGTTCTGACCTCTTGTTATTATAAATAATGATGCAATGCTGATTTTGTTCACAAATCATCGAATGCTTAAATTTTGCCTTAGTATAGATTATTAGAAAAGGATGTACTGGATCCAAGGGCAGGACATTTTAAAAACTCCAGATATGTGTCGGGAAATTTATTTTTTGAAAGGAAGTAGTAATTTAAATTCTTATCAGCAATTTATATGAGTCTATCACAGCAAAGTTACTCTTGAAAGGCAAATAATCAGACAACAAGCATCATCTGTTTTCTATCTTTTCACAAGCCTTTTGGAAATAGAATTGCCATGTAGTTGGTATAAGTAAACATCAACTCCCCACTTTCAATATTAAGAAAATCTGGGAGAAATCAGATTGGAAGTGGGCCTTAAGAGAAAGACATCTGTTTAAAGATTGTTCAAAGACCTTAAGGGGACATGTTTTTCAAGAAGTGAGAAAGTTGAGAATTCTGAAATAAGCTTATCTCATTTTCTCAGTAAAAGGTCTTGCTTTGATTACTTATTTTCAGATGGCCTGCTGTGTATACAGAAAAACTAAAAAGGAAATTAGGAGATGAAATGATTTCAGATTGAGGGGAGCCCAGATTTTAACTAAAGTGACTCAGGCCCTGTTCGCTGCTGACTTAAATAAAGTGTCTTTGGGTTATTAAAGCAGTGGGAGGAAGTATTGATTAGAATAGAAATACAAAATGTGCACCTTCTAAGAGATAGAATTCATTTTAGCTAAAAGAAGCTAAAATCATTCAGAAATGCACATTGCAGAGGTCAAGAGAGACAGCTGAAAAGGAACAGTTGGAGGCATACCATCAAGACCACTGAAAGTTCACTTTTGGAGACTTGTTCAATAAATCACAAGGACTTATCACAGAAAAAGGATCATATCCCTGTCAAACAGTACCATCGCAACGTAAATATGTTCAAAAGCCTGCATATCACCAAGATCCTTTTAATGCTTTGTGAACCGATTTAAAGTAACTCACCTGTGCTTAAGAATTAACTGCCTAGTCATCTAGAACTACCTAATCCCTCGCCCCACGTCAGCTATGCCTCAGAACTGATAACAAGGCTTGTCGAATTGTGAACATACAGCTCAGTGATTCAGGAACTAAAATCCAGGTACTGGTTGGCTAGGCTGCCTAACGTGGCACTGTTCATTCAATTTCCAAATATTTCAGTTTAAATGAGTAGCATAAATTAAGTGGCAAAATACAGAAACATATTTCTGTTAAAAATCAAAAGTATCATCTTTTAAACATTTGCTTAATGTGTTATTCACAGATGTAGTTCAGTCCAATGCCTATGCAATAATTTTGTTGTTTCTTCTTTGATTTCCTATTTTGTAGCATCAATTGTTTCATTTCCTCTTTTATGGACTCAATGCATTTACTTCTACGATATGTGTGGAAAACATGTGTACATGCATACTGCCCCTCAGTGCTACCCACATGCTGATACTTTGCTTCATCCACACCTCTTCTTTCCCTCACTGTCCACCTTCCTCTTCATTCATCAACTCTATTTCATAGCAATACCTTCTACTCCTTCTACTCCTGCTCAACTATCTGCTCTTCTGCACTCATTTGCTTTCTGATATCAAGTATACGTGAATAAAAGATAGTACATATATTTGTGTCTAGATGCAGACTAAACACATCTAGACAATTTCAGGAACCTGTTTTGTCCCCCCCACTCACTTTGGGAGGCGGCTCAGCATTTAACTGCATCTCCTAAAAACAGAAAGTTTAGCTATGAAAGCACTAGTGAATAAAGTAGATTTAATAGAAGGTTTAGTGAAGATGAAATTACTTCATCAACCATGCAGAACAAAATTAATAAAAGTCCCCAATATGTCAGTTATTTTTCAAATCAACTCACCAGTTGCATCAGTAGACGAATCCATCTCCCTTCACCCAAACACTCCTCTCTACCATCTTCTCAAACTCTCCCCACTCCTGTGTCTCCATTTTCCCTTCTCTATAAGAAGGAATTGAGATATCTATAGCTTCTCCAAATCATAAAGGGCCCATTCAGGATGCACTTTCTTTACACAGTAGAGTCAGGGGTGGGGGAATCAGCCACACATGAGCGTGTTGGGATCAGTCCCTGATCTGACCCATACATACATGTATACCAAGTAGAAAATTGTCATTTAAACTCCTAGTTTTAGCTCAAAACATGTATACCATCCTTATTTGTTATTTACAGACACACATACACATACACAGACAGAGAGAGAGAAAACCACAGATGTGGATTTAATGCCGAGTTTCTTTTGTTTAGCAAAAGCCTCTGCCCTTCCTCTATCTGTAGACCACTCTCAAGATTTTATACTTCTTGACAGTGACCATCCCACACCACAGATTCATCGACCTCTATACCTAAACACAAAAGAACGATTTATCTCTAATATGACATTTAAATATTTAAGAGCTTATTTCTGCAATAATGAGGAGCTTATTTCTGCAATAATGAGGGCAGAGGTAGAAAATTTGCCTTATTATAAACTATTGTAAATTAGAAATGAAATGTAGTATTATAAACAGTAATAAGTAGTTCACACTTAGCTAATCATTATTTTCTATGATCATATCTAATGTTTAATATAATATAGCCAGTACTACTAGGAAATCAAATTTTAATCTGTGAAAAAAGGGCAAAGTTTGAACTCCAGTATATTTAAAATTTTAGTAGGTACAGTCCCATAAATGTTTTTCCTATTCATTACCAAATAAATCTTTCTTTTGGTTCAAAAAATTATAGATATAGATATAGTTAAATAGAATCAGTTATTATGGCCTGACTTGCATCCCTCCTGAAAATTCATACTGAACTCCTAACCCTTGTATCTCAGAGTGAGAACATATTTTAGAGATAGTCTTTACAGAGGCAATTAAATTAAAATGAGGGCATTCGGATAGACCCTAATCCAATATGACTGGTGCATTTACAAGAAGAGGAAATTTGAACACAGACACATATAGTGAGGACACAAGGAAAAGACAGCTGTCTATAAACCAGGAAGAGGGGCCTCATAGGGCACCAACCCTGACAATACCTTGATCTCAGACTTTCAGACTCCAGAACTATGAGAAAATAAAGTTATATTTAATCTACTGAGTCTATGGTACTTTGTCACGACAGCCCTAGCAGACTAATGCATCCGCGAATTCGATTTCAGACTATATTTCATTTTTGTGTATCCTTCAGAGCATATTCACTAGCTGTAGAGGTGAAAAATAGGATGTTAGTTTATTGTTATTTTTAAATTTGTCCTCCAGAATTAAATAATTTTTAAATTTTAAGTCATTTAAATATGTAACTTAGGTGCTAAGCAATATAAGGTTTTATGCTCACCAGTGATTTCACAAATCTTACTGCATTAATTCTTTCACCCCCCTTCAAACATGTCCTCCCAGCTGTAAGCAGGTGAGCTATTCCCCACCACGTGATTTCTTCTGCCCCAAAAGACCCAGCAATCTGTCTATAGCAGCAGCAGCAAAAGGTAGATCTGAAGATCTTTCTCTATACTTTACATGTTTTTAGACAGCAGCCTTCAGAGCAGCTTAATTTATTACTCTTGTACATCTAGGTGAAGATCTGAAAATGTTTTTTTCTATTTTCTGTAAGAGTAAAAATAATTTTTGAAAGCCTAGCAAGAGAAAGGATCATGAATGTGTTAACCTGCCATCAATATCTGTGGGCCTTGCCGCCTGCATGCATGAACACTAGGACGCTAGAACAATTTTACTTCCTTCTTGCTCTTTGGATTCCTGATGAGTTCTTCTACAAATATTGTTTACTCCTCTAGAAAAAGTCTTTATTATTTTATTTTCATGGCCTCTGTGCACTGAACAACAACAAGCTTGCTCTGATTTCCCTGTAGGTTTGCATCAGTGAGAAGCAGAGCAGACTGGGAGTGTGCCAAGTGTCCCCACCAGCAGTTCCAGTTACCAGGACAGCCATCCCTCAAATTGTGGTGAAGCACCAGAATTGCTAGGAATGTCATAGCGGAGGGAAGACAATCATGAATCCAGGCCAGGGCCCAGCCTGGGAGAGCTCTGGGTTAACAAGTCACCTTGCTGTTCGCCCTTACTCTCAAGGAACATAGCTGCTTTAAAGAACCCTAGATTGAAAATGCAGCACTAAGAGTGATCATTTGTTTTCAGAGTAATTTTTATACAAAGACAAGCTCAGGCCAGAAATTATCCAACAGGGCTCAATCAGTCATAAATAACTCTGAATATGCTTATACGAATGTTTAGGATTATCATGGAAACAAAAAACAAATTATTAATTTCTTTTAGAATACCTAAAGAGATCCGGCAGTGATCACTTGGTTTGGGAAGCACTGGTACAATGGAAAAGAACTCTGGAAACAGACTGTCCTGACTTCAAGTTCAAGACTGATCATTCACTGTCTGGGTAACTTTGTGCAAGTTGCAACCTTAGTGTGTTATTTTGTAAAATACAAATAAAACTACTTTAGCTGCCATGCAGCTTGAGTGAGACAATGCAGGCTAACGGCTTAGTATAATGCCTGTCATATCATAAATACTCAATAAATAGGATACACTTTTACAATACTCAATAAATAACAACAGGTACAACTTAAAACACAAGCAGAAAGCCTCAATTTGGAAGTTAGAAGACAGAAATGCAAAAGCTTCAGGAAGCAAAAAGGAGGTCCCGAAACCCAATAACTAATATGCAGCTTTCCTTAGTACTAATTACTCTATAGCTGTTTTGTGAGTACACAGCTAATGACCCTCTGAGCATGGAATGTGCCCAGGGAGATGAAAGCAGACACACAGTTTGAAGTAAACCTACAAATATTTATAGCTGCTAGTTCTCACAGCTGCCCCAGCAATTAGGACCAAAAATTCTTCAATAAGGAGGGGGAGTAAAACACACAAATGACTCTGATCCCAAGTGAGCTCATTGTGCCTTCACAGTGATTTCTCTACACATTTTTGAAGCCAGTGTGAATGATGTAGCCTAGTGAGCTAGACCAGGACAATTTAGTTGGATACATCATTCATTCATTCAAGTCAGTATTCTTCCTTGAGTTTTCTCATGGGCTAGGGACTATAAGATGTAATTTTCTTTTTTATTTATTTATTTATTTATTTATTTATTTATTTATTATTATACTTTAAGTTTTAGGGTACATGTGCACAATGTGCAGGTTAGTTACACATGTATACATGTGACGTGCTGGTGCGCTGCACCCACTAACTCGTCATCTAGCATTAGGTATATCTCCCAGTGCTATCCCTCCCCCCTCCTCCCACCCCACAACAGTCCCCAGAGTGTGATGTTTCCCTTCCTGTGTCCATGTGATCTCATTGTTCAATTCCCACCTATGAGTGAGAATATGCGGTGTTTGGTTTTTTGTTCTTGCGATAGTTTACTGAGAATGATGATTTCCAATTTCATCCATGTCCCTACAAAGGACATGAACTCATCATTTTTTATGGCTGCATAGTATATGATATAATTTTCAAAAGTGAATAAGTTGTAGTATACGAAGAGTTTGCCTGTTAGGAGAGGGAAACATGCCCTCGGTACAGCATAATGGATGCCTTATCACAGGAGTGACATGTCCTCTCAGAGGAGACCGTGACTTAATATTTGGGAAGGGAAGTCTGGCAAGTTTTAACACTGATCCCTTTTCTAGTCATTGAGCAAAACAAGCTCTCTTTGGCCTGAAGGACTTTGAACTTCTGCTTGTTTCGTTTAGAACACCAGTATGGCTAGCCCCTTCTCTCTCTTCCAAACCAAGTTCAAAAGTTACCTTGTCCGAGAGGCTTTCCCCGATTACTCTATCTCACGTACTCCTTTCCCATCACTCTATCACTTGGTTCTGTTTAGTTTTTAAGGTCACTTATGCCAAGAGGTATTTACTGATTTAATTATTATTTATTTCTCTTTTTCCTTCATTGTCCACCCACCACCACCACCAGTAGAACACAGCAGTCAGAGGGAAGGAACCGTGTTTGTCTAATATCACTAGCACTTAACATACTGTGTGCTCCATTGCAGGCTCTTAATAGATTTTATAAAAACATGAATACATTAGAAACAATGCTAAAGGACTCTCCACTTCTCTGTCTCATAGCATTTGCCACTCTATGTGGTACACTGGAATTTATCCCTCTGCTTCTCCTACTACACTGTAAGACCAGTAAGGTCATTAATTTATCCCTGGTGCTAACTAGAGCACATAGCACTTGCTCGCTAAAATATTTGCTGAAAGAACAGTAGAAATGTATGAAAGAAAAGAAGAAGGAAAACAGTTCCAGGTTTCAAGAACTACAGATGCAAAGAAATGGACACATAAGAAATCATGGCCCAGTCTGCTGTCTCCTGGAGTTTGGGAGTTTGGTATGGCTGGGGCAAAGTTTGTAAGCAATGTCTAGAGAAAGATCAGGCAAGTGCCCAGCCAGGAAGATACACGAGCAAGACAGCCTGCTAAGGAGTCAGGGTGGGTCTAAAATTCATTCACTTTCTTAGGTAAGAAACTTAGATACCTGTATGGAATGACACAGAAGAAGGAGCTGTGCATGCTGCAGGAGCTCTAGAGTCGACTGCCTTGCATTTAAGTCCTCTGCATATTAGTGGTATAACCTTGTGCTAGGTATATGTATTAGTTCATTTTCACACTGCTATAAAGACATTACCTGAGACTGGGTAATACATAAACAAAAGAGGTTTAATTGACTCACAGTTCTGCATGGCTGGAGAGGTCTCAGGAAACTTACAATCATGGCTGAAGGCGAAGGGAAAACAAGGTACATTTTACATGGCAGCAGGAGAGACAGCGAGAGCAAGGAAGTGCCACACTTTAAAACCATCAACTCTCGTGAGAACTCACTCACTATCAGGAGAACGGCAAGAGGGAAACCACCCCCATGATACAATCACCTCCCACCAGGTCCCTCCTTCAACACCTAGGAGTTAAAATTGGAGATGAGATTTGTGTCGGGAAACAGAGCCATATCATTATCTAAATTCTCTATAGCCTCAGTTTCCTTGTATGTAAAAATAAATATAACAGTAACTATTTCACAGAGTTTTGTGAATATTAAATGACACCCTGTGTGAGCAATGCACTAAACTTTACTCAAAACACACTAAGCTCTCCGTAAATATAAACTATAATCACTTTTGTTGTAATCACCATAATTCTCCTTTTGCCTGAAAAGGTGCTGAGGGTAAAACACCTACTTCAAGAAATTCATTTGGAAGAAAGGAAATAGTCTTTAAAATACTGCATATTTACCAAGCATTCTTACTTACAGTGCTTCATTTTGTCTTTATAACGATCCTATGGTATATTCACTGTCAACTCTAATTTAGAGAAGACAAAATAGGTATCATTCTACTAAGAAAAGGATAGAGTTAGATCTCCCCACTTCTAGTACGGTATCATGGATGGAAAATAAAACATAGGTGTTGAAAGATGTTTTCACAAGCAGAATAAAAAAGAAATAAAAACTTGAGACCCAACGGAGTACAAGTGTTTTCCTCTGATCAAGAGGAACAGAATTCCCACAGGGTACCCCATGCTGCCTCTTCTGGCCAAGTACAAGGGCAGTAATCATCAACCTCTTCAGGGGGCCTTCGAGGGGAGGGAGCCAGTCCCAGGCCAGCCTGTGGTGGGATTCTGCCCCCTCACCTCTCTCAACACAGTTAAAAGTCTCCCAGCCTAGCAAAGCCCATCCATACAGTGTTGCCATGCTCACTCCTGAGGGATGTCAGAGCCCAGAACATAGACAGAAATGTTGGGGGGAACTTCTTTTATCTTTAAAAGAACTAACAAAAGAATCTATTTAGCTGGGGAGAGAATTGAGAATGCTGGGAATATCACTTTCCTGACCCCTTTTTTCCCATTTAATAATCAGCTGCCAAAAGCTGTGTCCTGCACACAGTTGAGTCTTGCACTTAAACAGTTTCTGTTCTTTTGATCTTTAAAGATGAATTGTCAAACACAAGAGAGGGCTAGGCGGCTTTCCAAAAAAGAGCAGCAAGATGGCAAAACTTTCAGAAATAGCTGGAAAGGAAGAAAAAGAATTGAGGTTATCGAGAGCAGGAAAATTGAACAAGGATCTGGTAACAGCAGCGTGTGGCTTGGTATGGACAGCAGGAGGGACTGACATTCATTCCCTGACTCACCTGTAGCATAGACATCTCTCCCTGTGTGCCCATCTCTGCCAGTCCCAAAAACAATCTGAGAATTCCCCTTTTCCAGATAAACTTGGTAGCTGGCTTATCTGTACTAAAAAGGGCTTCACAACACCCTTCATTTATGCATCTGATTTAAAAAGTAACAACTAATAATTGCCAGGTGAACAATAACCCAAGATACTAGAATGTTCCAAGATGATCATTAGGCAATATCACCTGTGGCCTGAAGGAACCTCTCAGCTCTCACTGGAGCCTCCCACACAAGCCCCAGCCCCTGCTTTAGCTTGGCTCTGCACTCCAGTGACAAATACCAGAAGCCTGCTCCATGGGCTGCACCGTCCCCTGACCCACACAGACAGGACTGCCTATAGAGCCACAGCACCCCCACGGACGGGTCCATCCGGCAGGGATGCTTGTTCTTGCCATCTTCTAATTCCATAGTGAGCCATCATCTAAGGGGACCACTGAAAAACACGTGTGGCTTGGAGAAGAGTTATTTGACCTCTGAAGAGTTCTCTGTCGCCAGGCTAGAGTGCAGTGGCACGATCTTGACTCACTGCAACGTCTGCCTCCTGGGTTCAAGCGATTCTCCTGCCTCAGCCTCCCAAGTAGCTGGGACTACAGGTATGCACCACCACGCCCATCTAATTTTTGTATTTTTATTAGAGATGGGGTTTCACCATGTTGGCCAGGATGGTCTCGATCTCTTGACCTCGTGATCCGCCCACCTCAGCCTCCCAAAGTGCTGGGATTACAGGTGTGAGCCACTGTGCCCGGCCTGCTCTGACAGTTTATACAAAGCCGTTAGCAGAGACAGACTCTGTTTTCCAACTTTCTTCCTTGTTTGCAGATCAATTATTCCCGCAGAAAATAAAAAGTGACTGGTAATTCCAGTGAGGAGAGACCCAACTCTCTGTACAATGGTGTACTCAACAGTTCTAATGCAAGATTACCCTTGGCAATTTTTTCCCCATGGAGTAGCATCAATGCATCATCTAGCCCCACAGGAGAGAGGGGTAAGTCTAATGATATACCCCACCACATTCTGACATTCTTGCACACTGTGGTAGATTTGCTCACTACATGCCATGCAAGACCCTTGAAGCTTCCCTTCTTGTGTTTAGAGGTAGAATCTAGAAAGTTAAATATTCATTTTCCAGGCTCCTTCATAGCAGGATTTTCCATGTGACCAAATTTCTATTAAGCAGACACGCTTAAATGAGATGTGGAGGTAGACGTGACCAACTAGAAGCAGGGGCCAAATGTGGGGAGATTGGATAGTCCCTCAAGAAAGGGGGCAGAAGTGACTGGTTTCGGAGGGTCACCTGTGGCGGACCTTCCAGTGTTCAGTTCTAAGCATTATATGTGCTGAACAGACAGTAATTGCAGCAGAAAGGTTTCTGCTAGATCAGTGACATGTGGTGTGAGTAGATATTTCTCCCGGATCTGTTGACTTTGGCTGCATTATTCCTGGTCTTGCGGCATCCAAGCGAGATCTTTGGCCCTCCCGGAGATTCTTTGAACTATATAATACCCTTGAATAGACCTCTTTTGCTTAACGAGCTAGAGTAGATCTCGCTGTATCTAAAAGCTTTTGACAGATACAATGTTTTAACTAATTTAATTAATCTATATTAATTAAACTCAATCTCTTTTCTTAAGAAATTAAAATCTCAAGTGTCCAACACAATTGTTCACCAATTTATCCCTGCCAGACTCTGGTAATCATTAAGCAAATTCCAGCTACAATCTTTCAGTCAAGCAATGAACCTTTCCCAGAGTAATACTGCCTCCATCTCCAGGAAAGCTAAATTCCAGATGTGCACATTTCAATTCTTATTTCTGCATAAGAGCATGAATATTCCCTCTTCTTCTTAGTATAAAATATCAAAGTGGATAGCTAAAAGGTCTCCTCAGAATTTTTTTTTTTTTTTTTTTTTTTTACTTTAAGTTCTAGGGTACATGTGCACAACGTGCAGGTTTGTTACGTATGTATACGTGTGCCATGTTGGTGTGCTGCACCCATTAACTTGTCATTTACATTAGGCATATCTCCTAATGCTATCCCTCCCCCCTCCTCCCACCCCACAACAAGCCCCGGTGTGTGATGTCCCCCTTCCTGTGTCCAAGTGTTCTCATTGTTCAATTCCCACTTATGAGTGAGAACATGCGATGTTTGGTTTTTTTTGTCCTTGCAATAGTTTGCTGAGAATGATCTCTTCAGATTAAGTGGGATTCCAACCCAAGAGAATCTTCAAACAAGGGTTTCCAACTTCACATCTAGTATCATCAAAATTGCAGACTGAGGCTAGAGTGTGGAATCTGTTCAACATTGACATAGCAATAGGAAGGATTGCTTCTATACCTCAAGAAGTAATGCTGTTAGAATGGACTATGATGAATTTTAAGGCAATTTTTAACCAAACTCTGCGGGATATTTAGTAATTCCCTGGTGTTTGGATAGCAACTCTCGATATTAAGCCTCCTAACCAAGTCACTTAATCTTTTAGCCTTATTATTACCAATCAAATAGCAAAGACATTCTCCAGCCTTTCCTCAATTTAATGTTGGGTATTCACAGACTTGCCAACATCTTTATGTTTCATTCTAAAATGTAAAGAGTATGATTTTCACACTGAAACCAAGTGGTTTGCATATTAATCCACGGCCATTTCCCAAAACAAAAGTGGTCAGGAAGTAAGCAAAGAAGTTCTCTAAAATGAAAACAAGCAAATATCAAACAAACAAAACAGATCCTGATCATATGTTTGATTAGAATGATAAAGACAGGAAAAGAAGGCACTTTCTGACGAAGAGCTGAGTGACTAGATTATACGTAATACAGTTACGCACCACATAGCAATGTTTCAACCAATGATGGACCACATATAGAACTGTGTTCCCATTAGGGTACAGTAGAGCTGAGGAATTCCTATCACTGATTAACATTGGAAGGCAGCACATTACTCACATGTCTGTGGTGATGCGGATGTAAATAAACTTACTGCACTGCTAGTCTTATAAAAGTGTAACACAGACAATTATGTATAGTCATAATACTTGAGAGTGATAATAAATGGCTATGTTACTGGTTTATGTATTTACTATACAATACTTTTAATCATTATTTTAGAGTGTATTCCTTCTTCTTAGTAAAAAAAAAAAGTTAACTGTAAAACAGCTTCAGACAAGTCCTTCTGGAGGTATTCCAGGAGGAGGCATTGTTATCATAGGAGATGATGTGTTACTGTCCCTGAAGACCTTCCAGTGGGACAAGATGTGGAGGTGGAAGACAGTGATGTTGATGAACCTGACCCTGTGTAGACCTAGGCTAATCTGTGTGTGTCTTAGTTTTAACAAAAAGTTTTAAAAAATTAAAAATGCTTATGGAATAAAGATATAAGGAAAGAATACGTTTGTTATAGCTATGCAATGTTTTTGAACTTTAAGTCTTATTTTAAAAGAGTCAAAAGTTAAAATAAATTTAAAAGTTTATAAACTAAAATAGTTACCGTAAGCTAAGGTTCATTTACTGTTGGAGAAAGAAAAATATCTTCTCATAAATTTAGTGTAGCTTAAGTGTACTGTGTTTATAGAGTCTATGGTATTGTACACTAATGTCCTATGCCTTCACATTCACTCACTGTTCATTCAGTGACTCACCCAGAGCAACTTCCAGTCCTGCAAGCTCCATTCACGGTAAGTGCCCTACAGAGATGTACCATTTTTTTCTTTTATACCATATTTTTACTATATCTTTTCAATAATTAGACATGTTCAGATACACAAATACCTATCATTGTGTTACAATAACCTACAGTATTCAGTACAGTAACATGCTGTATAGATTTGCAGCCTAGGAGCAATCGGCTATACCTTACAGCCTAGGGGCACAGTAGGCTACACATCTACACTTGTATAAGTGCACCCTATGATGTTCACACGAGAATGAAATCACCTAAGGATACATTTCTTAGAACATATCCCTGTTGTTAAGTGACACATGACTGTAATTAAACTCATATTTTGAAAACCACTGATTTTCCTCATGACTGCAATGCCCTTTACTGATCACTATAAAAATTCCCTTTCCTATAATTCTCATGTTTGAAATAAGGCAGAAAAATGACATCAAAAGAGAACAAAACCTGGAACTGACTCCACTACCAGAAAACGGAATGGACATGCATAAGTCATTGATTTTCTCTGTCCTCATTTGTTATGTGGATATTAGATCAGACATTAGGCAAGGTCCCCAGAAGCTCAACCCTTTAAAGCTTCTAGACATAAAGATTCATCTAATAAATGTGACCAGCGTTGCATGGGTTTATAATACCAAGAAGGAGCATCGTGCAGTTGAAAAGGCAGTGGGTCTTTTGTATCAGTCTGACTTTAAATTTGAATCTGGTTGCACTGCTTGCAAGCTGTGAAACCTCAAATGAGTTGCCTAACATTTCTGAGCCTATGCTTTTTCATATATAAAGTAGGATAAATAAAATGTATGCTTAAAGTTGCTTTAAGGCTTAAATTAAATGACTAGGAGCTCCTACCCCAGTGTCCAATTCAAAATTAGTGAGTTCCCTACTTCTATCTCCTTCACATATTGAATTAACATAAGAAAAAATGTTGATGATGTACTCTTTCCTGAAGGAAGAAAATAATTTATAAATGCATCATTTTGAGAAAAGTTTAGTTAAATGACTACTGCAGCTTCCACCCAAAATAAAGGGAATCAGTATATTGAAAAGATATCTGTACCCCTATGTTTGTTGCAGCACTGTCTATGATAGCTAAGATTTGGAAGCAACGTAAGTGGCCATCAACGGATGAACAGATAAAGAAAATGTGGTACATATACATAACGGAGTACAATTCAGCCATTAAAATGAATGAGATTCAGTCATTTGCAACAACATGGATAGAAATGGAGATCATTAGGTTAAGTAAAATAAGACAGGCACAGAAAGAGAAACATTGCGTGTACTCACTTATTTGTGGGATCTAAAATCGAAACAAACTCAAGGACATAGAGAGTAGAAGGATGGTTAACAGAGGTTGGGAAGGGTAGTGATGGGTGGTTGGGATGGTTAATGGGTACAAAAAAATAGAAAGAATGAATAAGACCTACTATTTGATAGCACAACAGGGTGACTATATAGTCAATAATAAGTGTATATTTTAAAATAACGCAAAGAGTGTGATTAGGTTGTTTGTTACTCCAAGGATAAATGCTTGAGGGGATGGACACTGCATTCTCCATAATATGCTTATTTCATATTGCAGGCCTGTATCAAAACATCTCATGTACCACATAAATATATACACCTACCACATATCCACAAAAATTAAAAAGAAAAAAGACAACATTCACCTTCTCCTATTTCAAAGGAAATTAAAACCCATGGAGGTTAGTTCATACCCCTTTGTGATTTAGGTGAGAAATCAGCAGAATACAAAAGATGACATGAATTTAGAGTTAGACAAATCTTGGCACTGTCATTTATTAGAGATATACTCCTGGTCAAGTAAATTAACCAGTGTTCCTCAGTTTCCTTTATAATAATACCCACCCGCAAGGATATATGGGACTTTATAAGTTACCATATGGAAAACACCTAGAGCAATGTATAGAGTAGAAACTGAATAATGATAATGATAGTATAGATTCCATTCATTACTATTTGCTTTCCCATTGATTAGTAGAATGTAAGCTATCTTAAAATTAGAGACGTGCAAAGGAAAAGCTATAATATCTATCCAAGTTTATTTGAGAAAAATAGTACAAAAATAAATACAACTTACATATGCCACTCGTTACATTTTGGTTTAAACTAGGAAAAATATGCCATGGAATGTGTGTGTGTGTGTGAGTGTGTCTGTGTCCCCTACAAAGATTTTATATCTGACACATCTCCCTGGTTCAACTCCTAAAATAAGAATATTCTTTTTTCCAGGCACAGTGGCTCATGCCTTTAATCCCAGCACTTTGGGAGGCCAAGGCGGGTGTATCATTTGAGGTCTGGAGTTCAAGACCAGCCTGACCAACATGATGAAATGCTGTCTCTACTAAAAAGACAGAAAAATTAGCTGGGCGCATGCCCATAATCCCAGCTACTCAGGAGGCTGAGGCAGGAGAATCACTTGAACCCAGGAGGCGGAGTTTGCAGTGGGCCGAGATCGCCTCACTGCCCTCCAGCACGGGTGACAGAGTGAGACTCTGTATCAAAAAGAAAAAAGAAATCATTCTTTTTGCAGAGTGTCTCAGTGCCAAACAGCATTTATAAGACTCTCCACTGCTGAGATGGAAAAGATTGGTTAGTTATAACAAAGGTATATTATACACAAAGGGAAGGATGAATTTTAATGACCTGTAAATTGCATAACTGGTAGTTTGAAACATAGAATCACTCATAGTAATCATATTTTCAATTAATTATATCAATTAATTATATACCATAATTTATTTACGTATGAATATTACAGAATGTCTATCCACTTGAAATATTTTTAGTGTCATTTTTTCAAGCTGAAAGCCTGAAACAAACTTAACCTTCATTACATGTTATTAGATGAGATACTGTATAAAGGTGAAATATACACCAGTTCAGGTAAAAGGAAGACTTCACTTATTTCCTAAATATCGTTTAGGGTTCTATCTTAATCATGTTCCCTGCTGTGTCCCATTTATTCCAAACTTTTCAACATTTTATGTGTTCACCCAGCCCCACCATCTTCCACCTAATCATGTCCCCACTTTTTCTCCCTTATTATAAAGTTGAATTTTCTCTTTCCCATAGGAAAGAACAGGACAGTGCACGTGTGTGTGTGTGTGTGTGTGTGTGTGTGTGTGTTACATGTGTATGCATGTGTGTGTGGTCTCTTGTCAATGGATTCCATACTAGAGCAGTAGTTCTCAATTTTGGCTGCATCATGAAACCTTCTGAGATGCATTCACAATTTTTAAACTACTGATGCTGATTGGGTTAGTCTGTGCTATACTTGGGCACTGGGAGTTTTGCAAGTTCCCACAGAATATTCTAATGTGAAGCCCAGGTTGAGCATCACTGTGCTAGAATGTGGAAGCTTCTTTAATTTCTTTTCCTTTCAATTCTGTATTTATGCTGAATATTTTGGTTCTACAGCTGGACTAAAAATAAATTATTTTGACTACAGTAACTCTGAGTTTTGCCATTTTTGGAAATGTTTCACTTGGTAGATAGGGCACTGATTTTGCTTAGATTTATGTGGTTGTCTCTGGACAAATGACATTTGGGAAGTCTGCATAAGTACTCACTGCAGTCACTCCAGCCCTGCTTCATGCCTTCCAAAAACCATATGACAACAGGCAGAGATTTCCATGATCTGGAAAGGGCAGCCTGAACCCTAGACTCACCACCTGCAGGTCCAGCCTGTACCTGGCCATCCTGAAGTTGGAGATAACTATTTCTATGGACAACTCCAGCAGTGGCCAAAAAGCCAGGCCTGTGAAAAATAAAGTCCTTTCTGGCCACCAGCAGGAAACCAGCCAATCTCCATCACCTTCTGCAGATTTTTTTTTTCTACTTTTATTTATTATGAGCATTTCTTACATGGTCATTTTTCTGAATCTCTCCTTACAATTTCTCTGGCAGTATGAATTTTCAGGACCACCTTAGAGTTAAAATATATGAGTAGAGGCCAAGAAGGTATTTGAATTTAGAGTTCATTGAGTCCCATTGTATTAGTTGGCTATAGCTCCTATAACAAAGTACCACAGAGTTGGTGGCTTAAACAACAGAAATTTATTTATTTATTGTCTTGCAGTTCTGGAAGCTACAAGCCTAAGATCAAGGCATCTGTAGGGCTGATTTCTTCTGAAGGTTCTCCCTATGGCTTGTAGATGGCATTCTTCTCCCTCTGTCTTCACACAGTCTTCTCTCTATGTATTTCTGTGTCCTAATCTCCCTTCTTATAAACACACCAGCTGCACTGGATTAGGGCCTACCCTTGTGACTGCATTTTATCTCAATTACCTCTTTAAAGACCCTGTCTCCAATACAGTGACATTGTGAGGGGGTTAAAACTTCAGCATATGAATTTGGGAAAACACAATTCAGACAATAACATCCATGATGAAAGAGTTTATTTCCCTCAGTTGGGATCCTTGTATGTATGAATTCATGGCCATAATGATTGTTTTTACCTTCTCCAGCAAGAGAGCAGAGCCTGACTTTCTGGGAGATACAGATCTCTGTCATTTAAAAATTCTGTGATGAATGTAGTTGGTAACCAAATTGAACTCAAAAAATATAAAGGCTCTGAAAACAAATGCAGAACCCATTAAGTTATGCAGTGAATAAAGGGAAAATGTAAAATAATTTTCCTGATTTTGTGAAAACTATATTTCAGATAATCTGGGAGAAGTTTGATTTAAAATTGTCTCCGTCATAAACATTCTGAGTTTGTTTTTCTTGTCAGGATACAGTTCCAATTAAGAGTGTGGAATATATGGTCATCATACAACTGTCTTTGCTGGTTTCTTTTGCTATGTTATTTATTTGGGTTAGGAGACTGTACCAATCCCCTCATCTATGCAGAGGACTTCAATTTGCACTCACAGGCTGCCTGCTTCAAAGTATTTTTAAAGTATTTTTGTGACTCTCAGTGTAGGGGAGTTTTTCAGTCACTTTCTTAAGGTAATTCACCTAATATTTCCTTCTGGAAAATGTGGGTTTTCCAGATCTTACCTGAGTCCATCAATCCATTAAAATTGTGGTATAATGGCAAGGACTTACCTTGAGGTTTGGGCTTGGTCAGTTTGCCACAGGGCTTGGAGATGGTGACAGTCTTCTGGCATTCGGCATTGTGCAGGGCTCGCTTCAGACTTCCAGTTCTGGTCTTCAGGGCTGTGTTCAGGTCACATTCTCCCCAGGCCTGGAACTGGTATTTGCACTCCGCTAAAGGCAGGGTAGAACCAAACAGAAATCCTTGAAAGATCCTATCGTACTTCCAGGATAATAAAGGCACACTTTTGTTTGTAACTTTTTTATTGAAATAATTATAGATCCATATGCAGCTATAAGAAATAATACAGAGTGTATGCGTGTGTATTGATTTCTGTTCAATTCTATCACATGTGTAGATGCATACGATCACCATCAATATACACCATTAATACACACTAATATACACTATTAATATACAGTCCCAATACAACAGTGGGTCATTCTTTATAGTCATGGCCTAGCCACCTTCCTCCTTCCCCACCTCCTTAATCCCCGGCAACTCCTTATCTGTTCTCTAGCTCTATCATTTTTCTAGCTTAAAAATGTTGCATAAATGGAATTCTACAATATGTAAACTTCTGAGATTGGCTTTTTTATTTAGCATAATTTCCTGAAGATCCATCCAAGTCATGTGCATCAATAGTCTGTTTCTTCCTATTGCTGAGTAGTATTCCATGGTCCCAATGTACCCCAGTTTGTTTAACCATTCATCAGCTGAAGGACATCCGAGTTGTTACCAGCCTTGGGTTACTACAAATAGAACTGCTATATAAATTCATGTATAGGTTTTTGTGGAAACATCAGTTTTCATTTCTCTGAGATAAATTACCAAGAAACTGCTGTGTTACATGGTAAATGCATGTTTCATTTCGTAAAAAACTGCAATACTCTTTTTCCACTGTGGCTGTACCACCTTACAATTTCCACTGGCAACATATGAGGGATCTGGTTTCTTGGCACCCTCACTAGCATTTCGTCTTGTCACTATTTTTTATTCTAGCCACTTTGATAGATGTAGAGTGATATCTCATTATGGTTTCAATTTCTAGTTCCCTAATAAGGAAAAGATGCTGAATATATTTTCAGGAGTTCATTTGTTGCCTATATATCCTCTTTGGTAAAATGTCTGTTAATGTTTTTTCCCCACTTTCTTATTGAACTGTTAGGTTTTGTTTGTTTTGTTTTTTGTTGTTGTTGTTTTGTTGTTTACTGTTGAGTTTGAGAGTTATTTAATATTCTCAATGTAAGTCTTTAAGATATACCTTTTAAACTTTTTGTAAGTGGGTTTTTAAGGTGCCCATATACAATTTAAGACCAAATGTACCTGTTCTCCATCACACTTTTATAGAACTTGTCTATATCCATTCAAATAAAAAATACCCCAAAGATTACAGAGGGAGAAAAAGACATACATGTATACATCCATTATCCTTCCTCACTTGTCTATGGGCCACAATGCATTTCCATAGAACACAGATAGGACATTTCAGGCATCATGTCCCACTATGGCTAAGAAAGACAAAAAGTCTGGATTGTGGAAGAGGTTATTTGAGGGTTCAATACTGGATATAAAGTTGAAAGTGTTGAGAGATCCTGTCTCAGATAGATAGATCAGGCCAGCATAAGACTGACTCCAGTCAGTGGGAGAAAGATTTATGAAACGTGGCTGTGAGCAGCCCTGCTGAACTCAGTAAGTGAATCTGTGAAACTGTGTGGAGGTTGGGGAGGGATCAAATGGGAGAGAAGGTCTGAAAGTGACAGGGAGAAACATGGAGAAGCAGGAGAATAAATAAGAAAAGGGGAAAGGAAAAATCAAAGGAACTTAGAAATAGAAGAAAGGAGAGAGAAGACAGATCAATTAACATTATTCAGAGGAATCAAGGATATATTTTATGTCCCTTTGGAAAGGCAGTGGTTCCCAACCAGGGATGATTTTGACCAACAGGGTACATTTGGCCATAGATATTTGGAGACATTTTTAGTTTTCACATCTGGAGCGGGTGAGGAATGCTACCGGAAACTAGCGAGTAGAAGCCAGCGATGCTCCTAAATACCCTAAAATGCACAAGACAGCCTCCACAACAAATAATTGCCTGGCCTGAAATGGGACCAGTCTGGTCACTTTGTGTCTGGTAAGATAAAGTTATTTAAAATAAAAAGTACTTATCCTTAAAAAGACATTTGGTGGAAAAATTTGAGAATTATCTCAGAGTAGGAGATTAACTCAGTAGCATGAGGCTTACCGCCAAATTGCTTCTTCCAGTTGCAGGGGATCTTACATCTCTGGGTCTTCATGGTTTGCTTGCACTCAGCTCCAGTCCGAGTGCCCTCCCGTGTGCCCAGCCCACAGTCTCCACTGGTGGGCACACACACACTCCACTGCCATTCTCCACAGTCAGACTTCTTCACTTTTTTTTCTGAATGAAAGGAGGAAAACCTAATCAACATACAGAAAACTCCTTAACTTCCAGATATAACCAAGTTCATTCCTGAGCACCTTAATTGCAGGATCTGTGTTTTTTAATCTGTATCCTTATTGTCTAATGAATAGTAGAAACATGATGAATATTAACCAAATTATTGAACCAATGAATGATCAAGAGAAGAGAGAAAGAAAACTGAGAAAAGAGCTAAAACTAATATTAATTGAACTCCCTCTTACTATGTGCCAGAGACTGTGCTAAGTGATTTAGTGGCATCTCCTTTTAGAAGCAAACATTTCTATAAAAGAAGAGATGGTCAAAAATATAGTTCTCCTAAAAATGAAGAAAATATTCTATTAGAAATAACAGTTGTCAGCTGGGCAAAGTGGCTCATGCCTGTAATCCCAGCACTTTGGGAGGTCGAAGCAGGCAGATCACAAGGTCAAAAGATCGAGACCATCCTGGCTAACATGGTGAAACCCCAACTCTACTAAAAATACAAAAATTAGCTGGGCGTGGTGGTGCATGCCTGCAGCCCCAGCTACTCGGGAAGCTGAGGCAGGAGAATCACTTGAACCGGGAGACAGAGGATACAGTGAGTTGAGATCGCACCACTGCACTCCAACCTGGTGACAGAGCGAGACTCCAACTCAAAAAAAAAAAAAAAGAAATAACAGTTGTCAAATGAGCCATTTCAGTGTAAGTTGTTGTTCCTTTCTCTGCCTTGTAGAAGGAATGACATCATACAAATATGGTGCATCACAGATTTAAACAGACTGTCAGTTCCACAGCCTACTTATGACTTTGGGAGTGGCATAGAGAAGGTGCTTTATCTTCTCTGTGCTTGTTTCCTCCTCTGTAAATCTGAAATTAAGGAGAAAAACAAGTTGCAGTGCATTTTTTTTTTTTTGAGGTAGAGAGGTAAATAATAAAGCACCTGATTACCGGTCAATGTTCTATACATAGTAGCTGCTAATTTGATCATTATATTAATGATCATCATCGTCATGCAATCCAAGACTTACAATGGGAGAAAAATAAGACAGGATATTTCTTAGGTTCCTCTAAGTAATTATTTTTGAAAAGGGAAGATTGAAGGAATAGAGGAATAGGAAGGGAGAGAGGCAGAGTAGAAGAGAGGAAGGAAAAGCAGGTAATTAGACTAGATGGACATTAATCAATGAAGCATCTTGCCTTCAGAACCCTACTGCTTACCTGGTTTCTCTTTCTTCCCTGCTTCAGCAGTATCCACAGCTGCCAGTATGAAAATGAATGCCAAGAAGGCAGCTGCAAATTTTCGACGCTGCTGCTGGTACTGTTGAGCCTGCATTCTAGGAATAAACAGAGAAAGAGAAGAAGGTGGCATTAACCTAAGTCAGAAAGGAAGATTCATTGAACCCTTGATGAAAAGGCTCCACTTTCCATTTCTGGAATGTTAGATTTCAGGAAGATTCATATCAATTATCTTGGGTAGAATTTTATCTATTCTTACCAACAGCCATTGAAATAAGTGCTCTTCTGCAATCAATCACGTATTCACTGACAAAACGCAACAGTTCTTCACTTAAGACTTCACAACCATTTGCTAAGTATGACTCAGAAATTATGGAAGCAAAAGAACTTTGAAGGCATGCATTTGAACACAGTCCTACTGTCTTGCTGATAGCATCACTTGGTAATATCGACAACTACAGCCATCTTCAAAATTCCTGACAATATTAGAAACAACCACAGCAATGATACTGCTGTACACAAGACCAATTTGAGTAGACATGATGAATGAATTACCTATACAAGTATATGTTTACTGTTTCTATTTAGACGCATACACAACAACCAACATCTCTGATCTTTTTAAAATCATTGTCATAATCATCACTATCATCTTATTATTCCATTATTTATTGATCTAACAAAGAGTGAATCCCAGAAGTAGAGCTAGCACACCTGTGATACATATCAAACACAATGATAAATTCGCATGTGCTAAAAATCCTCTAATCTTAGGATATGGTGAAGTCTTTACACTCACTCATAATAGGAAATGCTCACATTTGATGTGAATCAAAAATCCCAAGATATCATTAGAAAGACTCTCCTAGAACTTGAAGCCACCTGTGACAGCCTAGTGTCAATATGGTCACTTGGCCAAAACACCCTTGAGAAAGTTTCAGTCCAAGCTCCAGGACGACCCACTTCCCAATGGCTACACCATATCATGGCTGCAGCAACTTGCCTGGCAGTTATTGAGCTCCATCTGCTGTGTTAGTGGTGTGTTATACTTCACATAAAAATGGTTGTAATGTCCTATGATCATAGGCTGATAATTTTTTTTCCAGAGGTAGTACTAGATTAGTTTAGGTGTTTCAACATTCTCTTTAGTGTGAACAATAAAACGTTTCATGTATATAAGGGGTTGAGATTATTCTTTTCTCTAATTTATTTTCCTCATTGAAAAATATCTGAGATGATATCCTTGCCCGTGAATTTTTCTCCTTTTCTGTGGCATTGTATATGCTGTCTCTTATTAGTGTTTTTTTAAATTTATTTATTTTTAATTTTACTTTAAGTTCCAAGATACATGTGCAGAATGTGCAGGTTTGTTACACAGGTATACATGTGCCATGATGGTTTGCTGCACTTATTGACTGGTCCTCTAAGTTCCCTCCCCTTACCCCACACCCCTCAACAGGTCCTGGTGTGTGATGTTCCCCTCCCTGTGTCCATGTCTTCTCAATGTTCAACTCCCAGTTATGAGTGAGAACATGCGGTGTTTGGTTTCCTGTTCCTGTGTTAGTTTGCTGTGGATGATGGCCTCCAGCTTCACTCATGTCCCTGCAAAGGACATGATCTCATTCCTTGTTATGGTTGCCTAGTATTCCATTGTATATATGTACCAAATTTTCTTTATCCAGTCTATCATTGATAAGCTTTTGGGTTGGTTCAATGGCTTTGCTATGTAATAGTGCTGCAATAAACCTATGTGTGCCTGTGTCTTTATATTAAAATAATTCATATTCCTTTGGGTATATACTCAGTAATGGGATGGCTGGATCAAATGGTATTTCTGGTTCTAGATCCTCAAGGAATCACCACACCGTTTTCCACAATGGTTGAACTAATTTCCAGAATTTACAAGGAACTTAAACAAATTTATAAAAAACAAAACAAAACAAAACAAAACAAAAACCCCATCAAAAACTGGGCAAAGGATATGACAGACACTTTTCAAAAGACATTTCTGCAGCCAACAAATATGAAAAAAAGCTCAACATCACTGATCATTAGAGAAATGCAAATCAAAACCACAGTGAGATACCATCTCAAGCCAGTCAGAATGGCAATTATTAAAAAGTCAAGAAACAATAGATGCTGGCAAGACTGTGGAGAAATAAGAATGCTTTTACACTGTTGGTGGGAATGTAAATAAGTGTTGTTTTTAAAAATTGATGACTTTGGATTCCAACATATGGATGAAGCATATTTCACTTATCAATTAAAATTAATATTTTGAACCTTAATTTTTTCCCTGAATCACAAGCCTAGATTAGCTACTCACCATCTCCAGCACTTTCTACAATATAAGATAAGGTGCTTTGTTCTTCCTCCTGAGGCTAAATTCTTATTATATCAGATTGGTGCAAAAGTGATCATGGCTTTTGCCCTTAAAGTAAAAATCGCAGTTACTTTTGCACCAACCTAATACCTCATGAATGGTCACGCAGAAAAGTTTCTACTGATTCTGAGGCTTTTCCTGCGCTTTTAATTGGGTGTGAATGGTAAAAGAAGCCAGTCTAGACTCATAGGTTTGCAAGTCTTTTCAGAGTTCTTTGAGTTGGGCACTGGTACATCAGTGCTACTATATCTTTCATAATGTACTCAAATGTCATTTAAAATTATTAGGTGTAAAGTAAACCAAAGTGGAAGTCTTTGAGCTTTCCCCAGAGGCTGGCTGAAAGCCTTCTTTCTGTCACTTTGGCAGAAACTTTTCATTTCAATTGTTTAAAAGGGCAAATTATTTTTTTGATTCAGAACTTTTAAATTACAATATATTTCTTTCCAAGTTAAAATTTACCTGCATTTTCAACAGTTACTTACAAATATCAGAAGTATTTAGGTTGTTGAGAATTAGATTACTGTGAGAATTTGGAAATTCTCATGGAGAACGCAGAACTCTTGAGAGAACTTTCTGCCCAAGCCATGGGATGCTCATCCATAGTCCTATGATACCTACAGCAAGAAGAGAGGCCAGAAGCACCTCAGAGCCCACTGGAGAAATATGATAACTTGGCAGAAATAGAAAGACTCTACCTTCTGTAAATAATACAATAACACACATATACACACACATGCACACACAGAGTTATTCATGGCAAGGTGCTATCACTGGCAAGTTTTAACCTCAGCATTTCTAGTTTTATATTGTTAAACTCTTGTTTTCATCGTTATTTTCAAAAAGATTTCCTTAATCCAGTTCTATTCACTGATTTCAAGGAAAAAAACACACAGGCCATAATTTCCAAATCAAATAAAATTTTTAGTATAGAATAGTCTACTAAACAAGTCATTATAACTGAAATATGAGCTGACTGGAAAGAAGGAAAGGTAAGTACTAGATGGGAGTTGGAGAGAAAGTAGAATGGAAATACACTCTATCTGCCTCTAATGTTAATTTAGAATAATTAAGAACATTAAGAATTGAGTAAATGGTGGATTTCAGCACTTAAATCTTCTATGAAATAAATGCACACAAGTCCATGTGTACAGTGGGTCACCTGTGTACAATACGTGTTCAACAACAGCTTTGAATTGAAGAACACTGTTCTTCTCAGCCTCTTCTCCCCTTCCTTCTATTTTGTTCATCATTCTACTTAAGCCTATATTTTGAGAGCTTAGATGTTTCTGGGTAGAGAAAATGAATAAAGGTTATTTAAAAGAAGAGAGTAAAGAGTTTTAAAAATGCAATGATTAAATTTATCCAAAAATTCAAGTATGCCCAAAACAATACCCAACTAGCCTGCTGGTGCCTTGCTGTTGTAGTAAATACTTGAGTAACTAGTATACATAGGGGTAGATAACAGTTGCCCTTGCTTGTGATATTTGCATAGTTGATTGTTTATTTGTCCTTAGCACCAAGTGAGGGCAAAAGCTCTTCCTGTATGAAGTTTAACCCTACCTGTTCTCCAACAGACTGAGTGCCAAATGAGAGCAGAGGCAAAAATATGGATTCTAAGGAAGTGATCAGGATCGTGGCATATTTTTTTTAATCTGGGGAAAATAAAATAGTGCGAGAATAAAGCCTTACTAAATTGACTCCATTCTTTTGAATAATTTACTTGTTTCTCACCCCCTTTTCCTACTGCAATCATTCTTGTACTTGCCCTAATAGACTTAATTGCATATTAACAATTAAGTTGAAGACTACCATATTTGGGTGCTGGTGTCTGGAAATAATTGTTAAGTTATCTCAATGAAATCTGAAACTCAATGATTAAAAGACATTAAAGAAACCAACTTTAGGAGAATGTGTTTATCTATTAAATCTCAATCTCTTTTCTGGATAAATAGCTAATTAGGAAAAGAGAGCTCCCCTTTTCCTTAGTATTTTAAGGAGATCTAGAATTTTCAAGATGGTAATATCTAAAGTAAATACAGGGAAAGGATGCTGGAAACTGTACTTTAGCGACCTATTTGGGGGATTAATACAGGATCTGGAGGCAAAACCTTTGGCTCAAACTTCAGCTATACCACCTACTTTTTGAGTGTCCTTGAACAAATTACCAAATCACAACAGATTGAACTGTTTTGACATCTGCAAAATGGGGGTGATTGTAACAATTACTTGAGAGACTTGTCATGAAGATTACAAGATACAGATATAGAAATAACCAGAATATTAATACAGTATTAGTTGCTGAATAAAATTAGTGTACCCCTTTACTCTTATTACTTACTACAAAGAAGTGCTTTTTTTATTAAAAAAATAAGCATTATACTTTGTTTTATCTAGTATTATCCAAAAGCAAAACAAAACAAACAAAAAGGGACAGAGAGAGAGAGACATGATTTAATTGAGACCAACTAAAGTTGTGTTCAGCCTTATCAGGACACAAATTAAATCTGCCTTTACTTCTTCGAAGCTTAATAAGAACTCAAGGACCTTCATCCCCAGTATTTCTTTTGAGTTCGCTGAAGTCAAGAGGTCCAATGTTGCAATGTTGATAATTAGGAAATATGTAAATGTAATTTAACTTGTATGAAATAAGAAAAAACATCTCACTTTGCAACTACATATTATACCCTTCATGTGATAAAACTATTATGTCTCCCACTTTTTATTTAAAGTACCTAAGATTTTAAAATAGCTACTACTCATTACACTTTTTGCTAGTGGAAAACATCAGCAAAACATGGCATTAAACAGAGGAATGAATAGTCATAATAAAAGATTGTCTCTGCCCTTTGTCAATACCTGGGGATGTGTAATTTACCAAAGAAGTGCTGGAAACAATCAGTTTTGAGAGTAGCCTCATATGAGAGTAAATGATTTGTGATGCTTCTGCATTATTTGTTTCACATTGCCAGATTGTTCTAGATATTGTGTGATTCAGTTGCATAAACTCTCGTGAAATAGTAATTTTCTGACCTCTTTATTGTAAAACAAAACACAAGTTATAGAAAAACCACACAAACCCACTAAAGAGCTTAGCAAATTATTGTAAGATTTTTCCAGTCATGTGAGAAGGCTTTACATGTTTCCCATCCCAATGACAGTCTCATCCCTCCAAAAGTAACTCATATAGTAATTATTTATTTGTATTATTTGAAGGTTTTATTCAAGGGTGCTTCCCTTGACTTGTCTAATTTTAATTTATTTTATTTTATTTTTAAACTGATACATCTTTCAATTTGCTTTTACTATACAGGATTACCCTCCATCACTTTCTTTTTCTTGCTTTTTACTTTTACAAAGCCCAGGCCATTTAATCATTAGTATCCCATATTCCAGATTTTGATGATTGCAAATTCATGGTGCAATTCAATATTCTCTTCAGCTGCAAATTGGCAGTTGGATGCAGAGGCTTAATCAGACTCAGGTGCTATCCCTTTGGTAAGAATGTAAATAACATTGCATTCTTTCACCAGGAGCTACAAAATATTTGGGTTTTGCTCTTTTGTGATGTTAGCAGCCATTGGTACTTAATGAGTATGGATGGGGGTTGCAAAATGGTGATATTCTCATTCTAGTCTTTCATTTTCATACAATACTTAACATAATTCCATAAAGAAATGTTTTCCTTCATCTAATATTTTGTTCAGCTGTTTAAAGTTCATAAAGATATATAGGATAAATGCTTGATTCTTTCCTTTTATTTATCTAGTTTTCAAGATTATGAATTTGCTCTCTACTATCATTAAAATACAGCCAATCACTTTTTCTTTTTTTAATGTTATTATAAATTCATGCATTTATTCATATTTGATAGGTTTTAAGCCATCACATTCTTTTTATCTTTATTGAAGCTCTAATTGTCCCATCTTTGAAGAATCTTTGTTTGTTCGTTTTGATAATAACAAATGATATTTTAAGACCAAAATCTGGGCACTAGGGATGCTCAGCTTCAATGAGTTTGTCTTTATTTCCAGCCCATTTTCTGTGAGCAGAGTGAGGAAAGGACAAAGGAAATGATAGAACTAAATATAAAATTAATGATTTGATTATCTTACATTACATAAACATTAGTCTCATGGTAATAATATAAATATTAAACCCACCAATTATGAATTTTAAAAGCAGTTAAAATGATTTTACATAGATGATCTCCTTTTGGCTCTCATTTTTATAGTTGCTTGACATCTATGTAATCAGACATTTTAGTCATTACATACTTACAGGGGCCAAGGGAAAATTTCCCCTTTGCCCTGTGAAGGTTACCTAAAAATCGCTGAGAAAAGGTAAATAAATAGGAGAAATGGCATATAAATTTATTTGATCACATTTTTACGTGACATGGGAGCATTCAGAACGAAGACCCAAAGATTCAGGAGAAAAACTATCTATTTTTATGCCTAGGCTCAACAAAATATGGACAGCTGTGTAGAAGTATGATTAGGCAAAAGGTATAATCTAGTGCTAACAACAGGCTGAATGAGGAAACCAAGCAAGGCCGGCCTGTTTAGAGTCTTCTTGGTCTCTCTCTGTGTACCTTTGCTTTCTCTGCATGTGGGGCAGGGCCCTCTCTGGAATGGAGATCTTATGATTTATACTCAAACAAAGTACATCAGATAATTTCTTTATGGCCAGTTTTTACACAGAAAGGTGTAGGGAAGTTAGAATAATATCTTTAGGTTCTATGGCTAGTTTTGGGGAAAAAGAGTTCTGGTTTCTATGACATGCCTTGTGGAAGAGTTTCTATGACTATTCAGAATCTATTTTACTTTCCCTTATAAATATAGTATTATTTTACCTGAGATGCCCAAGGGATTTTTTTCTTTAAAGTACAACAATTTTCCTAAAAAATAACTAGGTGTTTTTCATTTTGGTTAAATATTTTCAGACAGTAATGAGATCTTTGCTTTGCTTATTTTCAATATTTGTCATTTTATCTCAAATCCTTTTTATATTTTTTATTTAAAAGCAATTGCTTTTTTATCTTCAATTTATCTTAAGGTATTACTTGTGTTTATTCAATCTTGTGTCCCTTCTAGTTTAGTCTTCATTTCTAAAATAGATTTCTTATCATTCTAATTCTTTCCCAGTTTTGTCACCTCATTGCTGAGTTTTCTAATTATAATTTGTGATGCTCTTTTACATTTTATATTGTTTTCTTAGTGTTTTCTAACTCATTTTGAAACAGTAGGTTACTGTGTAGCAGGATGAGCCACAGACAAAACCCCTCAGACACCGAGATAGTGAAGGGAGTGGCTTTAATCAGCTGGGAGCATCAGCAGCCTAGCGTCTTAAAATCCGAGCTCCTCAGGTGCTCAACTTCTGTCCCTTTTAAGGGCTAACAACCCTAAGGGGGTCCACATGAGAGGGTCGTGATTGATTGAGCAAGCCAGGGGGTATGTGACGGGGCTGTGAGCACCGATGGACAGAGTGAAACAGAATAGAACGGGAGGTTTCACAAGGTCCTTCCATACAATGTCTGGAATCTATAGATAACAACAGTTGCTAGGTCAGGGGTGGAATTTTTACTACCAGGCTTAGGTCAGGCAGGCCCAGGCCTGGTTTCAGATCTGGTTCCTTGGTTTCAGGTCTGGTTCCTAGGTGCTGGGCTACCTGCCTTTTGTTTCTCTTCTCTTTCCTTTTCTGAGTATAAAACAACATGAGAGGGTCTCTCTCGTCCCTCATTTCCCCCCTTCGAGACTCTCACTTTTTATTAGTTGGAGTTCTCACTCTTATTTTTGCTACTTACATCTTCTTGTGCAATAGATTGATAGTGATTCATATAGTACACTTGTGCTGAAGCATTTTGGTGAATCAAGGTAGTGATGAAGCTTTTTATCATTTGAAGAAGTACAGGTAGCAAACAAGGGAGCAGTAAGCAGGTTCCTATTACTATTATAACTCTTATTATAAGAGTTTTAAATTTTCTTAGTGCTGGGAACCACCTTCTAAACATGGCTTCAGGGTCGAATCCATGTTACACTTGTACAGGCACATGTGCCAGTTTTGTCATATTTTTAACTATGTCTTTAACTACTTGCCTTTGATTATCTATGTGTAGACAGTAACTAGTAAGGTTAAATTTCTTATAGACCTCTCTTTCAGCTGCTAGCAAGTAGTCGAGAGCCAATCTATTTTGATAGATAGCATTTCTTATCTGAGTTTCTTGCCGGGCCAGAATAGTCAAGGCTTGACAGGTTTTATTAGTGATGATTTCTAGAACAGCCTGCAACCATATGATTCAGTTGAGCATGTAAATGGGGGTCTGGTATCCCCATGAGCTGTCTTGTGCCTAAGTACCAGGCCTATAATATTGTATGATTTGCTTAGGGGGCTATTCATTATTTTTGAATTTTTTTATAGCTATGCTTTTCTTTTTGCAGGAAGCATAGACAGGGAAGCCCAGGAGTTTGCCTCTTTTTATGGGTAGTAGGAAGAAAGATGGTTTAATAGTGCCAATAATACAACTACCTGACCACTGGTCAGGCAGCTTAGCGTAGGTTCTATGTCCACATACCCAGTATAGCCTAGTGGGGGCCGTCCAGTCCCGGTGGGATTCTGGGTGGGCTTAAATGGTCTGCAACTTTGGAAATCTACTGAATGGATTTTTATCTGTGTGTTTTGAACTCCACCACGTAACTGTTTTTGTGGTACTATTACACAGTTTTTGTCCTAAGCAACTAAGTCATCCTACAGAATGAGTGAATTCTTTCCTTTTTCTAGCTTTGCAATATTGTCCAATATTTGAAACTTTTAGAACCTAGAAATGATCAGGGTGATTCTTTAGGGCTGGGAATTCATCAGGAACTGGGTCTGTAGGCTCTAATTCTCAGGCTTCTTATGGCCATTGATCTCCTGTTACAGTTCCTCCACAAACATAACATTTAGAGACTGCGCTACATACCTTGGATAGAATAGCATTATGCAAACAAGTTTCTTTTAGAGTCCCGGTACACTTATAATAACCATAAAGTAATAGGACTGTAGCAATCTTTTATCCTACCTCAGTGACTTGATGTATATACTGGGAACAGTCCTCAGTCTGAGGAAGGTCAGTTGAAGTCCTTACTGTGCAAGTCCAAATTTTAAGGAAAATGAGTCCCGCGATGAGTTTCCTCATGCTTCGGCCATGAGTGGACCAGTCAGCTTCCGGGTGTGACTGGAGCAGCGCTTGTCGTCTTCTTCAGAATCACTTTGCAGGGGTTGGCGAAGCTGCTCCCATCCACGTACAGCTCCCAGTCTACTGATGTTTAAGGATGGTCTTGGAGGTTGGACCCACTAGAATAAACTGAGTCCAATAACTCTACACAGTTATGTTCAACTGGGCTCTCTGATACCAGGAGTAAGGTGGCTGGGTTTAGGGTGTTGCAAACTTCGACGGTTATGCAGGGATTTTCACAGAGCAAGCTTTGGTATCTAGTCAGTCTAGCATTCATTAGCTAATGATGTCCTTTGGTATTTATTAAAGTTACCACAGCATGGGGGGACTTTAGGTTTTGCCTAAGAGTTAGCTTATCTGCTTCTTGTGCTAACAGGGTCATTGCTGCCAGGGACCTTAGACATGGGGGCCAGCCTTTGGAAACCCCTTCTAGTGTTTTGAGAGATAGGCCACTGGCCTTGGCCAGGACCTTACAGTCTGGGTTAAAACTCCAACTGCCATTTTTTTTTTTTTTTTTTTGACACATAGAGTGTAAAAAGTTTTGTCAGGTCAGGTGGCCCCAGGGCTGGGGCCGACCTGAGTTTTTCTTTTAACTCATGAAAAGCTTGCTGCTGTTGGTTGTAATAGATGTAGTTTATCTAATTTATATTTTTATTAACTGTCACCTACTAAAATATTGAATTAAATCCTGTAGCTATTTGATTTCAAGCTTTAAATTGATCTGTATTCCTCGTGGGACTCCAACTGCGTCTAAATGGACAGGAGAGTCGAAAGACCTATAAGGGGCTTCTCTCACTTTACAATGTCTTATTTTTTTTCCTTCTGGTTGATGAAATGCCAGGGTGAAAGGGATAGCCAATTGGACTAAAGTATAAGTGCCACTCCAGTTATTCGGCAGAGTGCCCAGTAAAGGTCCACCACAATACCACCACACATCTGCTTGCGGATGAACAATGGCTGACTGATTGATAAGCTCTTGAAAATTCTTAAGCTCATCGCATCCCTTCAGGTCTCCAAGGAATGCTAAGTTTCCTCCCTGTCGTGAGAGACAACGAAGTGAACTTAGTGTTGGGAGACGGAGGCTGGATGGCCCTCAGGGGCTGACCCGCAGGGTACCAGACTTTGGGATATAGCAGAGAGAGCCT
This sequence comes from Homo sapiens, assembly GCF_000001405.40. Lineage (NCBI taxonomy): Eukaryota > Metazoa > Chordata > Mammalia > Primates > Hominidae > Homo > Homo sapiens. The sequence continues at coordinate 137,265,618 of NC_000007.14, forward strand.
GGCATGACTTATTAATCCAGGCTGTAGAATCCTGGAAAACAGCTACCATGCAGCCCACGCCTGGCCGACTGGAGGACCATCTTAGTGGAAGGGAGACAATCAGGGCCTCTGGCCTGCCATGTGCACAAGCATAACAATTGCTTTTGTTTAACGTGCAGATGGAATATTTGATCCATTCCAACCAGGCATTTGCATCTTGGTATGCTATCTTAATTGCCAAAGTTTGTTTTAAGTTTTTAACTTTTATGATCTTCTTGTAAAATGAATGTTTCCTTTAGCACCTATTTTTATTAGTTTTTAGACCAAAGAAAGCCAAATACCATTTTACATTTAACAATGCTTTTTGTATGATTTTTACACTAGATAAGCTAAATTTTACTTTTATATTAGTGTGTTATTAATGTTAAACTTAATTTTAATAAAACCTTGTAGACATATTTATCTAATTTTTAATGTTTGATCATAAGTAAGATTTTATAGACTCTTTTTAACCTTTTATAATTTTTGTTAAAGAGGAGATTGGTGCTTTAAGAAAAACCTGTTGCATTTTTACTTTAATGTCCATTTCACAGAAAAACTGGATGATACTTTTTTAAGTTTAGCTAATATGTTTACACACAGAATTTTCTTTACAATTAACGTTTTAAAACTTGCTTAAACTTTCAAAACAATGATTTTTTTTAACTTTTTAATGTAGGTAAAAATCCACATTCTTATGCCTCCTTATAGTCCTTTTACCAAAGGTATATTTAACTTTCCTTATACACCTTGCACATAAACTGTTTCTTCAATAGTACTCAGGAGGCCTTATTACTTTTAAATTATACAACATTTTTTGCATAAATTTTTTTATAACTTTTTTCTTCCACGACTTTCGCAGACAATTCTTCCACATGCTCAACTTTCTGACTTATTACAAACATTTTTTTTTAAAAAAACAACCAGTTAATTTATTTCAGGACAAGAATTTACCATATAACACTCTTTTTACATAAATTCTGCCTCCCCTTTTTTTTCCTTTTTTTTTGAAGATAACCATTCTGTTTTTTTTTTTTTAAAGCGAACTTTCTTTATGTCTGTGGACTAGATGAAGGCCACAAGATTAGAAGTTACTATAATACATGTTACACTGTTAACTTTTAGCAAATTTTACTTTTGTTGAAAACCTTGTAAGTTTGGGATTTCAATTATTCTTTGCTATTAATAAGAGCCTGTTTAGTCTAAATTAACTTAGAATTTGTATAGATGGCCTTTTTTTTTTTTTTTTTTTTTTCCTGTTAGCAAAGCAGCTGCCGCTACAGATTGAACACATCTGGGCCATCCGCAGGTTACTGGGTTAAGGGTTTCTGATAGGAAGGCCTCAGTGCTTTCCGGATACGCCCTTGTTTACACTGACAACAAAGTGGTATTACAGTGTTACAGGGTTACTGAGAATACCTTTAATTATCAATTATAGGTTTTAAATATGCCTTGGCTTTTAAAGGAATCAGGTATATTGTATTTTTCTTAACTACTTGTATATTTCTCTCTCTTGTTCTTTCTCTCTTTGACTTTCTGTCTCTCTCTCTGACTTTCCTTTTGCCTTTGTCTCTTCCTCTCTTTCTGCCTCTATCTTTCTCTGTCTCTCTCTCTTTTCTTGACTCCTTCTTTGTCTCTCTGTCTCTTCCTCTGTGTCTTTTCCTCTCTCTTTGCCTCTTTTTCTCTCTTTCCTCTCTTTCTCTCTGCTGGTCTTTCCTTGCCTCTGCCAGCCGCTTATGCTGCTGTTCTCTTAACTACTGTTGGGGGGAAGGGGGTCTAAAACCAGCTGTAACTGTCTATGTACGGAAACTGGTCTGCGTGCCTTGGCTTACAGGTTACCTTGTGCCATACCTCTGAAACAAGGGACCTGTCTAGGCTTCCTTCTGATGGCCAACCCACCTCAAATGCTGGCCAGTCTATTTCACACAAAGTTCTAAGTTTTCCTGGTATCATAGTAACACCGTAATCTCCCTTAAATTCTTTCTTGAAATTTTTCAACATAGTTCCTAGTGGGGTGGGCTTAGTTTGTACCTGACCCGTGTCTCCTCGAGACAAAACACCACGCTCACACCACACGCACACTACAAAACAAAGAACGGGTAAAAAGGGCACACACACACTTTTACAGTTTACACCAAACCAGAATCAAAACCAAAATCGGAGTATCAGGAAATCCAAGCCAGGTCAAAACCAAAACCAAAGTATCAAGCAATCTAAGTCAAGTCAAAAACAAAAAACAAAGTGCCGATACAGGCATACCATGGGTGATCAGGCCATGCTTCCACTTGAATGGAGTAGGCAAGTTCCCAAGATCAATCCTGTCAAGCAATTCAAACCAAGTCAAAACAAAAACAAAAACCAAAGAGCCCATAAAGGCACAAAGTGGGTGATCAGGCCACGCTTCCACTCAAATGAGTGGGCAAGTTCCAAAGACTAGTCTTACCGAGTTTGAGACGTCCGGACTCCAAGTGCCAAGTGCCAGTTCCTTCCCGGTGTTCAGCCACTGCGTTGATCCTCCACGGGGGCCTGCCACACACGGCTCTGGCGAGGCATCCCACCGGGGCAAATGCCTACCCGGGAGCGCTCTCAGGATCCGCGTCGCTCCGGCTGGTTGGAGTCCCCCGCAGGGATGTTCCACAGGGCAGGCTAAAGCCGCTTAAGAAGCTGCCTGGACCGTCCATTACTCACCTCGCTTGCCGGTCAGGGAACCAAGAAATGTAGCAGGACGAGCCGCGGACAGGAGACACCGAGATAGTGAAGGGAGTGGCTTTAATCAGCTGGGAGCATCAGCAGCCTAGCGTCTTAAAATCTGAGCTCCTCAGGTGCTCAACTTCTGTCCCTTTTAAGGGCTAACAACTCTAAGGGGGTCCACGTGAGAGGGTCGTGATCGACTGAGCAAGCCAGGGGGTACGTGATAGGGGCTGTGAGCACCGATGGTCAGAGTGAAACAGAACAGAACGGGAGGTTTCACAGTGTCCTTCCATACAATGTCTGGAATCTGTAGATAACAACAGTTGCCAGGTCAGGTCAGGGGTGGAATTTTTACTACCAGGCTTAGGTCAGGCAGGCCCAGGCCTGGTTTCAGATCTGGTTCCTTGGTTTCGGGTCTGGTTCCTAGGCGCTGGGTTACCTGCCTTTTGTTTGGCTTCTCTTTCCTTTTCTGAGTATGAAATAATATAAAACAATATGAGAGGGTCTCTCTTGTCCCTTATTTCCCCTTAATTCTTTCCTAGTTCTGTCACCTCATTGCTGAGTTTTCTAATTATAATTTGTGATGCTCTTTTACATTTTATATTGTTTTCTTAGTGTTTTGTAACTCGTTTTGAAACTGTAGGTTACAAAGATTTTTGTTGTTCTGTTTCTTGAGCATATTCAGAAATTCTTGAATTGGCCATATAAATAATGGTCTTCCCCTTTTTCTGTTCATTCTCTCCTTTTAAGTTACTTTGTATGAGATTTGACCTCAATACATTTCTCTTGTTCATATTTATGTTCACATAGCTTTTCTAATTTCACAAAATCTGTTCTTCTGTTCTTTCATATAATGGTGGAAACATGGTATCTAACTTTCTGAGATTTTCACGTTCTGTTCTCTTCTTACTTTTATCTAGTCTTTCTCTTTCTCTTTTGTTTCTATTGTTGCTCTCTTGATCAATTTTGATTTTGTTCACGCAGTTTATCCTTACAGTGAGTTCCTGCCCCAGAAGGGAGTCCTGGAGGGTCAGCTTTTATTCTCACATTGGCTCACCATGATCTACAGTGCACTTGTGTGGGCTGTTTTGGGTTCTCCCCCTGTCAGATCTGTCTCATGTTGCTTCTCTCTATCTTGTTTTGTTCAAATACCAATAGCATGCAAGTCTTGTGGTTACTAGTGGTTTGCTCCCGTTCACTTTTGCTTTCAGGTTTGTGAGAGAAAAATTTATCCTGATTTTTGCTTTAAATCTTGACCATGGGTTTTGGTCTTGCTATCTGTCAAGCTGCTTCATCTATTTTTTTTTTTTTTTTTTTTTTTTTTTGAGACGGAATCTTGCTCTGTCACCAGGCTGGAGTCCAGTGGCATGACCTCTGCTCACTGCAACCTCCACCTCCTGGGTTCAAGCGATTCTCCTGTCTTGGCCTCCCAAGTAGTTGGGATTACAAATGTGCGCTACCCTGCCCGGCTAATTTTTGTACTCTTAGTAGAGATGGGATTTCACCATGTTGGCCAGGGTGGTCTCAATCTCCTGACCTCGTGAGCCTCCCACCTCTCCCTCCCAAAGTGCTGGGATTACAGGCGTGAGCCACCGCGCCCAGCCTGCTCCATCTATTTTTATGTGAAGATTCAGGAAGTTTCCAAAACTATCTTGACACCTCTTTCCACCCCAAATTAACACATTATTTCATTAAATGTTTTGGAGTCACCTACCCTATGCCAGCCACTGGGTGGTATTCTCAAGACACGACAGTGACAAGTGATAAGACAGATGTTTTGGCTTGTTCTCATGAAGCTTGCACTCCGATAAAGCATCAGTGACAGATAAATAGCCAATTATAATTCACTGTCCTCTCATAGGAAGTACAGAATGTCATGAAGTACAAGGGAAGGGCAATTATTTTGCATTTCCCTTTTTCGATTGTCAATTAATTTTAAGACAGGGATTCAGTTAAGGCCAAAGATTTAACTTCCCTGAAGTTCCCTATAAAGTGAACAAAACCACTTATAGCTAGAAGTTCTTTTATAAGGTATTAGCTATTAATAAATGTCCTGATTATTTTTGTCATACAGTCAAATGCTTGTCTTTTCTTATTCACCAGAAATAATTTTATTTTAGTTTAAGAAAGTACAGTATTCATTTAGTTAACAAATTTATTTATAGTACTGACCATATTCAATGATCTGTTTTAAGCACTTTACAAATATTGACTCATGGTAATATTAAATGATATTTGGTTCATTACAAATAGTGTATCCATTTACTAAATTATTCAAAAACTTTGTAAGAGTTGCAGCCTTTGTGGCATACATTATTCTAGGCAATAAAAATAAGGAGTTGAACAACACAGACAAGATTCCTGACCACACAATGCTTATATTTAGTGGGCAAGCTGGAAAATAACATGGAAAAAAATAGACGACTAAAGAGATTCATACACAAGGTAATTTCTGATTGTGGAAAATTTGTGACAAGAAAATTAAAAATGATATCATAAAGAGTGACCCAAGGAGGACTATTTAGGTAGGGGGTTATGGGTGGCTTCATCCTATGGCTAAGAAAGAGCAAGTGAGGTATGGTATCTCTACTGAAAATAGTTTGCATCATGGACTCCAAATTCTCACTTTTCCTTCCTCGTTATTCTCTTCTAAGACAAGAAGGCCTCCAAGCTTTTAACATTCTTCTGGAATTCAGTAGTTAGCCATCCATTTCTCCTGATTGATATTGTTCTCCCCATTCTACTGCAGGCTCTGCATCCACATAATCTTCCTAGCTTTGACCAACATCAAACAATTTCTCACTCTTATTGGCTCACTAGCAGGCAATCTGATCAAACCTGAAATCGTACCAATTCATAATCTGTATTAATATCCAATGTCATATAATTTCAGAATTAAAAACAAACAAATCAAGAAATGTTTACATTTCCCAAGAAAAATAATGTCCCTTTTTAAATTTAAACATGATATCACAAAGTGTTCTTTTCCCATGTGTTCTGACTTGGTAATATAGTAGAAAATCCGTTGTGACTAAAAGCATGGAGTCTTATCACCTCTGTTCCCTATTAATCTTTACAAGGATGAGTAGGTTTCATGAAAACTGTCTTCTACTTCAAATTCATCTCTAATTACACAGAAGCACACAGGCGTAAGAAAGAAACAAATAAATCAACCAAAACAAGTATTCGAAGGAAATACACTGGGTTTTCTCTTTATAATATAACTGTGATAGTAAAGGTATGTTTGTTCAATTATTCTGGGGAGCCAAATGAGTTCAAAGAAGACTCGGCTGTTTGTATTATTCCTTTATCGCTTTAATTTATTATAATTGAAAAGAGCTGGAGACTGACTTTGAGAATCACAGAATTGTTTAGTTTCCTCCTAATCCTTTTCAAGTCTATCTGCTGCAACGTGGTATAGGGGAGCAAATAAGAGTTTTAGACCAAGTCAGAGCTGAGTGAGAATCACAACTCTGGCTAGGGAATGTGAAGCAATACATTTACTTTCTCTGAAACTTATTTTTCTTAGCAATCGACGTGGGTATAATATCTTCCCCACAAAGTTTTGGGATTAGAGATTACGTATGAAAATTAAGCAACACAGTTCCTGGCACACAGCAGACCCATAATATCTTTTCTCAATAAGCTTTTCTAACTTCAATTGCAGCCCTCTTGCCCCTTCATCTTTAATTATACAAAGTCAATAAATGGACACAGTGGATATAATTTCCCTATACCAGCATGCCAAACACTGACTGTTCCTTGGGTAAAAATAGCAATCCAATTCTTCTTTTTACCAGATTATTGTACTATCTTCCTAATTCATCTTCCTGTTGTCTTTCTTATTTCCTTCTAAACCACAATCTGCTGAGACCAAGATGTCTAGACTGTCTAAAAGCTTTCCTTCTTGGAGGCACCTTTCAGTCTGTCTTTTCCACTCCTGCACCCGATCTATCTATCTTTAGCCAGAAAGAAGTACTTATAATTATTTAAACCCAGAAACATTTTAATCAACTGATCTTTTGCTCATGCTATCCTGTGTGATTAGAAATTCTTTCCCAATCCCCTTTCCTGGCAAATCCTTATCACTGTCCAAGGTTTAGCTCAAGGCTTTCGCCCTCAACAAAGCCTTTGCCAAGATGACAGTATCGCTATCTCTGGAGCACATTGTGCCACATCCATTCCACGGACCCTCCTCATTCACAACCCTGAATGTGCACGTGGCATATTATTGATTCCATAAAATGTGGCATATAAAACTGAAAAGGAAATGACATGAGCCATCTAGACCATTATATTTAGTAACTATCATGTCTTTAAATCTCTTCAATTTCTCTTCTTTGATTACCAATGCTAGCAATTGACTTTCTTTTAAGGAGCTATTTCTCTCTAAAAAAACGAAACTAGAAATAAAATAATGTCCCACATTATAATTGTAATACATAAAGGAAGTAGAGAATAACAAAGCTGTCCTGAAAGGTAGATACTGAAAGTCCACTATAGTTCCTTACTAGCTGTTTGATTGATTCACATACACTAGCCAATAAGTAAATTCTCATCTGAGAAAAACTACCAGTAACTCAAGTCATGGACGCTTGAGGTCCTATTAGAATAACTGACATTTAGAATACTGTCTACTGATGAAGTTCTATCGAAAGCCTTTGGATAATAATGTAATTTTCTGTGCATGCATGTGTGATTGTGATTGTGTTTGTGTATATATAATACTGTGTGTGTGTAGACACAAACACTTGTATTCATCTTCCTTCAGTAATCAATACATCCTTTAAGGGAGAGAACATTATCTCTCTGTTATTCATTTGTAAGGTTTAGAACAGTGTTGACCCACAGATTTCATTTATATGTTTGTTAAATAAATGAATAAAATAAAGAATAAAAATGGCCTTGGTAGCCAATATAGTAACTGACTGACTATGGTATCTAAAATAACACCCACTTACACATCTCTGTTCCCTTACTGGGCTTTACTTTTTCCTTAGCATGAATTCATGTTGGATGTTGTATTAGCATGTTTTCACACTGCTATAAAGACCTGCCTGAGACTGGGTAATTTATAAAGGAAAAAGGTTTAACTCACTCACAGTTCAGCATGGCTGGGGAAGCTGCAGGAAATTTACCAACATGGCTGAAGTCGAAGGGACAAGGCAGCAGGAAGGAGAATGAACACAGGAGGAACTACCAAATACTTATGAAACCACTGGATACTTATGAAAACTCAAGTAGAAGGACCATGTAAGCAAATGAATGGAGGTGGCATTTATAAAATATTCAGTGACAAATGTGTAGAGTCTAGAGCACACAGTAACAAGAAACAGTGGATGGACCTCAAAAGAAGACAGTGGAAATGAGTTAATCCTGGGAGCTGTGAGGGGGAAAGGAATAGAGACAGAGTCATTAAGTAGTCTGGAGAAGAGACAAGGAAAGACCACGGAGAGGGGAAAAGGCTGTGAGTTGCATGAACATGACTAAAACCCTAAGTTACCACCAAGGGGTCAGCTGCCATATTCAAGAGTTCATCAAGATATCCTTTGCATAGTTCTGTGGTTATTGTCCTGGTTTGTCTTTATTTTTATCAGTTTTGTGGGTGTTTTAGGTACTTCAGCTCACTTTTGCTTATTTGTTTATTACAAAAGTACTATAATTAGGAGTCCAGAATAAGCACTAACACCTCAAAATTTCAGAAGCGCACACACACACACACACACACAAATAGCCTCTTATTTTCTTATTTTCATTTTATTATTTTTATCAACAGAGCACTGGTGTTTCCACAAGGAAGCACCAAGGGTTGCAGCAAGGCATTAAGAGAGGCCTGAGAAGGTGCCCTGACCTCCCTGCCACACCCAATAGTGCCCCCTCCTTACCCCAGCTGTGCCTAGAGCAGCTCCTCCTTCACTACTCACTGACTTCCTTGTAAAAGTCCATTTGTCAAAAAAAGAAAATACATTTAAAGGCCACTGGTCTACCCAATACCAAGGTCTATCTAGTTAGGAGATACAATAGTGACACAGAACAGTATTTTTTTTTATATATACTTTAAGTTCTGGGGTACATGTGCAGAACATGCGGTTTTGTTACATAGGTACACATGTGCCATGCTGCTTTGCTGCACCCATCAACCCGTCACCTACATTAGGTATTTCTCCTAATGTTGTCCCTCCCCTAGGCCCCCACCCCCCGACAGGCCCTGGTGTGTGATGTTCCCCTCCCTGTGTCCATGTGTTCTCATCAGAACAGTATTTTTTTAAAAGATAGAATAGGAAAAATGCCTCACAGATGGTGATGTAAATATGAAATCTATTATTAGTATGAAAGATGCCTTGCTCACATTAGGTACTCAAAAAATATTTGTGAAATTATATTTAAAAATAGAAATTTTATAGTTAACTATTCTGTACTTTATAAAGTCTGAAATGATTTCATCTTGTCATCAAAGATCAAACACATAGCCTAACAAGTATGATTATAATCATGAAGAATTTATGACAGAAAATCGTAAGGCATAAGAGGCCTATTTTAATATGGTGGAAAGAGAAAAGGTTTTGAAGTCAGATTTTTTCACACTGGCTTCATCACTTCTTATATGTAGGCAAAGTAGTCGATTTCTTTTACTGTCAGTATCCTCATCAATGGAAACACAGAGTTTTCATATGCACACTTATAATTTGTTTGAAGAGTACAGTGAGATAACATATAAAATGCCTGGCATCCTGTGAGACATGTATTCAGTTCTCCATCAATGGTAGCCCTTGTGGTTCTTTGAGGAAGAGAGGGGAGGTGAAGAAGTGTATATCTCCCCCAAAAAACATCAGAGGCAGCTTTGCACAGAGGGTGATAATGCAGCCTTTTAAGACGGTTTAGACTTTGATAAGTAAACCTAGAATGGAAAGCATTTCCAATGGAAGAAATAGAATAATCTAAAGTTTCAGGTGAGAAATCAAGAGACCAGTGTGAAGTATATAGGTCAGTTTAGTAATAAAAGAAGAAAGTATGGTATAGATGAGCTGAAGCCCCAGAATTATCATTAGTATCAGCAACTATTTCGTAGACCACCTACTATATGAAAGATAATATCCCAAGTTATGAGGGAGATACAGATGGGAATTACATGTGATATTAGAAACCCTACAAGATTACAGGCTCATTAAGAGGATTCAGCCAATAAGATTATATACCACATCTTTGTGCGAGACATAAAAATGCTGTAACTAAAAGCAAAGTGTTTATGATAATATTCTTGCCAAAATCTCTTGTGGGAAATTAAAAGGACACTTCTCAACTTTTGGCAGTAAATCTTTTTTTAAAAAAAAAAATTGTATTGGCAAACTGAATTAGGTTCTGAAGGCAAGACTCTCTAGTATTGGCAAGTTGCAAATAAATGCCCCATGTTGACTAAAAACACAAATCCATAATCATTCAACCTAACTCAGTAAGAAACCACATTTAAAAATGTATAGATCTCAGCTTCAAATGAAAAGGTATTTCTGTCATGATTCTACCACATTTTGATACACTTCTGAAACAACTCAGTATAGCTTTATTAGCTACTGACTTCAGATGGCATTTCTAATAACTGGTGGCTTTATTTGTTCAGATGAAGTGACTCAATTAAAAACATAATTAACAAAACAGCATGCAGGTTTTCAAATTCACTGCCATACAACTAAGCAAATGGCATCCCACATTATTATGTATTTGGGAGGAAGTAACAAATAACTATTGTTTGGCTGATCTTGGTTATGTTTGTGAGGCAGAAATGTCGCAGGTCAGCATCAAGCCCCAACTCAAAGAAAAACCTGTCATACAAAGGTCAAACACCTAATGAAAGTCCATCTGGGAAGTGAGAATTTTGAAGACGGATCTAAATTTGTTAATTGATCTGTTACAGACTATTAAATTTGTGCCAGAAAAGGAATTGATTATTGCAAGGCAAGTCCCTGAATGACCCTAGAGACCCAGCTCTTCCTCCTTTCTCTAATGTAGTTCAAGGGCAACTGCAGAACGTGCTGGGAATGCAGCATCCTGAGATAAAGAGAAACTATTAGAACAGTCCAGGCTCTGTTCTCATCCCTCTTAGAAGAGGACGTCCTGCAATGCTTTAGCTTGGAAATTCCGGTTACCCCTGGATATAAAACCAGGGTGAAATGGGTTTTGAGGGCCCCTCAGCTGCAGTGTGATATGGGGCACATGTACGCAAGACTTCACCTGCCTTGGGCAGTTTTCATGAAGTTGGGGACCTGGCTTGCCATTGATTCCAGGCTTCTATTGTCCCTTGCTGCCTGTCTGTGAGTAATATAGTTGCTTTGCTTCACTTGTGTGAGTGTTTTGTTTCACCAGACTCATGCAAGTTAACTAATACTGGTGCATGGTATTGGTGAAGTCTTTAGAGTCCTCTCCTAGGATGTATACCAGTGCACAGAGAACTTGCTTCACAATTATTGCTTTTAACAGAAAAAAAAAAATCACAAAAAATATTTACTCAGTAAAGTTTGATTGTGTCTGAAAAGCTGTAGCAGTTTTCTCAGTTTGATACTTAGAAATATCAGAGCCTTAATGAAATAGTATTCTATTTACAATCCAATGGAATCACTCAAAAAAACTACCAGAATTGATAAGTGAGTTTAGTAATGGGTTACAGGATTCAAGGTGAGTACACATATATAAATTATACAACTATATGTTTACAAAATATGTATCTGTCAAATGAATTTTATCTACAACACATAAAGAATATTTACAAGTCAATGGTAATAAGAACACTTAATAAAAATCATGGGCAAAAAAACTGGACACTTTATCAAAGAAGACACACAGATGGCAAATGAGCATGTGAAAAGACGCCCAGTGCTATTAGGAAAACTCTTCAATATGATATCACTATGTAGCCCACTCAACTAACCAAAATTCACAGACTGACCAAACCAAGTGTTGGCAAAAATGTGGAACTTTAACTCTCACACTTTACTGGTAGGACTATAAAATCATTGCAACCACTATTGAACACATTTTAGACTTTCCTTAAGAATATTAAAATACACTTATCATACAACCCAGCCACTTTTCCCAAGAAAAATGAAAACTTAGGTCTGCACTAAGGCATACACAAATGTTTATAGCAGCTTGCTTTATTTGTAATAGCCAAAAATGGTAATAACCAAAATGTCTATCAACAGGTACATTGATGAATAAATTGTAGTATAGTCAAACAATGTTATCCCAAGCAAGAAAAAAAAATTTTTTGAGACAAGGTCTCACTCTGCCACCCAGGATGGAGTGCAGTGGCGTGATCATGGCTCACTGCAGCCTTAACCTCCCATGTTCAAACAATCCTCCTACCTCAGCCTCTCAAGTAGCTGGGACTACAGGCACATGTCACCACACTTGGCTAATTTTTCTATTTTTCATATAGATAAGGTACCACTATGCTGCTGAAGCTGGTCTCAAACTCCTGGGTTCAAGTGATCCTTCTGGCTAAGCCTCCCAAAGTGCTTGGATTATAAGCATGAGCCACCATGCCCAGCCAAAAAATATATATGTAGATAGATAGATAGATGAGATGATAGATAGATAGATAGATAGATAGATAGATAGATAGATAGATAGATAGATGCAACAGCATGTTGCATGATCTAAACTAAAATGTTAAGCATAAATTCATTTTTTAAAAAATGACTACTGGGCCGGGCGCGGTGGCTCACGCCTGTAATCCCAGCACTTTGGGAGGCCGAGGCGGGTGGATCACGAGGTCAGGAGATCGAGACCATCCTGGCTAACACGGTGAAACCCCGTCTCTACTAAAAATACAAAAAATTAGCCGGGCGTGGTAGCGGGCGCCTGTAGTCCCAGCTACTCGGGAGGCTGAGGCAGGAGAATGGCGTGAACCCGGGAGGCGGAGCTTGCAGTGAGCCGAGATCGCGCCACTGCACTCCAGCCTGGGCGACAGAGCGAGACTCCGTCTCAAAAAAAAAAAAAAAAAAAAAAAAAAAAAAAATGACTACTAATCAAAAAGCCAGATTGTCAAATTAGATAAACAAGCAAGACCCAATTGTATGCTATCTAGAAGAGATCTATTTTAAATATATATATTTTCTAAAAGGTTGAAACTGAAAGGATGGGAGAAGTTATTTCACAGAAATAGTCATGAGAAAGATCGTGTGGCTCTAACAGTATTAGTCAATTTAGACTTCAAAATAGAATTTACAAAATAAAGAGGGTTATTTTATAATTAGAGAGGCTTATATTGATCTGAAAAACATAACAATACCAAATGGATTTGCAAACAACAAACTTTCAAAATACAAGGATTAACTTGGCCGGGCAGGGTGGCTCACACCTGTAATCCCAGCACTTTGGGAGGCCAAAGCAGGTGGATCACTTGAGGTCGGAGCTTGAAACCAACCTAGCCAACATGGTGACACCCCATCTCTACTAAAATTACAAAAACTTAGCCGGGCATGGTGGCGCACACCTGTAATCCCAGCTACTCAGGAGGCAGAAGCAGGAGAATTGCGTGAACCCGGGAGGCAGAGGTTGCAGTGAGCCAAGATCACACCATTGCACTCCAGCCTGGGTGACAAAGTGAGACTCCATCTCAGAACAATAATAATAATAATAATAATAATAATAATAATAATAAAATAAAGAAACGGACCAATCCAGAATCATAATCTGAAATTTAAAAACAAACTGAGAAATTCACATGAGTAGAAAAAAGTCAGTATGAATGAACCTGACCTGATACCAAAACCTGAAAACATATTACAAGAAATTATATACCAATATCCTAATAAACAAAAACATTAAAATCTTTTTAAAATATTATTAAACCAAGTCCAACAAATAGAAAACTAAAGCTAATAAATCATAGCTAGTGATGTTTACTCTAGGATGCAAGGTTGATTTAACAATTGAATGTCCATGTATTTTGCCACTTTAATACAATACTGAAATAAAGGAGAAAAATCGCATGGTCATCTAATCAGTTAGAGGAAAATATTTGATCACACTCAATATTATTTCCTGATGAAATTAAGATGCACCAAAATTAGAAAACTGCTGTATTAAAATTTTCTTTTAAATTGGAATTTAATAATTACCCAGGTATGTTCATAGAATTTCAGAAAAGCTTCCAGAGGAGCATAATTTTGAGTTTAGTCTAATATAGCAGATTAAGTTAGAAGAGGAAGGACCTTCAGGAAAAGATGTAGATTTGAGTAAGTGTGATCTATTTCAGAAGTCAACAATTAGTTAAATATTGCTGGAGCATCCATGAGAAAAATTGGAAATAAATAAACTATAGAGATAGAAAAGACTAAGCTTATGTTTCTTGCTTGTCATATACAAGGGTTACGTAAAAAATTTAGTGACGCTATATTTTAAGAAATATGGATCCATGAAGAATTTTGAACAAAGAAAGGCCATTATTAGATGTGAATTTCTGAAAGAACACTCAGCAGGCAATAAGCAGAGTGAGTGGAGGTTGATGAGGCTGAAGCCAGAAAGGCTGACAGAGGGCCACTTGACATAGTACAGGTCAAACATTACAGACTTAAACTGTGACTTTGAAAAAAGTTGCTGAGAAGAAAATAAGTTAAATTTTTTAGGAGATAAACTTATTGGACTTATCAAATTAATTGAATATTTGATGAAAGGAGAAATCTAGGATATCTCCCAGATTTCTGATCCTCAATCCAGAGATAAATTGTCAACATACAGAATATGGGTTCATAAACGGCTCCCTAAGTAATGCATGCTATGAGCTATACTAAGGAAAATAGTCTAAGCATCTGACATATGTTAAATGTGATTTAATTCTTAGAAAATCTAATTACTTACATTCTTTTACTCTCTCTACTTTTAATATTAATAATTATGGCTTATGTAAGTAAGTAAAGTTAAGGAAAGGTAGTAAAGTTCTGTTTGGATACATTTAATTTAAGATGCCAGTAGGACATCTGGGTTGAAATAGTTGGTAGGTATGGCTCTGGAAGAGAGCTCTAGTCTGGAGATAGAAATTAAAGCATTGTCAAAATATATTTGAGTAAGTAGGAGGATTTAGTATTGCCCAAGGAGACTATAGAATAAGAAGACATAGAGTAAGGACTGAAGAAGTAAGCAAGAGGCGAGAATTCTAGTTATATAAGTGAATTAGGGGACTTAAGGGTAGCAGCCAGAGGAGTAATAAGACACAAGCAAAGAGAGCAAACAGAAACCATGCAAACTGGGGCTGTGCGTGGTGGCTCATGCCTGTAATCCCAGCAATTTGGGAGGCCGAGGCAGGTGGATCACTTGAGGCCAGGAGCTCAAGACCAGTCTGGCCAACATGGCAAAACCCCGTCTCTACTAAAAATACAAAAAAAAAAAAAAAAAAAAAAAAAAGCTGAGTGTGGTGGCACGTGCCTGTAATCCCAGCTACTTGGGAGGCTGAGGCCCAAGAATTGGTTAAACCTGGGAGGCAGAGGCTGCAGTGAGCCGAGATTGTGCCACTGCACTCCAGCCTGGGCAACAGAGCAAGACTTTGTCTCAAAAAAAAAAAAAAAAAGGAAATTTTCAAAAAAATAAGAATGAAGACCAAGGCCAAATTCTTCAGAGAGGTGCTCCATAGGGATTAGCAATTAGCAATAAAAAGCCACTAATAACCTTAATGAGAGGAGTCTTAATGAAATTGTGAAGTTAAAATATCACATAGCTGTCTCAGAAATAATCATTCATTTAAGATAACATTGGTTTGGAGACTATTTCTTGACTACTGGATAGCCTGTGTGATTCAGCCAAGTTATGTTAGAACAGCCTAATAAATATGCCACGTGACCTAATGAAAGTCTTCAAGAGCTCATAGAATATAAAGGAAAAGACTGTCCAATGTCAAGGGACCAAGTGCCAACTATAAGGGGGCTGGTATCACTCAAAAAAAAAAAACGTAGAAATAGAATCCTATGTGATTCTTTCAGATTTTGGTTAAAGTGATAAAGCTTTCACTCATAAAAGAGTAAGAAATAAGAGACCATCTCACTGCTTCCATTCATGATTCAAGGAGTTCAAGGAACAAAACCAGCTACTGTGTGCTTTTATAAAGCTCTAAGAATGATACCTACACCTCTCCTCAGAACCCCTTGCTGTGCAAGGCTACTCTCAGGGCCAGTAGCGTGGACCTCACCCAGGTGCTTGTTAGAAATGCAGACTCTCAAGCCTTACTCCAGCACTTTTGAATGAGAATTTCCATTTTGACGAGATTAAGATCCCCAGCTGAACTCTTATTTCTGCACATGAAAGTTTGAGAAACTCTTCTAAACCACAATTTCTTTAACAATAAAAAATTTCAACATTTGGTAATTATTTGCTAATGTATTTATAGCCCAACTTCTTCAAATAAGTGCTTAAGACACTTTTAAAGATATATATGCACTCCAGAACAATTTAAAAGTAAAAAAATAAAGACCAAGGGAAATAAGAATAGGAACATTTAATAACCAATATGTATGAAAGACTTTGCCTGTGCTAAGAGCTTTATATCTTTTATTTTCACAATAACTTTAGAAAGTAATCAATATTATTTCAGTTTTACAGGTGAGGAAAATGTGAGTTAGAGAATTTAAGTAACCTGCCTAAGATTACAAAGTGTTAGAAACAGGGTTTGAACTCAGGCCTGCTTAACACCAAACTACACCTGTGCTCTCAATCACAAAATTAAACAGTAAGGTCAAAATATAAAACCTGTGTGTACTCAAATCTATTTATAATGACTTACTCTGCATTTGGCTTTAAATGTTCTAGAAGCTCATGTGAATAGAAAATATCAGTGATTACAACATTCAGAAAGTCTGTATTTAATTTTCTGCCTGTCATAACATTAACTGTGTGGTAGAAGAGAGCTATCACTTTTGTTTTTAGAGAAGCTATGTATTCTTACAAAAGTATGAGCTATGTAAGACCTCAACAGAATGAACTGCATACCATGACAGTAAGGTCCTGTTTCTTAGCTAATGTGTGTATACAATATATCCAGAGAGTTTTTAATATTGTAGCATAATCTTATACAAATAGATGACTTTATTATTTTTAAATAGATGACTGATACTTTATTATTCTGAACTAGAAAATGAGGAGGTAGGTGTACAAGCAGTAGCAGAGAAGCAGAACAGAGAGTCAGGAACTTGCTCCCTCATCATGTCCAACAGCCATGATAGTCAGAGCAGCCAGCACCTTAGGCTTTTTGGAGGCCATTAAAAATATTTGAGATATAAAGAAAAAAAATGATGTAACTAAAACAAGAAAATACCAACAGTTGAATTAATAATGTGATTAAAAATGGGTACACAACAAAGCATTACATTAATAAAGTATGACATTTAACAATCAGAAAGTTTGCTGTATTTAAAAGTCATCTTTAGATTAGATTTTCTCTCTTTGCAAGGATTTTTCAATATACTTAGTGATGATCTAAAAATAAATTAGTTGGAGGCAAATAATTTCCAAAAGCAAAATCGCAAATAATTTCTACCCCAGAAAATCTAGGTTTGTATGTGTGTGTATGGAGACATATGTATCTCCCACAAAAAATATTAGAAGTCCTGGCCCTTAGCATAGGTACCAAAGTGAATGAGGATGAGGCTACTTGATTTCCAGAGCTCCTAGTTTCTCCGCTGTCTGTAATTTAGGTCGTGTGCTAGGCTAGAGTGGAGCAGGAAATATCAAAGAGCCTGAAGGCTACCCCCTCCACTCCCACCTCCACTCCACAAATGATGTAAAATCCCATCCCACAAGGTTCCCACACTGCTAGGAAGTGTCCACATGGGTACTAAGGCACAGCAAGGTAAAGATGAGATGTGTATTTTCTTGGTTTAGCTGGCAAAAAAATAGGTTATTAATGCCTGGTTCCATACGAGGAACAAAACCCTAGAATAATCGAACAATTGCCCAGGAAGCCATTTGGATTGAAGTTAGCTACTCCTTCAAGAACGGAAGAGCTGAACTTGCCAGCTTTGATTTGCACGCCTTTCAGCTACTATTTCCAGCCGATTCAGTTCATACAACTCCAGCTTTCATTTAGGGCTGAGCTCATTGACTAAAAAAATAAAGAAGAACTGAAAAAAAGGAAAAAACGAGAAAAGAAATCAAGGAAAGGCTTCATTGATTATTCAGAGTGTTGCTTTGGGAAAGAGAAAAATCTTGTTAGAAGCCTGGCAAACTTACTTCATTAGAGACCTAGTGACATCTTCCAAAACTAGAACATTACATGAGGTTAGTTTAAAACTTCAAGTGGCCTTATAGTTTGATAAGGATACCCACCCCCATCCACTCTGCTACATTATTTGCATTCTTCACCATACTTTTCGCAATGGTGAAATATTTGCTACTAAAAAATATGCCAAAAGAAGGAAAGAAATGTGACTTATTAGAAATTAGAAATGCTAAAATCAGGGACGGTGATTCTGATCACTCACTGTATCCTCTAAAAGCCCACTTTTCTTTCCTTCTAACAAGGTCATTTGGACCTCATTTTCACCATCCTCCTCCCTCATACACATAGTCCTACTCAATCTCCTTCTACCTAATGATTTAATGCATGCAGTGTTGATAAAATGAATGTGAAAATGAGCATCAGATTTTTTTTTTTTTTTTTTTTTTTTTTTTTTTTTTTTGAGATAGAGTCTCTGTCGCCCAGGCTGGAGTGCAGTGGCGAGATCTCGGCTCACTGCAAGCTCCGCCTCCCGGGTTGACGCCATTCTCCTGCCTCAGCCTCTCCGAGTAGCTGGGACTACAGAAGCCCGCCACCACTCCCGGCTAATTTTTTGTATTTTTTAGTAGAGACAGGGTTTCACCGTGGTCTCGATCTCCCGACCTCGTGATCCGCCCGCCTCGGCCTCCCAAAGTGCTGGGATTACAAGCGTGAGCCACCGCGCCGGGCCGAGCATCATATTTTATAATGGTATGTACGAATTGATTGCTTCCTGACCCTTCAGGAAGACCCTTCCCGGTCTTCTGAAGTTCTGCACAGTTACCATGTCAAAAAGGAAGAGGTCTTTTATTTTTCTTTCTTTTTTTCTAACTTTCTTTCCTTGGAAGCATCAAATGCTCCCACTCACTGACCTCTCTCTCTCTCAGAAATAATTAGCCTAAAGGCTAAAACTACCATGGAAATTTATCAAAGAGTAACTAAAAGATCAAAATGGCTTGGTCATGCCAAATAAACCTCATTTAGTTCTCTGAGAAAGTGGTTAATAATAGTGATTTTATTGCCATAGAGTATCTTGGTTTCAGGAAATTATTTGACAAATACCCTGAAAATATACCACTAAGATAATGGTGTTTTCCTTAGACAATAATATTATGAGGTACATACACTGTTAGATGACTACATTCTGGAGAAGTCAACTTGGAGAGGTGGCTACAAGAAGTTGACAGAAGATTCCCTCCTTCACCTGTTCCGTAAAGACTTAATAATTAGAATAAAAACATCAAAAGGATTCTAGTTCAAGCAGGAACACAAAATTGGAATAAATGTGGAATTACATTGGTGAGCGAATCAATATTAACTATATTCTCAATGAAGTAAATACTGACTTGAAATAAATTAACATCTGAGAATAACTTTCAAATCCTGCATTTGAATACATTTAAGTCAACAACTTAAATAAATATTAGAAGGTAATTTGTTTCACATTGGTTCATAGGATACACTGAAGGTATTACCTGACTACAAGTTTAATATATATATATAAATGGTAAGTATACATAAAAAAGCAAAGCTAATGAGCAAATCAGTACATTCCATTTTGGAGAAGCTCAAATTGGTAGAAAGTTCTTCCTTATATTGAGCTGGATTCTATACACTAAATTTCATTTAATTTTTCTCAGTGAGAAATGAGGTTGAATTCCTAGCAACTCATGCATAGATAATAGGATACAGAATTAACCCTGATTATAATATAATGTACCTGATGTGACTATGAAGCCGGAACTAACACTCAAATAGATTAGAGACTATTACCTTGCAGTTGCAAATTTTAACTGAATTTAAAGTAGTTGCTAACCTAGGCCAGGGGCGGTAGACCACGCCTGTAATCCCAGCACTTTGAGAGGCCAAGGTGGGCGGATCACCTGAGATCAGGAGTTCGAGACCAGCCTGGCCAACACGGTAAAACCCCGTCTCTACTAAAAATACAAAAATTAGCCAGACATGGTGGCGTGTGCCTGTAGTCAGTCCCAGCTACTCAAGAGGCTGAGGCAGGAGAATCACTTGAACCTGGGAGGTGGAGGTTGCAGTGAACCGAGACAGCACCATTGCACTCCAGCCTAGGCAACAGAGTGAGACTCCACCTCAAAAATAAAAAAAATAAAGTAGTTGCTAACCTACATCACAGTATTTCCTTTAGACCATATAATAACATCTTTGTTTAATTGGAGTGTAAATCCAGCAACTTCATGTATCTAGAAATATGTGTCCTATATCATCTTTCTACCCGTCTCCAGTAAAGTGCCTAGGCACATGGCAAATGGTGAATAAGTGAGTAAATTTTAAAAGACTGACCAGCCAAACCCAATGAAACAATAGCATGTGGCTGATACTCTTAGAATATCAATCACTATCTTTTGAATTTTATGTATATTCTACAGTCTTGGTTATCTGGTTTTCACATACGTAGGAAATAGAAGGAAGGAAAATAAATGCTACAGCCAAGTATATTGGTATCCAATCAAAATAAAAGAAAACATGGGGAAATTATTTTTTAAAACTCATATGCACCTAGTTTAGAGTCATTTAGGGTGGAGTCAAATAACCCCCAATAACTCAGTTTACCCTAATAGAAGCACCCACAGACTTCACAATACTGATATTAATTAAGATAGATAAAGTCATTGAGGTATATTTATAAGGCATTATGTAATCAGCAATATGGGAAAGTATTGCAGTACCTTTTATAAGACTATACCTACAAGGTTTGATAGTTGGAAAAATTAGTACCTAAAGGCATGAACCCTTAGCTCTCTAAACAAACCCCACTACTTATGGTTACTTGCTCCCTCTGGCCTACTGTTTCATTACACTGAAAATCTCAATAGCAACTCATGTTACCAGCTTCCAGCAAGGGATCTTTCTTATGATCAATTCCTATTTTCACCTCAATTATCATAATATCCAGAGGGGTAGAATAAGAACATCATATCCAACTTACGAATATGTAAACCAAATTAACACATATAAAAGTAAAACAGGAGAAAAGTGAGCCAGTCTGTCCATCGAAGATAAATAATTTCTTTTTTACTTAATTATTCATTTAGACTGAACAAATTTATAGTGTGAATGCATAATAAATCCCAGGTACCAGGCTGAGTGAAGCACATATAGAGATAAGCACCTCAATTGGGAGAATACATAAATATTTGGAAGAATAGTTTCAGAATGAGTTAAAAAGCAGAAGTTACCATATATATGGTACTAAACTTTCTTCTTCAAAGCATGTTTCCATACTTAGTTGGACTAAATAAGCCTTAACTAATTTTCAGCCCCCAACTGCTATGATTCTATCGTGCTCAATTCTACAAAATCACTGTGAGATAAACATGGCAGGCATTGTTAATTTGCAGTTAATAGACTATAAAATTGAAGATTTAATAGATTGCATAACTTACTCCCAACCACACAGATAGTTAATACCAAAGCCAGATAAGAACTTAACTTGATTTGAGTCCTAATTATTCTATTTATTATGTAAAAACCCTCATTCGTGTTTCATGAACGTAATCATCAGCTATCCCATTTCATAGACTGAAATCTCTGTGCTATGTTTACAAAGCAGCACATTGAATAAACGAGGCTTGTTCCCCCAGATGATGTGATATGTGCTGTTTGGTTAGTAAAAATGTTTCTGCTGCCTCCTTTGGCATTTCACATGCACAATTTATGAACAATTTGCTGTCACCTCTACTTATAGTGCTTCTTTCAAATAACTTCTATTTCCAGAGGACTTGTAAAAAGTAATTTAAGTGGCCCAAACCTGATCACTATGTGTATTTAAAGCTTGTCGGCTATTGTTGGTATGACATGGAGTTCCTTTCTGCTTAGGGTCACCCAGGATGTGAAATAAGTAAGACAAAATATGCATTTTTTTTTTCAGAGAATTGTAAAAAGGGAGTGACCTTAAATTGGTCCTTAAACTCCTAATCCAACAACCAGAATTTGTTTAATTCTGTTATATACAAGATTCTGTGGACATATAAAATATACTATATGACCCTCATCCATAAAGAGCCTAAACTAAAACTTGAAGGTTTTCATGAACGTGTGACAGTGCCTATATTCAATATGACAAAATGTTCCATATAATTAAAAGTCTTACAAATACATGATGATCTCACCTCAGTTTGAACTCTCTCACTGATCACTTGATGACAATAAAAGATCTGATATTGTGTCAAGAAAGAATAAAGAAAAAAAGGGCTTACATTGTATGTGCTCCAAAATGTCTATAGTACAGTTCATTCTGAAGCCAGGGGGGGCGCTATTAGATGACTTATTTTCTTTAGTAATGTTTTTTCCAGATTATAAAAGATATATATGATAATCACTTTCAACACTTGAGTTCCCCTAGAAAACCAACCAGAAAAATCTATTGACTAAGCAAAGCTAATTTTATTAAACCTACCGCAGCAGCAAAGAGGATAACCTTGACTACATCTTAGTGTCTCAGAAGGAATACGTAAAAGAGGATATTTCCAGGGTTTTGGGGTCAGGTCTCAAGTGGTATAAGTTGAATCTTTCAAAGCAGAGAATTGATTAGGATTCAGCAAAGTTCATATTATAATAGTTTAGTGAGATGAAGGTCTCAAAGTGAGTCTTAATAAATGAATTGTTTAATAAACAAGCTGTTGCCCCAAATAATTTGCTCAGATGAGTTAATTATTTGGACATATTGGCGTTCAGAAATTTTATGATACAACAAAGTTATGAATTGGTTATACTGCCTCATTTTCCTGGCCAAACATTTGCTAAAATAATGAGAGGAACTCAGGAGCTCTGCCTCGTTTTCATCTCAATTTTGTCCCTCAGTTCTCAGGAGACGTGAAACACACCTTGCCCACCCAGTTTTCTAATATGTTAAATGTGATTTGTAATTATTATTTATGCTTTAAAGGATATCTGACTACATTCCAGGGGCCTCCAATGAAAACAGCACAGATTTTTATCATCAGATGTATTTACTGAATTTTATCTAAAGCTAAATGTATTTTTTAAATTTAGCATTGGGACCTTAAAATCAAAGAATAAATATTTGCATAGAGATGGAAAGAAAAAAATTGCTTCTCAGCCTTTTGGCTAAGATCAAGTGTAGAGATGGAAATAAACATTTATTTGGGGGGAAGAAACCTTTTATCTGAAGTTTGAAAACTTTAGACCTATTATTCCTCAAGAAAACTAAAGTTATACATAACGTATTCATTAATAATGATATTATTAGGGGAAAAGACTTTCAGTAAAAGTACAACAGGGGCAAAATCATACCTTCTGCTGGATGGTGGATTTAATTTTAAAACGCCAAGAGAATACTTCAAATCAGATAATAACAAAAGCCTCCACACTGAATAATAATATAAACCTCCCTACTGAAATAATGTTAAGATTACTATTTATTTTGCACTTATATGCAGGTGCTATGGTAAGATGTGTTTATATGCACACATAGTCTTATTTAATCATCGCAATCACCTTGCGAAGTAGGTAGTATTATTACCATTTACAGATCGAAAAGAGAATCAAAGAGGTTCAGCATGTCACTCAACTCAGGAGAAGTGGTAAAAGCAAGAATCAAACTTGGTATATTTGACTCTAAACATATTCTCAAGATTGATAAAAGAAGGGAACATAGCTATTGTCATGAAATTAGAGCCTTGGTATTGAAATGTGATCTCTCAGCACCCTAGCACTTTATCTTTCAAATGACTTTACACTGGAGGGTTTCTTTTTTATCAAAGGGAAAGAGCAGTCCTGTGAATCATTGGAAGAGAACTTTGGCTTTCAGGTGTGTGTTAGGCAGAATTAAAAGATACTCCCAAGAACACACGACTTCTCTTATCGATCGAGCAACCACGAATCCAAGTGTTGCTGTAAAGGGATTTCACAGATGACATTAAGGTTCCAAATCAGTCAACCTTAAAATAGGGATATTATCTAGGTGGCCCTGACCTAATTACATGAGGCCATTAAATCTGAGTCTTGTGGTCAGAGACGGAGAAAGTCAGAAATTTCAAGTGTGAGAGGGAGCTGGCCCAAGGAAATTCTACTGGCTTTGAGATGGAGGGATCACGTGGCAAGGATGGTCTCTATGAGCTAAGTGGCCCACAGCTGACAGCAAGGAAAGAGGTACCTCATTCCTGCAACTGCAACAAACTAAATATGGCTGATGATCTGAATCAGCTTGTAAGTTTGCTGTTCCCCAAAATTTCCAGAAAGAAGCACAGTTCAACCACCATCTTGATTTCAGTTTCAAGACCCTGAGCAGAGAACTCAATCACATCATACCTGAACTTCTGATTTACATAACTGTGCGTTAATCATAAGAATCGTTTTAAGTCATTACATTTATAGTAATTTGTTATATGGTGTATTAGTCCATTTTCATGCTGCTGATAAAGACATACTGGAGACCAGGCAATTTACAAAACAAAGAGGTTTAATTGGACTTACAGTTCCACATGGCTGGGGAAGCCTCATCATCATGGTGGAAGGCAAGGAGGAGCAAGTCACGTCTTACATGGATGGCAGCAGCCAAAAAGAGAGAGCTCCTACAGGGAAACTCCCCCTTTTAAAACTGTCAGATCTCAGGCTTATTCACTATCATGAGAACAGCATGGGAAAGACCTGCCCCCATGATTGAATTACCTCCCACCAGGTCCCTCCCGCAACATGTGGGAATTCAAGATGAGATTTTGGTGGGGACACAGCCAAACTGTATCATATTGCAATAAAAACAAATGGTGTTCTAAATACTTTTAGGAAACAAGGGTTAACCTGTGATTAAGACTTTAATGGGTATTTCTGGTTAACTTGAAAACGAGCTTGCTTTATCTGTAAAAAATATAATCAATTTCCTACAAACACATTTGCAAGAAAATATCAATAGTAGTAGGTTCATCAAATTCCTCTGGTCATCTGATCATATGGAATTATAAATAAATAATGGTTATATTAATAATATGTAAGTAATGCTTTAGAGTGTCCAATGTATTACCACATTCATTATATCACCTGGACCTTATTATAACCAAGTTGAGTAGACAAATTATTATTATTATCTCTTCTTATAGTGCAAGAAATAAATACATAGGACAAGTGACTGACTCAAAACCAACTTCAAGAATTTGGAGGTGAGCTGGGGTGGCCAGTAGATGACATTCAAGGGCTTTTGACTTCCCTTAAAACCACATTTTATTTTCAGGGCTGACTTAAAATGTTTCAGCAAAACATGGGGTTATGTTCCCCTTTCCTATTCTCTTCCAATTAAAAAAAAATAAAAACAACATATATTTTTACTTGAAATAAGTGTTTTTTCACCCACATCAACCATTTCTCTTCATCACACAACGTGGAACATTTGAAAGGTATTTTTTAAGCAATATTCAAACTGGGTTTGTAAAAGTTTGAACTATGGTTTCAAAATGATTGAAGCTGAATGATGAAAAATTGTCAATAACCAATATGGGATCATTAAATAAATCTATAAAATCTGAGTTATAGCTATGCACAAAAATTGTGATATATATTTATTCCCATGAGAAGTTGTTTATTCTGTCTGTATACTACAAAGCCATTTGTTTAAAAAAAGTACATAAGTGTACATACACATTCACACACATGCACACATATGCAATATGCCCATTTTTTGAAAGAAGTTACCTGTGGAATGTGGGGCATTTAAAAATTACTTTTCAAAATTTTCTACATTTTATAAATGCTATATTTTATACTACATGTTTATTATCAGAAAAATGGCACTAAAGCCATTTTCATTTCACAAAATAATTTGATTGAAACTGTGCCTCAGTCTAGTTGTATCAAAGCAACATTATTATTATTAAACATCCAAGAGTCTTTATGAAAGTTGAGAATTAAATGTAGAGCAAGGCTCACATCTTCATCAAATCACTCTTTGTTCACATGAAGGCAGCTGGGCACCTGTACCTCACAGGTTGGGCATCTACAGCTTTACTGACCGCTGCCTACGGGTCTCTCATTGTCCTTGACCACCAGTTTTGACTTGAGTATCAAGTGCCAGTTGACATCCCCAACGGCATCCCAGATGTGGTCAGACACTCAGAGTACCCAAGTGAGCCTGAGGCAACACTTATGTCCTCTGACGTAAGCGCTGACTCCATTTTTTCAAAGCTCCTACTGAAGTAAGTTAAGGGAAATTGTCTTACTTTACTTTCTCCTTCATATACTATGAAAATGCCATACTCTGAATTGAGTGTCCCATCTGAATTGCTGAAACATAAATTTCTAGCCAGAGGCAGTGAAATTTGAATGACTGCGGGTTCTTTTGACATACTTGAGAAGTAGATGTAACTTGGCTAGGGTTTCAACCACTCACCTTTATTGGAATTAGATCCTTTGGCATCCTCCTCTAATAACCCAATGGCATTCAGTCTCTGTGTTCCCTTGTGTCTGCAGAATAAAACTAGGATTCTGATAAAGTATGAGAAACCGTCAGTCTTTGCCTGCCCTGAACCAATAAAAATGCACATGAATTTTGCCACTTTATGTTCATTGCCACTGATGTAAAATATGGTCATACCTTGTCATTGGTGGGGGATTGGTTCCAGGAGCCCTGTGGAAACCAAAATCCATGAATGTTCAAGTCCCTGATATAAACCAGTGTAGTATTTGCATATAACCCACACACATCATCTGCATACTTTAATCATTTCTAGATTATTTATAATACTGATAGGATTTGGCTCTGTGTCCCCACACAAATCTCACCTTGAATTGTAGTAATTCCCATGTCACGGGAGGGACCTGGTGGGAGGTAAGTGAATCATGGGGAAGGGTTTTTCCTGTACTGTTCTCATGGTAGTGAATAAGTCTCATGAGATCTGATAGTTTTATAAAGGAGAGTTCCCCTGAATACACCCTCTTGCCTGCCACCATGTAAGACGTCCCTTTGCTCTTCCTTCGTCTTCTGCCATAATTGTGAGGCCTCTCCAGCCATGTGGAACTGTGAGTCCATTAAACCTCTTTCCTTTATAAATTACCCAGTCTCAGGTAAGTCTTTATTAGCAGCATGAGAACAGACTAATACAAATGCCTCATACAATGTGAATGCCATGTAAATGGCTGCTATACTGTATTGTTTAGGGAATAATGACAAGAACAAAAGTCTGTACATGTTCAGTACAGATGCAACCATCTGTTTTTCTCTCCTGAATATTTTCAATTCAGGTTTGGCTGAATCCACACATGTGGGACGCACAGAAAAGGAGGGCTGACTGTATTCCATTTAGGGTCAAGTGGGTGGGTGAGTTTTGGCATGTTGGTGAGGTCGTTTTCCAAAAGGAAAAAAAAGTAATCAAAATGTGAAATAACACAGTATTTTAGAAACTTGAAAAAGAAAATAACTGAATCTTTAGTCCTAACACTCTATCAGAATTTTTAATTTCTAATTACCTTCTATCCTTTACCCACATGCATATTCATTCATTTTTACATAGTTGCCATCTCATGACACTTACCATTTTGCATTCTTATCAAAATGTAATAAGCCACAAGGCTTTCCTTTCCTCAAACCACTCCTGGTCTTCTAAATTGGTTAACATAAGTTGGGTCTTGTGATGGAGCTGAACACCTGAATTGGCTTAGGCCTAAAACTGCTCAACAGTGAAGTTGAGAGATGAAAGAGAAAAGGTAGAATCCATAAATAGATGGAGTGAAACTACCTCCTACTTCCTGACTGACGGGATGAGACACAGGTGATTGAAGCTAGTGTGCGCGCATAAGGGGTAGCCATCCTTCCACCTCCCAAGCAGTATAACTATACTGAGGAAGAATTTAAAAAGCAAACACCCCTAAATACCTTTAGAAGTTATTCCTCATGTGATTGATAAAGTTTCTGGGCTAGCATACTTGAAATGCTAGTAATTAGAGTGGAGTTACTTGTGCAGGGTGCTGAGGAAGACAGAAATATTTTATCTTGGAATGTGAAGCTGTGGATGATTCTACCATACTCAGCATCATAAAGATGGCAAACTCATGTCCTGACTTTACTTTTTTTAAAAATAGACTGTATTTCTAGCACAGTTTTAGGTTCACTGCAAAACAGAGTGGGAAATAGAGATTTCCTGTATACTCCCTGCCGCCGCACATGCATAACCTCCCCCGTGATCAGCATCTCCCACCAGAGTGGTACATATGTTATAATTAATGAACTTTCGTTGACATGTCATCACTCAAAGTCCATATTTACATTAGGGTTCATTCTTGGTGTCGTACATTCTATGGATTTGGACAAATGTAGAATGTATCCACCATTATAGCCTCATACAGAGATGTTCCACTGCCCTAAAGACTGTCTGTGCTATGACCTCCCTTTTTAAATGGAATTATTTAAAATTGAAGGAAAAAATGTTTTGATATATCATGCAAGCAAAAAATGTTGATGGAGTATTACAAGTATATCTTGAGTCTGTTCTTACACATGTATTTACAGAGTTTCTCTTTGTCCCCTTTTATTTTACTTCCTAGAAAGGAATAATACTCATTTAGGCAAAAATTTAGATACATAAAGCCTTCCATATTTTAGACCTTAGTTGCGAGCTGATTTCTTTTTATTATTGTTGTTGTTATTTTTTTGCAGCTTAGCTGGATGGGGAGTTCTTCATTCTAGCCATAGCTCGGGTGTTGAATACAGTCTGCTTAGGTCCTTAGTAGGGCTGGTGATGGCCCATGAAGTGCCCTTGAACAAAATTTCAGAAGGCACCTCTTCCTCCAGGTGAACACAAGCCCACACAGGAGTACACTGGGCATCATACAGAGAAGTTCTCCCGACTCTCTCTCTGGCTTGGGCAGCCTTGTGCAGAGCACAATTTGCATCATGATGGACAATAGCCTTGGTCCTGACATGTAAGTTTCCTTTTAAAATTTAGACTCTGTCTGCTTTGCTTGGCAGTCAAGTATCTAGTCTGAAGCCAAATTAGAATCACCTACTCCCTACCAGGCCATCCCATGCCCCACCAAGAGAGTCTGGCCTGTTAGCAAGTTTCTCTGCCATCCACCTCAGCCACCAGAAAACAGGCCAAGTTGCAGTTACTGAAAAGCCCAGTATATATTGTGTCTTGAACTCCCCTCAGTGCTTCTAGCTACGTATCCTTGTGGCATGTGTATTTGTACATTTGGAGAAATACGTGGAAGGCAAATAAAGATGTACGCCATTTCCATTAGCCAAATTATTTGAAATAGTAATAAAGATGGCTGTCTTAAGTGGGTGTGGGATTAGATATGGGTGTCAGATATCACTGCTGTTTTGCTTTTCTTTTTTTATATAAAGTGGCTCACAGAATTTTAAGTTAGAACTCATGCTTTCAGAGAGTTTGGCAAACAATAAAAAAGAAATAAAATAACTTGCCCTGGGTCACCCATCTGGTGACTTATGTTGATGACAGAGTCAATCTTGTATCCCAACAATCTAGATCTCTCCTGTCTAACACAGTAGTCACTAGCCACTTGTGGCTATTAAGCCCATGAAATGTAAGTAGTCAGACCGGAAATGTACTATAAGTGTGAAATACACATCAGATTTTAGAGACTCTATGAACAGAAAAAGAATGTAAAAATATCTCAAATATACTTATTCATTCAATCAGTCATTACACATAGAACAATGAATAGCACAGGCTCAGTCCTGGCCTCTGTGGAGCTTGAAGTATAGTAGATATTATTCAAAATGTTCTTTTTTATTGCTTGGACTTTCATATGAATATTTTGATTATATATCTGATATTCTCAAAGCAGATACCATTGTAGCTCTGCCGAAATATCGAGGACTGGGATGTGAGCTAGGAGTACGTTACCAATTGCTGCCTGGCCAGGATGAAATTTCTCATCTGTTCTAGAGCCTCATTTTTAAATCAAATAGGCACTAGTCCCATGTGACTGGTGAATACTTAAAATGTGGCTAGTCCGAATGGAGACATGGTGTAAGTGTAAAATACACACTGAATTTCAAAAGCAGTATGAAAAAAATGAATATAAAGTATATCATTCACAAGTTTATATTGATTTAGATGGTAAAAATATTTTGTATATATTGGATTAAATAAAATATATTATTAGAATTAATTTCATCTGTTTATTTTTCCTTTTTTTCACGTGGTTTTAAAAAAGTTAAGATTACGTATGTGGCTCACATTATATTTGTATTGGCCGGTACTTCATATACTAATTTTTTCTACTTCACCAGTGCCAATAAGTATGTTAAATGGAACTTTGCCCTCCAGAAAGCTCTGGAGCAAACAGATAAAGAAACTTGAACCTAGCTAGGGAACTGTCAGCTGCCTCAGCCCCTGCTCCCACCTCTTTTTCTGCTTGAAAAGAAGCAGAAAAGAAGGGTCACTTGAAGGGTCACTAGTACCTTGAGTGATTAGTGAACAAGATTCAAAAGCCTGGGTAGCATGATGCCACGGAGAGACAGTAGAGTTTAATTGGAAAATCTCATTCCTTTGGTCTCAGAGTTCTTTCTCACTTACTTAATGAAAAATCCAAAGCAAATCATCAGATCTTGCTGAATCTCCATCTCTTTAAGTATAAGTACTAAAAGAATCTGTCCTCCCTATTTCAGATAGAATTATAGCAAGTGAGATAAACATATGTGAAATTATCTGATAAGTTGTAAACCATATTGCCATTATCATCATTTATAATAATCATGATAATAAATATTTCTGTAAGCAATCAAGAAAAATTGTGAGAGGTAAAAGATTAAAATACCATATTCCTGGAGAAATTCCAAAACCAAGAAAAATTCAAGTAGACATATTAAAACACTAATGTATAAATAGAAAGGTTGACAAAGGAAGAAGAGAGCTAAGGGAATGGGGAACTAGAGAGAAGGCAGGAGAAAGAGTAGAGACAATTTGGTTTTGGAGCTCACATCTCTACCAATTGCCAGATGCCAGGAGATCACTTTAATATTATCTGCCTTTCCAATGAGTATTCCCTCCTAGGCTCTATTAAAAAACTACTGATTAAAAATGAAACCCTCACCCTATTTATATTGTGGCCAATTGTTTGGGGATTTCTGTGGTGGCAGGGGGTGGAGAGTAGAACTCTGATTTCACACTGCATAAGTTGAAGCTTGTTGAAACAGAGGGGACTCTGTACAATTTCTGGCTTAGCAATACCAGGCACCACACCACTTAGCCCATAATTGCACACTAGTGAAACACAGAGGTTCCATTATTTTTCTGAGGATCGGAGCTGATCCTAACATTCCTGGCTCTCCACCAAACCCCCCAAATCGAAGCAGATTGGATGGCCTAAGAAGTCCTATGTAGATGTAGGTTATGCTTGTAGTTGTCTGGGAAGTTTGTTAGAGTGTGGAAAGTGGAGCTATTTTATGCTTACTTGAATGCACAAAAGATTCAAAAAGTATTCCAAATCAGAGCTAATTTAAATCAGCAAATACATTTTCCAATGTGCATGGCAAAGAGGCTGATGCCACAGGGAAATTCATAAAATGGAAAGAAACAGACTTTGCCCAAAGAAGCTTGCATAAGATATGGACAGATAAAATAATGTTGACTAAAATACTTTTAAAAATAAGACATGTTATAAAATAGTACATGATCATTTTTTTTCCAAAAAATCTGTACCATCATTTCACTCACATAAGCATAGTTAAATTTGGTTTGGATATAGTCTGTGGGATAAAGGGGCATAGGCCATTGCATACGTGGAGGTGGCGAAGCCACTGTGGATATCTAAGACACTGTGAGTAAACCTGTCTAAACAGAATGGAAGTTTTACACAGCAGCACTGGAAGATGAGTCCCAGCAAGAGGTAGATGGCATACTCAAGTGGATGCATTGAGGATAATTTCATGAATGCATTATTTAAAATTGCATGAGCTGAGTTAAGGAATACCAAGGAGAGATGTTGGAACATACTGAGATGAGCAACAAAAAAAGATTTACCACCTTTGGATCTGAGGTGGAAACTAGAAGGGGTCATTGTCAGAATCTACAGAGAGAAGGAGAGAGCAGCCTGAGGAACAACCTCTAAATACACACAACAACAACAACAAAACAGGCAATGAGGGAGAGAAATAAATAGCCCAGGCGCATTCTTATCCAACACTTTGAATTCCCGACAGTTCCTCCATTGGCCAAAGCAAAGCAGAAGGCAGACGGCAAACGAATCTATTGATTTTTCCATGAAGGTCAGCCTCCTGATAGAGCAGAATAAAGGAGGTAGGAGAGTAGAGCTGGAGGTGCAAATAGAAGATATCCAGAAGAGCTGATAAGTTAGATCAAGAAGATATCCAAGGGGCTAGAAGCTTTCCAAAGTGGGCAGGAATGGGGAATGTTTCCAGGTGTCGTTTACCGTCTGCACTCACTAACCCTGTCACAAGCTTGTTCCACATCTAACTCTTATTGTTCACGTGTCAGAAATAGCTCACTCTGCAAGAACAGAGACCAGAAGCTGTCCTACTGAGTTCCAACATAAAGTACCTGGGTCAAGGATTAAGGAGCAAGAATTGATAAAATATAGATCCACACGCAACTTTAAGAGCCTGTAAGGATTCTTAAGTATAAAAACATTATTGTTTCTAATCTTGAATTTTTGACAGTCCTGAGGTTTGTGTTAATCCAAATTTTGATTAAATTTTGATTGAACTAATCCTCAAATCTGTATTCATTAGTTCGGTAAATATGCTTTAGATTTTCTTTTTCTTTTAACTTAGCCAAATATTGACCTGAAACTGTCCAAAAGTTTACTGAGTTTCTGATTAAATATTAAACAGAAAAATGACTCCAAGCTATTTAGTGTAGTAGTTTCTCTAATGTGGAAATTTATTTTTTTTCAAATTTTATGATCCTTCCACAGGTTTTAACATAAAAATAACTAAAGCATTATAAACCTCTTATAATTCATGTCAAAAAATGCATGGGCACTGGGTGGCTAGTCACTGAGACACAGTGAGATCTGGTCAAAATTCTGTGCACACTCTTGGTGGCTCAGCACACCGTATTGAGAACAGACTGTTTCCATAGAGGCTCTACTTTATTCCTAGCTCTGTTGCCTATAATTATTGTAAAGCAGGACTATTTCCTGCCTTCCTGCCCAAAATAGAAGGAAGCATCCAACTCTGTCAACTCCCTTTGCTCTTGGCATCACCTCTCAACAGGGGTTAGGGTTTCCTGCCAGGAATTTCAAAAACAGTAACTGTTTTGGTTTCTTATCCAAAATTCAACTTGCGAGCAAAGAAATGGAGCAAGATCTATAATATAGCCAGGGATTCAGAGAAATTACATGTCTTTAGGCCTGGTTAATAGCACCAAGCCGGGGCTAGACTCATTGTGAGAATCAGTTCCAGGTAAGACTTGGTGAGCTTTGGAGTAATTGGGAGCAATTGAACACTCTAAAGAGTGTTTTATTAAGTACCGATAGCAAAGAAAATATTCGTTACCCCTGGGGTTTAATGAAAAATTGCACTGAGCATTCCTACACACTTCCTCTATGGACCCATGCTACGTTTCCATGGGCACATTGCATTCACAGCCAGAATACTGTTCAACACTAATATGCCTAGCCCTACCTCCAGCCTTTGGTAGTTCCCGAGGTCACGTCCTTTAGTCATCCAGTGCCTAAAATGAATGTTGTCTAACTACAACAAAACTCTCAACTATCACAGCTAACATTAACTGGATTTTGTTGTTGTCAATGGTGGTGGTTATTCCTTTGGGCTCTAGGCATAATACTAAATGTTTTATATGCTTGTATCTCAGTTAATTTTACTATAAGTCCATTAGGGGATGACCGTTAGTCCCCATTTTACAAATGGGGAAACTGAGTTTTAGAAAGATCCAGTCATTAGGCCAGGTTCATAAGGAACAGAGCTAGGGCTTAAAGTAGGCAGTGCTGCACTACTCCCCATAAGGTCCCCATGGTACGCCCCTCTGAGACCATTTAATGGCACAGTGCAGAATAAAAAGAAGCTTTCCTCATGACACCACCAAATATGAGGGGCAGTTATTTCCAAAGAGGAGGCAGAAAGTGCTAAAAACCATGCTCTGGTATGAAAGACACACTTCCATCAAATGTGTAAGCTTTAACTTTCAAGAGAGACCGTTTCCTGACTCCTCACCCCTATGCCTGCCCTTGTGAAAGAGACAAACATCTTTGTCTCTTCTGATTGTACACTCCCGGTTTTTGTTTCTGTGCTTGAGAATCAGCCCTAAAGAATTAAGATCTGACTCTTTTGCCAGAGACCCTGTCCTGACCCTAGAATCATGGTAGCCCCCAGGTAAGAGGCATTACTCATTCAAAAGGCCAGGGAAGACCCAAATCCTCATACATGCCAAATACTCAAAAGTCCCCTTCATTGGGTCTAGGTTTAAAATTCTTTCACGGAAAGCCTATGGCCTTTCATCCCAAGTCTTTGGGCTAAGCACATGAGGAAGAAAAGCCCAAGATGAAGTGGCTGCCCGCCATGGGAGCAATGTCACTTCTCTCTTTACAACACTAATCTTTCTTTCTCGGTGGGTAGATAGATGATAAATACATGAACAGGTAGATGGATAGAACATTGATATTACATTAAAATTCACAATTTAAACATTTTTATATCTTTTACCCCATTTGACTCAGAATTTTGTGACCATCAGAGTGGCCTTAGGGCCTAAGGTACAGGTGGTTGATTCTAGCAGCGTAATTTGAGAAGCATAAAAATTCATCAGCTATTTCAAATGAACTTAATTTTCTCTTAGTTCTTCATGCATTCATTCTTATGGATATTTATCAAGTGCTTTGTAGGTGTCAGCCCAGGTGCTAGGGACCAGAGACAGAGCAAAACACAGTGCAGTACCTGCCCTCAAAGATCACAGCCTGGTGGAAGAAACTGACAAACAAGCTGACAGTAACAGAGAGGATATTGGGGCATTGTGGAAAGAGACAGGAGCAAGAACCTAACTCTTCCTTGGGAGGCAGGGGTGAGTTAGGGAGTTTTTCAGACACAGTAAAGCCTGCCAAACCTGGAAGACATGAGCAGATATTAGCTAATTTGATAGCAGAGACAAAGAGGTGCTTGGAACTGGCAGACTACTCAGCACAGCGGATCTCCCAAACAATATAGGGGTTTGCAGAACACACTCCCCCAGTAACAACACAAAGGCATATCTTCGTGTGTCTCAAATTCTCTTCACAGAGCTTTGATTTTCCCCTGACTCCACCCTGCTTCAGCCCGAAAAAATCATTAACTCCAATTTCTGAGTATTACCTTGCCCAGCTGAAGTTTCCATTTTCAAAATCTCATTCTGAATATGGTACAAAGTTCATTTGACCTACTCTTGCCACCTTATTGGGGATCAGCTCTTTTATGTTTTCATCCTTCCACCTCTACCTTAAGCTGAATTCCCATTCATTCCCCATTCTTAATGCTCTCCAAACAGCCTCTTAAAGGATAGTTTGGGTAATTACAAAGAAGTCAGGCCTAGGTTCTAGAGATAAAATGTATAAAGAGTATAGTACAGTATTTAGTAAAATGTAGCTTCTGCTAACAACATCCTTACATGACTAGAGTCTCCTAAACAATTTGCAATATGTGTCAGAATGAAAAATAAAATAGGCAATGTGGGGAATAGAGTTGCATAAGAAACTAAAGCAGGACTATAGGGAAAGACTGATATGAGGAAAATGCAGGAAAGAGAGGGCCCTAAGTGACCAGGTGCAACCCAAGGGCAGTGTAAAGACCACAGGAAATGGTAGACAGCGTAGGCTCCTCATAGCACCTGTACCGTAAATGTTCACAAATCCATCAGGAAGGAGACAGCTGTGAGAGTTGTCATCATGGACAACTATGACAGGTGAACCAGCTCATGTAAAGATTGGACTAGATGTTTTAAGAGAGAGGATTAATGAGCTATATTGGTCAATTCAGATAGTGTAGTAACAACTCAAAGCGTCCATAGCTTTGCCCTAGGATGCCAAGACAAGCGAGAAATTGTGTATATTAAGTAAAAAAAAAAATGTATAGCAAGCCTACCCAGTGCAGAAAACCATGCAGAACAGAAGCTTAAATGTTGGATTCCCATGGAAAGTACCAATGAGCTCCTTTATAGACACAGAATGAGCAGGACTCTAGGAACTCAGATTAAAACAAACAAACAAAAAATCAAACATGCTAACAGTTTGCTTGTTCTTTGAACTCAGTAGAAAAAGCATGTTTTATCCTGTTTTGTTTGCTTTTTGATTAATGTAAAAATTTTTAAAAGTATCTTGGCATTTGAAGACTAAGATCTAGCTAGGTAGAGGTAACCGCGAACCTCTTTACTCTTGTGTGTCAAAAATTCAGGATAGTAATTAAAACGTTAGTATATGTTCCTTAAGACTTCTAGTAACTGACTATTTTTGTTATTGTTTTTTCAACATTAAATCTTAAAAGCATTCTTTTCAAGAAATCAATAGCATTAACAGTTATTTCTGTATAAAGTAAAAATTATCTGGAAATTTAAAAGAAATCAGTTAAGAAAGAAAGTAAACCCTAATAAGTCACCTTATTTATATAGTAATTTATGGCTTAAAAAGATGTTGTGCATATTATCATATTTGATCCCAACCATTTTGTGAAGCACACAGGACAGCTTGTGTTATCCCCATCTTCCAGACGTGAAACCTAATCCTCAGAGAAGCTAAATGCCATCAAGAATTTGACACAGCTAGTAAGAAACAAAACAGAGGCAACGTACCATGTCCTCTAAGTTCTAGTTTCCAAGTTGCATGAACCTTGTCAGTATAGTAACATAATATTTAACTACTGGTAAAAGGAAGAATGTGGTTGCTTTTAAAATAAAAATAAGCAGTTCCAGCAATCAGCCAAAATTCAATGAGAAAAAATCAGAAGGATAGATTAGACAAAGCAATGAAGAAAGGAATTCAGAAATGGATGCAAAAGAACTGGGTTTATTACCAACTTATACCAAATATCACAAGGACTTTTATGGAACTATCAGTGCCCTCGTCTACTCTCCACTCTCTGGGTATGTTTTCCAGGTTAATATTTTTGACAAGGAATGTCAGAAGTTGTCCAATATTGTTAGTGCTGTTATTGTAGTGAAATTTTGTTAAGAACAATGTAATAGTGGACTCCATCTTATACTTACCTGCTGCTTTTATAATTTTAAGGCATTTACATTTGAATTGTCTCATTTTCTTCTGTAGGGAGGTAACTGGAACATATAGGATGTGCCATTTAATGGTAGGACACAGTTGCATAAATAGCTCAAAATAACTCAAAAGTCTATCAGTTCAGCTCTGCTTTCCCTATTCTCAATGTAAACTGTATGCAATTTAGTTCCTTCATCAAACAATAACTATTGCTTGTATGGTCTCAAAAAGAAAGTACTTGATGTTCGTGTTTATTCATTGTATAGTATTTATTGTAATCATATCAATAAGGCACTGTTTCTATTGGCCAGCTGCATGAGACATGAAAATGTTTTGTTTTACAACATTCTCACTGTATTTTTCATTGTTGCTGTCGTAATGGAATTTTATTTTATATGGCTCTGAATTCCACTATGTGTTTCAGACTTGAAGAGTTTACTTGCAAGATTTATTCCCTGTGACTGTAGCTTACAAATAAGCTCCACATCTGAATCACCAGTTATGAGACCCAGCAAGAAAAAATTTTATTTCCCAGGTAATTCTGATGAGCTATACAATTTGGAAAGAACTCTTCTATGTAATATCCTTTTATTTTATTGTAGACTCAGGTTGAACCATTGTATTTTGGGATTCAGTCAGATTATAATTATTATTATAATGGAGTCCTTTCCCACAGACAAAACTAGAAGGCTAATCACATGAGACTTATCTTAGTATGACTCTCAATTTGCATTAAGATTATTTGATATAAACCAAGTACTATCCTAGCATATAAAAATGCTTAAGATATAAAAAAATTCATAAATTTTTTTCTGTTCATCATTTACCATTTCTACACACAGTTATTAAACACTGTAGATGTCTGTGTTATTGGCATAAAGACAAATAAAATGGAAAAGTAACCCCTTATAAAGTCAGTAGGAAAATCATAATTTGATTCTTATGTTAATCCAATTCTCATCAAAATTATATTTAGGGTGTTAAACAGCACAAATGAGTTTGAAAAAGCAAACAAATTTAATTCGTTGACTATTTCTATAGAATTTCTTTCAGTTTAACTATGAGACAACCGCTAAGAAACTAAACCAGCTAAGCTTAAGTTCATATATAATGCCCAAAAGGATACTAATAGCCTCTTCAGTGCTGGTCTTGCAAAGTCTGTAAGAAGTGACAATAAATTGCATATGTTGCATTCCCCACAACACACAAAAAAATTTGATGTGGCACAATAGTTTGCCACATAATTAAATTGTTTTAAGTAAAGTTGTGTATAAGGTGGGAAAGCTGCAGTCTTCTGTACCTAGACTGCACAATGTACTTCAAGTCCAACCCTTGGGAAGATATGCAGCGTGGTTCAAAGAATAATGACTCCCATACGGAGTTACCAAACACTATCTTAAAAAACACTGCAAATATTGTTAACTGACCCCAAGATTTGCATTATTCTCCTTTCCTCTGATCTTTCCCTTCTTTTTTCTCCTCCTTCTCTTTGCTTTGAGCCTCCTGACAGCCAAGTACTTGCACAGTTACTTTGGGTTACAATATGTTATCCACAGTGGAAATCAGAAGCTTTAATTCAAAAGGTGGCCACTCTTGACCTCTGACCCTGGTGCCTCCCACCCTGCTGCTCTCTTCCACTTTCTGTCTCCATGGAACTGAATAGCTAAGTGGAAAAATGGGAGCAGGCAAAGTCTATAGCTATTCATAGACCACCCCGCTCCCCCTCCCCATCAAAAAAAGAGAGAGAAAAAGATGAATGAAACTCATTCATCAATAAGCAGGAGATGAAGAAGAAAGCTTTATTGCCTGAAAAGAGAACTAAAAAACAGGGAGGGCAAAAAAGAAGGAATGCCAAGGAAAGAAATGGAGAGAAGTAAGGAAGTTCACGTGGAATGCAAGCTGCAAGTTCTCAAAAATAAAAACTCAGAAGATGAAAAGCAGCATAGCACATCTCTCCAAACTGAATTATATATAAGGGGTTAATAGTTTCAAAAATGAATGCCTACTACCTGTTTTACATCTTCTTAAAACAAAGGCATGCACCTAGAGGAGAAGCAAAAGGAAAAGCCACAGAACCTCTGAGCTTGTCTTCTTTAAGCATCCTGGTGGCGCTGTTTGGGAGCTGACAGAAAAAAGGCATTTGCTAAGAGTTGGGAACTAAGGACTCCCATAAAGTCCAACACTCATCTAAAGGAAATTATTTTACATAGCAGAGAGAAAGTTATAGCGGCCGTATTATTTAGACTACTCATGCAGCTAGTCTGTATTTTACCAAGCATGGCTGAGCAATTCGAGGTGCTCAGAACCAAACCACAACATAAGAAAGTGACGCAAATCAGACTAGCCAATGTCCTCACGTTCAACCGACTTGGTAACAACACAGAAGCTGACACACACAGAGTACATCCTCTCAGTTTGAGAATGTTAGCGATTAAAATATAAAAATCGGCACTAAATTCAGATCAACCTCAAAACTAAGTAGAGCTCAATAATTCTATAGCATTCACCATGTTCCTCCTCCACAAGATGTAAACATTCTTTAACCTATTAATCATATCTGAAAACCTGTTTTGTCTTTATCATATGAATGCTGGCTCTGAGATTAGTACACCAAAGCATTTTCATTCTGTATGAATCAGAGCAACCACCATATGCTTCAGATCAAATATGGCAGGGCAAGAAGCTGTTTCTATCACCTTTCAGACTATTATCCTTTTACCAAAAGGACATCATCTACACCATTAGGGCTGCATAAAGATTGTTCTTGCAGAAAATAAAGTTCCCCTACTTCCTCACTGACATATTCCAGCTACTTTCAAATAGATTTTTAAATTATCTCATCAGGATATGTGGCATTAGTCCTAAATAACTATTTGCATTCTTCCTCTTATTTCATCTCTACTGACACTCTCTGACTATATTTTCTAGGACTGTCAGATTTCAAGAATATAAGAAAATGCATGAAGAAAATGATGTATTACCATTGGAAAAAGATAAAGAGGCTGACAGTCAAATTAGCAAATTGAAATGAGCTCAAATCAAGTGGCAACCTTATGGACTTCAAGTATACAGAGTTACCACGACCTGGAGCAGGGAACTTGAGCATCTTCAAAAATTACAAAATAGGACATAGAAATAAGTGTGGAAGAATTCCTCATAGAATAATCAGAGATTCTATCCATTGTCACTATAATAAGAAGGAAACTGGA
Source organism: Homo sapiens (assembly GCF_000001405.40). Lineage (NCBI taxonomy): Eukaryota > Metazoa > Chordata > Mammalia > Primates > Hominidae > Homo > Homo sapiens. The sequence continues at coordinate 137,305,932 of NC_000007.14, forward strand.
GATGAATCTGTAGCAAATACTCTTGTGAGTGCCCGCTCCCTGCGCTGCTTCCTTACCTCCTCCCCTTATAATTCTACAGATTCTCATGAAAAGAACCCAAAAAGGGACTAGAATGCAGAGGCAAAGTGGATTCAACTCATTTTGGGCCACTGCCAGATTCTCATTAGGTCCTGGACATGTGAGCCAATGCTGATTTCCATGGCTGATCTATCCTAAATCTGCCCTTCCTGAAACACTAGCCTTTGTCCTTCCAGTTGCCCTCTTTAAATGGGGATTTGGGTGAGAGCAATACCAAGGGGACTGTCATTATTCACCCATTATTATGAAATTGATGGGCTCTAAGTCTCTCCGGTTGAAAGCTTTGACAGGGTGACATCACATCGGATTGCAGAATCATTGCTTTCCCTGGTAAATCGGGTTACAAATGAGAATGAGAGTTGGGAGGGAGGGTAGAAAGAAGGATAAAGGAGGAGTGTTTTTCCTCAAATTCACCTCACTTCATGCTGGAGTGAGAGGCCATCCATACTCACGAAAGGCTAATTATATAAATCAAATGCCCTGGCTGAGTTTCCCACCCCCTGGGAGCAGGGAGAGCTAGGAATAAATGAGATCTTCTGCAAAATGAAAGAAACCCTTTGAAAAAATGCCAAAGCCAATACAGCTCAACTCACCAATTTTTTTTTGTAGAAACAGAAAAATCTGAACCAAGGATAACAAAAATAGCTGAGTTTTCATCTTCCAGCAGATTTGGAAATGTATTCACAATTTATTTACCTCCTTGCTAGAATTTATCTTTACATCACTAAATATGACAGCCCTTGAGCTAAATATATCTTCAAAATAAAATCTGACTTACTGTTTTGGAAAGATCACATTCATGTTAGTATGTCATGAGAGCAACCTATTATTAGGTAGCCAGGACTAAATGTGGTGGGAAAATCACTGCACCAGAAACAGGGATATCCACCTTTAGTGCTGGCTTTACTATTCCCTGGCACACAATCTCGGGTGGTTACTTCACCTGCCAGTGCCTCGCATTCCTCATATGAAAATAATGGGTTTGAGGTCTACTAGCAACCCTTTGAAAAGTGCCAATTTTCCATACATGCCAGAAGCAGTCAATGCTCAGTAGAGAAACTGAAATTCAATTAGGTATCGGTGGCATATGTGGCAGCTACTTTGAATAACGAATTTAAAGTTTGGGCTTTGGTTCATGTTGACATTTTATCTTCCCTATGGATAGTTTCAGCCTCCATGAAAGTTTATTCTTATTCTTGTCCCTCCTCATTGACTCTTCATCATGCTGGGCCCACTGAAGCACAGCATCTGACAGCTGTTCGGTTCCTGACAATCTAAGTTTCTTTTTAGGGCAACTCAGAAAGGTACCTATTCATATTGTACTAGTAAAGTTACCACTGAGTTTCCAATCCTGGTACCTGGGAATAATTCAATATATGTTTGCTATAATAGAAAAAATCACTACACAAATTTTTTAATGAAAAGGCCACCTAAACTTGATTTAAGAATGCCTCTAGTTGGATGAAGAGCTGGCTTAGTCACGCTGATTTCTATTCCAACAATTCATTTTTTAAATTTTTATTTCTGACCACAAACAGCTCATTAAAATTCAGTCCATAATTAAGAACTCAAACTAAATATGTCTATGACTATATATATATATGTATTTAATAAATATACATTACCTCCACAGTATGTATACACATATATATATTTAATGTGAGTAATCCATTTTGTTGTTTTCCGTATGTAATATGGCTTATGATTCTGAGATTCAAGTTGATAGTGTGCTTTAACAAACACAAACCAATACCAACAACCCTGCCCAATAGAAAGGCAGACGAAGTAATTTGCCCAAAGTCACTGATGAAGGGCAGAGCCAGAGGCAGAATGTACCCTTGTACTCTGTTTCCAACCCCCTCCACAGCTGCTTCTACTCCTGCGCTTGTTCCATGCTAAATGCCATGAGTGAGAGGGAAAGGATATTACAAGATTTTCTTTGTTCTTTGGAAGGGAGAAACAGCTTCATCTGTTCATGAAATCTCTAAAGCACCTAGGATTCTATTTTCTGTCCTCTTTTATTCAAAGGGAAGGGTACAGGAGCCCTACTGAGAGGCACACCTATTTCCTTGCAATCTTACTCTTTCTGACTTGATTTTCTTACGGCGTGAATCTTTGTCTAGCCCAGAGAGAGGAAGAACTACTTCTCACTGAGCCAACTCATTGTTTATTATCTTTTTAAATTTTATGCCCTGAAAAGTCATGAATTGTTACTCAAAAGTCATGAATTTTATTCTCTTTTCCTGTGCTCTGCCCTCTCTTGAGAACTAAATTATGGTTTTGTCTAGCCATCCAAAGGAAGAAAGGTTATAGGAAAACTGGACTTACCAATAGGAAAAGAAAAATCAGTACAGAATGAATCCTACTATTTAACATCACTATGTCACAGAAATACAAATGTACGTACATACATATATACAAACTACAGTGGTGACTAGTTTCTCAATTTGGATGACTAAAACCTTTTGAAACTGCTCAAGGGATTATCCATCTACTTTCTTTCTTTTTCGTGGTAGATTCTGCCAGGCTGCTATTGGGTGTTGGGGTTCAGAGCTTGGTAAGGTGAATTTTTGTGACAGATATTAATATCAGGGTAGGGTGATCTGGTAATAATCACAGTCTATATCCTGAGAGGTGGTGAGGATTAAGCCTTTATGGCAGGCAGATGATGACCAAGGACGAGATGCTCCTGATCCAGTCTTCACGTCTCCATCTCCCCACAGCACACTGGCTCTCAGTAAGTTCCCTGGGGCATAAACACTATTCTAGGGATTGTAAATATTAAGCAGGGACAGGAAGATTTGAATCAATCAGATAACCCTAAACTTACTTGGTTTCCCTAAATTGTCTGACACTGACATTTTGACCCCTGACGGGCCCAGATGAAAATTAAGTTACCTCTAAACCTAACAGGTTCACTTATTCTACCAGTTCAAATGACCATTTGATGTTGGGACTGAAAGAAAAAATAAGAAAGACAGGATGCAAAGTACATACTGAAATAGATCCTAGAGCACAGTAAAGAGTGAGGGTTAGATACAATTTCTCTGTGACCTGGAGGATTGGAATGGCCGAGGAAACTGATGTACGGCCATACCTTGGAGATACTGCACATTGGGTTCCAGACCACTGCAATTAAAGTGAACACCACAATAAAGCAAGTCATACAATTTTTTTGGTTCCCCAGTGCATACAAAATTTATGTTTACACTACACTGTAGCCTATTAAGTGTGCAATAGCAGTATGTCTTAAAAAAGTATTTATCTCAATTTTAAAATATTGTATTGCTAATATATGCTAATGAGCATCTGAGCCTTCAATGAGACATGATCATTTTGCTAGCAGAGGGTCTTGCCTAGATGTTGATGGCTGCTGAGTGATCAGGGCAGTTGGTTGCTGAAGTCTGGGGTGGCTGTGGCAATTTCTTAAAATAAGACAACAATGAAGTTTGTCACATCAATTCACTCTTTCATGAATGATTTCTCTGTCTCATGTGATGGTGTTTGATAACATTTTACCCACAGGAGAACTTCCTTCAAAATCTAAGCGACTCCTCTCACACCTTCCCACTGCTTTATCACCTAGGTTTATTAATATTCTAAATACTTTGTTGTCATTTCAACAATGCTCACATCTCCACCAAGAGAAGCTTCCATCTCAAGAAACCACATTCTTTGCTCACCCATAAGAAGCAACTCCTCATCTGTTCAAGTTTGATCATGAGATTGCAGCAACTCAGCAATATTTTCAGGCTCCACTTCTAATTCTAGTTCTCTTGTTATTTCCACATCTGCAATTGCTTCCTGCACTGAAGTCATGAGCCCCTTAAATTTATTCTTGAAGGTTGGAATCCACTTCTTCCAAACTTTTGCTAATGTTATTTTGACCTCCTCCCATGAATCAGGAATGTTTTTAATGGCATCTAGAATGATGAATCCTTTCCAGAAGGTTTTAAATTTGCTTTGCTCAGATCCATCAGAGGAATCACCATCTATGGCAGCTATAGCCTGCAAAATGTATTTCTTACATATAACTTGAAAGTTGAAATGACCCTTTGATCCATAGGCTTCAGAATGAATGTCATATTAGCAGGCATGGAAACATTAATAAAATCCTGATACATTTCCATCAGAGCTCTTGGGTGACCAGGTGCATTGTCAATGAGCAATAATATTTTGATAGGGATAGTTTTTCTCAGTAGTGGGTCTCAACAGTGAGTTTAAAATATTCGGTAAACCACGCTGTAAACAGATGTGCCATCATCCAGGCTCTGTTGTTCCTTTGATAGAGCACAGGCAGAGTAGGTTCAGCATAATTCTTAAGGGCCCTAGTATTTTCAGAATGGTCAGTGAGCAGTGTCTTCAAATTCAAGTTACCATGTTTTTTTTTTTTTGTTTTTTTTTTTTTTGAGATAGTCTCATTCTGTCACCAGGCTGGAGTGCAGTGGTGTGATCTTGGCTCACTGCAACCTCCGACTCCCTGGCTTAAGTGATTCTCCTGCCTCAGCCTCCTGAGTAGCTGGGATTACAGGCATGCGCCACCATGCCCAGCTAATTTTTCTTTTTTTGTATTTTTAGTAGAGACGGGGTTTCACCATGTTGGCCAGGTTGGTCTCAATCTCCTGACCTCATGATCCGCCTGTCTCAGCCTCCCAAAGTGCTGGGATTATAGTCATGAGCCACCACCGCAGGCCATCTAACAGAAGTCTGTTTCATTTACATTGAAAATGTGTTATTTAGTGTAGTCGCCTTTATCAATGATCTTAGCTGGATCTTCTGGATAACTTGCTGCAGGTTCTACATCAGCATTTGCTGCTTCACTTGCACTTTTATATTATGGAGATGGTTACTTTCCTTAAACCTCATGAACCAATCTCTGCTGGCTTAAAACTTTTCTTCTGCAGCTTCCTCTCTTCTCTCTGCCTTCATAGAACTGAAGAGGCTGGGCATGGTATCTCAAGCCTGTAATCCCAGCACCTTGGGAGGCCAACGTGAGCAGATCACTTGAGGTCAGAAGTTCGAAACCAAACTGGTCAACATGGCAAAACCTCCTCTCTACTAAAAATACAAGAATTAGCTGGGCATGGTGGTACACACCTGTAACCCCAACTACTTGAGAGGCTGAGGCATGAGAACTGCTTGACCCCAGGAGGCAGAGGTTGCAGTGAGCTGAGATCATGCCACCGCACACCAGCCTGGGTGACAGAGGGAGACTCCATTTCAAAAAAAAAAAAAAAAAAAGAATTGAAGAGAGTTAAGGCCTTTCTCTGAATTAGGCTTTGGATTGAAAAAAAATGTTGTGATTGGTTTGAACTTGTATCCAGACCACTCAAACTTTCTCCATATCAACAATGAGGTTATTTTGCTTTTATTCGTGTATTTACTGGAGTAATATTTTTAATCTTCTTCAAGCACCTTTCCTTTGCATTCACAATTTGGCTGTTTGGCATGAAAGGCTTTGCTTTTGGCCTATCTTGACTTCTGATATGCCCTTCCCCACTAAGAGTAGTCATTTCTAGATTTTAATTTAAAATGAGAGATGTTCAACTCTTCCTTTTATTTGAACACTTAGAGGCCATTGTCCCATCATTGGGTTACTAGTTGGCCTAATTTCAATATTTTGTCTCAACAAATAAGGAGGCTCAATAAGAGGAAGAGAGACAGGGAAATGACCTATCAATGGAATAGTCAGAACACACACAACATTTATCTATTTTAAGTTCGCCATCTTATACAGGTGTAGTTCATGATACCCCAAAACAATTACAACAGTAACATCAAGATCACTGATCACAGATCACCATAAGGACATAATGGTAATAAAAATTTTGAAATATGGTATAAATTACTAAAATATGACACAGAGACACAAAGCGACCACATGCTGTTGGAAAATGGTGCTGATAGACTTGCTCAATGCAGGGTTACCACAGATCTTCCATCTGTAAAATATGCAATCTCTGAGAAGCACAATTAAGCAAAGCCCAACAGAATGAGGTATGCCCATATATCATCAATGGACCATGTCATACAAAGTTGATGGACTTGGTTTTAAGACACAGGTGGCAACTCCTAATCCCTAATGAATCCATAAAACCTACCTGACACTGCCAATGAGAGAACTGTGATGTCTCCACATTTAAAGGACAAGATATTAATTGTTGTCAATTTTGAGTGCCAATAGCAAAGCCAATTTTTTAATTATACAGTTGTAATCATTTTCCAGTGAAAATGAATATAAATTAGACTGTGCAGCAATGAGGCATTCAAATGAATCCATCCGCGATGCACATTTCTTAGAACAGCTTGGCTTAATGGTGCTTTACTTGCTTTTCTACCAATGACAGAGAGCAGGTAAATGAGACAAGGAACTAAGCAGTGGGAGCCTACTAAAATGAGAAACAGAAGATGCTCAAAGACACACTATGCCTGTTGACAATTTGCCTGGGTGGTTTATTCTGCCCGTTCACCTGATGCATACTTGCAATCTCCACAGGTTCTAAGCTACGCTTTCTCAGCTTTCCAATTCAGCTTAAACAGTTATCTTTTGGAAAATTGTTGCCATTTAATTTTTTTTCTTTACCATTCCTCCACCCCTCTCTCATATTTATTGAAAAATGTGAAGCTATTAACCACTGGAGAGATTTTCAACACCTGGTCCAAAAATAGACAAAAAAGTAAGAAAAAGGCTAGAAAATGCCAATTTTTAAAATAAAAAAATTGAAAACTCTTAAATTTTCAATAAAGTTACACTCCAGTTTAAAACAACTACCCATACGACAAATGTATAAAACATATATATTGGGTAGTGAATGAATTAGGTGATATTAAAACTAATTCAAACTAATTTACTACTCTTTACCTGCCACACAGTATTCTTGTGATAATCAAATGAAAAAGAAAAAAGACTAAATATAATGAAAACTGTAAAATAATTTTATATGGTGATATTTAATATTTTATGTACTCTGCCAGGTGTTATTTATATGTGGTTTTGTTACAAAATACTTCTAGGTACTTCCTACAAGTACCTAGATAAAGTAGATTCCTTTATCTTCCTTCTCGTTCCCCCCTCTCATTCATCTTGCTGAAACTGAGCCCTCCTGGCAGCCCTCACTCCCCACGTGTCTCCAGAGAGACATTTCACTGAGGGCCTTCTGATTTCCCCACCTCCAAATATATATCGTGTCTCGGCTTGCTCAATATCCACTCCAACTCTCTTCCAGCAAGCAGAAAGGGAAAAGCAAAAAGCAGAAAACAAAATTAAACAAACTTTTAAAAAGAAATAACAACTACATTTCCCAGCCTCACTCACAACTGTTTTGCAGATGACTTAGGGAATTGCTGTTCAGATGCATTCATAAGGGAACTGAGTCATGAGGGGACACAGGCACGGTGTGTGGCATCTGGCTTGCAAGTGAGGACTGCGGCTCTGCAGTGTGTTTTTAGGAGCTATTCCCAGAAGTCCAGCTTTGAATTAATCCATTCAGCTATCCCAGTAATTGTGGGAGCTAGCTCTCCCCCTTAATCGATCCCTCACTGTTTAAACTATAATAGCTGGAGGAAATGTTATTGTTTGCAACTTTAAAAAATTGACCTATACTCACTCTTTCCCTTATTATCAAATTCTGCTCCCAGCCAACACTTTCATAACTATCAAAGGATTAAATAAATTCACACTAAGATTTTAAAATTTCAACTCACATGAGTAACTAATCTGAAAATCATGAGGCAAGGTCCTCTCTTATCTTCTACAAGGTTATAAGAGCTAATGTACTACAGATATCCTATCTGTTGTACCGATAAGCTTCATTTAATCCACTTAGAAATTCAAAAGAACGTATACCTTCTTGGAATTTAATATCTCCTCAGAATTGGATGTTCACCATGCACAGACCAACTAGACTGGGCCAGACATAGGTTTATTATTCAACCTTTTTCATCAGGTGCTGGTTTCTGAGAAGGGTCTGAGAAATCACATTTGGAAAGCAGAAGATAATCTCACCTATTTTATTTTATTTTATGTATTATTTATTATATTTTCATCTATAATTCTATTATTCAGCTGCTGAGTGATGAGCGGGACTAGAAAATCTCAGTAGAAAGGCAGAAGAAAATATCTATTTTTAGAGTCATTGTGGCTCAGTGTTCAACTATAAAGCATTGCTAAAATTTCCGGAAGGCTCTATAGTACCCTAAAAGACACAGCCCCAAGACAGGCTTTCCAGAATAGGGCATACATTGAGTACTCCATGCATTAAAGTGGCCTTAGCAGTATCATGGATCATTGCTCTTTTCTGCATGTATTAACTTACTTTGTTCCATGTACTACAGCATATGGCAAAGACGAATAAGATCACCAATGAGGTACCAGCAATTGATGGAAGGTAGACATATATAAAAATATGTGTAGCACAATGCAAAGTTTACATGGCAGAAGCAAGTGAAAAGTGCCACAATATTAGACTCTCAGGAGATTAGATGGGCTTAGAAGTCAAGGGAAATTGTATATACAGATGTGCCGTATACATTATGCCTATTTTTATGGTATTATCTCTCAGGTCCAAACCCAGTCTTTTACATGATGCTTTTTTTTTTTTTTTTAGAGAGTCTCGCCCTCTCGCCCATGCTGAAATCCAGCATGGTGTGATCTCGACTCACGGCAACCTCCGACTCCCAGGTTCAAACAATTTTCCTGCCTCAGCTTCCCAAGTAGCTGGGATTACAGGTGCCCACCACCGCACTCAGCTAATTTTTGTATTTTTAGTATAGACGGGCTTTCAACATGTTGGCCAGGCTGGTCTCAGACTCCTGACCTCATGATCCGCCCGCCTCGGCCTCCCAAAGTGCTGGGATTACAGGTGTGAGCCACCGCACCCGGCCCATGTTGCTTTGTGATACTAGTGACTCCTCCATGTTTTATTTCAGTTACATAATTAATACTTTAGACATTGTTAACTATTATTCATGTTCATTCTCTCTGTTAAAGTAATTGATGTGGTGTATTTCTTGGCTGATCCTGACACACAGAAATTGGTAGCCAGCACAAGGTCAGGAGTCAGACGCTCATAGATAGGATAGAGGGATTGGTTTGGCTGTGTTCTCGGGCTTGACGGTGATGGGCTCGTTGCCAATGCAAAATAGGATGCTAATAATTATGCCATGCAATGGTATCACCATTAATCAAATGAACACCTGTACTTGATTGTAATAAATTACTTACTGAAGAAAATGCCTTAAGAGCCCAGATGGCTGCTGTCCTTGACCATTACGAAAGTAATGATGACTATGAGGACTGTGGTGTGGGATGGATTCTCCTGAATGTCCCAGAACACTTACACGAAAAAAAAAAAAAGTGCAAGCTCAAGTCCAAATTCTTATCACAAACCACAGATGAGGACTTACCTGGTAGCCTTAAAGGAATCTCATCTGTTGTAACCTCTGGGCTGATATTATTGAACAGCAAGCACAGCTCTTAAGTGTGTGTGTTGCAGAATTACAAATTAAGTTGAAGTCACAGTTTCATCAGTTCTCTCGTGGGCAAGTTGGGACATTGTTTGGAAAGGGAGTTCCTGCAATGTGGAAAGGGGAGATCTAGCCGGATTCGAACACCCAGGATCTTAAACCACCTAGTGACTCTGGGCTTCCGTCTCACACCCCTTACTGACAGCCTGCTGTGGAGCCAACTGAGAAACAGAAATGTGCTCTGGCAGGGTCACATGGCCAGCACTCCAGGGTAGAGCATAGAAGGGCGGCTTTGGAGCTGGGACACTAGAATGTAGTAAAAGTATCCCATGGTATAGCTGATGGGAGGTGGCATTACATGCTGGGATGGCCTAGGTATGCAGTTCTGTGATCCTAAGTCTCTGCCTCTGCCACTGGGTTTGCATATTGAAAAAAATGCACCCTACTAGATTGGTAGCTTCACTTTTATTTTAAGTAGCAAAAACCTCCTGTCAAATAAAACCATGTCTAAAACTCCAAAATACACAACTGATAAAAATATCTGCTCTGATCATTTCTTGTGCTAACTGGGTGATCTCCTCTTGCCTGCTGCATCTACCCTGAGGCACCTCGTCAGAATCCTCAGGCTCCACTGAATATAGTCAGTAAACCTCTGAACAGAATCATCTCTTAAGGCCGTTGTTGCTCTCAAGGCAGCTCATTCCAAGATTCTCTCTTCAGGTCTGAAATACTTTTCCCAGACGATCCGTATCACCGTCACCTGGGAACTTGTTAGAAATCAAAATTCTGAGGACCCTGAACTCAAACTGCCTCAGCTCCATTCTCAGTCTCTCCATTCATTTCTGTGCAAACTTGGAGCAAGGTGCAAATCCTACACCTCATTTTCTACCCCGAGAATTTTGATCTTGAGGGCATCGTCCATATTCAGGGAACATAAGTCTTACAAGAAAGTCTCTTTGGAGGCCTAACAAATGTTCCTGAGAAATTCAGACTGAAGCATTTTTCATGATTGCATCTGTCAAGTGGTGTAATGGAAGAGAACTTTATAAAGGCAGGCCAAGGTCACCTTTCATTAATAACAGGGGCCTCATGCCTTTCAAACAGGAGGGGGCAGATTTTGAAAATGACCCATGCCAGATAGCAGAGGATCGAGCCGTCCCAAAAGAGAGTGGAGATTACTTTCCTTTCTGCAGAAAATGGCCAGGCAATTCAGCAAGAGCATAAGCAGGAGAGGAAAGCCCTCCTGGGGAGCATTGGGTTGCAGACTGGGCTGCCAGAGCATTACCTTTCCAGCAAATTAGCCGGCTGCCGGGTTTGGTGAGCATCATAAATCTCTAAGAACAGGGCTGCACTCATGAGGTAACCCAGGTGTTTGACCGTCTAGGATGTGGAAATACGCAAGGCAGTGGCGCCTGTGCCAAATGGGTCACAGCCACCCCTCGGTGCTGGAGTTTCCCAGGCCCCTTAGTGGAACTGCTCACAATTAACTGCTTTGTCTGTCCCCAAGCCCGGCCTCTCCATTGGAGGTGGGGTTCTCTCAGGTTGGTGGTCTCTCTCTTTCTCTCCCCTACTCTCTCATTTCCACAAATGCATGCAATCTTAATCAGAAATTACATCAGTCACCTAGAGTGTTTCTGAGGCTGTGTTTGTGAATCTGTCACTCCATATGTCAGGCTTGATGAAAATCGGCCTGGGTGAGTCAGGGAGAGCAGGGGCTGGCCATTCAGATGGAGGCTCTGCTTCCTCTGCTCCTGGGAGTTGCCTCCAGCCATGGAGAGCTTTCTTCATTCCACCTTTGGGTACCCTCGGTGCAGAAATCAGAATATGATTTTTAGGTTTTTTTCCTATGTGGTTAGTGAAAGTTAAATTTGAATATCAAGAATTTTATAAATGCCCAACCACCTCCAAAATCATAATGACTTCTTTAAATTTTCTAACTAACTGAGAAGTGGGTGTATGTGGGTAAAGAGTGTGGGAGGAATCCTAGAGATCCCCCATGTGGCAACCCCTATACTTCACATCTCCTGACCACACACATGCGAGTGCCATCTTTGGGAAATTCTATAGACTTTGGAACTTTACTGAGTTCCTTTTCATCCCAGAAACTGTAAAATGTTCTCATCCTACAGCATTTGTTGTATTTATTTTGATCGTGTGTTTATTTTCTTTCTGTCTCTGAATTGTATAGGGCCTTCTGGAAAGAATCCTGTACTTAAATGATAATTATATGTGGGGCATTCAATACTTAAACAATACTGCATTGTAGAGAACTCTGGTTTTCTTTTTCAGGGGGTGGGGGAAGGCGTCGTCCCTCTCTCAAATATTATAGTTTATAGTCTTTGCAGGAAGATGCGTCAACTGAGGCATGAGTGACCAAAGACAGGTGAGCGAGGTTCAGGATGAGTAAGTACCCTGGGAGTTCAAGGAGTGGGTGGCCAGGTAGGCAACAGGGCTGAAAGAAAATTTTCTAGACAAGATAGACTTGACCCTTTCTTTACAAGAGTAATCATGGCCAGGCACTGTGGTTGACGCCTACAATCTCAGCACTTTGGGAGGCCAAGGTGGGTGGATCACTTGAAGCCAGGAGTTTGAGACCAGCCTGACCAATATAGTGAAACCTCATCTCTACTGAAAATAAAAAAAATCAGCCAGGCATGGCGGCACATGCCTGTAATCCCAGCTACTTGGGAGGCTGAGGCAGGAGAATTGCTTGAACCTAGGTGGCAGAGGTTGCAGTGTGCTGAGATCATGCCACTGCACTCCAGACCGGGCAACAGTGTGAGACTCGTCTTAATAATAGATAAATAAAAGAGTAATCTAGTGGCTGAGAGCACATTGAAGAAAAGGCTGTGAATGAACCAGGTATTTCAACACTTCATCTCTCTCTTGCTGGCCCTAATTGTAACTCCAGCGATTCCAGAGACTTCAGAGCAGAAAAACCAGGTAGAATCCTACAGATTCTTTCATACAGCATTTTATCATCTGTGGCTCCACATTAAGTATTAACTTTTTTATATATTTGTGCTCATCGTATATAATTTTAAGAAAATAAATGGTAGGCTCTAAGTTTCATTTAACTTTCTATTTCCAGGACTTTGAAAGATGAGACAAGTAAATGTGTATGCTGCGAATTAATACGTGAATGAACAAATGACTACAGGCATTATCCGAATGATATGATCTTCCTTCCCCATCTTTCTGGGTGTCGGCCTTCATTCACCATGAAGTTGTAAACACAACATTGATTTTGGAGTCAGACAACCTAAGTTCAAATCTAGCCTTTGCTAATTACTGGCTGAAATCATTGAGAAATCTACTTAACCTGCCTGAGACCTCAGTTTCCTTATTTGTAAATGGAATAGTAGTGCCTCAAGTGAGATAAGGTATGTAAAAGCGGTAAGCATTGCCCTCAATAAGTAGAATAAACTCTCCCTCCCCACTACCGTCACCAACACCAAGATTCTTTGTCTGCTTTCTGGCATTTTAGTGACTGCTGTCGTGTCTCTTCCTTTTTAAATTACTGTAGGGATACTTTTTTCTGATCCATCTATCTTTCTCTCTACTTTTGTCCACCACTCTCTACTTTTTGTCCGCCTAAAAAGACCTAAGCTCTCTAGTTCAACAGACACCACATCGTCGCTGACTACTTGAGTTCTGGAGTAATAGGAAATCATTGCTCTCAAAGTGTTTGTATTTGAAACCCAAAGACCTTCTGCAGTTTACTTAATATCCCTCAGCCTCGAATTCCTCATCTGTAAAATGGGATTAATTAGTTTCCACACTTAACAGAATTCTTGTGAGAATTAATTGAGTCATAAAGATAGAGCATTTATCAGTCTCCGGCTTGGTAAATGTGAGATATTACAAAGGGTAACCTTTTACTTTCTTCCATTTGTTCTCAGAAAGCTTAAGTCTCCAAAGCGGGCATGACTTTAATACCCACAACCCGAGAGTTCTTTGGGGAGTCGTTCCTTAAAACCTGACATTGAATCAAGGCACTCCAAGGGGCTGAAAGCGAACATCTCTTTGTCACTTCACCAAGACCACAGTCCTCCTTGTTTAGCTGGCAGATCGTTTTTTGGCCATTCAGCTTCCTCTATAGTCATTGAAATGGAAAACCCAGGATGTCTCCCCTGTGGGGTTTTGTTTTCCATTTTATCAGGATCTCAAAATGTCTCTGTGTGTCCACAAAGGGTATTCAAACCTGTACAGATGAGAAGCCGGACAAACTGCCAAGGCTTGGAGACCCAGAAGCTGGGGGCAACACCTGAATACTTTTGCCGGAATGGGCTGGGCGGGTACCTGCACTCCAGCTTCATACAGCTTTGCTGGGACTCCTTGACGTTATGGTCTTGTACGTTTAGGATAGCATTCAAGTAGCTTATAGTGTAACATCCAAGGGCCAAAGGGAGTCTTATGTGGTCTAGGTCAGTTTTTCAGTCCATACTCAATACTCCTAAGTAATCCCCTCCACGTGTATTCTGCTAATTAAGAGGCCACATGTCTGTATGTCCATGTTCCCAGGATATTCAAAAAGGCAGAAAACAAATCTCTCTCTCTTTCTAGCTCCAAAATTCCCTTGCACGATATGTATCTGCTAGTTTGGAAGACATAAATATACGCATTCATATTTAAATGACAATCATTGAGCATCCTCAATTGTGTGATTATTATCTTATACCTTTATACCATGGGAGAATAAAACAGTCTTCTACTTTTGTCTGTTTCTACTCATCTTTCACCATAATTCGCCCACACATTCACAGGCACTGTCTCTTCCCAATGCTCATACTTACTTCTTACCTTCCTGACGGAAAGAGTAAGACCCACACATAGGACTGTAAAATCTTTCTCTAAAGCAGAACATTTTAGTGTCAACTTTAAAATGAAGACTCCATTTTCTAACTCACTCATCTACTGTAGTGCAACTATAACTGGATCATTTCACACTTCTAGGAAATTTAGTACTGTGCTTTCCTCTTAGAATTTGATACTCTTCCTTGCACAATCAAGTATGCAGTGACTTGCATTTATTATAGAGATTTGGAGCACTTTTGCTCCATGGCAAACTTAAAGCTATTGTTGACAGAAATAAAAACGGGAAAAATTCCCTGGGAAGGTGTTTAGATAGGAGAAAGAGGATTAAAGCAAAATTTTGATTTTTTTTTAAAAAAGGATTCCAAATACGGAATAGAGAAAAATGAACTTTTATAACATAATAGGTTTGGGGATTTTTTTCCAAGTTTGCATTATATGCTTTCTCATGATTTTCTGACACTGGCTTGTCAATTGAATTTTATTCCTAACAGCAGTTGCCTTATGGAAACCTGCTCTGCCTTCTCTAGTCCTGCAGTTCATTGTCAACCTGCCCTACAGGATACCTTGTCATTCTTCTTCACACATCTTGATATGGTGGTTATTCATCTTGCCAAGCAAGCTGGGATTGGAAGAACCCTCTGTGTTATAACTTCTGGCTTTATTTTTCACAGACTCAAAGTAAGCTTTGAGGTCAACTGTGCTGTGGCTCTACAATGAATATTCAACAATGTACTTTGTGTCCACAGGTGTCCCGTTCAGAGCATCCAGGCTAATGGACAGTTAAGGAAACGACCCAACAGCTATTAGGGCTCCCTTGCTATTGCCAAGCTTGTTTTCATGCTGCAGGTGGTACTGAATTATATAACACATGTGCAGCTAAACAAGCAAAGACCCTGCATGTTCACCACATTCTCTCTCCTCTGAACTCTGAGGTTAATACCAGTTGTCAAACTGGCTTACGGGAAGGCACTATACCTGCTCACAGCTTGGCTAAGAATCAAAGAGATGTTTGTTTTGAAAGAATAAAATCCTTTACACCAAATATGGTTTGCATCTTTCTTTGGCTTTAATACCGTTTTTAACCACATCTTTTATATTGACTTCTCCCTCTCACAGTTCATATTTCATCACCTAAAAAAGGTAATCCAATGTCTTTATTCATGCTCATGTGTTAATTGCAAAATTAGTGGCAATATTTCTTCTGGCACTAATAGTGTTTATCATTGATGCCACGTTCTTAGATGGTAGATGCTCAAAGATATTTTATATATAGGTTTATAATTTTTCCATGACAATGTGATTTTTGTTTGATATGAAGATTGGGTGGCTTTTCTTCTGTTTAATCACTACCAGAAATAATTTCTTCTTCTTGTCACAGCACTATTTAATAATCATTTCTCAGTAGCGCTATGGCCACAGCCTTTGGAATTCAAATATGTGGCTCCAGATTTAAACATATGTAATCAGCAAAAATGAAATATTGTTTAATGCTTAAATTATGGAAAGTTACCATAGCCTAGAATTAATGTTCTATTTATAAATTAATTATTGGCTTTGAAAATTTGTTTTACTTAAAATAGCCCGTATGTGACTAGGATAAGTAAAAAAAAGTTTAATATTGATATTTAATTTTCAAAAATACAGTGTACAATAAGTTACAAAGTAAGAACTTCGGACTTAACCACTGAAACTGTTATTTTATCTCAGCCCAGGAACAGAAACATGTTTAGCTGAAGCTTAGAGGCCTTCCCTGGCACTCTCCTTCCTAAACCACCACCCCTCCTTCCCTCGTACGTAGACTCATTTTCTAACTCATTATCCTCTTTTATTTTCTTCCTTACTACTTGCTGAAATTTTGCCTACTTATTTGCTTTTCCTTAATTGAGAATGAAAGCTCAATGAAAGCAGGTACCTAATAGGTGTTTACTCCTGTGCTATCAGGGCTTAGAAGAATAACATGTGGGCATTCAATAAATATTTGATTGAGGGAAGCAATGGATGGATGTTTTCAACTGGTGACATCTATAGCCCATTTTAAAAATATAAAACATATCAGTTCATATAGTTATTTTTTAGGAGTGACATATGAGTTCTGGAGTAATACACTTGCTTTCAAAGTGTTTATATTTGAAACTTGAGATACATAGGCAGTTCTTGCTATGCATAGTAGTTTAGGACCATAAAACTGACCTTGTTTTAAGATCAACCTTAATTATCAATAGGAAAATTATGGTTTTTTTTATGACCTATCATTAAAAACTCTGTTATTCATAAATGTATAGAAAAATTAAAATATTGTAAAATTGATATTTATTTAGTATACAGCCACATAAAACATTAGAAATATTGAGATGTAAAGTGTTTGGTTTTGCAAAGTATTTATCAAGAGTCATTAGAACAGCTTGCTTTTCTTTTTTCATGGTACACATTACAATACAGAATAAGCATTTTTCCGTGCCTTGGCAAATCATCATACACCTTTCTAGATTTGGATTAGCTTCCAAAACTTCACTTATTCTTCACTCTTTCAGTGTCATAAAATAAATCCAAGAATCCATTAAAGTGAGTTACTGCCAGCATCAATTCCCTCAGGACACCTTCATCCTCTTAGTCATATCCAATTTCCTTATTTATAGCTATTAATTTGCCTTTACTAAGTGCCTTTGGCCACACATGGAGAGTCTCTCAAGTGGCAGCAGCATCAATGTTTTTACCTTCAGTTACTTCTGTAACTCCACTTATGTTTGACTTGAGTTTCACTTCCAGTGTTAAATTATTTCTCATTTCTTGCCTGCACTTTCATCTTTGTTGTCCAATTTCTTCTTTGGATTACCAATTTTTGAAAAACATCTTGTGAATTTATCATTGTGAGACAGGGAGACAACAAAAGTACATGGTTTGTTGCCTGTGCCTAAAGTGAATAACAGATTCACAGTGACCAATTACAGACAGACTATGAAAGAAGGGATGTGATGGGTCACCAACTAGAAAGCAAATTTGTTATGTATGTCGTGATTTGTAGATTGAGCAGCTAGCAGTGAAATTTGTATTTATGCAGTTTAAGTATTTTATATACTTTTAGTTAATATATTAATAAATTATGTTGTTGGGGGACTGGTGTGAATTAATTTTACTATGGTAAAGTGAAGACTGTCAGTAATTTAAAACTTCATTTGTTTGCCAAACTTTCAAATGATGTCTGAATACCTTAACGTGTGAAAGAAGCTACTTTCAAAACATGGAAAGTTGAGTTTTTACCCTTGGAAGTCACATATGAAAAACAAAGAGGGATTTTGCTTTCTTAATGTCATTCCCTGTGAGACAGACAGCAGTAGATATTTAGTCATAGCCATAGCCTAAGTTTAAGAAAACAAAATGTTATAATTGTGTAGTTATATGCTTGAATTTACTAATCAGGATTATCTCAATGGTCTCAAACTCGATCATGTATTAGAATCACCATGAGGGCTCATTAAAGGGCCAGATTGCTGGCCCTACCCTCAGAGTCTGGGGTACTAGCTGAGAATTTGCATGTCTAACGAGTTCTTAGGTGAAGCTGATGCTGCAGAGCCACCAACTTAAACACAATCAGAAGAGTATTCCATGGGGAGAGAGAAGAGAATCCACAGATCGTAATCTAGGAAAATCATAGACACTGAATCAAAGAAATTAGTGGGATCTTAGAGATCTTTTAGTGTAGGTCCCTCGTTTTACAAATGAAGAAATAGAAGCCTGAAAAATTCAGGTGATTTAATACAAAATCAGCCAGTTGTAGAGGCTGGTCTAGAACATAGAATCTATTATATTCCAACAAATTCTAGAAGACTGCTAGTGCCATAGTAGGTCGTATTTTCAATAGATACATGCCAAATACATTACACACACACAAAATGGCTCTCAAACTTTAGTGTGTCTGAAAGTAGTTCTGTGGCCTTGCTAAAAATTAACATTCTTAAGCTGGGCACTGTGGTGTATGCCTATAGTCTCAGCTACTCGGAACGTGGAGAAAGAAGGACCGCCTAAGCCCAGGAGTGAATTCCTGGGCTCAAGCTGTAGTGTGCAATGATTATGCCTGTGAATAGCAACTGCACTCCAGCCTGGGCAGCACAGCGAGACCCTGTCTCTAAAAAAAAAAAAAAAAATATATATATATATATATAAATTAACCTTCCTAAGCCCTCATCTAAAAATTCTGATTCATAGATAAAGTATGGGGCACTTTAAGACCACAGCCCCATGAGATTCTAAAGAACAGGTAAATTGTTCTTTAAGAGACAATGTTCTACGATTGTGTAAGCTGATGTTTTAAGCCAAATAATCTACACACAGAAAATAACAAAACGCCAACTTTAAAAAAAATTTTTTTGCAAAATACTTTCACAGGCTATGATAATTCCCTCCAAAGATCCAGTAAGGTCAGTGAGGCAACTGTCACACTCCCTTTTTGAAGAAATCTTGGAGAAGTCTCCATTCTGGGAACCTCCTCCTTCTCATCCATGGAAAGGGTAATAATACTAAAATGGATCTCACAGAATTGTTTAGAGTATAAAATGGGATGAGATATAGGAAGGCAATTTGTGAATAGTAAAATATTACATGGATGTTAGCTGTTAATGGAAAGCCAAAACAGAGTATGAATTGTTTCAGAGTATGAAACAGAGTATGAAATATCAATTGGGTTATCTGCAGATAAAAGAGTTTTAATTGTACTGTAATAGGCTCATCCTGCAGTAGCTTCCTGATTTGTCAAAGGAAACAGATAAGGCAGAGCTTCAGTGAAATTGCAAGATTTTACCCTCCCAGGCCCCAAATTATCTGGACCAGGAATTGCTGACTAAATCTGAATCTGGAACAACATTAAATATAATATGCCCTGTGTTAAATGGCTTTCTTAGAAAAGATCTTGTCTGATCTCTGTCCCCAGGACATTTCCTGTCTCTTCTGGCTGATAATTAAATTAATTAAATTGGGGATTGGAAACCAGACAATATTTACTTCCTGAGCATTCTTTTCTTTTAGCAAAGCTGAAAAAATAATTTTAAAGGAAGAAAACTGAAAATGATCCATTTACCACTGATTCTGCCCTCCCTAGGAAGAAGGATGCCTGGAGTGGGATAAAGAAAATATAGAAAAGGAAGGGAGTGTCTTCACATCCCAGCAGGGCACATGGAGGAGGAGGAGGAGGTGCTGACTATGGACAGCAAGAAGCAACATCACCATCACAAAACACCCACCCAGGGCAGGGGCCCTTTCAACAAGGAGCATAAGAGACTGTTTCTGCCTCTGATGGAAGCCCAGCATTTTGTTTTTCTCCACATATTTTAATCAATATTTACCAAGCCATAACAATCTGGCTTTCACTGTCACCCTAGGGTTGAGTTTCATGAGTAACTACCTTTTCCACTGGCTGCAGAAATAATGACTCCATGTATGATTGGCAGAAGGTCATTCATTTGAGCATAGGAAAACAAGCAGTTTCAAGAAAAGAGCTGGCATCTCTGCATGAGTGAATCAGTGCACATCTAAAATGCAGTTACTGAAATTATAGAAGCCTCTCCTCGGCCAATTGGCCTCCTTTGGAAGATATGGCCTCACACCATTCCATGTGCATGTGAAATGTCTAGACGTGATTATAGAGTTTTCTTGAGAGCTGATGCATCCAAGGAACATTTAAAGTAAGAAGCAAAGTAATGAAAAACGTTTCTCAGAAAATAAAAATTGTTAATATGGTCTTACCACATTTTCTAATGAAAGCATGTTGTGAATGCTCAGGAAGAAGAAGGTACAGTAATGGGACTAGAAATCTGCAGCTTGGATGGGAGCCCAGTCACCAATTACCAAGTGCTACAAGCCTGAGGCTACTTCTCATTGAAAGGGCCTCCCAGGCATTGAGGGTGTCCACAGTTCAGTGAGACCTCAGAAGCCTGCACGTAGTTCATGCTCAGTTCTTAGGATAATCCTGTCTCTCCACAATTCCTTCAGGCTTGCAACACTCTCTTACCCCAAATCAGCTCTTCCCCTACATTTCCCCTTTCTATCAATGGCACTAGAATTCTCCCAAATTGATCAATGTCAACATCTCATTGTTTACTCACCCTTCATGTACTCACCTCCCATTATAATGTCTAGATTACAGATAGCCTTTATTTTACCTCACGGCATGTCCAGAAAGAATCTGTCTTAACTACCTACTTACACCAAGGCATCAGCAATTCATTTATTTATTCATTCATCTGTTATTGTATGAAGTATTGGCTAAGAGATCTATAGTGAAGTGGGGAGAGATAGTCATTTAAAGTAACTGTCATATAAGAATGAGTAAGCATTCACACCGTTGCTTCCACCAGAACTCACACTTTCTTCCTTATATTTTTCCATCTTTAAACACAAGTTAGGAGACACTACCTCCTGGAAGCCTCCCCTGAATCCACCCTCAGCTGACTAAAATGTCTCTCCAATGGGCTTTTACAAGTGCATATCTAGTTCATTGCACTGAAATTTCACTGATTAGCTATTCATGTGCCTGCCTGCTCCCCCCAATTAGACTGTCCTATTCAAAAACAGGGACTGTGTCATATTCATCTCTGTATTCCTGATACTTAACATAGAGCCCAGCTCATTGTGTGCATTGCATATTTTTAAATGAACACATGAATGAATGAATGAATGAATGAATGACTATAAAAGGAAACCATAGAAAGTTGTGAAACAGAGAAAGGGGTAAGTAATCATTTTAACTAGGGGAATAAAGGTAAAATTTTCACGGACGTGACGGTATTTAAGCAAACCATTGAAGTATGCACAGGATTTCCAGAATGTAAAAGGATCAAGGGGTAGGGTAAGGGTTGGTACACAAAGCATTACGTTTTCAAACCTAACTGATTCTCTCCACCTCTGATCTGTTACTTCTTTAAAAATGATATTTTTATGCCTTACTTTTACCAATTCTTTTCTTCTCTGTTGTGGAGAACCTTCAGTGATTCCTTACAATCTAACTTGATATAATTCAGGCAGCTTAGCTTTCACTTGAAGCGTCTTGCTATCACTCCTAACATTTTTTTTCTAACCGTTGCTTCCACTCTTGGCCACTCACTCTCTGCACAAATCAGGCCCCTCTGTTTTCTGTCTCTGAGGTCTTGCCTGGGATCATCTCTTTGGCTTTCCTCTTTCTTCATGTGTTACCTGGGATGCTTTCCCCATATCTTTCTGCCATACACAATGCCACCCTGCCTTTGAAAATCCTACCCTTTCCCAGAACTTTGGGATGTGACGGGAGGAGGATCACTTGAAGCCAGGAGTTCAAGACCCGCCTGGGCAATATAGCAAGACCCCATCTCTAAAAGAAAAAGAAAAGAAAATCCTATCCTTTATATGCAGCCACCCTTTTCCACTCCAGACCAGAATGTCTTCCTTCTCTGAAAAAAAACCACTAAACCACTCTTTTATCATTTCATTTTACATTTGATTTTCCAGCTCTAAGTCTGCTTTGTCCCCTTTTATGAGGATGAAACTAAGATGCCTACAGGCCAGGATCATGGACAGTGTCTTGTTGGAACATGCCCAGTGTCTCAGATATTCTATTGATTAAAAATCCTTGACAACTGAAGCAGCCCTCTAAGGATATATGAGAGGTTCTTGACTTCAGGCGGACACCTTGTTATTCAGCTACTGGATGATGGGTGTGGGTACTTGCAGTAGATTTAATATTTAATTCAGTGAGAAGAAATAAAAATTATATTATCAGTTTGGTAAGGAAATCACTAACTATATTATAAAATAAAAATGTCTTACTTCCCTGTTTCAGCTGTAGAATTACAGTTACAGTTATTTTAACTTCTTCCATGCTGCCAGATTAAAGACCCTTTTAAAAATTTTTACTGTGTGACTAGCCCTTTAAGATAGATCACTGCTTTTACCCTAGCTCTTGTAATCCTGGGGTTCCTTCATGCTTTGCAGCTTTCTAGGTTTTGCCTCTTGTCAAACTACATCAATACCAGTCTCAAACCTGAATCATAAAAGACATTTTAGAGAAATAGAGGCTCAAGGCTCATGTAAAGGAATGACCTATCACTCACAACAGGCTGCAGGGCATGGAGAATCCATCACCTAACCTTTCCCAGCCTCTGTTCATCTGTGTCCCACTGTTGGATGTCCAAGCTTGACAGTGAATGCTTTCCAATGGGAAACTGTAGCAGGATTTTTTTCCCATCCTTTGGTCCCTATTGTATGTTCAGCTGCACTGGAGCTAGCTGCTAATCAAAGCCAGAGACTCTCAACACAAACAAACCCGGCACTGTGGCCTCCCCAAGGGATAGAACACAGCAATCCAACAAACAATTTAGTCAGGTGATGGCAGGCTGGAGAAACAGATTGAGCAGCTCCTAGACACCCTCCTGCTTGTACTCCCAGCGGTCCCTTTCCTCAGCGCAGGCATGTTGAAACACCATGCCAGGCCAACTGGTGTTTGAGAAAACAATGGGAATTAAACAATGGGCAATCATATGCAATCAAGGAGGGTAATCTAACAGCAACATTCCTTATCCAAGACACGGTAATCTCTTGATCATAAGGAGGTAGAAATAAGTGACATAATATGAAGAAATATTCCTGGATACTGGCTAGAGGGAAGAAAGGAATCATGAACCAGAATATCTTCAAATACTCACTGGACCCTTGACATTGAATAGGGGAATGGAGGTAGAAGAGTATGACGTTTAAGAATTTTGTGGTTAGAAATATTTGGACTACACCCTCAGTTCTATTTTTTACTAGCTTTTGATCTTGGACAAGTTACTTCTGAGATACATTTCCCTCATTTAGGAAGAAAAATAGTCTTTACCCCATAGGGCTGTTGGGAGCATTTAACCCAGCACTGAATGTAAAGTTCTAGTATTGAACTGTCCACTGTATAGAAAGCACTCAATAAGTATCAGCTATTATGACAGTATTATTAATGCTGGTGAATTGTGCTCAGAAATTTTAAATGATGAGAAATAATAAGAACAGAAAGCAAGGCCTTCAGCTTCTAGAACTAGTTGGTGATAAGGGAGCAAGTCTCCTTGCTCTTGGTAGTTCCTAGGAGCAACGTTTTAGAGGTGCTGGCAGGTCTTGATTTTGACTTATTGCCATGGGTCCTCAAAACACAGCAAGGGAAGTTAGGGACGCCACTGTCCAGGGTGAAGGTAGAGGACAAGGTATGGCTTCAGACAACAGCAGGAGCTTGGCTCCAGGTACCTGAGCACTGATGAGGGAACCATCATCTAAGTACAAAGGACAGAGCAGAAGAAAAAAGCAGGAGATGCCAAAGAAAATGATTACTCATGTCACAATTTTGCACTAGGGCAGCCAGTTAATATTAATTCTTGCCAGAGTTTCTGAAGGTCCAGACATGGGACAAGAGAGGAATAGAAAGTAGTAAAATGTTACTCCAATTCTATGCAACAATAAGCATGGATTGAGTACTATCTGCAACTGGCATATAGTGGGTACTCCATCATTTTCAGGAATATCCATACTCAATGCATATTCAGGAAGTGGTAAAGTGAAAGACCTAGACACAATCGTAGGAACAATGAGGTTCAGCAACAAGAAACATAGCCAGTGAAACTCAAAATTAATATAGTGACTTCCTTTAAGTATAAAAGACAGTAATGCAAGATTAGCAATTCAAGTAGCTTCTTATGGAAACCTCCACATGAAAATAATGCCAGTTGGTCGGGTGCAGTGGCTCACACCTGTAATCCCAGCACTTTGGGAGGCTGAGGTGGGTGGATCACCTGAGGTCAGGAGTTCAAGATCAGCCTGGCCAACATGGTGAAACCCCGTCTTTACTAAAAATACAAAAATTAGCTAGGTGTGGTAACATGGGCCTGTAATCCCAGCTGCTTGGGAGACTGAGGCAAGAGAAATGTTGAACTCAGGAGGTGGAGGTTGCAGTGAGCTGAAATCGTGCCACTGCACTCCAGCCTGGGCAACACAGCAAGACCCTGTCTCAAAAAAAATGAAGAAGATGGAGAAGGAGAAAGAGAAGGAGGAAGAGGAGGAGGAGGAGAAGGAGAAGGAGAAGAAGAAGAAGAGACATACCCAACCTAAACTTTTTTCTGAACTGAAACAGAATGTTGAACATCACACATTACAGCAAATAGCAATCAAGGCAGAAAGCCAGCCCCCAAATCTAGAAGGCACATGTGCAGCAAAGCCCTGGCTGAAGGAACCCTGGTGTGCTCCAGCCCACAAAAAGCACACTTTAGTCTCCTGCTTTTATGATCCACCACTAAAGGTGGGGAGGACATGAATGAAAACAATGCGTTAGACGGTAGAAAGGTTTATGGAAGAGTTGGCTTCAGGGACCAGATTGTCCAACTCCAGGTTCTGCACCCAAGATTCCTCAGGCCCTGTTTTGGGAAGGAACTCTTCACTAGAACAGCAGATATTGCTTTGTCTTGAAACACTCCCTCTGAGAAAAACAAGAAGAGGACCAGGTTTGCTCCACAGAGCTGGAGTGATTTCATGGGACTTTTATGGCAAGAGGCACCTGGAGCCGAGGAGATGTGGAAAACAAAGAAGGCAAATCCACCCTAGAGGAATCTCCTTAGGATACACCATGACAGCCAGATGGGCCATAAGGACCCTATGGCATGCTCAATACTTCCTTTTTAGTGGCAGAAGCCTCAATGCTATCTAATAGAATTTTATGTGAGGTCTGAAGTTCCTCTGTCCAGGAATGGGGCTTCTATCTATGGGATTCTTGGATGTTTTCTCTAAAGCCTCAGTTCAAGTCCAATGCTGTTTCTTTTGTCTTATTGGTCTTGCTGCCTTTGACATAAAGGGCTTCCATTTAACATCTTGTGAAAGAATGTCACTGGATGAGACATTAGAAACCCACAGAGCCTGCTTTTAGGAAATGTGGATCTGTCTGTTTAGAGAGAAATTGGTAGAAATCCACATCTACCCCCTTATTCCTGCTGAACTGCTTCTAATCTGCTTCTCCAAATCAAATTCATTTATTACAGCCTTGAAGTACATCTTCAAATCCCCAGATATCACGTATCAGAAGGCAAACTGTAATTCCCTAACCATCAGACTAAAGCCGCAATTTAAAAAGGCTAAAAATCACTTCAGGCCAAAGTTGGTGGGAATCCCAATACTGGCACAGATACTAAACGCATTTGACTTTCACTCCTCCTCTGCGATCGGGAATGTGGTGGTCAAACCCAAATTTGATCTGACTCACTTTAAACTCGAGCCAGTTGTTCACTCGTCATTCCAAATAATAACAGAGCAAATAACTCCCTGAAGGATGCCAAGCCCTGGAGCGACACGCATCAAAGAGGTTTGCTGATCTTGCAGTTTACCCACCTGCAGTGCATCAGGCCCACTCCCTTGGGCCTCACAGCAACTCCAAAGCTTCTCAGGCTCTTGAGAGGAGCTAAGGGGTTAGATCCAACCTGGGTGGGACCAGGCAGCTGTGTCTTCCCTGGGGAGACTTTTACCCTTAGATATATGGAAGGGTCCTTTAGGGCAAGAAAGAAAGACCTTGTGTACTCAGCTTGACCTTTAACTGGCACACACTGAGTTCTCCAGGATTATTTGTTCCCATCTAAACAGCACATCTGCAAGGACAAAGACTTTTATTTGTTTGTTTGCTTTATGAGATGTTTGTTTGCTTGCATTTTCCCAGTGCTGGCTCTTTTATGAGCATTCATAACATTAATTTACTTAGCATTTTTTATGATTCTAATTTACCCATACCGAGCTAAATAAATTGAATTTCCATCTTAATTGGCTCATTTGGTAGAATCAAGTGCATATGTTAATATGTGCATAGCTGTTAAAACATATTGCATGCATCAGTAACACTGTTAAAAAGCAGGACACCCAATTACGCATCTAACTATTTTTAAAAGTTACATCAGAAAAACCGTAAAGGTATATCAGGGTGCTAACAGTGGTGCCTATTTCAAGAATTGTAAGTAAGTTTTCTTTTCTATAAAATTTGAATATCTTGTACCACGAACATGTATTTTTCTAGAATGGGAAAAATAATGTGTTTCTTCAGGTATATTTGTGTTTTCCTAATAAGAAACATCATAATGGAAAAAAAAATATTTCATTATTTTTCACATGGTTAAAATTAATCAAACTTTTCACACATTTGACCTGCGTTGAGCTATATTTGAGATTCTGCATATTCCCAGAAACATTATTCAATAATGAAATGTATATTGTAAATAAGAAAAAATAATGGGAAGAAAGGCTTTATTTTATTGTTTCAAGATTTAAGCATAGACACCGGTTAAAAATAATCTAATAACCTACCTGTTTTCTCTCCTCTAGCAGCTTCTGGCTGGCTCATTTGAATTCCCTGGAACATATCTAAAGAAATACATTGCACAGAGAGGGCAATTTTTTTTGTAATAAATATTTTTTGAGGAGCTGACTTGACCCTTGAAATCCAGTTCTTTCAAGACCAAAGTATGTTTTTTAAGCCAACAATCTGATGTTCATAAGCTCACAAATTAAGGCCACCATATGTTAAAACCTCAGAGATAATTCTGCTACTGGGCACAATGACCCCACGGCTAGGTCTTGAAAAAAGCCATATTCACATCAAATAAGAAAGCCATTATGAAAACACTGTTCTAAAGTTTTACATGGTTTCTGCTATAGTTTGGATGTTTGTCCCCACCAAACCTTATGTTGAAATTTGATTTCCCAGTGTTGGAGGTGGTGCCAGATGGGAAGAGTTTGGGTCATGGGAGTAGATTCCCTCATGAGTAGATTAATGCCCTCCCTGGTGGGTTTTGGGAGGGTGGGTAAGTGAGTTCCCACTCTTAGTTCCCCCAGGAGCTGATTGTTAAAAAGAGTCTGGTACCTTCCTGTCTTTCTTGCTTCCTCTCTTTCTGTGTGATGCCTGCTCCCTTTCACCTTCCACCATGAGTGGATGCCATCTGAGGCCTTCACTAGATGCCCAATCTGGAAACTTTCAGCCAGCAGAATCATGAGCCAAATAAACTTTTTTCTTTACACAGAACCCAGCCTCAGGTATTCCTTTATAGCAACACAAAACAGACTAAGATAGCTTCTATTTGTTCTAGCCTGAGTGAAGATTTTCTGTGTTACCTAAGACTGTTACCACAATATGTTCCTTATTAATTAAATCTGGACTCTGAAGCAAAAAGCCCTGGCTGTTTCTCTGGGCAGCCCCACCGTCTTCAAGGAAGTCACAAAGATGGATGATTCCTGGTCTAGTTCCATTATGGTATGGAAGGAAAGAGTCTAATGCAGTTATAGACGTTAAAATGTGAAAGAAGGGAAGACTCTTAACACTAAGTAAATATATTACATATATCTTTTTCATATTAAGAATGACTTTCTTCACAGAATTGGAAAAAACTACTTTAAAGTTCATATGGAACCAAAAAAGAGCCTGCATCGCCAAGTCAATTCTAAGCCAAAAGAACAAAGCTGGAGGCATCACGCTACCTGACTTCAAACTATACTACAAGCCTACAGTAACCAAAACAGCATGGTACTGGTACCAAAACAGAGATATAGATCAACGGAACAGAACAGAGCCCTCAGAAATAACACCACATATCTATAACTATCTGATCTTTGACAAACCTGAGAAAAACAAGCAATGGGGAAAGGATTCCCTATTTAATAAATGGTGCTGGGAAAACTGGCTAGCCATATGTAGAAAGCTGAAACTGGATCCCTTCCTTACACCTCATACAAAAATTAATTCAAGACGGATTAAAGACTTAAACGCTAGACCTAAAACCATAAAAACCCTAGAAGAAAACTTAGGCAATACCATTCAGGACATAGGCATGGGCAAGGACTTCATGTCTAAAACACCAAAAGCAATGGCAACAAAAGACAAAATTGACAAATGGGATCTAATTAAACTAAAGAGCTTCTGCACAGCAAAAGAAACTACCATCAGAGTGAACAGGCAACCCACAAAATGGGAGAAAATTTTCACAACCTACTCATCTGACAAAGGGCTAATATCCAGAATCTACAATGAACTCAAACAAATTTACAAGAAAATAACAAACAACCCCATCAAAAAGTGGGCGAAGGACATGAACAGACACTTCTCAAAAGAAGACATTTATGCAGCCAAAAAACACATGAAAAAATGCTCACCATCACTGGCCATCAGAGAAATGCAAATCAAAACCACAATGAGATACCATCTCACACCAGTTAGAATGGCAATCATTAAAAAGTCAGGAAACAACAGGTGCTGGAGAGGATGTGGAGAAATAGGAACACTTTTACACTGTTGATGGGACTGTAAACTAGTTCAACCATTGTGGAAGTCAGTGTGGCGATTCCTCAGGGATCTAGAACTAGAAATACCATTTGACCCAGCCATCCCATTACTGGGTATATACCCAAAGGACTATAAATCATGCTGCTATAAAGACACATGCACATGTATGTTTATCGCGGCACTATTCACAATAGCAAAGACTTGGAACCAATCCAAATGTCCAACAATGATAGACTGGATTAAGAAAATGTGGCAAATATATACCATGGAATACTATGCAGCCATAAAAAATGATGAGTTCATGTCCTTTGTAGGGACATGGATGAAATTGGAAATCATCATTCTCAGTAAACTATCGCAAGGACAAAAAACCAAACACTACATGTTCTCACTCATAGGTGAGAATTGAACAATGGGAACACATGGACACAGGAAGGGGAACATCACACTCTGGGGACTGTTGTGGGGTGGGGGGAGGGGGGAGGGATGGCATTAGGAGATATACCTAATGCTAAATGACGAGTTGATGGGTGCAGCACACCAGCATGGCACATGTATACATATGCAACTAACCTGCACATTGTGCACATGTACCCTAAAACTTAAAGTATAATAATAATAAAAAAAAAAGAATGAAGTTTTCTAAACACTTTTCATTAGCTTTTAAAGCAAATGAAGAAGGCAACATTTGGATCACTTACACCCTCTCCGAGAAAGACCCCAGCAGAAGCACTGGTAAGGAGGCCCAAGTGCAACATCTGGCCAGGGGCTTTTTACACTTAAGGGAACTTCAGTGAAGTCAATAGCAAATCAGGTGGTGTCTGCAATTTTCTTTCATAAATAATCATACATTGTAAATATTATTTGGTCACAAAGATGTAAGTTTTAGAAGCTTTTGCATATAACATATTGACAATGATCCTCATCATTTTTATTAAGCTATGGACATCATGACTGGAGCATTCTGATTTGTCTCCTGTTCCCTCAAGTTTGTTGAATTAAACTGTTGTGGCTTGCTACTCAAAGAGAGGTCGCCAAGCTAGCAGTACTGCAGTCACCTGGGAGCTTGGCAGAAAAGCAGACTCTGAGATTTCATTGGAGACCTACTGAATTTTGGCAAAGACCCTGGGTGACTGGTATGAACATGAAAGTTTGAGAAGCACAGTTATCCAGCTATCATGTAAATGAACTGCTGTTAGCCAATTACTAAGGCTTATATTTAGTGAGAATAACCAATTAAAAAATGTGACATGTAGCTTTTAAGACACTTCAGAAGGAAATATAACATAATCTGAGGTAAAAGAAAGCATGCCTGTTTCAGTTCAGCCTCATTTAAGATGTCTTCTCGCTTTTTTTTTTTTTTTTTAGTATGACTCATTTCTTTTTCTTCATTCCTGTCGCACATCTTACCTCCTCCTCACTTTGTGAGTCAAACTTACCTTCAAGCAACTTAGGCAATCTCTGTGTGTCCTGAGAAAATGACAATGACAATAGCAGGATTGGGAAACCAGAAAGGCAGAACTTGCCCCACTGACTTTATTAAGTTCAGTTCATGTTCAGTATAACAGTTTAGAGCTTACAGATGTTGCGTCGTGACCATTGACATTTACCACCAACCTATGAGGTTGGCAAAACAAGTAACATCATCATCATTTCCCACTTAGAGCTAAAAAACCTAAGATTTCAGAAGATTCAGTGGCACATCCAGCAGCCCATACCAAACAACAGGCGGACTGTGGTGAGATGCTGGTTCCTGACTCCAAACCTTAACTCCTTCCCTGGACTGAAGCCTCTATCAGCAGGGGTCAGAGAGAATGTGGTTATGAGCATCACTAAGGTCAGCAATAAAGTGCCTGTCTCTTGGATTGGGAGTCTTCTGTATGCAAAATGCTCTCCTATACCTTATGGGAAGGGATAAGGTCAAAGAGTCTGCATCGGAGACTTTGCCTGCCCAACCCCCAGGCCTTGAGCATGATCACATGCTCCGTATGTTTTCTTCCAGAAGAAAGGATTTTCAATCTGCATTTAGAGAGAAGGAAGAAAATGGTATGAGCATGTGGAGGGGCGAGGCCTTTCAAGAAGCATGGAATTCCACCTAGGATTTTGCTTGTATGTTTGTTGCAGATGCCAAGTGGGCATGAGAAAGAAAAGCAATTCAGGAGGGGGAAGAAGTGAGGACTTGCATCTGGTGCTGCTTCACCATGATCATCATTTTCACCATCCTGCTCAAACACTCCCAGCAATCAGACTCTATGTTCAGTACTTCACATTGATTTTCTCAATTACTACTCAGACGTCAATCCTGGAAGGTAGGTATGTGCTCCCATGTTAGAGATGAAAACACTGAAGTAAGAAAGACCACAATATTTGCTCACGGTCACAGAGCTACTAAGAAGTGCAGTGGTTTATACCTCAGTATTTTGGACCTTGGAGCTCAAATATTGAGCGATTAAGGCTACTGTTTCTAATGTTTCATCCGTATCCACATGCCCTGTCGTATGTCCAGGGTCCTTGATTCCACCTCTTAAATCAGAACTGCTGAAGATGGGCTCCAGGCAGCTGGAACCTACACATGACGCTAGTTAATCTGATAAACATTGAAGACAGGGAACTGCTGCTGTAGGTTATTTGACCTCTAACTGTACATACATTGGATTTGGGGTTTGACATGAGAGACAAATGGGAGATAAAATCTATTTATTAGCCTAAGAAAGAGATGGCATTATATTACAGAGGAATAAACTCAAACTAGGAATTTTAAGACTTTTGTTTTCATATCTGTATGTCATTGAATATGGCCCCCTTAACTTCTCTAAGCCTGCATTTCTGTATCAATTTTTTAAAAATCCCACTCAATCTACCTGAGTAGAGTTACAAAAATATGATGAAAAAATAAATGTGAAACATTTTTAAAAACAGGCCTTATAGCTACATAGAAGTTATAATGAAAATAATGCTTCAAATTACTAGCTTTGTCACTTTGAATAATATGGTTTGTTAAAGAAGAGGTAAGTAAGGTTTTCTCCATTCTGGAGGTAGTCTTGAATCGGCAACTATGAAAAGTTTAAAATTATCAAGGTGAAATATGATTAGGAAGACACTGTAGAGAACCAGCAAGCCTATATGACATTTGTAATGAAGGGAGTGAAGGAAAGAGAGTGGGAGAAGTTTCTGGAGGTTCAAAGTTGAGAATGGGAATGCTTGGGCTTAAACAGGAAATTGGCACCAGGTTGTTTGGTAAGGCAAGGGGATTAGGCATAGAACACAGATGGTCAAGGTGGGTGGAACAACATGGGCAAAGAGAATGAATGGCATTTAGAGCTGCCTATTTTCTCACTCATTTGCCATCTTCAATGGTTCTATGCTAAATATGCTAGGGTTCTTGAGAGAATGAGAGACAGCCCTTGCCTTAATAGGGTGCACAGGTTGGATGGGGTGGGGCTGGTGTCAAATGGTGAGAAAGGAGGAGCTGAAGTCACTATAAGGGGTGATGGGGAGACTTCGAAGACAAGGGAAGAAATATAGCTCCACCTAGAGGGGGCA
Organism: Homo sapiens; assembly: GCF_000001405.40. NCBI lineage: Eukaryota > Metazoa > Chordata > Mammalia > Primates > Hominidae > Homo > Homo sapiens. The sequence goes on from NC_000007.14 coordinate 137,338,123, forward strand.
TTTGCCTTGGAAAACCTTTGGTGCCTTCAATTTCCGACTCAAGATTTCACCCAAATTCCACAGCTGAAGTACAAGGATTTGCCTTCTTTCCCTTCATGTATATGTTTTCATTAAAGGACACTCTTCTCTTCTGGTATAAATTTTCCTGAAAAGGACATCTACAGGGAGTGCCATGTCTTAAAAATTATATTGATTCTAAATAAACTCAGTCTGAATTCTTAAGTTGTCACTTCCAATAATTTGTTTCTGCTACGTTATGTGGCAAATGTGAAATGAAAACACGAAGGAATCAGGAGTTCAATTTCCCTTCCAGAATAAACAGCATTAAAGGAACAAACAGACATAATGCTTTTGAAATAGACGTTGCGTACCATTTAGCCTTTTGTGAGCTCCACTTTCCTTTTTCTCATAAAAATGTGATCCCTTTGTCATTGGAACTGCTTAGGGCAACAATTGTACATATCTTCCTCTAACCTGTGTTGTAGTAATTAGTGTTTTAATGTTCTTACATATATATTGAGTAGATCATTAGCTGCTTGAAGACATATTTATTTGTCCTGTTTCCCTCATCACACTACCTACCATATAGTATGTCAGTCACTATGCGTAAAAGTCTGGTAGGGATAAAAATAAAATAACAGGAAGTCCTTTACTTCAATCTCCTCCTCCAAATAGAATTGTGCCTGAATGATTTCCTTCAGTATTCATTGAAAAAATATTAAAAATGTGAGTCCAGAGCTCATTAGAGAGAATCTTCCTTCAATTCTCTTCAGATCTGAGAATTTTCCTTGTGAAGGAGTTAAAGCTCAAAGAAGAGTTGTGACAATACTAAAGCATTTGGAGAGGAGAGAGGAAGGCGGGAAACTGAAATATTTGGAAATAAATGTACACATTTGGAAGACAAGAAAAAAAAAAGCAAAACAAAACATGAAAAAAGGAGTGCCCAAAGAAATTAGGAAAACATTAAGACAATAACATATCAAGGAGGTTACAGTATGAGATAATCATAAAATGTTGGGATTAGCAATCTGTGACTTTTAAAGCATCTTTTCCAGAGATGGGTGAGGGTATAATGGATTTTAATTGAGATCTCCTTTAAATACATTTCTAATAAAGAATTTCACAAGTTCACACCACGTACCAAACACAAAGTATTAGATATTGTGAAACCATAGAGATAGACACCATGTTCTATTTCTTAAACATGCTACATTGTCCAGCACAATGTAGTATTAGGCATCCAACATACGTACAATAAATATTGTTAAATTGGCTGGCCACAGGAGCAAGAAAAATTGTATTGTTGGAGTAGGACCCCGAGACGATGTGATGGACATGAGTAACTCCAGCTGCGCCTCTACATTGATGTTGGGAAACTGAGAAGAGAATGAGGTCAACATTGCAGTGATGAAAATGTTGCCTGACCCTTAGGCAGGGTCTTGAATCAAAAAAAAAAAAAAAAATGGGGGAAAAATGCCATTGAATCAGTAGAGAGGGCACTGGTGTTGAAAACATCAGCTAGGAAGGTCCAAGCTTCCAAGAATGCCAACATATGGGCAGGCATTCCTGGTACATCCGTACATAGAGAAATGTATGCCATCATAGCAAGAGGGAATTGGGCAAGACGTTCTGGGACCTGTTGGGTGGGAAATAGTGGCAACCAAATTAATGGAGAAATGAGAGAAAAGAAGGAGAAATAGGTAAATGTAAAAGCAGGAAGAAAAGGGAGCAAAGGGTTAGAGACAGAATGCTATTTGTGTTTTAAAATTATGTTTTAGCTTTTGCTAAGAGCAATTCTTAGAATTAAGAGCCCAATTATCAGTTACTATGAGTCACTTTTTTCAAGATTAATATACAGCGCTTGATTTTTTGTTACACTATGTGTGAAGTTGAAAAAAATCTAAGACTTCTATTTTTAGAAAACTGGATATGATTTTTTTCTGTTTGAGATATCACTTTATCTCAACCCACTCTGAAAAAATGGTTCAATAAATAAAGCCTAGAAAAATGAATTAAATTTTATCCCTAAAAATATCTCAAACATGAAGGAGTCATTGTATTCCTTGTCCACCCTGAAGAAATAGAGATTTGTGGTGAATGTGATCTACATAATTAAGTCCACAATATTCCCATATTTATAATACCCTCTGATAGTGTTCCATCATAGCTACCCTTTTAAGATACTGTTTTAATTTCTTATTTACTAAATGCCAAAATAGAAAGAAAAAGAGGTTTGTTATATTTTACAATCTAGAAATATTGTAATGACACCATGAAAACTATGCCGCACACTAGACTGGCTTGAAGTGGATGGAAAAATAGCCCAGTGGGTGGAAACTTGAATTGTCCATAAACATCAGAAGGAAAAACAACTTTCCACGAGGCCATGGCCCAAATTCCACTTAAGCCAATTGACTCTGGATGGAAAAAAGCAAGCCCAGCTCATAAAAAGAAGGTTCATATCTGAGTATCATCTTACTTCGCCTCCCACAGCAGTGACATGACCTTGTGCCAGAAGGAGGCAAAAACTCTTCGACTATTCATTTAGAACAGAAGCCAGAGCTAAAAACATTCCTCACCCTTATGGAGAAGCCCAACTCAACATCACTAGCAAAGCTATGGAACAAAGGCCATTGGAGAGCTCCCACTCAGCCTCATGCTCCAGAGAAAAGCACATCTCAAACTGGGCTGAGGTGCACTCAGGTGTGGAGGATGTTTGCACTCATCACATTGGGTGGTCTCAGTCTGGACACCTCCTTCCTGAGAGAAGTCAAGAACAACTCCCCATATCATTATGCCGCCATATTAAAAAGCATAATTCTTTAGAGAACTGGAATTTGTATTCTGAATTCTGACTTCAGGCCCTCAATCTATTGTTAATTTATCACACCATTTTCAACGAGCCGGGTAAACTCGATTTTGTGGGAAATTTTTGAATAGTAATTAAAAACACCACATGACAAATAGGAATATGGTCAGAATTCATGTGAGAATGCCATGTAAGTGAGAAAGCAAAAATATCTTCAAAGGAAAAATAAAATATTTAAAGTTAAAATATTTGATATCTAAGATTGATTTTACTAAAAAAAGTGATTCAACTATCTGGGGATCTTATTTCTCTCTGTTGTTTTCAACAACTAGGCTTTTATGAAATTTTAAACCAGGCCATTGGCTTGACTGAAATTTTTTTAAAAAATGAAAATGCTCATTAAAAAGAAATGTAGATCTTGTTATGTGTTGCTATATGTGAAGCCCAAATAAGGCATATGGAAAATATCAATAAATTAATACGTTTATTAAACCAAATCTCATGATCTCATGGAAAGGGGTCTAAAAAAACAGAGAATTATATATAATACATATAATACATTAGACTATAAATATAGTTAGGTATACCTTATTACTCTAATTATCTATAATATCTCATTTAAAGTCAGATAATTAAAAAGTCATGTATCTAATAGTACTTTTATTTATCTCAAGCTCTAGCTTTGAGAACATAATGCATTTGCATCCAGAAGCAAACAGCTGGAACACAGCACCTAATGCTGTTATATGTGGCTTCAGGTGGGAGTTCCTTATAGTGGCTTTTCACTAAATGCAGAAAAAGATGTCCTAAAGGGAACCAGTGAGCAGTGGCAGAAAAAAGATCACCTTCTATTTATTTAAAGTACAATTAGAGAACTTAAGGCCCAAGTTTCTTAAAGCACAAAAGGATGGCATTAGAGTTTTTTTTAAATAATATAATTTTTTAAAATCTCATCTTCTAATTTAAATGAAAAAGTACAAATATTGCCAGTCTGAAATAACTCATGTCCCAAAGGAAGAAAAAAATATTCATTCTAATTTCCTCTGAATTTAACTGGACTATATTTTTTAAACGACTTGGCCTTTAAAGTGCATAATTTACTTAAAAGGAAACATAATGAAGATGGAAAATACAGCTTTATTTTCTGTGTTGGGAGACTTCTCTTTTGTTTCATTGTCATTAACTTTCAATATTTCTACATATCAATGCATTCCCGGATAATTAAGGGGCTAAAATGGGCCCTGCTGTTTCATCAATTCCACATTTGCCTAGGATCATAAAATGTTTCATTATGTTATTAGTCCAGAGCTCTTTTTGGTGATTTCTAAATCTCCTCCCAGACCCCTCTCTCTAGCACACACACACGCACATGCACACGCACACACACACATCACCCCTTTCTCAAGCTGCTAAAGCAAAATGCCTGATAACTCTTAAAATGAGAGATGCTCAAGGACCGCAGCTTTAATATTTTCTCCTCTTAGCACCCCTACCCCTCCTATTTTCTGAATGTGTCCCCAAACTTACAAAGCAGCTCTTAACAGACACAAGGGTGAGTTAACACTAGAGTGTATATAAACTGCATGTGTGTGTTCCTGTGTGTGTGTGTGTGTGTGTTGTGTCACATTATGTCATGGAGAAAGGGGTGTGTGTGTATGGAGAGGAGAGAGGAGGTTTCACTTTCCATCTATTAAGAAAGGAGTTGAATACATTCCTCTCAAAAAATGTTTTCTTAACTTATTAGAAACAACAACTCAGAAACTCTAAATATCTAGTAAATTAGTAACAAATATATCCTAAATTTATGTGGGTCAAATTAAAAGTTTAAGGGTCTATGTACTGGGCAGTTCTTTAAATTTGCATTCAAATGAGAGATGGGACTCCAGGTGTGTCTTCTAAACTTTGGACCTAACCATTTCTGGAACCATTCCTGGGCTGTCAGGTGGGAAGACGGGTGCCAGTAGTTCCGTGAGAGACGTTTCATGTCAGCTAGCACTGGGAGGAACAAGCCCCCACAGCTTACCTAGAAATGCCAGCTAAGAGTCATGGGCTGACAGGCTCTGGGGCAATCAGAGAATCAGAGAGAGGCTGGGAAAATGAGAGCTGCTTGTTCAGGCTGCCTTACTTTCTTTGCACCTACCCAGCCAGAGACACACCTACTAAAGCTCCAGGTTTTACAAAAAGCAAAGATGCACTCTCCAGCCCACCCTGTCTTGCTCTCCAGCTGGTAGCTGGAACACGGTCCAAATACATGCTTAACATCACAAAAACTTCTTTCCTTTCACTTACCTAAGCACACCCGAACTAACCTAACCTGAAACCCCAAAAATATGCCTCCCTTGGCCTCTGGAGCAAGTCAGTTTTGAAAGCAGTCCTATCAGCAAAGACACCAGGCAGCCTCTCTCACCCCTACCACCATCATCTGCTGGCACCCAGAAAAGTGGCACAGGGTGAAGGCAAACTCGATCGAAGAGCCCTCCGAGAAATCGTACGTTCCTCTCACTTACTTTGAGTTGGAAACGTCCTCTCTGGCGCTCAGTCTGCCTTTGTTGCAAGGGGCGAGGTTGCTACCGCTGAGTCCAGGTACCCGGCTCGCTGCAGCTCCTGCTTGGGCCGCTGCTGCTCTCCCCGCCTTCTGGACGGATGACTCACTGGTCTCTTTCTTCCCCTCTCTCCACTTTGGATTTTCCTCTGCTCTGGGGCTCTCTTGGCGGGATTTTTGGACTGGAAGGCGGGGAACCTGATCCTGCCTTTGACTCAATTACGCCCTGACAGGGAGGGAACGGAAGGGAAATGGAGAATGGGAGGGATGAGAGGAGCGGGCCAGGAGGACGAAGGCTGGGCGAGGGAGGGAGAGCGCTTTGCACTCGAGAGCTGATTGGGAAGCTTATTAAAAGCAGAATACTCCAGGGGCAGTCTCTCCCTGCGGAGCAAGAAAACGGATTTGAACCAAGAGGCCATGAGATGGTACCTTGTTTTGTTTTTAGCAGAGACGAAACACAACATTTCTTTTCCAAACTCCACCCATGATCTATTCTTCAGATGAGTGCAAAGCCACTTTGCCAAATAGGATATTTTAAATGGACAATTGATGGCATTTTAGGTTACATTTTTGGCCCCCCACAATCCTTTAATGATATTCAGAATGGAAAAGCACTCTCTTCAAACCAGCCTCTTCTTCCACCCACGAAAGCCCTCTCTAAACACAGAGACAGTAAGGTGTCAGTCACATCTCACCTGCAAAGCACAAAATGTACAAAGTACTTTTTCTCAATTGTCACAAAGAGTGACAGACGTCTCAAAGTTCCCAATTAAGTGCTACTTACCTTTAGGGAGAGCTCTTTCCTTTTTTGGTTTCCTTGGTGCCTTTAGCAACCTATTTAGTAACATGCCTTTGACACCCAAGAATTTAGAGGATTCGTCAAAGTAGCTCAAACTCTGAGGTTTGTAAAACTTGGAGGCTGGGCTTTGCGTCTCTGGAATTGTCATTTCATTCAATACAGGAAAGACGCTAAGGCAATGCATAGGTAAATATTTATGATAAAGATGAGATAAAAGTATTGTGTAAAAGGATTAAGATGTATTATACAAATTCACCCAAACATTTTCGAAATGTAAATTTCGAGATTTTCTGCCACTTATCAGCTTTTCCTGCTCCGTGGCTAGCTCCTTTTACCTACTTTTACCTTTACTGGTCAGCTTATCATTTGATGGCGTCCTTCCCAAATTGGTTGTAAAATAGACCACATTTTTCATAATTCTGAGGTTACATCCCTTCATTTCAATTTGACAAATATTTATTAAGCAATTTGTTTACTTAGAACTATCCTTAAATCCCCAAATTAGAAGCATTGTCTTGTGGCAAGTAGTTTTTAGGGACTTGGGGCTCTTCTATTGACAGCTACCTGTAGAAATGTCCCTTGGAGAAGTTGACTGGAGCCAGACGTGGCTCTACAAACTCAATCAAGCAGTCAATCAAGCTTTTCAAAAGGAAAGGCATCAGAGATGCACTTACACACCTACAATTTATCCCCCTTCCCAAACTCTTCATATACATACCACATACAATTCTCAAATGAAATAACTAAATAAGGAAGCTGTGTTCCTTTCTCCTACACACAGGCTTCAGGTTACCTGTTTTCCTTTTGTGATTCCACTTCTGTGTGAAGCAAGCAGTGCTTGTTTTAATCAGATTTCACCTGTATAAAGTGTGGAGAAACGCACATTAGCATTTTTTTTTGGCATTTTTCCCAGTCCCTTTACCAAAAAAGATATCTCAGCATTCTATTAACACTCCATAGGGGCAAAGTTTCTAAGGCATTGAACAAAGAGCTATCCATTTTCTTTCTGTTCTTCAGCTTTATGTTAACATATACAAATGTAACATACAGCTAGCTACCAGTTAGGTGAACAATGCTGGCTTGATTGAGGTGTTCTCTATAGGGCTGATAAAGTAAGCATGAGATTCCCATGATTTCTACTCAATTACATATGTTACACCAAAAATATCACCCTTTATTCAGATGGGTATATACTAAAATTGTATACATCAGTGATTATCAATTGGGAGCAGTTTTGCCCTCCAGGAAAAGGGAATAATGTCTGGAGGTAGTCTTGGTTGTCGCAACTTGGTGGAAGGGGTTGCTCTGGATCTAGTGGGTAGAAGCCGGGGATGCTGTAAAACATCATACAATGCATAGGACAGCCTTTGTTACCAGAAAGCGGTCCCGGTCCAGACCCCAAGAGAGGGTTCTTGGATCTCAGTTGCAAGAAAGAATTCAGGGCAAGTTCATAGAGTAAAGTGAAAGCAAGTTAATTAGAGAGGTAAAGGAATAAAGAATAGCTAGCTACTCCATAGGCAAAGCAGCCCCAGTGGCTTCTGGCTGTCCATCTGTTTGGTCATTTCCTGATTGTATGCTAAACAAGGGGTAGGTTATTCATGAATTTTCCTGGAAAGGGGTTGGCAGCTCCCGGAACTGAGGGTTCTTCCCCTTTTTAGACCATATATGGTAACTTCCTGACACTGCCATGGCATTTGTAAACTGTCCTGTGCTGGTAGGAGTGACTTTTGGCATGCTAATGTGTTATAATTAGCATGTAATGAGCAGTGAGGACGACCAGAGATCACTCTCGTGGCCATCTTTGTTTTGGTGGGTTTTGGACGCCTTCTTTACAACAAGCTGTTTTATCAGCAAGTTCCTTATGACCTGTATCTTGTGGCAATCTCCTATCTCATCCTGTGACTTAGAATGCCTAACTTCCTGGGAATGAAGCCCAGTAGGTCTCAGCCTTATTTTACCCAGCACCTATTCAAGATGGAGTCGCTCTGGTTTAACCACCTCTGACACCTCCACAACAAAGAATTATTTGGCCCAAAATGTTAACAGGGCTGAGGTTAAGAAAACCTAATGTTATTCACCATGGTATTTTAAAAATGCAAAGACGGATTAAAGAGAGTTTTTTTTTTAATAAATAGAAATTTATGAGATTGAGATTAGTCATAATTTAATTCAATCCAGCATTTTCATCAAAGTTGAAGTAGAATGTTTTTTAATACACAGTGAAATACTCAGTTTCAAATCCGAACTTCATCCTACGGCATAGTCAGGGGTCTGTTGATTCCAGAGTCCAAGTTATTTCATTCATTAGGCTAATATTCTTTAAGCACTTAAGTCTTTAGCTTGATAGAGCTATGAAGAAAAACTGTTGACAGTCCCTACTCTCAGATAGCCTATGTTGTTGTTCTTTCTTTCTTCTGAGATGGAGTTTCACTCTTGTTGCCCAGGCTGGAGTGCAATGGCGTGATCTCGGCTCACCCAGGTTCAAGCAATTTTCCTGCTACAGCCTCCTGAGTAGCTGGGATTACAGGCATGCACCACCACACCTGGCTAATTTTGTATTTTTAGTAGAGATGGGGTTTCTCCATGTTGGTTTGGCTGGTCTCGAACTCCCGACCTCAGGTGATCCACCCACCTCAGCCTCGCAAACTGCTGGGATTACAGGCGTGAGCCACCGCGTCCGGCCCTATGTTGTTGTTCTTAATTAGTCAATTAAAATTCTTTAATAGATGTGATAAGTAACATGAAAAAAATAAGGCAATGATGGAAGATAAAGTGTCAATGTGGGGGAGAAAAGTCTCCTTGGGATGATATTTGACAGAAGACTTAAAAGAATTGAGGATGCTGGCCAAGTAAATATTTGGGGGAAGAGCCTGTAGGCAAAGGCATCAACAAAGGCAAAGACTCTGAGGTCTGACCTTGCCCCAAGTTTTTTGGGGAAGAAAAGGAGGTCACCATGGCAGGAACTCAGTGAGAGGCATTAAGGGAAGCAATGGGCCAGATCACCTAAGACCTTTGTCCACTGTAAGGAATTTCATTTTTGCTCTGAATGAAGTGGGAAGCCATGAAGAGTGACTAAACCTGACTCTGGTTTAAAACGTCCTCTCTGCTATGCTGAATAGAGCACAGGAGGATGAGGGTGGAAGCAGAGAGCCCAGTAGGAGGCTACTGCACTAACCCACTCCCCAAAAGTCTTCCCCTTCTTCCTGTTTCTTGTGCAAAATAATTAACTCCAAACTTGCCCTTTAGCACTTTCTCTGCCCACACAAGCTCCTGTCAGCAGTGACTTTGGCTTGCTAATGTCAGTTCTCAGCCTCTCCAGGTGTAATGAACATGCCCCTTGCATGAGTGTTACCAGGCCAAAATATAACTATGCAAGGTGATTTGAAATCACAGAAATTATAACATCTCCTAAGGGTATTTTGAAAATGAGGCTGCTGATTTTGCAGTGGCAAATGCAAGGAGAAGTGTGATCAGCATGAAGTTTAAAAAGGTGAAGGAACCTGATGAAAAATTTGTCAGCTTGTCTCTTGGATTGCCTACTTGACAGGATGTTTAGAGTCTTGATTACCACTCTAGGTTCTTTAATATCCCTAGAATGTAAAAGGACAATTCATCAAACTTTCACAGCGTTCTAGAAGCCCCATTAATACATCTCTCTCCCCCTCTCTGAAATATTTGAAAGGTGATAAAAACAAATCTTTTACTTTGTTTTTTACTGCTGTGACAAGATTACAAATTTTACTTCTATCTTAGATATATTTTATAATAATTATGATATTTTATTAAAAAACATAAAGCAAATAAAAATGGCTTAGAAATTTTAGAAATTTATCTCACAAACAACACAAATTGATAAAGTCAATGCTTCCAAGTCTTCAAGAACTGAAGTCTTTCTATCTTTTGACTCTGCATTTTCAAATTTGCAGCCCAATGCTCTTCAATATGGTTTCAAGGAGCTCCAATCATATTTGGCTTTAAAGATTTAAAATAGACCCAAATTCTAGTGCAGAATAGGTCAGCTTCTCTAGTCACATAGCCATACAGACTATTTCAGCACGAGGAAGAGGCAAACAGAATTTGGGAAGCAAACAATGCCTGCTACAATTTCTCCCTAAAAAGTTATAAATTTTGACTTTATCAGTGTCTTATGCATCTAAGCAGCTTGACTTAAGACCCTCAATCTTGTAAAGAGAACTTCTAAAATCAAGGTTCTGAAAGAGCAGGTCTTGGACAATGACCTCACTCAGACTTACACAGAAAATTAGATCTGAAATATCAAAAGAAGTTTGATCACACATTACAAGAAAACAAAATATACAGAGCAAAATATAAAATGAACATAGATGCAAAAGTCTTTAACAAATATCGCATCAATGCAATTAATGTATAAAAAGTATAATACTGTGCATCATATTAGATATTTATTTCAGGAAAGCAAGTTAGGTTTTACATGTAAAAAATAAAATTCATATTTACAGATTAAGCAGGGGGAAAAGAGAATACATTAATATATATACGAAAAGCATCTGACAGAATTCAACATCCATTCATAATTTAAAATTCATCAACTTAAGAATATGAATGACTACTCTTGTTCTGATAAGAGATATCCACAGAAAGCTAAAGGATACTTTCCACCTAAAATCAAGAAAAAGCCAAGAATGGCCACTCTTACCACTTTTATTCGATATTGCATGAGAAATCTTAGCCAATAAAATAAGTCCAGAAAAAGAAAAAAAATGAGAAGGAGGGGCACAGTTGGCTTTATTTTCAGATAACTTGAGTATATACATAGACATTGATCAAAAATGCACAGAAAATCTTCTAGAACTAATTTATGACTCTACATGGATACAAGTTAATATTATAAAGATCAATTTTATTTCTATTTCTAACGATGAACAATTATCAAAAGTATGAAATATTTGGTGGCTTATGCCTGTAATCCCAGCACTTTGGGAGGCCAAGGTGGGCGGATCACGAGATCAAGAGATCGAGACCATCCTGGCCAACATGGTGAAACCCCGTCTGTACTAAAAATACAAAAATTAGCTGGGCGTGGTGGCACCTGCTTATAGTCCCAGCTATTCGGGAAGCTGAGGCAGGAGAATCGGTTGAACCTGGGAGGCGGAGGTTTCAGTGAGCCGAGATTGTGCCACTGCACTCTAGCCTGGTGACAGAGTGAGGCTGTGTCTCAAAAAAAAAAAAAAAAAGAAAGACAGAAAGAAATACTTAGGGATAACTTTAGCAAAATATTTTCAAGCCTTATTCATTGAAAACCACAGAACATTTCTGAGATAACTTATAGAACACCTAAATAGAGAGATTCATCATGTTCAGCAATTTGAAAATTTAAGATTGTTATGACATACATTCTTTGTATATTTATCTATAGATTAAATATCATTAAAGCCAAATTCCAATAAGTGCCTTTATAGAAATTGACAACCTGAAACCAAAATTTATATGGAAGTGCAAAGGACATAGACTAGGCAAACCATTTTTGAAATAAAAAAGCCAGAGGACTCTACTTGGTCTCACTATAAACCTACAATGATCAAGATTATTGTACAGTACTGGCATAAAGATAGACTTATAGAACAACGGGAAACAATGGTCAGTTCACAAATAGAATCAAACATTTTTCAATGGGGAAAGGACAGGTTGTCCAGCAAATAATGCTGAAAGAACTGGATATCAATATGGAAAGACATAAACTCTGAGATCATAGAAAAAAATTAACTCAAAATGAATTAAAGGCCTAAACATAAAAGCAAATGCTATAACATTTCTACAATATAATAAGAGAAAATCTTTGTTATTTTGGGGTAGGCAAAGATTTCTTAGCTAGCATGTAAAAAGTACAAACTGTTAGTAAAATACTGATAAATTAAAATTTTGCTCTTTGAAAGCCATCATTAAACATAATAGGCCAGGCACAGTGGTTCATGCCTGTAATCCCAGCACTCTGGGAGTCCAAGGTGGGAAGATCGCTTGAGGCTGAGAATTGGAGACCAGCCTGGGCAACACAGTGAGACCTCATCTCTACAAAAAAATAATTTTCTGAAAAAATTAGCTGGGTGTTGTGGTACATGCCTGTAGTCCAAGCTGCTAGGAAGGGTGAGGTGGAAGGGTCAGTTGAGCCAAGGAGTTCGAAGCTGTACTGAGCTATGATCACACCACTGCACTCCAATCTGAGGGACAAAGCAAAACCTCGTGTCAAAAAAAAATACATTAATTCATTAATAATCATAATAAGGCAATCCAGAGAATGCAAATATTCTCATAATACATGTCTGACAAAGATAACCCAATAATCAGAAACCAATCAATCCAACAAAAAATAGGCAAAAGATCTCAATAGACACTTTGCAAAAGAAAATATGTAAATGCCAATAAGCATATGAGAAATGCATTCCTTCATTTGCCCTGTCAAAGAAAAGCAAACTAAAACCTCAATGAGCTGCCACCTACACACCTACTCAAAGAGCTAAAATTAAAAGGACTGGAAATCCCAAGTGTTGGTAGGAATGTAAAATAGTACAGCCACTTTGGAAAACCCTTTGACAGCTTCTTATAAACTAAACATGCACCTACCATATGATTAGATTTTCCTAGAGATATTAGACTATTCACTCTTAGGTATTTGCTCTAGAGAAATATGTGTCCCAAACAGAGGTTTGTACATAGATGCCCATAGCATCTTTATTCATAATAGTTCCAAATTAGAAATCCATCAATTGATGAATATATTATTAAAATTTAGTAGAGCCATTCAATGAGATATTATTCATCAATAAAAGGGTAACCTACTGATAAATGAAAAAATACGGATTAACTTCAAAAACACTGCACAGAGAAAAACAAGCCAGAGACTTATGAGCATATACTGTATATGTTGATTTCATTATATGAATTTCTAGAGAAAGCAAACCTAATGGTTTGCACTGGCAAAACATAGATCAGTGGTTGCCTGGGACAGTAAGCTGGGGAGGGGGAGAGAAATTGATAGAACTACCAAATATTCTACTAATGTGGTGACTACATGGAATATACACTTGTCAAAAGTCATCAAACTGTACACTTAGAATGGGTGTATTTTATTATGTATAACTAAAATTCCTGACTGTATCTCAATAAAATTTATTTAAGAAATAAAATAAGCTGGACACTATGGCCCAAGACTGTAGTCCCAGCCACTGGGGATGCCGAGGTAGGATTGCTTGAGTCCGCGTGTTTAAGGCCAGCCTGGGCAACATAGCAAGACCCTGTCTCTAAAAAACTAAAAAATAAAATAAAATAAAATTGACTGTGTAGTCAGATTGGCTGATTTCAAAGCCTAGGCCTTTCACTTACACTATCTGTGTGACTTTTGGTATGTTACTTAACCCCTCTGTGCCTTGGGTTAACATTTGTAAAATAAGGATAATAACATTCCTTGTCCCATAAGTTTGCTAAAAATTAAACATTTAACATGTTTATAATGCTGCTTGGTAATTAATAAATACTGTATTGTCACTTATCAAATTAAGAAGAATTTTTAAAAATACCACATTAAATTCTGGGCCAGATACTGCATTAAGTTGGAACTTCATTCATGTGAGAAAAAAAAAAAAAAAAGTATGTTGTGAAGTAACAAATCCTTTAAACATACATTCTGTTAGGGAAAATTTGAATCCAGAGACTTTCAAAAGTAGTTTCTTCATTTTAAGAAATCGATTTTATTTGTTCATTTCTCAAAGTGGATTCTGAACTCCTATTGTTAACAGATATTCAATTGGTATCAACCAGGAAGGATGTCTGCAGTGTTTAAGTGCCTGGCCAGTCAGCCCTCTGAGATTCTGCTTCAGGACTAGCTCATCCAGGACAGCATGTGCTCTGTCCTCAAAGAGAGTACATACATGGCTCTAGTGACAAATGCATATGAGTTTACAGTGACAGGTTGTTTTCTTGGTCCAAAAGAAAAAGCTTCAAAGTAAAGATTAGGGAAAATGAAAGAAGACTCAATAGAAATGGAAGAGTTTATACTGGGTTTTGAAAAATGAGTTTAGAAAAAACGTGATGAGTGGAGTCAGAGATGTCTATTATTCTAGACTAGGAAGCCCCAGAAGTCCAGGAGGAATTCTGGAAATGGTTCATAGAACATTTTGGCTGAAGCAAACGGATCAGATCAAGAAGCAAACATGAGATGGGGTGAAGTTTACCTTGCGGCAGATCTTGAATTTTGTTTTATTATGGACATTGCAGTGACTTGGGAGTGTTCCAATACAGACTGACACAATGCAGGTTCTATTTAGGAAGATTAATTTGGCAGATGTACAAAGCATGGAGTCAGCCTAAAAGAAAAGAAATCTATTAAGAACCTGTCCGTCTTTCTTTCAAAAATATAAACATTTATATCGTTAGGCAGAATTTACTTGAAAGGCATTATCTAAAATTTGGCCTTTACTAATGCACATGTTTTTTGTACAATCTCCAGTGCATTATTTCTCATAGCCAGGTAACTCTCCCCAGTGGCCTCGGTACACAACATGCTTTTTCAGGCCTCATAGGTTCTTGCTATTTTCCATACCTATAAGGGCTTTCCTGATCTGCTACATGTACGTAAACGCTACCCTTTAGTCAAGTTCTCCCTAAACTATAAAGCCTTTCTAGGGTTACTTGGCCACATTGAGCTGCCCAGTATGGCACTACCTCTCTCAGAGCTCACTCTTTATTTAAAAAAACAAACAGTGAGTTGTCCTTTGAAAGGCATACAGATACAAGAATCTGGAGTTAAAAATCAGCTGAAGTAGGATTCCCTTGATCTGCTGTTGAGTTGTTTTCTGACTTTGGATAAATCACTAATGGCTCTTGACCTTCATTTTCTTATCTCTAAAATATGACAAGACTGGCAATATTTAAAATTCCTGCTGTTCTGAGTATGAAACTAGACACTTTATTACAATTTTAGGAACTTAGAAGCCCTTAAAGATACAGTCGCAGGAACACACCCCGTTAAATATTGACATCTTCAAGTACTACAACAACACTGCCTTCTCTGAATAACGTAAATTTTGCAGTCTTTCACATATATTTTATCATTTAATGCACATCATGAGCCCTGTAAGGTTAGATATCAGTATTCCTACTACATAGCTGAAGAAGCTGAAGTTTAATCCTCTAATGAAGAGGGTGACAACTTTTCATCAGGGCATTTACGCAGGATCTAAGGGTTCTTCTCTCCCTCTTTCCCGCTACCTCTCAGCTGGTTCCAGAAAATGGGAGTATTTTGTACCTGGAATTAGCTGATTTCTCACTAATGGCAATTCTGTAATATAATGAAAAGGAGCAAGGTTATCTACCTATATTCAATTTAGACCTTATTTAAAGCATTAATATTTCTATTTTTATATAAATTGATTTTTAAGGGAATTAGGCAAAGAGATGAAAGCTTGGTCACTGTGTTGTGATGTATTGGAGCTCTGTGGTTTATTTTTAGATCAGTTGCTATTTAGGAATTCATGTTCTTCGTTTTATTTTGGAAATTACTTTCAGTTTCTGAGCATAAATATCTCAGACATGATTATTATTATTCAAGACCAAAGTTTATCCTATGGAACTCAGCAGAGCATTTTCTAAGACTCAAGCAGAATGTGGCTCTAGGGCATATTATCACTGATGGGTTTTGCAAAGCATACGCCACATACATGCACACAAATACACAATTACACACGCACATGTAAAGGAAAGACATGAAGGAAAGTTATCAACAAATGATATATATGGCTTTTTCCAAAGAGTACACACACACACCCACACACATAAAGACACACACACACATATCTAGGAATTGAAGAAAATGTGCCCACAAATTATGTTCACCAAATTGTTCTTTGAGATGAAATTTCAAAATAGTCACTAGTTCATTAGGGAGGGTGAAAGAGGAGAAAGGAAGAGAGAGGGAGAAATAAAAAGAAGCCGTAAGATACCGAATACCTTGTTTATCCAAGGTTAACTTACAGTATCTTATATCTTTAGGGCACTTCTCCTTTCAAGGACATAACATACTATCAACTTCCTGGTAAATGTGCACAACAAAATACATACAGATGTTGGATAGCTGAGTTGGAAATGGACATTTTCTTCTTTCTCTTGGGGTACAAGAGCTCAGAGTTTGCAGCAACTTCTGCTTCTGCACCCCCTTGTCCCCAGCCTGCATGGGGTGGCGCGGGGTGGGGGTGGGTGTTGGGTTGTAAATGAAAAGGGAGATTCTGTGACTAATATCAATGAGACAAAGAAATGAAAGCACTCTAATCCCTGGGCCAGGCGCCAGCCATCCCACTGTATGAGGCCATTGGCCAGAAATCCCACTGTATGCTGGGCCCCAAGCCAACCAGAATTGGATACAATGAGTTTCGCAGCCACCTTTTCAGAGCTGACAGCAAATGTCGGGGCACCAACACCCTTTGATAAGAGTTCCAACTTTCTCACTAACATTTCTACCCCATAATAATAAAGCTTTTTTATTTATAAACAGTACTCTCTTGAAGATTGCTTAGTGCTTTTAGAGACATAAATTCATTCATCTCAGTACTTATAGTGAGACAAGGTGGGGCTGGTGGCCAAGACAGGGAAATCAATATTCTCTTCCTGTTTTGAGAGAGAGAGAGAAAAAAACACATTACTTTATGCAACAGTTCATTCTATTATTGAAGTTTCTAGACAAAAGTCTCACATGAATATTCTTCCTTAAATTAAATGTGTTTGTAATGAGCTAACCAAACCTTGCTGTGTGATTCCTAATGAGTTGTTTACTTAAAATGTCTTCTCTCCTCTTAAGACTGGGTTTTTTTGAAAGGCCAAACACATACACAAACCAGTTAATACTGGCACCCCTCCTTGAACTTTCTGGCTGTTTCAGATTTAAATATTGATTTCTTTCTCTCACTCTCCATGTCTCCCCATAATGGCAGCAGCTGCTAGGAAGTTGGGAATTTCTTACCAGGAAAGCACCCAAGAGAATGTGAACACCATTAAAATATTTCTTACCTTTTACTTTATTGTTTTTCTCTAAAGCCCTTGAGTAGCTAGCTGAGTATTGGGTAACCAAGAAAGGCTGTTCCTTCACTGGGGAAACATTGGATCTGATTTCCATTAGAGATGCTGAATTATTTAGTGGTAATTGAGTGCCCCAATCAGTTGCTTTCTGAGTGGTTACCTTTCAGTGTCCATTCACATTCAGTTTGTATTGAGGCTTTCTTCTCCTGAAAACAGAGCATGCACAATTTGCAACTTGTTTATTTTAATTCTGAATAGTTTGAAAAAAGCTTTCCAAGAATTGAGGTGAATATAGTACATATCCAGTATGCAATGTGAGGCTTAGTATATTGAAAATTAAAAGTATTGTAAATACCTCATTTAATTACAACCTGTTCTCATGTCTAAATCTTGTCATAATATATTCTAGCATATAATTTTCAGATTTTTGCATTTTTTTCAAACTGCAAATGAATAATAATTGTTATAAGAAGCTACATTCTTAGCGCTCACATTACCTTACTGACTAATTGGTTTATATTGAATGGATTGACATCTTCAACTGACACAGATGGAGATTACAGTGGAAATCTAGATAAGAAAATGAAAGGATGACCTGAAAGAAGTCTATATATATATATATATGCATATATGTACACGCACTATCTTAGAATATGTGTGAAAAAGTAATCAAAACTGAAACAAGACAACTAACTCCTCATAGATATGCCATTTTTTTCATTATATAACATGCATAGCAAGAGATTGTAGGGGATGAATCTGAAAAGATAAGCATGGACAACCTTGCCAGTATTATTAAGAAAGTTGACTTAATTTTATGTTTATAGGAATGCTTTGATATCTTTAAGCCAGAGAATACTATATATCAGATTTGCATTTGTAAAATGTCACATTCTGGCTGTATTGCGTAGATAGAGTAGAAGGAAAAGATGAAGCCTGGATGAAGCAGAGCAAGTGAGCCCCAAAATTGGGGCTTAGCCTGAGAGGGTTCTTGGCTTCACCCAGGAAAAAAACTCAGGGGCTAGCCAGTGGTGAGAGAAAGCCACTCTTATTGAACCAGTGCTGCTCCTTGTGGAGCAGGGACATAGGCAGTGTGCCCAGAGTCTACAGCATGTGGGCCATTGGTGGCTCTATTTATACCCACTTTATTTTATTGTACTTTATTTTATTTTATTATTTTATATTATTTCATTTTATTTTATTTTATTTGTTTCAGGATACATGTGCAGGACATGCAGGTTTGTTACATAGGTAAGTGTGTGCCATGGTGGTTTGTCACACCTATCAACCCATCACCTAGGTATTAAGCCCCACATGCATTAGCTATTTATCTTGATGCTCCCCCTCCTCCCACCACCTGGACAGGCCCCCAGTGTGTGTTGTTTCCCTCCCTGCATCCAGGTGTTCTCATTGTTCAGTTCCCACTTATAAGTGAGAATATGTGGTGCTTGGTTTTCTGTTCCTGTGTTAGTTTTCTGAGGATAATGGCTTTCAGCTCCATCTATGTCTCTCCAAAGGACATAATCTCATTCCTTTTTATGGCTGCCTAGTATTACATGGTATATATGTACCATATTTTCTTTATTCAGTCTATCATTGATGGCCATTTGTGTTGATTCCATATCTTTATAATTGAATGATTTATATTTCTTTGGGCATATACCCAGTAATAAGATTGCTGGGTTGAATGGTATTTCTGGTTCTAGATCTTTGAGGAAACACCGCACTGTCTCCTGCAATGGTTGAGCTAATTTTCATTCCCACTAACAGTGTAAAAGTGTTCCTATTTCTCCACAGCCTCACCAGCATGTTTTATTTCTTGACATTTTAATGTCACCATTATGACTGGTGTGAGATGGTTTCTCATTGTGGTTTTGATTTGCATTTCTCTAATGATCAGTGATGTTGAGGATTTTTTCATGTTTGTTGGCCACATAAACGTCTTCTTTTGAGAAGTATCTGTTCATGTCCTTTGCTCACTTTGGTTGTTTGGGTTTTTTCTTGTAAATTTGTTTAAGTTTCTTGTGGATTCTGGATATTAGACCTTTGTCAGATGTATAGATTGCAAAAATTTTCTCCCATTCCATAGGTTGTTTGTTGACTCTGATGATAGTTTCTTTTGCTGTGCAGAAGCCCTTTAGTTTACTTAGATCCCATTTCTCAATATTTGCTTTCATTGCAATTGTTTTTGATGTTTTTGTCATGAAATCTTTGCCCATGCCTATGTACTGAATGGTATTGCCTAGATTTTCTTCTAGGGTTTTTATCGTTTGGGGTTTTACATTTAAGTCTTTAATCCATCTTGAGTTAATTTTTGTATAAGGTGTAAGGAATTCAGTTTTCTGCATATGGCTAGCCAGTTTTCACAGCATCATTTATTAAATAGGGAATCATTTCTCCATTGCTTGCTTTGGTCAGGTTTGTCAAAGATCAGATGGTGTAGATGTGTGGTCTTATTTCTGAGATCTCTATTCTGTTCCATTGGTCAATGTGTCTGTTTTGGTATCAGTACCATGTTGTTTTGGTTACTGAAGCCTTGTAGTATAGTTTGAAGTCAGGTAGCGTGATGCCCCCAGCTTTGTTCTTTTTGCTTAGGATTGTCTTGGCTATACAGGCTCTTTTTTGGTTCCATATTAATTTTAAAGTAGTATTTTTCTAATTCTGTGAAGAATAACAATGGTAGTTTAATGGGAATAGTATTGATTCCATAAATTACTTTGGCAATATGGCCATTTCCATGATATTAATTCTTCCTATCCATGGGCATGTTATGTTTTTCCATTTGTTTTTGTCCTCTCTTACTTCTTTGAGCAGTGGTTTGTAGTTCTTGAAGAGGTCCTTCACATCCCTTGTTAGCTGTATTCCTAGGTATTTTCTTCTTTTTGTAGCAATTGTGATTAGGAGTTTATTCATGATTTGGCTCTCTGCTCATCAATTGTTGGTGTATAGGAATGCATGTGATTTTTGCACATTGATTACTTTGCTGAAGTTACTTATCAGCTTAAGGAGCTTTTGGGCTGAGACAATGCAGTTTTCTAGATACAGGATCATGTCATCTGTAAGCAGAGACAGTTTGATTTGCTCTCTTCTTGTTTGAATACCTTTCTTTCTTTCTCTTGTCTGATTGCCTCTGCCAGAAGTTCCAATACTATGTTGAACAGGAGTGGTGAGAGAGGGCATGCTTGTCTTGTGCCGGTTTCAAAGGGGAATGCTTCCAGCTTTTGCCCATTCAGTATGATATTGGCTATAGTATCCCCACTTTTAAACAAATGTCAATTAAGGTGCAGGTTATTCAGAACTTTCTGGAAAAGGGACAGAGAGTTTCCAGAACCATATAAGATAACTTCCAGGCCACTGCCATGGTCCACAGCCATGGCATTTGTAAACTGTCATGGTGCCTGTAAGAGTATCTTTATGCTATCGACAAGTGGGGCAACTAGAGGTTGCTTTCATTGCCATTTGCTGGTTTTGGCTGGGTTCTTCACTGCATCTGTTTTGACCAGAATTTTCTTCAATCAGCAGGGTATTGGCTAGAAAACAAGTCCTGCTAGCCTTCTATCTCATCCCTCCCCTTAGAAATTACACACTCTTCCTTAATCTTTAGGAGGTTTCAGAAGAACAGAGGTCCATCTTCTGTAAATGCTTCTTGCTGATTTCATGGGCAAAGGCCCTCCTAGGTTGGAGGAGCAACAATTCCTGGATACCTGATCTAAGGGGTCCAAAAGCATAATGTTTTCATTTTCCAGGTCAGAAGATGGGATGGGTTCGAAACATTTTGCCAGCTTTGTCTTTACATGGAATTGTTGTAAGCTGGAAGACACCAACTTTACAAAGAGGTTAAACAAGCAAGGGCCAAAAATTAGTAGCAACACAACAGATAACAAAGGTCCTAGGAAAGGTCAAAACCAGGTAAGACTTGGAAAGGCCATTTTGATAGCTGACCAGATATAGTTGGGATCAGTGCCCTGGTTATATCTATGTATCCAGGTAGCTTGTTCATCATTTTTTGAATGGTAATCTCCATTTGTTCAGAGTTATTAATATAGGTCATGGTCCTTCTCTTGAACTTGGGGGACTCATAAGAAACAGGATTAATCCTGAACAGGTGTACCTAGCTAGTGATTCTCTGAAGTTTAACAGCATTAGGGATGTTTAACAATACCTAACATAGGCTATTCCATTTTAGTTGTAATTGATCCTCAGGAAATCCTTCTTTCCAGGTTTTTATTGGGACTAGATCTCCTGGTTGAGCAGGGGAGCTAATCTTTTCCTTTGTGGTAAAGGGCAACTCAATTTCCATACTCTTGGAAGGCCTTTTGAACTTGGCCTAAATTCCAATGGAAGGCATAGTTAGGAATGTCCAACCCTGTTTCTTGCCATAGCCTGAATTAATTTTTCAGGTTTCTTATAGCCAATTAAATGTTTTAGGCCAGACAGGAATGGAGGCAGGCAGGCACTAATTTACCCTTAAAACGGCTTTAAGCAATATAAGTAAAAAACCAACAGCCAAAACTAAAGTTACACATTATGAAAAAACAAGAGTATAGAATCAAGTTATACTGGAGGAAAACTTTGCTTTTATAGACCTCCAAGACAAAATATTTTAGCATCAGGACATAACAACCATTAGAACTGGAGAAGAATAAATTAGAAAGACTGATGAAAAAGCTGAAGACAGTTGTTTTAGGCCTTCACAAAAGGAAAAAAATGCTAAAAATAGTGAGACACGACAGTTGAATTTCTGAGATATGAATCTGAGAAATGTAAAAAAAGAATAGGTTGTAGTATTGAAAAGCAAAATTTCTTGAAATTTTATTAACAGCAAATCTATACCTTAAGAAAACCTTATTTTAACATAGCAGACCATCTTCTAGAAAGATTATTTTAAACAATTGCCTTTGAATGACAGCCAACTTAATCATACACAAAATTCCTTCATAAATCCCCCATCATGAACCTCATCATGACTTACACAGACCATCTACAACATGCTTGAACTTTCTGACTAGTCCTATACCACCTCTTTTATAAATAACCAGTCACTTTACTGTAGGACAATAATTTATCTTACAAGATCCTTTCTCATACAACATTCTTTTACATTTATATCATCCTTTACCAAAAATACACCTTCATATCCTTATCTTTCTTCATATATCTCTCTCGCCTACTTACTAGTTAATTTCTACCTTATTTCATAAGTCACCTTCTCATGTCCATAATTTTAATTAACCTTTAAGTACTTTTAAGTTGGGCAAAAACAGTCTTTCACAAAAAGAGCACATTGTAACTTAGTATTTTTACCTGCCACACTAAGGGTTGCCCAGGGTTCCTCTGTAGAGATGGTAAGGTGTCTAATGGGAGTCATGGGGGATATTGGGCTGTTTAAATCCTCTGCAAATGATGGGTTTGGGTAACCAAGGCTCCCTTTGGAAACTGGGGCAGTCCCTTTTCCAATGGCCCTCGTGTTTACAGAAGATATATTGATTCTGGCTCAAGGGCTTATGGATTAGGGGTTCTTATCTGAACATTCTAGACATCTATCTTGGGACACTTACTTGGACTGAGTAATCCTGAGCTGTCTGGGGGCCTAAAACAGTCACTAACAATTGTGCTTTTGGCTATTTCTTTTGATTTTCTCCTCTTCCTCTGCTCTGTTCTTATTGTAAATTCTAATGCCCATGTTTAAGAGTTGGCTCATAGGAATTTGAGGTCCCATTTCTGCCTTTTATGTCTTCTTCCTAATGTCAGAGGCAGATTGAGTATAAAATGCATACACAGGAGAGTTTGCCATTCTTGGGAGTCTGTTTCTGTATATTTCCTGAATGCCTCAACCAAATGGCCTTGAAATATAGCAGGAATTTTAGCCTTTCTCTGAGTTACTTCTTTAATCTTGTCATGATTAACTGGCTTAACTACATGCTTTTTCATATCTTTTATTAAGCAAGTTACCATGTGATTTTTGCATTTGAGATCTTGGGAAGCCCTCTGGTAATTCCACTGAGGGTCCATATCTGGAACTGTATCTCCTTCCACATGATAACTAGCATGGTCTAGGTTATGTGTGGCCACTCCATCTGCATATTTTTGGACAGTACTCAGATCCATCTGTTTCTTATCTGTGGTATAGCAGGTGCACAATAATTTTTGCAAATCATGTGAAATTAAGTCAGAAGACATAGTCAACTCAACAAACTCCTCAATGAACTTCCCTGGATCCTCCAAAAACTGGCCAAATTTCTCCTTGCATAAAGCCAAATCACACATAGAAAAAGACACATGTACTGTGATTGACTGTCCCTCCCATCTCTATCAGCTACCTCCCACAATGGACACAGGTTTGATTTTAGGGGCTGATATAGGGGTACCCTCCTGGTGGTACTGGTAGGGCTTACTTCCTTGGGCAGTGAGAGGTATAGGCTGGGGCTAGTTGGATAAGGGGGAGAGGTGCCTGATGACCTTGTGGTGGAATCCTGCACTAGAGAACTGGTGGGCCTCCCCTTAGAATTGGGAGACTGAGGAGGCTCCAGGGGAGCATGGGACATCTAGGGGGAATAACTAGGAGGGGTCACCTAGGTGCAGCTTCTTGCTGTCTGAAAGTAACATGAGCCAAACACATCCTACAGTTGTCTGGTAAAGGGCCATAGAAGCCATTACATAAGGGATCCCTCCCCATTTTCCTTCCTTTTTATATAATAAGTCCAATTGTAAAATAGTGTTATGACATAAAGAGCCATTTTTGGATCTAATTTCTTGGTTTCCCAATGTTCATTGAACCCAAATGGTGTCACAGTAGAAAATGAGTTTGTTTTCTTTTAATCCTTCTGTATTGGTCCATTCTCATGTTGCTATAAAGAAATGTCTGAGACTGGGTAATTTATAAAGGAAAGAGCTTTAACTGACTCACAATTCCGCATGGCTAAGGAGGCCTCAGGAAACTTACAATCACGGCAAAAAAAGAAGGAAACACGTCCTTCTTCACATGATGGCAGGAAGGAGAAGTGTTGAACAGAAGGGGAAAAGCCCCTTATAAAATCATCGGATCTCGTGAGAACTCTCTCACTATCATGAGAACAGCATGGAGGTAACCACCCCCATGATTCAATTACTTCCCACCAGGTCCCTTCCACGACATGTGGGGATTATGGGAACTACAATTCAAGATGAGATATGAGTGGTGCATTAGTCTGTTTTCAGGCTGCTAATGAAGACATATCTAAGACTGAGTAATTTATAAAGAAAAGGAGGTTTAAAGGACTCACAGTTCCACATGGCTGGGGAGGCCTCACAATCATGGTGGAAGGTAAAGGAGGAGTGAAGGCACATCTTACATGGTGGCAGGCAAGAGAGGAATGAAAGCTAAGCAAAAGGGGAAACCCCTTATAAAACCATCAGATCTTATGAGAACTCACTCACTATCTTGAGAACAGTATGTGGGAAACCACCCCCATGATTCAATTATCTCCACCTGGTCTCGCCCTTGACACATGGGGATTATTATAATTCAAGGTGAAATTTTGGTGGGGACAAAGAGCAAACCATATCACCTTCTAATTTAAATTTGCTCCAGTTGTCTATAAGGCACCCTAGTGGTGGGTCCTTCAGGATGTTCACTGTTGTTTCTTGGTCTGACAAGCATCTCTACTAGACACAGAAGTTTTTTAAGTCTAATAAGAGGAAAAATAAATGAGCTCTCATCATTTTTCATTTCAGATTCCCACTTCCTGCAGAGAAGGTGTAAATATAGATAACAAAGCATTAAGAAAGTGGATTATGAAATATGATTGGGAAGTAGGATACTACTGTGTTCTCCATGAAATATGGCAAAAGAAGTATTTTCATTAACCAAAACATAGAAGGAAAAGGGAAAATGCAGTGGCAGGATTAAGCATTTTGGATTTTAGGGCAGTAAACAGAAAAAAGCAAGAATAAAAATTATCCTAGAGTGGGTATCCTCAAACCCACAATGCCTCCCTCAAGTAGGTCTCCAACTCAAAATGCCAAAAACTCCAGAGCATGTACAAGGTGGCCAACAGTGAAGGTAGGCCTTTAACCCACAATCCTGAAGTGGGCCTCTAACCCACAATCCTAGAGTGAACATTCTCACAATCAAGTATCCTGTCTTAAACAACTGTCCAAACACAGGAGCAGGGAGCCACACCAAAAACTGGAAACAAAACATATATTTCAGGGTGGAAAATAAAATAGCTGATAAAAAAGTAAAATGGCATTAGAGGAGAAATGACCAATTGTCATAGCTGATTAGTTGTCCTTCTGTCCAGGGCCCCCAAATGGCAGGTGACTTCAAATTGATTACCTAGTCAAAGGCCTTATTTCCTGCTCACCCAATATTGAAGGAGGGGCAGAGGGGTCACTCACTAATCCACATGAGCCAAAATGGCTCTAAGCAGTCTCCAGTGTGGAGCTCAGGTGAAAGTCTCCTCCTCAGGTTTCCTTGGCTTGGACAGGCTTGGCTGCTGTGAGGGGATCGGGGCATGGTCCTGTGATCAGCTGGCCAGAGTGTTGAGTATGATATGAGGCAGCACTGTGACCACTTGCCTGTTCACTCTGCTCTGCTGCCACCACCTGCCAGGGAAGACAATGGCTCTGAGAGAAGCCTTTGGTTAACATTACAGCTCTGCATCTACAGCTTCTGTGTTAGAGCTCTGCAGCTTCGATCATCTGCCTTGCCATCTTTTGCCAGCCACTCGCTATCTCATCGTCTGTTGCTCGCTACTCATTGCCTCACAGATCACTGGTCTTACCGTCTTGTCTCCTTCCTTATTGCCAGCTGCTGATCGCTGTCTCACCATCTCACCAATCACCAATAGCTGTCTTGCCACCTTGCCATCTTGTCTCATCCCTTCATTGTCACCATGATGATGCAGGGCAGGCAATGGGGCTTAGCCTGGAAGGGTTCTTGGCTTCACTGAGGAAAGAATTCAAGGGCTAGCCAGTGGTGAGAGAAAGCAACTCTTATTGTACTGGTACTGCTTCTTGTGGAGCAAAGCTAACCCATAGGGAGTGTGGCCTGCATTGTCAGTGTATGGGTTGTTGGCCGCTATATTTATACCCACTTTTAATCATACGTTAATTAAGAGGCAGGTTATTCACAACTTTCTGGAAAAGGGACAGGGCGTTTCCAGAACCATATAAGGTAACTTCCAGGCCATTGCCATGGCCCATTGCCATGGCATTAGCAAACTGTCATGGTACCAATGGGAATGTCTTTATCCTAATGAGCAGCGAGGGCAACTACAGGTCACTGCCATCTGCTGGTGTGGGCTGACTTCTGTTTTTTTTTAAACAGAGTCTCATTCTGTTGCCCAGGCTGGAGTGCAATGTCGCGATCTTGGCTCACTGCAACTGCTTCCTCCCAGGTTCAAGCAATTCTCCTGCCTCATCCTCCTGAGTAGCTGGGAATACAGGTGCATGCCACCACACCTGACTAATTTTTGCACTTTTAGTAGAGATGGGATTTCACCATATTGGCCAGGCTGGTCTCAAACGCCTGACCTCAAGTGATCCACCCACCTCAGCCTCCCAAAGTGCTGGGATTACAGGTGTGAGCCACTGCACCCGGCCTCAACTTCTTTACTGTATCTGTTTTGACCAGATCTTGCTTCCATCAGTGGGGTCATGACCAGGAAACAAGTCCCACCAGCCTCCTATCTCATGGGTGCCAGTTGAAATAATCCAGGTGGGAAATGATGGGGATCTAAATAAGTAAACCAGAAATGTTGACAGAGGGACAACAGAGGAGAGAGAAAACAACTGATAAGAAACAGTGAATGATTGTCTATGAGTGCTGAAAGAGCAAAATTATCAAGAATAACCCCCTATGACTCCAGCTTTGTGATTGATGGTGCCAACCTTTGAGCCAGGAAACAGAATTGAAATATTAGAAATGAGTCTACTTTTAGAAATGTTGAGTTCAGATGTTTGCGTGAGATCCAAGTTGAGAATGTAGTATTTAAGAAAAATTTAGAAGTATATACCATGACACATATTGACAATTTTATATTCAACTTTTATGTGTGTTTTCAATGAATAATCCAAAACTATGAACCAATTTATTTAATCAGCCCATTTATAATGCCTCTCTAAATTAATTTATACTAGAAGCTCCAAACTCCATAATAAAAATCTTTCCAAACTAGAGTTTGCCATATTAAATGGGGTGTCTTTTGATGTGTCTATTCTATATCCAAAGTGAAAAAGAGAAACTTTGCTAATGGCTAATTCTTTAATTTCTCCCCCACTCTGAGAAGTAACCAAATTTTGGTGGTCTCTTACATCAAAGTGTACTAGAGAAAAGGGAAGCCATGTCTTTGTTAACCAAAAAATCTTCTTTACTTAAGTGATGAAGTTGATAGCTTAACTAATCCTTGTTCCCACCCCAGTCACTCTCCACTCTTACCACTCACACTGTACATGCCCTTCTCTAAACCATTTTAATAATCTTCCTAATGAATATTTAGTTAGCATGCAAGCAGATTTTTTCTATTGCCGAAGGCCAGCAATCTCAGTTTCTCAAAAATCTGTTTTTTTGTTTTTTTGTTTTTTTTTTGTGGAGAGGGGAAGTTACTGTTATTTGTTTTACATACTTCTGTCAGTTTCTTTTCAGTGCTGTTTTTTGTTTTGTTTTGTTTTGGCCCTGTGTTTATATGTGTGAGAAGATCAATGGTGCCCTAACTTCTGTTCCATTTTCACACCCCCACTGAAATCTCCCCTACCTAGCTACCTGAAATTTCTCTGGAATTGTTTTCACATACGTAGGGCTGGATACCTGCCTCCAGCTAATTTATACCCCCATCATGGACCCTTCTCTCCACTTCCCTTATACTAATTTGGTCTCATCCTAAGTAGGTGAGTGAGAGAGAGGTAAAAAGACTGCAATGATTGCTTCTAAAGCATTTGAAAACTACTCAGAAAAAAATGTGGCACTAATGGGAGTTTTGTCAAGAAAGAGAAAATTAGTACATTTAAGAAGCAAATAAAGGCTTCCTAGAAAACTGGAAAAAAATACTATTTGATATAAAGAAAATGACTATAAAAATTGAACATTTATTTTGCAATTAATTCAAGGTATATAATAACAACAGGGTACAATCATCGTAATCTCCCAGGCATGGGGGTTAGCAATTTAAAAATATCACATGTAATTCTCACAATAATCCTATGATGTAAATGACTCTGATTATTACTAACTTTCAGTTGAGGTCAAACAGCCAGAAGCAGTCAAGCTGGAGTTTGAGCCCAATAGACCCAGAATGTACTCCAGTTCTTTTTAGTTATCTTCCCAATTTTTTTATTACATGTTGGCCACATCATATAACATTTTGATCTGTGGGAAATAAATCATCGTGTTTATTTGCCTTTTGAAACAGAAAAAAGTCATGAAGGAATTCAGATGATAAGTTTCATTTTAAAATGTGACCTCCACTTTTAGAAATAGTTAGAAATGCTTTCAGCTTCAAATCAAAGAAAAACCTAGTTAACAATGGTGCCTCATATAGCAAGACTTTGGAAATAAGTGGTCGCGGCATTGGTTCAGTGTCTCAAAGATTTCCCAGCCTATTTGGTGTCGGTTCCTTGCTGTTCTGTTCCTTATGGTTTCATGATGGCTGCATCTCAGGAGACAGTATTAAGAGTGCTCCTTCTTGGGTACCTCTTTCTAATGGAAAAAAGGAGAAATCCTCCCAAAAGCTCCTAGGAGACCCTCTTTCCATATGTGACCTGACCCGGAAGGAAAGTTGAATAAACTAAAGAGAGAAATTTTTTCAGTCTCTGTAATGAAAGCCAGGCAAATGAAATGGGGCTGGAGAAGCCAAGGCTTTGGGGCAGCCAACGAACACATCTGCTACAGTGATTGCATGGCACATACAGATTTTCCTGCCTTTAATAGGACGAACAAATTGTAATTACATGATGATCTCTTCCCAAAAAACCAAACAGTCTTTGGTACCAACTTTCCTTTTTTGGTTTTTTTACTTAACGCTGAATTTCAGTACTTCCTCTGTATTGAGTTTCAGCAATTTCATTTTTTAATAAAAAGCTGCCGTGATGGAAAAGTTGTTATTTTACTATTCATTTTCATCAGATCACTTCATTGCTTCTGCCTGTGCTGACATTCTTAAAACAGTCCTATTCTTTCCATTTTATTTTCTATTGCAGTCTCTTCCTTTAGAGTTTTTGGGTTGATGTTCCCATATAAATTCAGAATTTCTTCTCAAGATCTATTGATCACTAATTCATGTACACTGAACTTGACTATGTATTCTGATCAGGGATCCCCAAGCCCTGGGCCATAGATGGCCCGGGTACTGGTCCATGGCCTGTTAGGAATCAGGCCGCAGAGCAGGAGGTGAGCAGCTAGCGAGATTACTGCCTGAGCTCTGCCTCCTGTAAGATCAGTGGTGGCATTCCATTCTCATAGGAATGCAAACCCTTTTTTGAGCTGCACATGCAAGGGATCTAGGTTGTGCACTCCTTATGAGAATCTAATGCCTGATGATCTGAGGTGGAGCAGTTTTATCCCAAAACCATCCCCTGCAGCTTGCCAGTCCATGGAAAAATTGTTCTCCACGGCACCAGTCTCTGGTGCCCAAGCAGTTAGGGATCACTGTTTTAGATAACAACGTTTTTATTTCTTTGGCTCAATAAGGTAAAATTAGTAGGTGAGAAATATACTATTTCAAGCACTTTTTCATCATAATGTTTAGAAGAGGAACTTACTAAGAGCACAAGATGTATTCCCAATAAGTCATATCAATGTCTCATTCAGCCACATGTTTTATCTCTGATAATGGCACGTGAGCTGTGTGTGATGAAATGTTATTAAAGATGGGATGTATGTTTTAAAAGCTTCATTTTTCCTGAACAGCCAATGCTATAGCTCTTGTTGATGAATTTTTAAAACCCCAATTGTACTAATTCACATTTCTTTTGGACTTCAAGGTTGGTGTATTAGTCATTTCTCATGCTGTTAATAAAGACATACTTGAGACTGGATAATTTATAATGAGGTTTAATTGACTCACAGTTCAGCATGGCTGGGGAGGCCTCAGGAAGCTTTACAATCATGCTGGAAGGCAAAGGGAAGAAAGGCAACTTCTTCACTAGGTGGCAGGAAGGAGACCTGCTGAGCAAAAGGGGAAAAGCCCCTTTTAAAACCATCAGATCTCATGAGAACTCACTCACTATCACAAGAAAAGCATTGGGGTAACTGCCCCCATGATTCTCTTACCTCACACCAGGTCCCTCCCACGACATGTGGGGATTATGAGAACTACAATCCAAGGTGAGATTAGGATGGAGACACAGCCAAATCATATCAATTGAGGAGATTTAGTGAACCACATGTAATGTCAACCTGTGGACTGCATCATTCTAGAAGTCTCCACAATAGACACCACAATTTCCAACATAAGATTTATCAGTAATAAAGGTAATATTTTGGGTTCTTATTTGCTTTGTCTTGTTTTATTTTTATTCATTTATTCATTCATTCATTTTTAATTTCTCAACTGGCAGAGAAATTGAGCAGTAAGGTGGTGGGTTATTTACTTGGTCCTTCTTGAACACCATTAATAAACAACTTACAAACATAATTCCTTCTCTTTCACACCATAACTATTTGACTTTATACAAGCTACTTAAATTTTAAGTCTTGGTGTCTTCATCTATAGAGTGGAGTTTTTGATAGCTTCTTACCATGGAAGGTCACTGTGAAGATTAATAATGAGAAAATACGTGTAATATATAGTTAGTGCACATCACAAAATATAAAAGACACTCAATAAGTGGTCATCTTTTTCTGTTCTTTGTATCGCAAGTTGAATTTTAAATGTCATACCATTAGTATAAACAGGACGGTGTCATTATCTGAGAATAATTGGAACCTATAAAATATCTGCATATATAAGGGGCCAAAATTTCATTGTAAGTTGAGCATTTCTATATTGAGGAACAAAACTAAAATATTTTATATTATTTATCAAATTTAGATTTTAACTACAAATAAACATTGATTATTAACACAAAGAATAAATCAAGCATTATTTTTTACATTTGCATTTCTGTTTATCCAACAAAATTATATGAGACATTATGCCCCATTTCACATTTTAATTCTGCAGCATGGTTATATTTCTAATTATATATAACTCATTAATTTTTCAAAATTTCCTCAATTCTTTGCTATTCAGATTATTCTCATATCCAGAGACTACCCATCATTGTCCTCTATCTTTTTAAAAGTCCATGATTTGTCTCTATAGCTGACTTTTCTTGTATTATATTGGGTTGTTAGGGCATTAGAGCATTCAAAAAATTAGCTAGAGACTGATCAATAAGATCTTGATTGGTTGAGGATGGGTATTTGTGCCAGGAATAGAAGGCTCTTTGAAAGGAAACTAATTTTATTAGCCATATGCTCAAAAGTGAATGGTGCTAGGTCATGGCAACTTTTGATTCTTGATTTTATGCATCTTTTCAACTACAGGGATTTGGATAATGATGACTTCAGTAACTAGAATATTACTGGTTAGCTACGTTAATAGTAAATTTGATAAAATATGTCATAAACTGTTTTTTTAACCTTAAAGCTATATCACAAGAAAGGACATAGAATATAAAATAACTTTTAGTACTTTAACCTCAAATTTGTGATTTTTTTGACCCCCCACAGTTAGAGGTTTTTCAGGCTGACATACCTGGGATTTAGAAACTCACAAATAACCCCTGTGGTCCCTCCTTCCCAAGAGTCTAAAGTAGCTCTCCATTAGGAGCCTGAAACTCCTTCAAGTCATTAAGTGATTGATTTTCTATCAAAACAGAATGAAGGAGTGAGGAAGGAAGGAAGATAAACAGGGAAGAAAGGAGGGTAGAGGAGAGAGAAAGATAAAGGGAGAAGAAAAAACATAAGCTGGAATCTAAGTGCTCTGAAAAAAATGAGACTGCAGCTCCCTAAGTCATCATCAAGACTTGAAGCAGAACCCTTGAATCAGAGAATATTCAGATGAAATACTCTGTTTTAGGGAGAAGCTACTGATACAGTTGTTGCTTCGATGAGGAGAGAAAGTAGATGGAGCCATTATCCTACTGATATATTTTCAGTCCTTCCCCTCACCCTTTTCCTCTCAAAGACCTTATTATCAGCATATACTATATGCTCTGATGTGGATATAATCATGGATCTGATGGCTTTAGATGAACATTAGAAGAAAAAGTACAATAATGATAATAAATTAATTCATACTAACTTAGCATTTACTATGTTCCAGATGTTGTTCATCATGATCTACTTCCATGAAAGTGTTAGAGACCGCTAGAGTCAAAATAAAGCAGATACTGGCAGGAATGATTAGACTTAAATTCTATTTCTAGCTTAACTTTTCTGGACTCTAGTTTTTCTCTTTTGTTTGTTTTTGGTCTTTTAATTTTCAAAATGGGAACTTTCGCAATGCAGAATAAATTGTCTGACTAACATAAACGAAGGGATCACAAGTAGTCAAGTCTATTGGGCTGTCTCTTTTCAGACATTGAGAATCTCATTCAATTATCTATTGCTATTATAAATCACCGAAAACTTGGTGGCTTTATAATTCGGTATTTATTTGTTCATGATTCTGCAGTTCGGACAGGGCTTGTCAGGGCAGTTCTACTCTGCTACATGCTAGGACTGGGATATTCAAGATGGCTTCTTCAACCACCTATCTGAAGATGCCATCACTAGAATGGCTGAAACAGATGCAGGCTGGCTGGGCATCTTTTCCTGCATGACTCCCCTTGTGGCTAGCTTGGGCTTTCTCATCATGGTGCTGGGTTATAAGAAGGCACATACCCAAAGGACAGGCCCCAGTGACAAGCAAAAGGGACAAACCAAAGTCAGTGTGAGGGGACTATACAGGACATTAATATCAAGGGGCAGAATTCACTGGAGGCATAAAATAAGAGTCAACCAGAGACACCTGTTTGGGGTTTCTAGTTCAAACAATTTATATCACTGAGTACACTAAACCAGCTTATGACCCAGGCAACTACAGCCTGTTTAGTCCTTTGAAAATAAAAATTACAACAGAGCTAATAAATCTCTGAGAAATCAATTTTTCTTGAGTGGACTTCTTAAATCAAATGACTAGCACTACTGTGGAACACTCTGATGAAATTTAGTATTGTCCATTCAACCTTAACTCCCTACTTCTTTTTATACAAGATAAATAGAATGAAAGATATGAGTTGAGTTTGGTTTATGGTTAGAAGATTTCATTCTTTCAGTATAAGCATTCTCTTGACATCCTAAATAATCATTTCACATTTGGCGATTAAGTGTGTATTTTTAACAGGGGCAACTGCCAAAGGAGTTGAGAATCTCACTCTTAATGGCCTCTGTTGGAGGAATGATGTTGTCATTGGCAGACAGAACAGCTGAAACCTCTCCCTACAGTCAGCCAACAGCTCACTGAGCCAGCACAAGCTGCTGCCATTGATTTTTCTGTACAGGTAATTGAAAACTGCCATAAGAGCCTGTATTTCATACCCATCATCAGTGACAATGGAAAGGCCTTAGTCCATGTAAATATATTATAGTCCTCATTTAAAACTTCAGCTTGGCGCTAAGGAGGCATTTTTCTTTCTGTGGAAGTACAAGGAAACTAAATTCAGATGAGATGGGCCAAATGCAATTCCAGAGCTGAGATGAAAAGTTATGGATAGAGGAAATGTAAAGATAGGTTTCCAGTACTGTGACAAGACAGGAACTGAAACTGAGCCCTATGGGATATCTGGAGTACCTACAGAATATCACTACAACTTGAATATTGTCAGAGGCTTTAATGTTATAAAACAATCTTCAAAAGTTTGGCTCTAGGCCATCTGAGTTTAGAAATCTGATGATTCTCAGAAGAATGAAGATAGTTTTAAAACAGGCAAATTTAGAATAAGAAAGCTATTCAGAGACTTGAAAACTAAATAGTCAATATGGGATGTGTGTCCCTGCATTTTGAAAGAGACAGCACAGTGGTTTCTTTTTAAAGCAATGAAGTCCACAGACTGACATAATATGAAACTAGGTTTAGGACAAGCTGACGTTTTTTTCTTCTATTTTCATTTCAAACTTTTGGTTATATTTATTCCACATTTTCTCTCAATGTAAGTTTTCAGGATTGTACCTTATTTATTACTGTCAAAATCTATACATCTTTCATTTTGAAGGCATTTTTACAAGATAGAGGGGAAAGAAAGGACTGAGGCAAACTGTAGGTTAGGATTTCATAGTCAGAATAAAAAGAATAGGTAAACTGACTAAGACATCCAAGACAAAAGCATTCAGGCTCCTCTTCTTTCACCCGTCCGCTTCCACAGCATAAAGAACAGTGCTCTAGAAATATCATAAGGCTTTCAACAATGTAGTCATCTCCAGCATATTTCCACAGCTACAATTTATCAGACATTTACTATGAGCTCAGCATTGTTCTCAGTATTTTTCCAGCTAATATTTCATTTCATGTCCACAACAACTTCATTTGGTTGGTGTTATTGTTTTCTATATTCCAGATGAGGAAACCAAAGCTCAGAAAGAAAAAGAATGTTTCAAGACCAAGGTCACCCAGTTTGTAATAGCAGTGTAGGTCTGTCCAAACTGATTCAGAAAATGCCAAGCAGAAAAGAAACCCCGCTATCTAATTAGACTGATCAGAGAAGGGGAAACTCCTTTCCTCCTATCATTATCATATCCTCAATGTAGTTGTAACATGTAACAGTTATTAAGCATCTGTGTTCCGTGTAAATTCTGGTCCTTTCCATCTGTATGTAACTGAGCTCATTATTTTTAAGCCTTTGAAGTGATCGCCTATAGAATCAACGAACTAGCAACATGGGGCTGACTCTGGTGATCTCTGAAAATGAGCACACACAAAACAATTCTCAAGGAGATTGCAGTCTACAAGGGCTGTGGGCTTTAACCCTTGCAGACTGTGGATATATTATTTTTTAATTTTGCATTTTGTAATACCAACCAATTATGAATGCTATGAAAAATATCATCCAAACAATACACTTTGAGGGGTGGTATTAGTGGAGATTTCCAATGTGAGGTCCTTGAATATAGATAATTTTGAAGCTTTTCCCTTCTTTATAGTGAGTTGTCTATTAAAAGATCCCCTTCAAAGAATTCCACCACTTGAGAGAAGGGAGGGTTCCTGAGACAATTAATCTTACATTCTTATTGTGCACATAAGGCAATTTGGGTCCAAGCAAAGGAAGAAACACGTCCAGCTTCTCAGAAGCAGAGCTGGGATTGGAATTCAGGTCTCCTCTGGCTCAGTGTATTCTCTTTTACCAGAAATATCTCTTTCATTTATCTTAATAGTGCCTTTGGGTGGAATCCAAAGCATTTGAACATGGCATTATGATACAAGTTGCAGATGAGGAGTCCCTGGGCTTTGCAAAGCATTTGAAAATGGCATTATGATACAAGTTGCAGATGAGGAGTCCCTGGGCTTTGGTAAAGTCCCCCGATCACTAGCTGGCTGAGTAGTCTTGGGAAATGTTTTAATCTTTTTAAATCACAGTCTTCTCCTCTGTAAAGTGAAGTTGTTCAACTGATTTTTATAATCATTTTGCTTCGTAACATGTGGCTCTTCGATTTTAATCCGTTATATTTGTGAGTTAACTTCTACTTTTCACAAAGCACATGGGCCCTCTTTTCCTTCATTAAAATTCTCTGGATTGCTAATAAAAATGATGCTGAAACCAGACAAACTCTAAGGACAAAATAGACATTTTCAGACATGTAAGAACTCAGAAAATTTATTTCCCTAGTGCCTAGTTTTAAGAAGTAATTTATGGCTATACTCCAGCAAATCAAGAAGCTAAGAAATATGTGAGTCAAGAAGTGATAAGAAAATCCTAGGGTGATAAGTATACAGCAAGTCTATGAAACAATTCATCAAAATTAGAACAAGACAGTGCTTTCAGAAGAAAGAATGGAATCAACTCCAGAAATAAACAGGAAGCTAAATGATATTAGTTGCATGTTGAAAAAAATGTTTGCATATATGTCTTTTTATCATTTAACAAGAACAAAGAGACAATAACAAACACCCAGAGGAAAAAAGTCATAAAAACATTATCAAAGAGTTCAAATATAAAGCAAACTAAAATGTGGTATAACTTAGAGCAATTAAAAAATCTAAGAGAAATTATTTGACCTGGAAGATAGGAACATTGCATGTCCTTTGCATTGGGGTCATGGCCTTTAAATATTTCAGAAAAAAAGATGCAATCTTAGCACACTACTTAGCTCTGCAGCATATATTATTAACATGCCATGCTAATGAAATTTCATGTTCTTAATTTTCAACTCAGCATTTCCTCATTTTCTCTTCTCCCTTCTGCACAGTTTCTATTCATTATATTATTTGTTATGGTTGTAAAATTTTAATCTATTTGGCAGCAATATTAAAAGTTCTACATGTTGTCACTTTCTTTAATTTTTTTTTTTTTTTTTTGATGGAGTTTCACTGTTGTTGCCCAGGCTGGAGGGCAGTGGCGCAAACTTGGCTCACTGCAACCTACGCCACCTGGGTTCAAGTGATTCTCCTGCCTAAGCCTCCCGAGTAGCTGGGATTACAGGCGCCCACCACCACGCCCGGCTAATTTTTGTATTTTTAGTAGAGACAGGTTTTCATCACGTTGGCCAGGCTGCTCTCCAACTCCTGACCTCAGGTGATCCACCCGCTTTGGCCTCCCAAAGTACTGGGATTACAGGTGTGAGCCACTGCGCCCAGCCCTACTTTTTTTTAACTCTAAGAGTAAGATTCACATAAAACCTTTGTAGTGATTGCTTCTGTGAACAGGGAGTCGGGAGGAAATGTGACGCAGAAATTGTAATGACTGCTTAATAAGTAAAAGTCTGTGAGTGCTTGCAGATTGTAGGGCTGTAAATGAAGTAGCACAAAAGGAATTAAATAATGAAGAAACAAACAGGAGTAAGCCGGCATCACATAATATCAAAGTAGGGAGAAGTGAGTATGTGCAAGGCTTCATTCATAGGTTTCTCTTCCCTCTTTTTTTTTTTTTCTGAGTCTTTACCAACAATATTTTGAATTATACTGATCTTAAAATCAGATTTTTTTTTTTTTTTTACTAGAAGTAGGCTAACACTTTTAAATGGTCTACTGAACCATTTCATTTGCATTTCTTTGTTTTAGGGCAGTGGTTCTCAAACTTCAGAGTGCATCAGAATCACCTGGAAGACTTGTTGCAACACAGATTGCTGGGGCTCACTTCCAGAGTATCTAATTCAGCAGGTCTAGAATAGGACCAGAGAATCTACATTTCTAATAATTCCCAGAAGATGCTGATACTGCTGGTCCCAGGAACTCATTTTAAAATCTCTGACCTAGGGAATGCCTGGGTGGCTTAATCACATTCTGCTAAATGGAAGTTTCTGGATGATTCCCGTCTCTAAAAGACTGGGCTACATTAACCTAAAATAAACCAGTTTAAAATTTAAATCCTAATATGACTCTGACATTTGAAAGAGAAAAATTCTTCAAGCTTCAAGTTTCCATAGCCCTTCAGTAACTGTTGGGCAGTCAGGTTTCATGGAGAGATCCAGTAGCACTGAGTATAGTTGATGACCTTTCATATTTGGTTGCATTTCTGTGTGTGTGTGTGTGTGTGTGTGTGCGTGTGTGCGTGTGTGCGAGTGCATGTACGTAAGCGCCCATATGGGTATATACTTATAGATACATGAACATAAATAATATATAAATGTGTATGTGCACACATACACTATATAAACATTTGTTTTTGCTGATCTATTCTTTATTCCTTTGCAACTTAAAAAGCTCAAGACTTTGTAAAAATGTGATCTAAATATTCTTGAGAAGAAAATATGAGAAAAGTCATTATTCTACCTAAATAATTTTTACTTCCTTTTGGAAGCTTTAGAAACTTTAGCTAAGGACATATACTTTTTAATTTTAGGTGGGGGCCCTAAAATTACTGTTCTTTCTCTAAGCACCCACAATCTGGAGTTTGGGTCTGCATTTTGGGAGAGGTAATTTATTGCATATTTTACATTCTCAAGTCATTTCCCTAACAGAATCCTTAAAGATATCTGAATCAGACTTTCTGTATGATTTTTGAGGATAATAGTGCATCACTGATTTCAAATCCTGACCATATGGATACAAAGGAAAATCTCACGAAGCATGAATTTTGCTGTAATCCAAGAAAAATCATTAACTATATGAAGATCCATTTAAAGAGAAACATTCTTCTTCTCATAAGAGTTTTTTAAAGATGATTTTGTCCTTTGATTTTGATCCTAGAATTAAACTTTGCATGAGTTATTTTTAAATGAAGAAACAGATCCCAAACTTCTCTGCACTCTTAATAAACGGACAGTTATATTTATTTTCTGGTATTTAAGTTTAGAAATGTGATGGCCAGGTGTTCTTCTCAAATCTGAGCTGCATTATGGTTTGATGAGGGATAACACTTATCCTTTATTTGAACTTTGCTGCTTGCTTGTATGAGGGTTGAAAACCTGTTCTAGGATTGCTGTTAAGGCAGACTGTGGTTTACAAACTTATCAAGAAAAGATGTTTCTGTTTCATAAACCAAAGCCATCTCTAATGTGGGTAATGACAATACATTTATTGTATTTTAATACAAAGTCTATTGATTTTTTTAAAACAAGTTTATGGAGGTATAATCGACATTCAAAAAATCTGCACATAATAAAGGGTAAAATTAATTAGTTTGTATATATTTATAACCCATGAAACTATCAAAATTAACATAATGAGTAATAACAACTTAATTTCAATAGTATTCAAACACTCTACTTCTATCATCTGTGTCCTTCTCCCTTTATATTGTTATTGTCACATATTACATATTTATACATTGTGTGGTCATTACAGATTCATAATTATTGTTTTATGCATTTGCCTTTTAAATCACATAGGAAAAAAAAGAGGAGTTATAAACCCAAAGTACAATGATATTAGCTTTTGTACTTATCTATGTATTTACTTTTACTAGTGTTCTTTGTTTCTTCATACAGCTTTGAATTACTGTTGGTTGTTCTTGAATTTCAGCCTGCAGGACTGCCTTTAGGATTTCTTGTAGGGTAAGTGTACTGGTAACAAAACCTCTTAGCTTTTGTGCATCTGGTACTGTCTTAATATCTCCCTCTTTCTTAAAGGATACAGTAATTTTGCCAGATATAAATTTCTTGGTTGACAGGCTTTTGGTTGTTGTTTCCCCAGCACTTTATCATCCTGCTGCCTTCTGGACTCCATGATTTCTGATGAGAAATCAGCTGTTAATCTCATTAAAGATCCTTTGTACATGAAAAGTCATTTTTGTTGTTGTTGTTTTCAAGACTGTCTACATAATTTGACTACAATATGTCTTGGTGTCAATCTCTTTGAGTCCATCTTGCTTGATGTTTGTTGAGCCATTTTGATGTATATGTCCATGTCTTTCATCAAATTTGAGGAGTTTTGAGCCATTACATCTTCAAATATATTTTTCTCCTCTTTTCTCTCCCTCTATTCTCCTTCTGGGACTCCCATGATGCAAATTTTGGTAAGTTTGATGCCATCTCACTGGTTCCTCAGATTTTGTTCATTTTTCTCTTTCTGCTGCTCAGACTGGATAACTTCCATTGTCTCATCTTCAAGTTTTCTGATTATTTCCTCTGCCTTCCTGCCAAAATCTTCCATTGCACCCCTCTAGTGAAATTTTCATTTCAGCTATTGTGCTTTTCTGCTTCAGAATTTCTACTTGGTTCCTTTTTAAAATTTATTTTTCTTTATTGACATTCCCTAATTGTTCATACATTGTTCTGACAATTTACTTCTTTTGTTGATGGTTTTCTTTAGTCACTGAGCATATTTAAGACAGCTGACATCTATCACTAATAAATTTTAATATCTGAACTTCCTCAGGGATAGTGTCAAATTCTTTTTTTCCCTGTGAATAATCCACATTTTCTTATTTTTTAAAATTTATCATTTTCTCTTCTTTTTAAGGCTAATTAAGTGAAGAAGTGAAAGTTTGTTTCTTTTTATGCTTTTCGATTTTATTGTTGTTGCAAACTGGACATTTTCAGTAATGTAAAGTGGTAACTCTGGAAATCAGATTTTCCTCATCCTCAGAAGCTATTTTTTTGCTTGTTGCAAGCTGTATTAATCTGTTTGTATGATGAACTTTCCAAACTATTTTTGCAAAGTCTGTATTCCTTAGGGTGTGGTAACTGAAGTCCCATTGTCCTTTGTCTCTGCAATCAGCCTGTGGTCTGAAAGAGGTTCCTGCATATCCCAAATTTCAGTAGGCTCTCTCTTCCTCAATCACTCCCCCAGTTGCTGTGTCTGATTAGGTCCCAGAGTTCTGGAATAGCTGATTCTTGTCATTTGTCCCCCAGGTTACAGGTTGTTTCAGTAGAGAAATGAAACCCTGGAGGATTCCACTTGGCCATTTTCCATGATGACACATTCCATCAGTCAGTGTTTTTTTTAACAACCTTTGCACTGATGGCTGGATTTTTCTTGGGAACTGTCCCTTAATCAATGGGACCTCTCAGCTTCTCCACTTGCAGAGCTATAGGATGTATCTTCAACTTATCATGGTCTACCTTCAAGTAATATTATGCCACTTCATGAATAGTATAAGAATCTTACAGTTACATACTTCTATTTCTCCCCTCCATTCTTTTATGCTACTATTGTCATATATTTTACTTTAAAATTCCACATATCATCAATATTTTGTTTTAAAAGTCATTTATTAAAAATATAACAATAAGAAAATATATGTATATATTTATTCAAATACTTATAATGTTCATTGCTCCTCATTCCTTTATGTAGATATGTGTTTTCATATGGTAACAGTTTTCTTCTGTCTGAAGGACTTTCATTAACATTTCTTATAGTTCAGGTCTATAGTTCAGGTCTGCGCCTGCCACCGCGCCTGGCTAAACTCTTTCAGCTTTTATATATCTGTAAAGGTTTTTATTTCCCATTTATTTTTATAGATAGTTTTGTTGCTAAAGAATTATAGCTTTATAGCATTTTTTTCTTTTAGTACCTTAAAGATGTGCTCCGTTTTCTTTTTGCTTTCATTATTTGTGATAAGGAATCTACTGGTATTCTTATTTTTATTCATGTGTTTTTTCCTCTGGTTTTTAATAAGATTTTTTTTTGCAGTGGTTTTGGCTGATTACAGGGTATTTTTATCTAGTTTTCTTCATGTTTCTTGTGTTTTGAGTTTGTTAAGCTTATTGAATTTGTATAGTTTTTTTTTTTAAAGTAAAAGTGCTAAAATTCCTAGAAATTATTTTTTCGAATTGTTTTCATATCCTCCCTCTCTCTTCTTTCCTTTTAGGACTCTCATTACTTGTATATTAAAATAATTGAAGTTGTCCCGCATTCTACTAATGCATTTTTTTCATAGTTAGAAACCCTTTCCTTTCCCATGTTTCATTTTGGATATTTTCTATTGGTACATCTTTGTTTACTGATCTTTTCTTCTGTAGCGTCCAAATCTGCTCTTAATCTTTAGCAGTGTATTTTAAATCTCAGATAATGTAATTATGTCTAGAAATTTCATTTGGGTCTCTTTTATATTTTTCATGTCTTTAACTCTTTGAACATCTGGAATATAAATAACTATTTGAATATTTTGGAAATGCGAACATCTATGTCAATTCTGGGTTAGTTTCAGATGGCTAATTTTTTCCTTTTGTCATATTTTCCTGCTTCTTTGCATGCCTGTACATTGGATGTCAAATGTTGTGAATGTTTCTTTTTGCATGCTAGGTGAATTTATATTCCTCTGTATCCTTGGGCTTTGTTTAGAGATAAGATTCAATTATTTGGAAACAATTTTGTCTTTTCAGCTCTTGCTTTTATGATTAGGCAGTCTTAGGGCAACATTTAGTCTACGGTTAATTACTCCTCATAGGTGAGTCAAGACCCAATTCAGTGCCTCACGAATTATGAGGTTTTTCAGTGTGATGAGTGGTAACAGGCACAATTCTCAGTCCTTTGTGAGCACTGGACACTGTCCCTTAGATCATTTTGGATGGCTCTTTCTCCAGTCTCAAGTAGTTTCTTCACATACGTAAACTGCTCAGTACTTTATTGAATACTTAAGAGGAAGTAGCTGCAGATTTGTGGGATTACTTTTCTGTATGGTTCTCCCCTCTGTGATACTCATCTCTTGTAAGCTCTAGCTGCCTCTATTTCCCAAACTTTCAGCTCTGTCTCAACTCAGGAACTTCTTAGGAA
Source organism: Homo sapiens (assembly GCF_000001405.40). Classification (NCBI taxonomy): domain Eukaryota; kingdom Metazoa; phylum Chordata; class Mammalia; order Primates; family Hominidae; genus Homo; species Homo sapiens. The sequence goes on from NC_000007.14 coordinate 137,380,629, forward strand.
TTCCTAAATTAGCACTCCCTGAATCACTATCTGGAAACTCTCTGAAGTCTATAAAATGAAGAGATTAAAGGGCTTATATCATTTGCTTCCATCTCTCAGGAATCACTGCCTTTTTTGCCCCCGCCAAGGTCCTGTGTCTTAACAATCATTGTTTTATATATACATGTTTTAGGTTTTTTTAAAAAAAATCTGGTGGGAGGGCGAATCTGGCCTGTTAGTCCATTTTGGAAGCAGAAGTCTTAATTTTTTTTTAAATTCCTACCTTATCAGGGACCCCATTTAGTCTCTGCCTGCTCTAATAGTCAACTCTTTCTTTACCTCCTGATTTTGAAAGTCTAACTTAACTTTAGTTAAAAATAGCATTCACACCAACTACTTATAGGATCCAGAAAAAATAAACAAATGAACTACATTTCTTCATTTTTATTCTGTACATTTCCACACAATTCACAATACAGAAAAAGTGTCCAAAAAGTAACTGTAACTAGTCAATTTCTTTTTCAGAGATTAGTTCAGTCTCCCAAATTAACTCCATTGAAAATCTCTGTAGTGCAACACAGTGATCAAGATACTTTATATAAATAGGAAATGCAAGAAAATTAGGGAAAAATACTTTATGACTTTGTTACAAAAAACTTCATTCTTCCCTTTCCCATCCCACCCCCCCCCCCCCACCCACCCTCCCTCCACTTCGTATTATCTGAATCCTCCTTTACCTGGAAATAAAACTTTAATCTTTCTACTGCCACAGCTGCTACTTGTTTATGGATTCCACCTGCCAGCTGGCAGCTTTGCAAAAGCATGGCTCTGGGATGTGATAGGGCAGAATCAGAAATCATGAAAAAGCCCTTTATAATGTGACTGCAACTCTTCATACAGATGTAGCCTTTGCGAGTGGAATACCCACAGCCAAGGGTACCCTGGATGCCTGGGAACGTTTTCCCACTCAGAAATCAAATTAAATCAAATATATTCATTCTTTTAGAACTGAGATTGTCCTCTATTCCTTAGTTTTTCACAAGAATGGTTTTCCTCAGTTTCAGTCAGTGGTGGTCTGTATAATATTCAGATTCATGGTTGCCCACTTAACTATTGGTAATTTTAAAAAACAGCCAAGCTAACCTTTGCTGAGACTATTTTGGCCCCTGACTTTTCAAAGATGTGTTTTGCAAAATATTCTGTTGTGTTAGAATATTTTGTCTATGAGAGTTCTAAATCTCCTTCCCCAGGATGGCAAGAATCCAAACTTTCCCAACTTATAATCGGTAAGTCAGGGAGAGCATCAAAGTTCTACTTGCATTGGAAATTATGCTTGTATGTAATTAGAGTCTCAATCCAACCAATGATGGGTGGGGAGAGTGGCGAATAAAAATTCTTTGATCTCCAGAAGATCAGGAGATCAGGAGCCATTTGGTTGCATATAGAAGGTACAACAAATATCAAGGCTAGATGGTATCTTAAAAGTGATAAATCTCACCAACACCTATAAATTTGAAATTACCTATAAATTTGAAACAAAAAATAGGGTAAACTGACAGGACTATCCTATCTGTATGTGTGTGTTTTATAAGTGAAGAGTAAAGACAATTTGTAAACATATATCTATCATTTTTAAGAGGAAAATGTATATTTAAACCCAAAATAACAAGGTCACAGTCTCTGAATTTTTAAGTGAATATATTGAGATTTGTGGGAAAAAACCCTAAATATTCCTTATTTTTTTCAAACTTTATCAGGGACCAGAACAAGTTTGTGGACAGGCATAATGTATTATAAGAGGTTGGACAAACTCCTTCCAAAAACCACCTCGTCCTTTGGAAAGCTCCATTAAAAAGTTCTTCTATTAGCTGACCCTACTTCCCCCAAGTTCCACACACAATCTAATTCTTCTATGCTGCATAAACTGAAATTTTCACAACTAATACCCCTTGAAGCCACTTTGAACAAATTTAATCTTTCTGTATGTTTCCTGAGTTTGATTTTCAATATCTGCTAACACTATCAGTTGTTTGAGATTACCATGAGAATTTGTGTTACTACTAGGGTCTTCTTATTGTACTACTTTTGAGAATCTTTTTTCCTTTCCTCACAACTCTGCCCCTCTTTTATGCCCCCAAACCAGAGGCAAGAAGTAGAACAAGAAAGAAGGTGGAGTAGAAGCAGGTCTTTTCTGCAAGACTCTGGATATGGATTCATTTCTTAAAATTACCTCAAGTGACTTCCTCCCTCACCCAGTCAACCTGAAATCTAGGAACTCAAGCTGTATTACAGAATTAAGGGATGATGGGCAATTAAAACTGTAATCCACCTAGACAGAAATATGACAGAAACATTAGTCTACTGATATGGGGTTAAGTCTTGTTTCATGACACAAAGTTATAGAAAGTGCCTCCATGCCTCTGTATTGGCAGAGGATATAGAATTTCCCACCCTCTTCTCCAGTCCTGACTCTACATCCCAAACAACAAATGGGTAGTAAGTAGGGGAAAGAACACTAAATCCTTTGTTTTCACTTTGACTCCTGAATCTGTGACCTTTTTGCTTTAGTAGAAACATATCTTTTTTAGGAGATTTGGGAATTGGCTAACAATTGGCAAAATTGCTAGCCAATTTCCAAATCTCCTAAATTGGCTAACAATTGGCAAAAATGCTAGCCAATTCCCAAATCTCCTAAAAAAGATATGTTTCTACTAAAGCATAGGTGTGTTTGTGTAAGCAAGGCAACTTTTTAGGGTCATGAAATCCCCGCTGCTAAGTGATTTGGGATATATTTGCAATGATGGAAGCTTTTTTAAAAAATGCCTTCATTGCTATCTAGTTGGCAGGAACCTGGGGGAAAAAAATAGGCTCAAATTGAGTTCTGTTCCAGTCTAAAATTATAGACATTTAAACCAAGAAAATCTCACAGAGTTTTTCTAGTCCAAGATCTCTCACAATTAAAGATATGCCTTTGATCTCTGAGTTAGTTGTTCAATCTTCACTTAACTACTAGAAGAAACAGTGATAACAACTTCACTGTTTTTCAGAAAGCCCAAACTGTTTTTCTGGATGCAATGTTTAGGAAAAATAAATCCTTATAAGTAATAAAGCTAACTCCTTTTCATGTGTTACTGCTCTTTTCTTTCCTTATTTTATTCTACAAATCATCTTCCCTGCAGAATTTGAAACTAACAGTCCTACTTAACCTAACTCCTCTACATATTCTTATTCCTAATCCAATTTTGTCTTCTTTCCAGATCAAACATCCTCCTTCTACATATTCACCAATCTGCCCATAAATGTCCCTTGTAAAGTATGAGATTCTGAACTGAAGGACATTTCAAGCCTGTTTGTTTTTCTCTACTTCAAATATGCCGGAATTTCCCATAGGTGTATTAAACCTCTATGTATATGACTATGTATTATCATAACACTTAGCTTGCATACCCACCCATAAACTTAGAGCAATAGAGTCTTGGATGTCAGGGCCATTTTTAACATTTTTTGTTGCAGCATTCAGAAATTATATCATCCTAATAGTGACTTCAAAGGAAGAAAAATAGGACTAACATTTTTTAAATGCTGAGAATCACAAATAAGTTAAAGAAGCCATTAACGCTCACTGTTAATTTCTTCTCTTGAAATCCACCCTGGTATGCAAACATTAGACTTTTCTTTGCTTGAACTATGTACAAGCTGACAAGCCTCTCTCCGACAGCAAAAACTCTGACTTTTTGATTTCACATTCTCCCTTATTTCTAACTCATTCTTTCCGTGGAAACTTAGGTAAACATTTTTTTTTCATGGAGGCAACTTCTATATTATGGAAATCTGAACAATTGATATAAAACATCCTTGAAGGCAATGATGGAAAATGACTTACTTAGAAAACATGTTAATATGTAATTTCTAAAGACCCAGTTCTGGCTGCAGCACTATCATTTGCTATATGAATCTGCACAGGCTGAATTCACTGCTCTGAGATTCAGTGCATTCATCTAAAATGTATTATATGCATTATTCACCTCGTTGGGGTTGTTTTGAACCCCAACTGAAGCTCAAACATGTCAATACATCATAACGCTAAAGCACTTTTTAATTCTTGAAACTGTTCTTAACAAACAGTATAGATTTGAGTTGTTTATACTGTCATAGAGTGAAAACTATATGTGTGTTTCACTAAAGGTCTGAGGGAAAAGATAATTTCAGTATTTCCCACTATCAAAGCCTCCCATTTCAGAAGGCATTTGGCTCAAAATATTGAAATTTCAAAAGTTGGGTGAAAACTTGGATCACTATTTTCTTATTTCCATGGGTAGGACCTCCCTTGTGGTTGCCACGCTGGTGGCAGAAGCCAAAGAGTTTTCCATGATTGCCTTTCATGTACATTTACTTGGCTCCCAAATACCTTACAGGCAGAATTTTCTTCTGTGGTTATACTAGATTACACTTAACTCTTAGAATATCAAACCACAGCACTTTTTTATATTGGATGGACAGTAAGACAGATTTCTAATAGAATTTTACTTGACAATGACTAAGAATACTGATCAAAATTTATAAGCTTCCAGAAGTATTTTTAATTAAATTACACCTTTTAGTATGTTTTCTTTTGACTAGCTCTTAAATTCATGCTTAGTTTAAAATTTTTTAAATGATAACTAACGGCCATTCCCCTAGATATTTTTAAAATTCTCAGTTATAAAGCAAAGTTTAACAAATCAAAAATCAAGATTTTCATGAGTTTTTAAAATAAAATCCTGCCATTCAACAAAGCCATTAAAAAATATCTTTTGAAAAATCACAGCATCTAATTTTAGCCCCCTCAAATCACATATTCCTAATCACAACACCCCTCAGAGTGGTCAGGTATCCTCTGTTTAAATGCTAACAGAGGCTGAAAGTTTATAACTGTGATATCCACTCCACTATTACATATTATTTGTACTTCATCTTCTTTATATTTAGTCAAAACCCACTGAAAACTCTGCTTATTTTTCCTAGTTCTATCCTGAGAGCTAGAATAAATCAGTCTTAGCTTTCATTTTAATAGTGTTTCTAAGTCTTGTTTTAAAATCTTAGTTTCAGATACATTTTTAGAAATCTACTATGACTCCAGTAAAATGGAAATGCAAAATATTATTCTCTTCCTACTTATGTTTTCATTGAACCAAAACATTGCTGGCTAATGAGTGGCTGGTACAATAAAGCCTTGGTTGAATTTCCAGCCCATGCTGGACACCCTGGGGTTCTCCTGCACTGCACTTATCACATTGGAATTTGTCTTTTCTTCTAGATGCCAGCTTCATGAAATCAAGAGTTTTGTCTATTACATTCATTGTTATATCCTTAGTATGATGCCTGCCTCAGAGTGACAAATATTTTTCAAATAATGATTAAATACATGCACTTATGATTGATTCATGGACATATGATTACATGCATAACTGAATACATATGTAAATAGACTCTGGAGTCTATGCATTATGAAGATACCATTCAATTTTCACGTTTCTATTTTAAAATCCATGCTACAAGAGCCTAAGAATTATTTTTCTGCTTTCTTTCTGGGACCTGGTCAGTAAATCTCAGTGTCCTGGGAGAGGAGGTTGTCCAAGGGCATGACTCTTTTCTTGGTTCTTATTTTCAGGTTTCTCATTAAGCTGTGAGGAGACAGTGTAAAACCAAAGATGGCCCTCAGCAGTGTAAAATCTATAACCTAGTCCTCCAGGTGCCGTCAAAGAGGCATGTGGCTTACATTGTTGAATGAGGAAGCAGCAGCCGTGATTGTGTACCCTCATGGGACTAAGACAGATATTTGCTAAACCTGATAGATTTTCAGAATCATGCTTGCCATAATTCTATAAGATGATCAAGGTCAGTGGACATCCATGTGTCCTTTGAGTAAAAGGTATACTTGTCCCAGAGGGTAATTTCATTTTGATGTATTTTGAGCATAATATCTGGGGAAGATTTTTGCAACTGCGTGACAAAATTATTGACAGTAGTAGGCAGAAAGTTCAGGGACAGGACTGCCGCTATGGCCCAAAACTTAGAGAGACAAGAGATAATGGATGACTGGGGACACAGAAAAGGGTAGGGTCCAAGTCGATCTGACAGACCTGGCAGAGAAGGACCTGTAGGACTTCTAATCAGCTGAGTATGAGATTCAGAGTGAAAGGAGTTGAGAGATTCAAAGGTGGTTCAATTAAGATGCAGGCAGAAGCCATTTTATATTAAATAAGTGTTAAAGATTAATCAGAAAGCTAATTTATTAGATGTTTTTCTACTTCTTTTCCTAAAATGAATATAATTCATTTAAATAGAACAATTAGTAGTTTTATTTGATGGTTATGATGAGCCATTTTAACAAAGTCCCATTTTTAAATAGCATAATTGAATAAAATATGCTGTTCTCAGTGATTTCATTAGCTACTCCTTCTGGAAGGAAGACAAGCTGCTCAGACCCCCATACTACACTGAAGTTACACCTTCCCGGAAGTAGCCTGCCCTAATTAAATATCACTAGGCAACCTACTGAGTGTTAGTGTTACAAACAGCCTTGTAAAGTGGTGTAAGCATCACAGAGGAAAGAACTCTCCTTTACTTGAAATACAAACATAGCATAGATAAGTCTTGGGGCTATGGTAGGTTTCATGCTTCATGGAAGGCAACATAAACAATTACAGGAACTCTTGGTCATGAATTTTATGACACAGGTAATAGAAAATGCTAAGTGCAATTGTAGTAATGCCATAACAGATCTAAGCCTAGCAATGGTGGAAACAAAAAAATAAATGGAACTTCTCTGTTTAACCTGTCTTTGCCTACTGGTGTTCACTAGACATATACAAATGATCAGCATGCTTTTAAAATGTTTGCTCTTTTCTAAACCTATGCAATATACATGAATATAGTATACATACTTGCATGTGTATATAAATAAATGTCTATATATGTGTGTAAATGTATATGCGTATATACATACATACTTGTGCATGAACGGATGGGGTATTTCTGACATCACATACAAGCAACAGTGTTCATCAGTGTTAACCGTATTTATTTTTGGGAAGTGGGACACAACACCAGAACAAAGGGATGCCTTGACTGTGGATGTGATACTCATCTGTGGTATTAAAACATTTTATAAAAAGCATGTGCCATTTTTATAATTTAAAAAAACCCCTAAATATTATTAATAAAATTGACATGTAATAAAATAAAGATGCTGTGTCATTTTTTAAAGCCATGAATATTATAAGGGGTCTAGTAAATAAATAAATTTCAGAAATTCGTTAGGCAAAGGGACTCTCACTAGGTCCAGATGAAAATGAAGTGATGTTGAGTAGCTCCCAGCACAGGCAGATCTGCCAAAGCAGCCATTCTGAAAGGATAAGGAGCAACAGGTATGTACGGCTCTCCATCAGTCATTACTAATTTCCATCACTGTGCATTTGCCAGCTAAATTATGTTTCAAAACTTGCACTGGTTTTTGGTTATCACATCTACAGAGGAAACATAAGCTCTGAAAGCAAAATTCCTAGTCATGGTATTTATTCCATTCTTGGCTTACTAATCTTCTCTCTTATTCTTTATGAAGTCCTTGAATACGATAAAGCACAGTTTAACTGTGTTCTATTTTGTTAAATGCACAATATTAAAATATAAGCTTGCAAAAATGACTACCTTTCAGGTTACAGAATGTTGTCTTTTAATAACTCTTCATTTTCCATTCCTCTATCAACCACATCTAAAAATGGAATCTCAAAGCAGTCAGTGCCATGACACAAAGAAACAAACACAGAGGAGTCAGCCAAGCTAGCTGCCTCTTCAGTGCTGTCTCAGTAGGCTTTGTAGAAATGATATTTCTATAGGTACATATTTTTATGTCTGTTAAAGTTACATGGCACTTCAGACCAGGACTAGATCACTTGCTTTCCTGATGTCCTAATAGTAGGGATACAATATACTTAAGCTGAGATGGAAACTCCTAGACCATAAGGCCTTAGCTCTTTCCAAAGCCCAGGACCAATTTTTAAAACATGCTACAGGAGGTGGTTTAATGTTGAAGCCATTAAACATGTGGTTATTCTGCTCACTTTATTTTGGAAATCCCAAGTCCTAGTGGTACTTGCTTTTTTCAAAGCGATATATCAAATATTGGTCTCCATGAATAACACAGGACTCTAATGCCTTTTTTTTTTTTGGTTTGAAAAAATTTCCAAATGCATCAGGAATCTTACAGTACCAACTCATCATTTTTCATAACACAGATTTATGTCTTCAATTGGAGCTATTTAGAAATTGGCCCATAGCCACCTGTACCCTAAATTTTCTCTGGGCTACTTGGAAGTATTTAGAGAAATGTGAGATGGTAGTTGATGAAAACAGAGTTCTTCATCCCAACAGTAACAGCTAGATAACTGACTGCTTGGCCAAACATTTGACTCAATCCAGGGAATGGAAGATGCCATTCAAAGCCAGATTCCAGTTTGTGTTAAGGATTATATTTCTGTCATCACATTTCCTTGACAGTCCCGCCAACTAAAAATCCCCCAGCAAAAGCCCAGTGATTAAATTCTCCTGGAGCATATTTTTCCAGCTTCTGGAAACAATCTGCTGCAGTGTCTCCTGTAATATCCAAAGGATAGTTCCATTTCTGAGGCTGATATATGGAAGTAGATTACTCACAACCCAATCCATCCTCCCACCAACAATTTGATTTTGAAATGACTATGGAAAGACTGTGGTAATAAAATCCCCATCCACTGAAAGGCTGTTCCTGTTTAATATAGCACGTCATAGCCGCACTTTCAAAATGATGATATGTTACCGAAATGTGACTCAGATAAGCAAAATGTCACCATTAGACTTTTAAATTAAATGTAGAGACACTATCATTCATGGTCATATGTAGAAACATTAGGGAAGCACTATGCTATGTCCAAGGACAAAATGAAAATAAGCTCAGGAGACGTCAGATTTCGCCAAAAGTAAAATCCTTGGACACCTACTTTTATTTTTGACTTACCCCCAAGTCAAGTAGATATTTGGACAGAAAGACAGACATTTTCTTCTGATATTTTAGGGATCACAGAGTCCCTAAGAGAGGTACCTGTAAGTACCATTCGATCCGTGGCAGGTTTAGATGTTACAATTCTAACTATCTGACAGACATTTCTGGCTAGATTCCAATGGTGGTTTGCACTAAGGACTTTCTGAAAAGGGAAAAATAAAGTAGATAAAATAATATATTAGACTACCCCATACATAGAAAATGGGGTTATTAAGTACGACCTTTGGACCTGACAAATAATAGTTGAAGCATCCTTCTGAATGATCCAGGCATCCCATAAATCTGGCAGTGGAACTCATACAACAAGCCTTTGTTCTTGGGTCAAGGATTACTTGGAGTAATGAAAACCAAAAACCTAAAAGAAAGACCTAAAATGGGGCTCCTCTCACCACTGTATCCAACAGTCTATAGTTATTAGCCTCTGTGCAACATTCCAATGACTGTTTCCTATTTCAGTGACATATGTTGACATATGTTGCTACTTTTGCTTTTGCTGTTTTTTTTTTCCAAGTCAATTAGGGTGCTTTCTATTATCATTCAACAAAGTTTAGAAGTAAACATTGTTAGAGTGCTCCATTTCCTGTAACCACAGTTCCCACACAGGATTATTTGCTCTGCAATTTAAACAGCACTTAAAATTGAGTGGTTCTGCAAACTAGCTGTGGGCCTCTGTTTAATCCTTTGCTCATCTTCTATTGCAGCAAAAGGCAAAGATGGCTACACATAGGCAGTACGGAGCTGTACAGACAGCCCAAGCTGAACCAGTCCTGCATGGCTATTGGCTACAGCCCAGCAGCCTGGGCTGACCCCTGGGTTACCTCTCTGAGGTACCTCCAAGCACAGACATCTCCCATGCCACCTCACCATTCCTCAGAGATATAGCACACAAGTTGACATTATCCATGTGGCACTTCCCAGCTCCTATATAATGAAACGGAGGGTTGGCGGGTGAGGGGGACATGCAGAGAGAGTCACTAAATAGTCTTGATATATTTAGTCTTAGAAATGGAAGTGGTTTTACAGTTATATTTCTGCAGGACATTCAGAAGGTTTTAGAAGGCCTTCAGACAATCTTGTGGTCTTCCAAGACTGAATGTAAAGAGAAGAGATAATATTTTTCTTTAAGTTGATGGGTAGTTACAGTAGAATTGTATGGTACAGGGAAAAAAACCAATGCATAGGGGGAGGATGGAGCAGTGCCATTTATACGAACATCCTTTGAATCTTTAAAATAAATTATACAGGTGAACACAGAAGTTCATGCTACTTGCTGGAAGCAATAAGGATCAAATTTTGTGGAACTCGTACTGTATTCCACAAATCTCCAGGTATCCTGCCTCCTTCTCAATGGGCTATCATGTTCTGTTGTACATCTTGGTAGCCCTTAAAAGCTAGTGGCATGGTCTCAGGTAGATTCTTGCAGGAGAGAGACAGATATATGAATTCCATCAGCTTCTTCCAGGGGAGCTGCCCAATTGCAGGGAGGGCAGATGTGATACGCTTGCTCATGTCCTCTTTGCCCGAATACCAGGGTCAAACAGCAGTTTCCAGGTCCTCATGGCCAATGACCTTATAGTTCTGACGGCTTTCTAGGTAAGCAGCCAAGTCTGGGTCCCCAGCCTGCTGTGCTCTTTCTTGAGGTGTCTTACCCTATACGAAAATAGTGAGAAAAAAAAAAAGAGAGAGAGAGATAGACACAAGCGCTAGTCGTGAAATACAAAAACAAAAAACAAAACAAAACAAAAATCACAGAAACAGAACTACGCAAGGATACCTGCTAGTAAGGATCCTTTCACATTTGGTGTTTTAGAGTTTACAAGACACTTTCAAATCTATTGTCTTATATGAGCATTAAATTGAACATGTGCGATTGGTAAATGAAAGGGAAAGAGTTTATCACTTTTGACGGGTGGGGTTTATACTAGGGAAACAGAAGTTCACAGAGGTTAACAGTATACAGAAGGAAACAGTGGGGTAAAGCGAGTTTTGAAACCCAGAGCCTTTCTGGAAGATGGGGAGGTAGAAATTACTGAATTTAAAAAATAGGGAGGCAGGCATTTAGATTTCTAGTTTAGGACTCTTTCTATTATTCTAAACTTGGGAAATCAACATACAGAAACTAAAAGGAAGGGATAGTCATAAAAAAATTGAAAGGTTTTCTTTATTGGTTTCAGACTTGGGCTATTTCATCTCTCTAAAAACTAAGCTAGTTTCTCAATACAAAAGTGGTAGATATTGATTAAAGAAATCTTGGAAAGCTTGAAAAGCACAAAGAAGAAAAGGAATATCCCTAATCATTCCACCAAACTAAGATAACCACTACTAACCTTCCATTGATAACTAGATTTTGTCTTTTATATGCCTCTATACGTATTTTTATAAAAACAAAACCACAATTCATTTACATACTGTTTTACAACCTTTCTTAGTAATATATCATAAATTTGTCATTAATTTTTTACATCAACATGTTAAATGATCATATAATTTCTTACAGACTACTATAATGCCTTTTGTACACTTATATACACACATATACACATATATTTGTATATATATATTGCTATTTTTTAAATGAGGCCACTGAATAAGAAGTCAGCAGTAAAGGGAGAAAGAGTGTCCATTCTTTTGAATGCCTGTATATATTACTTGGCATCGCTCAAAATTTCTAATTTTTGTTGAATGATAAAGTTTTAACTATTTAAAAAGTTATGTTAAGTTCCAAAGGAAGGGTAGAGGCATGATCATTGTACCAAATAAATAGCTCCATGTACAAATGCACACAAGTGTTATAAATATTATCAGAGACTTCTCAGCTTTCATCTCGGCTATCCCAACAGATACTGGCGACCTCAATCCAACCTGCTCTACATAGCCTACTGGGGAGAGGACAAAAGGGAAGTAACAATGGCTCTAGAATCTTTCTAAAATGTTACTTATTCACTTGGGATTTAGCCGTTAACCACTAGTTTGAAGTTCCTTGAATAATTTTTATTCAACTTGTTTGCAGCCTTAGTAGATAATTGTGTCTTTACTTCCATAATAATGAGGTTGGAATTTCCAGGTTCCAAATATTCAGAGAGGTTGCTGAGGTGGGCCTTTGAGGTGATTTCTGAGGAACTGAACTCTAATAGGAGAAATTCTCAGGATGCTGCTTCTCTCCAAAAAATTCCAGGAGAAGATTCAGTTGTAATGATCACATTCAACTTTAAACTAGCATCAAGTTACAGAATGGCAAAATTTAAAAATCCTTAAAAAGTAATGAAGTATAGCTATATTATTTCATGTGGTAAGACCTCTAGAATATAACGTTGAGTGAAAAGTTATACGATATCATGTATGTATGACTTCATCTAGTTAAAAACAACAAGAGAGAAAAACAGGCATATCTACATGTGAAGGGGGATCATTACAAGTTTAATGATATCTAGGTCTAGGTTGTGAGGTTTCCAGCAATTTTTTGCTTTTTGGAGCATATCTTCCTACATTACTAGTTTTCTATGTGAGGGGTTTATAATTATAAAAACAAGCTATTTCCATTTTTTTTTAAAAAAAGCAGACACATACACAACACAAAACAGAAAGAAGTTTCCATGAACATTGAGTCTTTTATCTGATTCAGAAACTTAGAAAGATAAAAAAGCAGACCTGCTCAAGAGCCAGGTCTCCTGATTCCTGTTTGGTTTGTCCCTCTTTTTCATGGCTTCTCTCTGTTTTTAAAATGATCTGAGTTGAGTGTAGGACCAGCCTTTGTGTGGTAAAGAGGCAGTTGTGCTGCTGTGGTCTGAGTGGCCCTGGCAAGACCAACCCTACCCCATAACCTGGCTCCATTAATCCTGAATATAAGTTGTGTGTTTCTCAATCAGGCTAAACATCAAAACATCTGAGTGCAAATAACATCTGGGAAGAACATCACATTGAGAAATTATTACTTTTAATGGCAAAAACCACAATTACTTTTACACCAACCTAATTATCTGCCATTTGAAATAGTGTACCCAATTAGCTAGCCAGACAGGTAACAGACCACTAGAAACCAGGACACAGCTCAAGTGTGTTTGATATACCTAGGCAGCCAGGGACTTCAGAGAGCAAGGGTGCTCATGGGTTGCCAGGAAAGTGGAGAGTTCTATGTAATACAACTGGCTCAGAAAGGAAAGAAAGTCCACTAGGAAGGCAAAGTTATTTCATAAAGTGGACTGCAGTTTGAGGAGGCCCCAGGGAAAAAAATTGCACATAGGCAGATTCTTATCACTTAAATAAATCTAATGGAGCTTAAGCCATTAATTAGGCTTCTAAGTAATCTATGTATGTGTCATGGTTACAACCATTGGCCCCAAACCTGAGCTACTCGGTACCTGCTTAATGAAGGCCTCAACTATATATCAAGATTCTTCTCTGTAAGTGTCTATAGGTAAGTGGTTCATTCTTTCCTGGAGTCTACCGAGAGTGTTCTAAAACTCTCAGAGCTTATCAGAATCCTCTATGGCAAGCTTGTCCAACCCACAGCCCGCAAGCCATATGCGACCCAGGATGGATGCGAATGAGGCTCAATGGAAATTCGTAAACTTTCTTAAAACATCGTAAGATTTGTGTGTGTGTGTGATTTTTATTTTTTCAGTTCATCAGCTATTGTTAGTGTTAGTGTATTTCATGTGTGGCCCAAGACAATTCTTCTTTGTCCAATGTGGCCCAGGGAAGCCAAAAGATTGGACACCCCTGCTCTATGGTGTTGATCTTCTATGTAAACTAACTCCTCTTTCTCTCTCTTCTTTCTTATAGGCTGAGCCCTGGTTCAACTCTACTAAGCTACAACTCCTCCTTCCCTCTATCTTTCAACCCTTTCTCTTGGGTGCTCTCTATAAACTTAAACAACTCGTGGTGCAGCTTGTTCTCAGTTCTCCTAAACAGAGTTTCCCCTAAGGCCTCACCTCCGCCAGCTGATGCTATCAAGGTTGGCATACATGTCACAGTACAATATCTGGCCTCACTGCCCTCTTATTAAGATAGTCCTAAGAAAGTGGACACTTTAAGTTCAGATTTACATAACTTTTGCTGTGGAGAAACCAACCACATTTCAAGCCAAGTGCCACAGGTATCACTGTACCTCAACAAAACAGACTCCATAAACAAACCGATTTTGTTATGTGGCTGGGGTGTTCTGGCACCAAATGAGAACCACCAACCTGCTGATACAACACTGGGCTGGACGTCAAAAGAGCTCAATTTAATTTAAGCCTCAGCTACTGGTCCAAGGGTATGTGTAACTTTCTCTAGGCTTTTAGCTCCTATACCTATAAATGACAGTAATTCCCATGCTATCTAGTACCTGAGGTTAACTTTTAGAGAATAATATTAGAAAACAAATGGAAAGAATTTTTTAAAAATGAAGAACTACATAAACACACCAGATTTAAGACTATGACCATCTCAAAGCCAGATCCTACCATCCTGGGAGCTGGGAAAGAATCCCTTTGGCACCCATATAAGGGGCCATATAAATCATAGAATTTAAAACACGTTGGAGTAAGTACTGAAGGAAAACCCCAAAGGGGCTTCTCAGTAGTCAGGCCAAAGTCTTTGAAAATGGTCCTGACCCCTCTCCTTGGGCTTCGGACCTCAACTCCCATGACTTGGCTGCTAGCGCTCAGCAGGACAACCCCAAAGTCCCAAGGTCAACGTGTTCAGAGGTTTATAAAGCCCCATAGGCAAGCACACGCCCTCCCTTTGTGCTTATACATTTAAATCACAGTTTCTCTAAATGAAGCACTCTATTTTTTCCTCCTTTTTCCAAAGCCCCAGGCACTTCCATAAGCACAGAAAGGATGTCCGTGCTATGGTCACAAGCAAAGGCAACAGCGCCTGCGATCTCGCCCAGCGGGAGGATGTTTGCACTCACTCATCGAGTTACCTTGGAGTCCGTCTTTCTCAGAGATGCTCCTGCATCCACCAGAAGCTGGCACACAGCCCGGTTCCGCTGGCAGGCAGCCTTGTGCAGTGCAGTCTCACCCCTAAATCAAAGATGAAATGGGAAACCACCCATAAAGGGGTTGGAGGCAGCAGGGAATGGGTGAGGGGAGCTGATGTAGGGTGCTCCTCAGCCTCCTTCCCTGTAGGCTGCTGAGACTTTGGCTGTAGGGTACATTCTGGGGAGGTAGGGAAGGGGATTTCTAAAAATTCCTTGAGCTAGCCATCAACTGATCATAATATCTGACTCTAGCCCCCTTTCCAAATAGTGTTGATTAAGTTTAGTAATTTTTTTAAAAGCTACTACTATTTGATTTAGGTGATAGTCAATGCAGTATTAAACAGACTAATTGTCTAGATGTATCTGAATACTGAAGCCATTCTCTCTGTGCATACATTTGAGCAGAGCGAGAAAGGCACTGGGTGAAAGAACAGGGAGCAGTGTGGAGCGCCTCTGGCCCTTCAGGCACAGCACGCAGCCCTTGGTTGATGGCCACTCGGCCTGCAGTGGAGTATCTCCTGAGAACCCAAGTTCAAAGAACCAGGCCAACACCCACTCTGCTCTATCCACTTTAGATTCTGTGTGAGTGGCAGGTGGAAGGAGGGGGCAGCCATAGAGGATATCTGAGAGGCACAGTGAGACCCTGGGAGAGTTTGAGAGCCAGGGCTCTCCCCAGGAGGCAGCAGGCTTGAGGCCAGCCACTCAGTGTGGGAAGGAGCAAGGGAAACTGGCCATTTCCCCATCACTGACAGGCTCTATAGGGAGGAGGGTATTCCTATCCTGAGCCCAAAGGCACCAAGATGCTTAACGCCAAAGTGTTTCAGGAAAAATCAATAGCAGCCTTTAGAGAAGGCAAAATGGGGTAAGTGATGGCACCACTTATAATCTTGCCAATAGGATGTGCTGGCATGTGGACCAGCTCTATGGAGTGATAGACAGCTTCTTCCACAGCTCTACTGCTTCTCTTCGTCCTCCATTCTATTCATTTCTACTTCTCCTCCTTCCCACATGCTTAGCTACTCACCACCTCATTCCTCTCCACACCAACTCATCTTTATACCTTTTCAAATATGGCTTTCAGGATTAGTTGTACAGCCTATCTTTGTTCCTGTTTGGGGAGCAGTAGCTATTTCGCTACTTTAGAAATAAGGTTGAAAACAAACATTATCATCAGTTTAGGCACCATCCCAGAGCTGATGACTTTTTCAATCAGGATCCCTTCTCTGAACCACAGAAGACAGAAAATAGAGTGACTATGTTCTCAGTTCTTCAGTGGTGGTTCATAACTTGTCCTGTTCTAGACTAACAGAGAGAAGTTATGTCACTACATGTGAATAATGCCTTAGGGCAGTAGGGCCCCATTTTTTCAGAAACTCCAGTTGAGAAAGAATAAATGTGATGGGTATATTAAAAGGTAAGTGTAATTATTTAGACTTCTCAACATTCCAAGATGCACCAGTGCAGAAGTACATTGTTTGAAGCAAGCTCTAAATGATGATTAGCGCTGACTATGGAGGCAAGCATTATGACAATTGTCATCAATTTCTATTCCGTAATTTTTTATTTAGGCTATTAGCCCTGCACATTTATGAACAAAGTTGAAAGTGGACTTTGAATTAATTAAGTTAAAATTACCTATGATATGCTCTATAGATTACATTCTTCTCCCAGATATGTTCTGAAGAAAATAACCTAGACTATGTAATAAAAGGCAACACTCACGTTTCACTGTCTGCCATATCCAATAACTCGGAAGGTCCTAAATAAGAAGAAAGCAAGATGACCGTCAAAAATAAGCTCAAAAACTAAACATTAACAGAAAATCTATAGTCACAGAATTAAAATGCCTTGGAAAGCTAAATTTGGGGATAGGAATAATAAGACAGAAAGAAAAATAAAAGGATTCCTCTACCTCCTCATCACCAAACTCCCAATCTCCATGAACCAATATGTACAGAATGGTAGATAAAAAAGAATGGTATGGTCTCTGCTGTCAAGCAGCTTTCGATCAAGTTTATGAAATAAAACTGGAATAGAATAACTGAAAAATAATTAAGTGGCTAACAAGGGAGAAAGGGGAAGATTAGGTGGGCTTTAGGAATCAGGGCAATTTCTCATTCTCAAACGAGTTGCTTGGGATGGCGTCTTATGAAGCAAAATATTAAGGCTGTAAGATACTATACGTATCATCTAGGGTACAATTCCAGTTTTTATAAAATTTCCCTTCTCAGACCAGAAAGAAATACTATGCATATACATCAAATGACTATAGATGCATCCTTAGGAATGGAAATATTCTGTGAATTTTCCCTTTCACAATGTTTTGTGTATTCATGAATTAATCCATTCAATCTACAAACACTGCTTGGAATGTCTTCCTTTCTAGCTCTGTACCACTGCTTCTCTCCCTGCCATCTCTTGCCCTCTTCAGCCTATGGGTATCCAATGAGACTTTTTTTCCCCATAAAGCCCTTCATGATCCCACTTCAAGCAGCTTATTAAACACCTGCCTATACAATCCCTCACTTTATGTACTGACCCTATTTCCTATAGTTGAATGGGTAATGGGATTTATCATCCAAGTTGGGACCACCCCAGGCAAGGGGGGATATATGATCATGATACTGATCATGACACGTAACAAACCGTTTTAAAATAACCTACTGATTTATCTCTCCCTATAACTAGACTCCAGAAAACCCCTTAAAGTTTTGGCCCATGCTTTGTCTAGCATTGTGTCATTCCTTGGTGTCTAGTGTAGAGCCTGGAGATAAGTAGATGCTTAAACATTTGATTGAATGGATGAATAAATATGCTTGTAAGTGCCAAACACAGTTCAAGGTACTGAGTATTTTTGTCTTTAGAAAGACGATCCTGGGAATTTGCTCTCTTTATTGGTGGATATCATTATTATTAAAAATTAACTTATTGTGCATAGTAAGAAGGGGTGGAAGAGGTTATCACTCTTACCATGAAAGTCATTGGCCAAGGACAACATAACAGAGATGTTATGGGATTTCATAATTCTCCTGGTCATCCAAATCATCTTGACCTCTTCTCTTTCACACCTGCTATTCACTGGGACCAGGTGAATCTTCTCTTGCAAAGTCTCTCCTATTTGTCTTTTCTGCTTGTCCTATTTGACAAATAGACTTCCTAACCAGTATCTGCCTGGAACATTATTAGCATGCAGAAGTAGTTACCAAGAAAGATAAGAAGGTCTTATATCATCTAGATTTCTAGGTTTCCAATACATCATATCTACTGCTTACTTGCAAGTATTTAAACACTGGAGCTCACAGTCTTTCATCTGGAACTACATTTCCTCAATTTGTTCCCAGGGTTCCATTTTTTTTTTTTTCACAAAAGCTAAAGTGGTAATTGCACACTCAACCACATATTTCTCAGGCTTTCCCAGCTCTCCCTATCCAGAACAGCCACCTATCTAAATCTGACATGTTCTTCAAAGGCTAGTCTGTGACAAGGTCCTCTCAAAAGATGACCTTTGACAGAAGGAATGTATTCTTTCTCTCAGCTCCCAAAGCACTTATTTGGTTCTATCCTCATACTATGTATTTGCTTTTTGAATGCATGCCTTCCATAAATAAATTATTCTATATTTGTTGAATATAAGAACACCTCAGTTATTTTTTGTATCCTTCTAGCACCTACCCTATATTAAGGAAACAACAAAGATTTAACTCATACCTCTTTGTTCCTTGGTCCTGTGATTCTATGAAAACATGAATAATGATCCTTATCCTCCCACACACATACAAAAGTGCAGAGCAGCACAGGACAGTGACCAGGGGCGAGGTTTCTGGAGCTGTCCCTTCTTGGTTAAAAATCCCAGCTCTATATAGACTAGGTCTTGGCCAAGTCTAATTAATCTCTCAGCTCCTTGTTTATCACCCATGTAAAGTCAAATTAATAATAATATTTATCTCACAGGGTTGTTGTGAGAGTTCAAGAGGGCTGGGCATGGTGGCTCACGCCTGTTATCCCAGCACTTTGGGAGGCCAAGGCGGGTGGATCATTTGAGGTCAGGAATTCGAGACCAGCCTGACCAACATGGTGGAACCCCGTCTCTACTAAAAATACAATAATTAGCCCAGCGTGGTGGTGTGTGCCTGTAATCCCATCTACTCAGGAGGCTGAGGCAGGAAAATCGCTTGAATCCAGGAGGCAGAGGTTGCAGTGAGCCAAGATTGTGCTCACTGCCTGGGTGACAGCCTGGGTGACAGAGCAAGACTTCTCAAAAAAAAAAAAAAGAAAGAAAGAAAAGAGTCAATACACATAGTGTGCTTAAAACAGTGCCTGGCACACCACAGGTACTGCTTCAACTTTAGATAGCATGAAGTGTCCTATTCTCTGTCCTGATACAGCAGGTCACACTACATCAAGATATGGGATCATCAGTGAAGGAATGTGGTATGAAAGGGTCACTTTACTCCCACTTACATGTGAAGACACTTGTTGACTCAAATTCTATGTCCTGAGAAACAAGCACCTGAGGCCTATTTAGCTGCCAACAGGGCACTCTTCACGTCAGCAAGGGGCTTAAGTACCCAATGGTCCTCTTAAAGAGTGCCTGTCGCCTTCAGTGAACATTCTAAGCCACTCCTTTTGGAAGAAATTCCATGAACATGAGCAGCCTACACTCATTAGTAGCTCTGTTCCCATTGGTACTGCTAATTGCACAACTATTTAGGCAACAGGGGCCTTGTTTACTTTTCTCCTTCATTCAGCTCTGTCATTCGGTGTTCTCAGAGCCATGCCACGGTGAGTCCACAGTTATCCAGGGTCTAAGCCTCTATGCAAGTGAGGGGATCCTCAAGGCTTTTAATTGAGCTAGCACAGCAATAATTTGACAATATGAAGGTGGGGACAAGGAAGAAAGCTGTTCTTCACAATTTCTGACCAGAGTCACTACCCAGAATTATTCCAGAGCTGATTATCCAGTCTGTGAGTCAGGCATGCCCGCGGCTACCCATCACTCTCCTTCCCTCCACGCCCTTTCATCCTCTGCAGCTGACAGAGGTGAGAGGCAGAGGCACTAATAACAAGGCAAGAAACTTTTGCTCATAATTAATATCTAAAAAAAAAATGCCCATTAAAAGGTTTGGGGAATGGCTCTGAAATAATCAATTTAATTAACTTCAACTTTCCTTATTCTCCCATCAACATAGATAATCACAAAATAGCAGAATGTTCTGAACACTGGCCAAGAAGAGGCAAAAGTAGCAGCCAGCTGACTACAGATGGGAATGGGCAGCTATTTTTAAAAGCACAGGTACATTTTCTAATCATTTTTGGCCTGCTTTAGGATAACTGTTTGCATAATGCTAGCAAGGAAGGAGTTACAGAGAGTGGATGCCAGGAGAAGCCTAAGACAAGGCTGTTCTTCTCCTTATTTGAACCTGCACTGCCCAATGGGGAGCTATGCTTTAACTGTACAATGTGGAGTTTAACTGTACCCTGTGACTTTTAGTGTAGAAACAATAACACCTGTGATTTTTGAAAAGTTAATTTGAGTCTCACTAATAAAGGAAACGAGACAAAAGGAGAAAAACAAGAGAGAAAAAAATAAAGACTAGTCAGGCACGGTGGTTCACGTCTGTAATCCCAGCACTTTGGGACAGCCAGGTGGGAGGACTGTTTGAGCCCAGGAATTCAAGAGCAGCCTGGGTAACATAGCAAGACCCCAACTCTACAAAAAAAAAAAAATTAGCTGGGCGTGGTGGTACATGCCTGTAGTCCCAGCTACTAGGGAGGCTAAGGAGGGAAGATTGCTTGAGCCCAGGAGATCAAAGTTACAGTGAGCCATGACTGCACTCTAGCCTGGGTGACAGAGTGAGATTCTGTCTCAAAAAAATAAAAATAAAGATAATTGAATTCCTTCAACATATATGAATGGGTAACATTTGAGTTTGGGGCTTGTTTTATATACACATACGTTCTGATTGCAGACACTATGCCATCTCCCCTAAGGAATTTCGAGGGAGATCATCAAATTGTCAGCAGAGAATTCACTGTTGTTTCCTCAATAGAAAAGGAAATCTCAGGTCTCTGTCTCTTCCAGGGTTTACTGAAATGTCCACCCTTCATCCTTTGGCTGACCTGAACCAGAAAAAATACTATAAAATCCCTATTGAGGAGATATGGGTGCAGATTTCTCCATGAAAATTTCAGATGAAAACGGCCTCTGCTCTTCCAGAACCCTAGATCAGTTGTCATTTGAACTCTGCTTACGACATTCACGTGGTGCCACCCTGCATTGTGGTTATTTATCCATGTTTCATTTCCCTTGCTGGTATTAGGAATATGGAGGACACAGACCATCTCTCACGTATGGATGAGTTTTGGCAAGGAACCTAACTTCACCATACTTCAGTTTTCAACACCTGTCAAACGGAGATGAGAGCTTACTGTATAGGGTTGTAAAAATTAAATATGATAATGCATTTAGAACATTTAGAACAAAGAGGTTAGCAGTGATTGTTACAGAAACTTTTTTTTCCTCAAAAGTGCCTGGGACGGAATTAAAATGTTTTAATGAATGAATGAATAAACGACATTTTAAAGCCATTTTGGATCCCAGCCAATATCACTTTAAGAGAAAGATTCACAATTGAAATATGGATTCAAAAGACTGTGCTATATGGGAAATGGTCTGAAAGCTAAGGGAAAGAAAATTCTGTTAAGTGGACATACACATCAGTATTCAGGAGACACCCAGGGAATGCGAAAGGAAGCAAAACTTCACAAATCTTTCAAAATGAGAAAGTGAACATCGTGTTAAGCAGCCAGGCCTTCCAAATTACAATGTTGCTGCCCAGTACTCATTCCATAGGCTCTTCTGTTGGATACCCCAGCTCCCGCTGATGTGACTTTGTCATCAATATTATATTTGTATTATATATGACGTGCCTTTTGTCACATGCATCCTTTAATTTGCTTCCCACACCAATGCCTCCAAATCCCCTTTGCTATTCCTTCCACTTCCCATGGCCTCTCTCTGGGCCCTCATTTCCCATTAGTCTCCCTGACGCTGCCAGCAGACCATTCCAAATCCTCCCCTGCCACAGGACAAAAGCTGCACAGATGTGGGGAGAGCTGGCACTGGGAATGCTAACAGTACTGTCATCCTGTCCCAGCAGGATGGTGGTCAGTTCTCTCTGGGACCAGAGGCAGAAAAAGGGGGGTTAAAAAAAGAGAAAAGAAAGACTGAAGACAGAAAAAGAGGGAAGACAAAATAACCCATTGAAATCAAAAAGGAAATGCATGAGTGAGATTTCTATCAGGAAAACCAGTAGGAGGCAATGGGGTAGGCGTGGGGAGAATAAAAACAAAAGAGCAGAGTGTGCAGGGTGGCGAAGGAAAGAAACAACACAAAAGTCCCTTGGAGGGTTGGAGGGGCAAACGAGGGGGGAGGGAGCGGGCAGAAAATATGGTTGAAAGGAGCTGAAAAGCGGGAAGCACTGAGAGGAATCTCAGCTGGAATCCCTGCATCCTTAGTCTCTCTCCCAGTCTCTGTGGAATTATTAACTCTTCCTCCCCGAGTCTCTTTTCAACTCTCTAAATGTCCAAATTCCAGTTTTTCATAAAGGAAAGCAGCATGCTGTATAGATGAGAGAAGACATCCAAAGGAAGAAGATGCAAGCCGAAAAAAATTCAAGCCTCCCATGGCGCTTTCAGAACATACCGCAGATCTCATGTGGCACAGCCCCCAGCCTGCTTTAAAAGAGCCCATAGAAGAGAAATCAGTTGCTGCTTGTTGTGTCTGGGAGAATAACTAATCTCAGGACTCTTGTTCAGGTGTCCTCTTGATGGTGGCGGCCCACACTCCTGACCAGAGCCAATGAAGAAGAGGGCAGAGCAGAGGGGAGAGGGGCTCAGGAGTAAGGCTGCAGGAAGCAAAGGAAGTGTCAACTCAAGAGCCACAAACAACATCAGCTGTGCACCTGGCAAAGAGCCTGTGAATCCTTCAGAATTGCTATTACTAAAGGCATCCTTACAGTCAAGTCTTTGAACAATTTTTCAGATTTATGTCATATGAAACCATGGGACAGACATAAACCAAATTGTAAAAAATAAGTAAATAAACAACAAAGGCTTTAAGAGATTTGCAATATTCAATAACCAGGAGGAATGTCTTTCTTGATCTTCGGCATAGTGTAAAATTTTTATTTGTTATTTTTTTTTTCATTTACATGAATTCAAACTGATCAGACTTACCTACTGCAAATCTGATGCTAATTTAAAAATACAATGCCATAGTCTGGTATACATCCCTAAATCCCAGACTTACTGAGGCCTCTTGGAAAGGCTGATTTCTTTGTCAGGTCAGGATATTCCAGAGTTATCATCATTACTAAGTTAGGAGAGAGTATTTCAATCAAGAGAGATCACCTTAAGAAGGTGATTACAGTATTGAAAAAGGGTAATGTTTTCTGTGTACTTGTCTCTGACTTCAAGAACACTATAATTTAAAGGAGTTTCTATCATCTAAAAGAGAGGAATGGTTTTGCTATGATAGTTTTCAATAAAATGCAAAGGTTAATATAAACTGAATCAGCAACTAAAGATATTAAAAAACAAAACGACAGTTGAGCTGAAGTGTTTAGCTCTTGTGGAATGAGGTGAATTAGGCTATATCAAATGATTTTACATCCGTATTTCTGAATAAATAAAAAAGATAAGATAGACATCAAAAATGAAATTGACAATGTCTATCAATGTTGATAAAAACTAATTTCAGTAAGAATCAATTGCATTTAAGTCTCCATATTCAGCTATAGTAGTAAAGTGTTAAAAATTGCCATCCATCAAAAATGCGGTGATCCTTGGACTGAACATCATAATAACATTTTCTTTACAAACAAAAGAGATGGATTGTGCTCTCCCATCTCCACAGTCTTTCTTCCTGTGCTATTAGAGATCCTGGTGAGGCAGGAAAGGTATAGGATGCCTTCTGAGACCTCAGAAATTGTTTGCCTGGAAGTGAAGTTAGGATGATTACTGTGAACATTGTGTTTCTTCTCGTGAGCATAAATATTAAGCTGATTAATTTATAACATCTAACCAAAGCACTGGAAAAATAAGCACCCCCACCCCCCTAAAAAAGACTGAATTCCTTTGTGTCCTTCCATTTGGGCGGAGTGGTATTGTGTGACTCAGTCTTGCAAGAGTCAATGCGGGGTGATGAGAAACTGATTTGTATTGGAATGTTAGGTTTTGATCAAGGCCCTCAGAGACTAATGTGCCAGATGAATTGATGCCAGGCAAAGTAGGTGTGTACTGATCTATATTTGGGGTTAGAAACTCCAAGGCCTGTGAGCTTGGATGAACGGTGCTTTTAAAGGCCCTATTTTTGGACGCAGGGGAAGAGAGGAAGTAGAGAAAGTGAAAAGCTACTGTGTTAAGGTGATATCATCCCAGGACTCATCATTCATGTCCCTGGGGCACAGGACTCATCATTCATGTCCCTGGGGCAACTCAGATGAGGAGTTCTGCTGTTTTCATTTTTAGTATAATCATATTTCAAATATTGCATGGGCTATACTTATGTTAAAACCTTCATTATTGTTATCATTTTTTTTTCTTCAAGAGACAGAGTCTGGCTCAGCTGCCCAGGCTGGAGTGCAGTGGTGCAATTCTAGCTCACTCAGCTTACACCTCCTGGGCTCAAGCAATCCTTCTGCCTCAGCCTCAAGTAGCTGGGACTATGGGCCCACCATGCCCGGCCATCTTGTATTTTTATTTGTGAAACTGGGGTTCTTAAGACCCAGAACCAAAGTCAAATAGAAAAACGAAGCTCTAAGGGATTCCAGGTGAGTCAGAAGTTTAGGACATTGTTCACTTTAAACTGCAGAGACCGGGACATAAGGGAGTGTGGTAGATTAAATATCTCCATGAATTTTTCACAGCTCATGCCATCAAACAGTGGAATCTGTTTCCCAACCTTTTAAATCTGGGCTGGCCCTGTGACTTGTTTTAGCCAATAGAATGCAGTAGAGATCATCCAGAACTTCCCAGCTTAGCTTCAGGACATCTGGGAGCTTCCACTCTCACCCCTGGGAACCCCAGCACTACCATGCTGTGAAGGATCTTGGGAAAAAAAGACGAGGTGTTGAGAAAGGCTTAGGTGTCCTGGCCTTCCACAGCCCTCCCAGCTGAAAGCCCCAAACATGTGAGAGTCCATCTTCAACAAAGCCTCATCAAAAAAAGGAGCTGACTGCAGCCTCCTAAATGAGACCAAGTGAGACGGTGGATACAGAGAGGATCCTAGGACTAGGGGAGGAAATACTGCTTCTCCAGGAAAGGTGAAAAGATGGGTGGGGGGGTGTGGAGAGAGAGATTCCTGGATTGTGTTGTCACTCAAATAGATGGCCAGTGTCTCACCTAACTCCAGAGAGAGGGTAGGTGGGCACCAAATGGCTTAAGGTATCCAAGCAAGCATTCAATCTCTTGGGTAAAGGGTAAACTAAAGAGAGTAGATTGGAAGTGATCAAGAAGACAGCAAATAGGAGAATTTTAAACCTGAGCTAAACAAAAATAAAGTGACAGTATACATCTAACCCTCACCTGAGCTTTGTGCAGTAGAAATCCTGAGATATTAGTGTGGCTTCACTCTTGCCCAGAAAGGAACGCTTTTAACTGCAAGAGACTGAATAGCCAGGGAAATAGGAGATGGAATGATACAAGCCCCAGACTTAGCACCAAAAATACATCCTATCTACCTAGGCTTTCCAGGGCAGACAGGTTTGGGATTATCCAACCCAGCCTACAAGGAGTAAAGAAATGCTGTCATCGCAGCCCTCCTGTTTTCATGGTCTTTCCTTTTTCTAACCCACCCTTTCTACCGTATTTCAGACCAAGGGTTCAAGCAGAATCTTCACAGTGAGAAGGTGTTGAAGACAAAGCAAGGGGTGTCTAACGTGATTGATAGTTTAGTACCTACCTTGCAAGGACCTTGTCAAATGACGGGATGTGTTTACTATAAACAATTGGCAAATATGTGCTTGATAAATGGTAGCTATGTTATCTATCTGTGGCTTTACCATAGGACTTAAAACAGCTCCATATATCGGTTTTAAATTTAATTATACACATGATCTTATTTTTTTCTTTAGCCTGCAATTGCTTGAAAACAGTGACTGTATTTTATTTTTGTCTGTGTACCATCTATAACAGGCAGCTCCTGTTAGGCACTACACAAATATTTGTTAAATGAATGAATCAATGAATGGAATAAGACATACTTGCTGAATTGCAAAAAAAAAAAAAAAAAAGGAGCAAAAAGGATGTGAATGTTTATGAGTATGCTTACTATCTACAGGCTGAATTTGGGTACAAAAGGAGTCAGCCACAGGCTGACTGTCAGGGCTCAAAGAAACTTTTCCAATCTCTCTGTATACCAAGATCCAGCAGAATTAGACTCTTTCATTCCTTCTCATTTAAAACAGACTAGCTAGGCAGTATTTTTCCCCTTTATTCCTGTTCTTTATTCCTAGAAATACTACAAAACATGATAAATTCAATGTAACAGTTTAGATTTGGTATTCATTAAATATGTTTATGCTTCCAAAGGGTTTTTAGAGGCAGATGCTATAGCGCATGCTACTTCCTGCAAACGATCTGGCACCAACTATTAGAAATCCAGTTAGAAAGCAGTCTGGAAGGTTAGTATGATCTGCCACAGACAACACAATAGTACCAGACATTTTCAAAGAGAATAAAGCGTAACTTGGGTGGAAAAGATAAATGAGATCAAACAGAAAAAAAAATGAGAAACTGGAAAGATGCAAAACAATTATCCTCATGAATCTTCACAACGATGAACCGCAAATACAGGTGAGGTAGGGAATCCCAACCCATTAATTTACAGAAGAGCTCTAGAAAAAAATAAAGCACACGATGCCAGGCTGCATTTATTTTTGTCCTCTATTTAAAAAAAAAAACTAATTAGTCTGAAAAATAGCCTGTAAAGAGCTTGGTATGAACACTGTTTCTACTAATTGCTTGGATAGGATGGCCCGTATGTGTCAGTGGTCTGCAACCACGACTGCCTCAAATAAGCAGGGGCAGAGTCTGCTAAAAGTTCGAGAGTATTTCTGCCATTCTGAAAACTGCCTGGATGAAGGGTAACTTAGAAAATGCAAAATGCAATGGATTTCACAGGTAAGTGATCCTTGGTAAGTTCACTATGCCTACTTACCGTGGTCAAGGATATATTTCACAATCTCCCCGTTGCCGGTTTTAGCTGCGTAGTGAAGGAGTGAACAGTGGTCTGGTCCCTGAATTAGCAGACTGCCTCCATTTTTATAGCTTTCTATTAGCTGCAAAGAGAGACATACAAAAAGAAGCTCAGGCAGAATTCGGAACAAGGATAACAGCTAACCGGTAATAAAATGAGAGTCATGTAGCAGACCACAATGTTTCCAGCCTTAGAGGACATAGAGAAAAGTCAAAAAGGTGAAGTAACATTCCTGGACTGTGTTATCACTCACAGAGATGACCAGTGTCTCTTCTAACTCTGGAGAGAGTCTGTGGGTATTGAACAGGCTAGGGAAACTGAATCATGCTGAATTACTTTTTTCATTTATTTTCTGAGCACTGGTCTCTATGGTCTCTCTCTCGAAGGAGTAGTGAGGGGTGGAGTGGAGAACAAAAGCATCTCTATGTTGGCTTAGCATTCTCCTGAGTGAAAGAGTAATTATGGCTATAAGCAGAAATAGCTTGGTGACTGTAGCTAAGCTTCTTGCCTGTGTCCTTCAGTTTTTCTTCAGTCTTATGAACCTATATACCAAATATCAAAGCTGCTTCTTTTTCTCCCATGTAAGATCACTGAATACAAGTATAGACACATACACACGCATGCATGCATGCACACACACGAACACACATCTGGCTTCCTTCTTCATCCAGATATGCAGCCCAGCCTGCAAACCTTCTGTTAATCATCCAACACATACCTAATAGGCTAGAGATAATCCACAGAGTGAGACCCAAAATGATTCAGAAAATGTAGTAGTTTCTATATGAGAGAAGACTGGAAAAAAAAAACAAAACAGAATTTTGTAGCCTGAGGATAAGGTGGCTACATGAGGATATGGTCTAAGTTTATAAAATATTGAACATTACAGAAAATGTGAATGAGTCCCTCATCTCCAAACTACAGTATTTCATGACAAGAGTGCCTGCATGAAGCTTCTAACAGGTAATTTTAGGACAAATGAGAATTAAATAACCCAGCAGGTAATAAGCAAAAGGAACACATTATCTCTCAAGAAGTTAGATGGCACACATTATAGATAATCAAACATCCCATAAGGTGAAAGAGCATAAATGACCTAAATGCAAAGAATAAGTCCTAGTGTTCCATACCATTGTAGGATGACTATAGTTAATAATATATTAAATAGTTTTAAATAGCTAGAAGGAGGATGTTGAACATTCCCAACATAAAGAAATGATAAATGTGTGAGGTGGTGGATATGCTAATTACCCTGATCTGATCACTGTATACGTATCAAAACATCACTATGTACTCTATTAATATGTATAATCATTTGTCAATTAAAAATACTTTCTTAAAAAAAGAACCTAAATTCAGAGTTCACGTCTTCACTCAAATACATCCATAGAATTGTCATGTGCTAGATGCCAGGAAGATAAATGTGAATACAATTCAGTCACTGTGCTCAAAGCCCTCACAGCCCATGGTGGAGACGGATAGGTAAAGAATCACACAGTAATGGACAGGAACATCACAAAGGTCTCAGAGAAGCACTAGGGAAGCATGAAGCAGGGGATGGAAACAGCCACGGAAGACCTCCCAGGACATGGATCCAAAGCAGTAGCTGAATGGAGGTAAGGACAATGGAGGTAAGGAACATCCCTAAACTGGGGGGCAAGAGGGCAGGAAGAAGTAGCTAGCAATTTTCCACAAAACTCTAAAAGGATATCCTGTTCCATTCAACTGCGTTGTCTTAAAATGACACTCCCTTTCTTTGTGGGGAGATCGACAAAGGATAGCAGCATGGGACCTGTTCAGGGTCAACTGCCTTGATCCTGCCTTCCTGTGCTGTTTCTAGACACCATGAACATTCAGTTAGTCCACGGACACTTTCTGCAGCCCAGTTGTCCAGGAGCTATTTGTGACAGCCTTCACACAGGGGTGGCTCCAGAGATGTTCTCTTCGCTAGTCTCTATCTCTCGCTCTCTTTGTCTCTCTCTCTCTCTCTCTTTCTCTCCCTCTCTCTCATACAAACATATACACATGTATCCCATTTAATATTTTATATATATTGCACTTTCTGCTCAGAAGAAAGAAACAAAAGATATTGGAGAAGAGGAAGAGGGCATGAATATTTGAGAAGGAAAATAAGAAAATATGTAAGAGAGAAAAAGTAAAACCTTAAGCCCTCAGTAAATATTCCATCTCTCAGTAAATAAGGTGTTATTGGCCAGGTGCGGTGGCTCACATCTGTAATCCCAGTACTTCAGGAGGCCAAGGCAAGCGGATCACAAGGTCAGGAGATCGAGATCATCCTGGCTAACACGGTGAAACCCCGTCTCAAGTAAAAATACAAAAAATTAGCTGGGTGTGGTGGCAGGCACCTGTAGTCCCAGCTACTAGGGAGGCTAAGGCAGGAGAATGGCGTGAACCCGGGAGGCGGAGCTTGCAGTGAGCCGAGATCGTGCCACTGCACTCCAGCCTGGGTGACAGAGCGAGACTCCATCTCCAAAAACAAAAACAAAATAAGGTGTTATTAAGTCATGTTTTAGTCATTTAGGAAAGAATTATAACAGAGAATGCATTAGGTTGGTGCAAAAATGATTGCAGGTTTTGTCACTGAAATGACAAAAACCAAATTACTTTTGCACCAACCTATAATAAGACAACCAGCTGGATATAGTGATTTCCCACATTGCAAATGATTCTTTATTTAAAAGTACAAAAAAAAGTGTGATAATAAACTCAGGATCTTGGGAAATCAGTTGCCTGAACTAAAAGCATATAGAAAATAAAATGGAAGGGTTTCAAATGTACAGTGCTTTGCAAAATTTTCTGGTGTAGAAATCCACCAAGGGCAGGAATCAATTTTATTCATGCCTTTGTTTCCCACAAAACCTAATGGAAGGCCTTGCACAGAGTACAGGATGGTATGGGCTTAATCCACTGGTAAGAAACGGCACTGAACTCATCAATATACTGCTTGGAGAGCACTCTTCTCTTCTGGGTAACAATTTCTATTGACACTATGATCTGGGCAGTGGCACAGGCACCGTTTTCAGGATTATGTGCCTAAAGGGGGCAGTTGATCAAGATGTTTGCAAACATTTTCACCATTTGTTTTCCTCTAGTAACCTGTTGAAAAATGCAGCACAGGTGTCCTTCAGTTTGTCCAACAGATGCGCCTAAAAAAAGTTATGTCTGAGGGTAGGACTGTTCAGCTTTCTCTTAGGGCTATTGGTTCCTTGATCTGCAATGGCACCTCACTCCACAGGCTGAGGAGTCAGGCGTAGCCTCTGCCTTCAGGCAGCTGTCATTAATACAGAGCAGATCAGTTCCAGCAGGGGGTTTGCAGGGGCATATGGGCAGTCATCAGCCTGATGCCTGAAAACCAAATATAGCTTTAGAATATTCATAGATGATGTTATATTATATAACAAATATTTGTATTTCCACCATGTTTAGCTATTAAAAAACACAGATCTACACTATCAGAATATTAATAAAATAGCTAACATTTTAGAGCCCCTTCCATGAAATAGGAACAGTCTTGAGAGCTTTATATGTATTATTACATTAATTCCTCATGACAAGCCAAAGAGAGAGGTAATATTACTCCATTTTACTGATGAAAAAACTAAGGCACAGAGAGAATCAAATAATTACACAAAATCACACAGACAGTGAATGGTAGAGCCGAGATCCAAACTTAGAAAGTCTGACTTCAGATTTTACATTCACCCTCAGGGCAGTGGTGACCGCTTCCTTCCTTCTGAACAAAACTCACCAGAAAACACAAACACAAATTAAACTATTCCAAGGGGATCAGGGTTCTTGTTTGACTAACTATGAGAGTCCTTGTTTGACTAACTATGATCCCCAAAGTATAAAACCACGACAAGGAAAGATTAATCTCTGGCCTGAAGGATGCATTTCTGAGTGTTGCCCAGGTAATTCTTACAGATACATTCATTTCAATACCTGCCTGAAAGGAAATCTTTAAATTCTTCAAATGTCAGCTTCTAGAGGGCAGGCACACTGTGCACATTGCATCCTGGGGACATGCAGTTCATTTTAAGTAACTGAGACAAGTACCCCGGTGCTCTTGAACACCATCTCTGCTCAGTTCTCAAAAGAACATCCTGCCTCTTCTACCCAGCCAGTGCAAGCAGGGGATGATAAATGATAGATGGGAACATAGAGTTTTGATGAGGAATGATGTTGATTTAAAGTTCTTAAAGCATCGCCAAAGATTTGGTAGGAAGATATCTTACCTTCATAAGATCACCAGCTATTACTGCCTGCAAAATTGCTGTGAAAGACAAAAGAGAGATGTCCCATTAGTAGAAGACCCTCTTATTAAAATATTACACAAAGTTGGATCCATATTTTGGATAAGTAGTCTACATTTGGGGCAGGAATCAGGGAAGGAAAATATCTTGGTGAAGCAGACCGAGGCCCCCTCTTTAACCCTTCCCCACCCAGGTACCCATTCCACGCACCCTTCTAGGGCCCATGCGTGCCCCCTCCAGCCTTGGTACAGTAAATATTTTAAAAACTGGAGTCACGCAAATTGGGTTCAAATCTCAACTCTGATACTTTAAGCAGTAGGACACTGGGCAAATCATTTAACCCCTCTGAGCCTCAGTTTCCACATTTGTAAAAGAGCAGGTTGTAACTTAGTAGGGTTCATGAAGTCCTATGAATGTTCCTAACCCAGCCACAGATGCGGAGTAACTGCCTAATCATGATTGCACTTGCTTCCTTCTTTCTAGTTCCTTCTACTTTGCCCTCTTGGGATTTAAGCAATCACCAGTCTTTTTGTGTGTTTTGTGATGATAGATAAATACCTATTGCTATGAATATTAAGAGGACTGGAGACAGCAAAGAGGAATCAAGTCTATTTTAATTGTGTGCTTGAGAAAACAACCACGTGTTTGGCATTTAATTTATTGATGATTCTTATGGAAAAAAAAGCCTAGAGGTAATAGGTAACTTAAACTACTTTTAGGAATACGTAGCCTTAGGGAAAAAAAAATATACGTGTCTAATGATTCATGCACCTTATGTGGGGTGTAGAAGAGGAATGAGAGGCTAGGCATGGTGGCTCATGCCTGTAATCCCAGTACTTTGGGAAGCCAAGGTGGGTGGATCATTTGAGGTCAGGAGTTCAAGACCAGCTTGGCCAACATGGTGAGACCCCGTCTCTACCAAAAATACAGAAATTAGCCAGAGTGGTGGCACACCTGTAATCCCAGCTACTCGGGAGGCTGAGGCAGGAGAATTGCTTGAATTCGAGAGGTGGAGTTGCAGTGAGCGGAGATCGCGCCACTGCCCTCCTGCCCAGGCGACAGAGTGAGACTCCATCTCAAAAAAAAAAAAAAAAAAAAAATTCATTTTTATTTTAGATTCAGGGGATGCATGTGCAGGTTTGTTACAAGGATATATTGCATGACGCTGAGGTTTGAGCTTCTATTGATCCTGTCACCCAGACAGTGAACATAGTACTCAACAAGAGGTTTTTCAGCCTTTGTCCCCCTCCCTGTCTCCTTCTAGAGTTCCCAGTGTCTATTGTTCCCATCTTTGTGTCCATGAGTACCCAAGATTTAGCTCCCACTTACAAGTAAGAAGATGCAATATTTGGTTTTCTGTTTCTGCATTAATTCACTTAGGATAATGGTCTTCAGCTGCACCCATGTTGTTACAAAGGACATGATTTCATTCTTTTTTATGACTGTGTAGTATTCCATGGTGTATATATACCACATTTTCTTTATCTGCTCCACTGCTGATAGGCACCTATGTTGATTCCAGGTCTTTACTA
Source organism: Homo sapiens (assembly GCF_000001405.40). Lineage (NCBI taxonomy): Eukaryota > Metazoa > Chordata > Mammalia > Primates > Hominidae > Homo > Homo sapiens. Next base: position 137,413,720 of record NC_000007.14, read on the forward strand.
TTGTAAATAGTACTAAGATGAACAGTGAGTACATATGTGTTTTTGGTAGGATGATTACTTTTCCTTTATGTATATGCCCAGTAATGGGATTGCTGGGTCGAATGGTAGTTCTGCTTTAAGTTCTTTGAGAAATCTCCAAACTGCTTTCCACAGTGGCTAAACTAATTTAAATTTCTAACAACAGTGTATAAGCATTCCCTTTTCCCCACAGCCTCACCAACATCTGTTATTTTTTGGCTTTCAAAAAATAGATTTTAAGGCTTTAAAGTCACAAAGTTTTAGAAGAAAAATAATTTAAATGTATTTTGCAAAGTGATATTTTATTCCTATTTGAGTAGTCTCTCATACAGAGTTAGCCAAAAGTGCTGTATCATGCATTAAATTACATAGAGTCCCCAGCTGTCACTGAGCAAAACCCCCAAAGCTTTTATATTGAGTATGTATGAGTCCTGGGTGAGCAGATGCAAAGGACCATAAGAATGTTAAACTTACTCACTGCCCCTGGGCTGAGTGCCTTCCCTTTGACCAACGCTGAAGCCTTGGAAATTTATAGAAATGATGAGGGCTACTTGAACATCAGAGGAAAAAGAAGGTAGGAAGAAGAGAAGAATGGAGAAAAATGGAGAGAAGAAAAGTGCCTCGCCATAACAAGCTATAAGCAGCATCCTCTTTGCATTCCCCTGTGAACCCTAGCATAATGCTTTGCACATTGTAGGTGCACACCAATTAATTGTTGAACTGACTGAAAAGAAAACAGAAAAAGAGAAGAAAAGAGAGATGAAAATAAGAGAAAGGGAATTAACAAAGTGTTATGTGTAAAAAAAAAAAAAAAACCCTATGAAAACACAGGGTCTCACTCTTCCTTTTATAAATGTCCATAGTGGAGTTTAAAGTAACTTAATTCTCTGGAGGTATAGAGGCCCAAATCAGCACCATAATACAGACCCTGTGTGAGCCTGTGTCCAGTGCCCCCATTGAGTTCATCATGCACAGAACTCTACTAGGCTCTGCAAGGCCTACAGACAGTGAAAAAAACACTGTTGTCAGGTTTGTAATGTGAACAATGCTCTCAACTGGAGTCTAATTCTAATCGCTACAATTTATTGGACACATAAATTTTGGAAGTTATTCAATCGTTTTGAACCAATTCTCCATTTGCAAATGAGGTTAACAGCTGCACTGCTCACCTCTCGGTAGTTAGGATAAAATTTTTAAAGTGTTTTATAAATAGGTATGTTATATAAACAGAAGGCACAGTTTTCAGTATTTTGTGACTGCACATAAGTACATGAAAAAGACATATGGACCTTCAGAAGGAGCCTACCAATAAGGGTAAAATTGGCATGTGAAGCTGGGCAGACATATCTCTGTTAATATAGAACCCATCGGATTAGAAGCACAGATAATGAGCCAAGGATGTGGTGTTTATCAAAAACCCTGCGTTGAAGGACAAGGAAGGAGAGGCTGGGGAAAGTAAAGCCAGCCCTCCGTATCTGCAGGTTCCAAATCTGCAGATTCAACCAACCTCACATCGAAAACATTCAAAAAATAATAATAATGATACAACAGTAAAAATTACAATAAATTTTAAAAATACAGTATAACAACTATTTATATAGCATTTGCATTAGATTAGGTATTATAAGTAATCTAAAGACGACTTGAAGTGTACGGGAGGATGTGCAAAGGCTATATGCAAATACTGAGCTATTTTAGATCAGGGACTTGAACATCTGTAGATTTTGGTATCTGCAAGGGGTCCTGGAACTAATCCCCCACAGATACTGAGTAACAGCTGTATTAGCAATCACAGGTCCAAGAGAACAAATCAGTTTGGACTTTAATACTATAGGATGTTCTCCTGACTGAAGCAGAATGTCTCTAATAGGAGAGAAAGAAGGTTAGGAAAGTTGCATGAGGGAGCAGTTAATGCAAAGCCTTGTAACACACACAGAAGTTCAAAACATAGCCTATGTTCTCAGCCAGGCATGGTGGCTCACATCTGTAATCCCAGCACTTCAGGAGGCCAAGGCAGGTGGATCACGAGGTCAGGAGTTCAAGACCAGCCTGGCCAAGATGGTGAAACCCTGTCTCTACTAAAAATAAAAAAATATAAAAAATTGGCCAGGTGTGGTGGTGGGCGCCCGTAATCCCAGCTACTCAGGAGGCTGAGGCAGAGAACTGCTTGAACCCTTGGGAGGCAGAGGTTGCAGTGAGCCGAGATCATGCCACTGCACTCCAGCCTGAGCGACAGAGTGAGACTCTGTCTCAAAACCAACCAACAAACAAAAAAAACAACAACAAAATAGCCTATGTTCTCAAGACTGTATTGAAACATTTCTCAGAATTTAAAAGTTAATAAAAAGAGAGAGAGAGAAACAGAGAAAGAAAGGAGAAAGGAGACAGAAAAGGAAAGAAAAATGAATTAACTAACTGAAAGCATTTATGTAATAAAATTAGGTACATGTAAGCAATAAAGCAAGATGATGAAAAAACTCCCCAGGACAAAGGCTATTTAAGGATCACTAAATATATAAGTTAATAAAAATAGGACAGTCTGGGTAAAACTCTTGACTAGGTGTGGAGTTCATAGAAGGCTTCCTGAAGCAGGTGAAGTTTAAGCTGACTCTTCAATGATACATAGATTAATTAACAAAGAAGCTTTGAAAAATCCTCGCAAGATGAAGGAAGGATGTGAACAAAGAGATAAAAGTAAGTCATGGTGTCTGAGGGAATCTGCAAAGAGCTTTGTGTTGCCACATCTGAGGTGGAGAGTAGTCTCAGGTAACGCGATCCAAGGTTTCACAGGAACCACTCCAAGGAGTGAGTCTGACACCAAGATAAGGCACTTAAATTTTATTCTCCTGGTGATGAGAAGCTATTGAAGAGCTAAAAGCAAACCAGGAGAGCATATAAATGTCCTTAAGCATGTCAGTGTGAGTCTGCTTCCCCCCCTCTGGAAACAGTTAAGTTCCTACTCTTCGCTCCTTTTCTCCCCATAGCCAACATTATAGCATCTTTCAGCTTGTACCCCATATCGCTCCCAAGCATTGTTATTTATGTTTGTTGGTTTCCAACAGCTTCCCAGTTTGAAGTCCCCTTGAATAGGTAGAAGATCATATGACAGAATCATAACCACGAGTAGTTTCCAATTGTACTGGATGTGAAAAGCATGAATATTTATTTTAAGTCAAGCAATACACCCAAGGGTAGCTATTATGCAAACATTATTAGAAACAAGGCTCACTTCTCTCTCCTGATTAATGTCCTTCCCTATGAACACTGTTGTTTAAGATTTCCTCCACATAAAAAGAGCCTGAATCTATTATTATTCAACTCCAGATAATAACCTTCTGAAGGATTGAGCTTAAAAACAAATAATGAGTTGTTATGATTACAATATTATTCTTCATAGTTTCTTAAGCTCTGAGCTTGTCTTCTTGCCTTTCTCAAAACTCCTTCATACTAAGGAAACAATGCTCCAAAATTCAAAGAAGCAGGGAAAGTCAAGTTGTTAATGGATATAAAAGTTTTTAAGTATATGAATATTAAGTTTCTTGGAAAATTAAATCACAAACTTATGAAGACAGGAATGCAAGGGCGTAGGGAACTGAGAAATTTTTCATTTTTACAGGTTAGAAGTTGAATCATTACTTCATAGGAAATGGTTTATTTTTCCTTCTATGCTGTATCTTCAAATAAATTGTTTTTCAGTACACATACCAACACAGAAAACTGGGACTGAGAAGTCAAGACTTCCAGGAGAGAACTGCCATCTTCCTTCTCACAGCCTCTCTCTCTTAAGTCTGGGCTCTCAAGAGTCTGGATGTGCTCAGACATCCATGTGCGGAAGGAAGAGATGGCTTCTGTCATGTGGAATCAGGAAAGGGAGAAGACAGCTGCTGTGATTTGTATGTTTGTATAAACCCTCCAAAATTCATGTTGAAACTTAATCCCCAGTGTGGTATTAAGAGGTGGGGCCTTTTAGGAAGTGATTAAGTCACGAAGGCTCCACCCTCATGAAGGAAATCAATGCCCTTCTAAAAGAGCCTTGAGAAAGCTGCCTGTCCTTTCTATCTTTTCCACCATGTGAGGACACAGTTTTCATTTCTTTTTGCTTTCCCATTATGTGAGGATGCAGCAAGAGCTTTCCATCTTTGAAGCAGAGAGTAATTTGCTAGCACCTTGATCTTGGTCTTCCCAGAATCCAGAACCATGAGCAATAAATTTCTATTACTTAAACATGATCCAGTCTAAGATATTTTGTCCTAGCAGCAGGAACAGACTAAGATCCCCACCTGTTCCCACCATGCCAGGCCCCGTTTGAGGCAGTAAGAAGGCAGCAATGTACAAAACAAATGTCATCATGGAGTTACATTTTGGCAAGAAGTACAAAACAAAATCTGGCTTATTATTAGGAAGGGATATGCCATAATTGAGTCTACATTCAGACCTCCTGGGTTTAAGTCCTGTGAGTATCACTAACTGCTATGACCTTGGGCAAGTTAGTTTACCAAGCTCCAGTTCTATCAGTGGAAAAATTTAAAAAGCAGTTCTTTTGAGGCTCTGCCTTGCAAATAAGCTCAAGGTACAGAGAACCTAACCATTAAGGTACCTGGACATCTGTGGAGAGCAGCAGGGAGAACTGATGTTTTTAGCCCCATCACACAGAAAAAGAATTATTTTAGACTAAGGTAGAAGTTGGCATATGACTACTTCTGAAGGGATGGCTTAAGGTTGTAATTATTGCTGTACAGAAGACAATATTGGGGAATAAAAAGTATACAGAACTTGGCAAAGCCATATATATATGTTTGTGATTCTCAATAAAGCAACTGAAATAACTACATTGTTACATGCAAAATAGAATCACAACTCTGAACACTTATGTCTATTTTTTAAAAGTTTGATCTTTCATATTCAGTTATTTTTTTAGTTTTAAAAATAATATCCTATTACCACATTGTTGTCTGCCCATAGTAGCAGTCAGCTAACTCTTTTTTTCCAAAATTATAGAAGAAAAAAATAAAAGTAAATATAAAAACTGCTAAACAAAGAATGGCTTGAAAAGACGTAGGGAAAAACATCAGTTGATTCACTGGGAATCATAAATGCATCTAGCTTTGCCAAGTTCTGTGAACTTTTACTCCTAAATATTTTCATGTGCAAAGCAAGAGTCACAACCCTAAACTATTTCTTGAGGAGTAATAATACTCTACTTTCTAGCGTGTATTTGGTCTTAGTCTAACCTTTCATTTCATAGATGAGGAAAGTAGGGCTTGAGATCTGAACTGACCTTTGCAGGATCACACAGATTACTTAGCAATCCAGCTGAGAGACAAAGGACTCTTGTTTCATTTACTTGCCTCCCCCCTTCCCCAGGTCTGAGTTTCTTCCACTATATGATGCTGTTTCTCCTCTGTTTAACTTGGAGCAGGACAGCCAAAAATGAAAATAACCCCCGGAAAAAGTTTCATGAATGCATGACATACAAAATGAAGTTAAAGTAAATTTACAGTTTTAAGGCCCAACTTTTTGTGTGTGCCAACAGAGACAAAATCCATCGCAAATGTGACACAAATAATTCTCTTGATCTTATCATGACTGAAGTCTTCATAGTTTGCCTTTATTCAATCCGTTACTTCTTGCGTGGCTACCAGATAACTTATACCATAGCTGCCCCATAGCTCACTCTCTGAGATACATATTTCTGCATAGCCTTTGCTGTATTTACCTTATCAGAAACATTCTGTCCAATTTTTCTATTTTGTGAGCAGCCAGCCATGGTACATGAGCAACAAACTGTGAAGGCTTAGCTCGCAAAAAAATGAAATTTAGTATAATCATCAAACACAGCAAAGGTAATCTAACACGAATTCACAGGTATGGATGACCGCTGTGAATTATGCTAATGAGGCATAAATGGGAAGCAGCTCAAGAAAAATGACTGTAATTAATATTATTCTACATAGGCATACTGAATAAGTCCAAGATGAGGTGAGAAAAAGAATGAATTATATAAATTTCTAAAGACCTCTGCATTTTTATCTAGGCCTAGAGGACTTTTTCACAATCAGTAAAAAGACATGTGACAAATTATTTGTTATAATAAAAGTTAAACTACTGAAGGTTTTTAACATATTAGAACAGATTTAAGATTATTCTTCTAATGACATGCAACTCTGTATCAACTATCTATTATTGCATGGTAAAGTATATGACTTAAAACCCAATTATTTCTTTTGCTCAAAAATCTGCATTTGGGGCAGCGTTCTGCAGAGATAGTTTGTCTTTGTTATACCTGGCAGCAGTTGGAGCTGCTCCACTAAGAGCTGAAAGATCCAGTTCAAATATGATCAGACACATGGCTAGTAACTGGGTACTGGTATCGGCTAGGAGCCTTGGATCCTCTCATGTGGGATTCCTGGGCTTCCCGTGTGCTTCTTGGGCTTTCTTATAAGATGGTGGCTGGGTTCCAAAAGCAACCATCCCAAGAGAGCCCAGTGATCAACTCACCTCGCCTTGGAAATCCCAAGGTATCATTCCTGCTGAAGTCCACGTTTGCGCATATACAAGGAGAGAGAGCGTAGATCCCACATTTCAATGGAAAGAGCATCAAAGTCACATTGCAAGATGAGTGTGTAGGTGGGAGAAAATGCCATGGCTATTTTTGAAAAGTACAAACTGTCACATCATATACTTGAATTGTGATGTGCTTTGAGTCGGAGGGCTGGTGTTGACTTGTCAGTGTTGGGAAAGGGGTATAATCAACAGTCTTTTTACCTATGTCACTTATGGGAATGTGTTATGCATACAATGTCATCTGGTTTATGTCATGAGTATCTTGGCCTAAAAATTAAAAAGGATGAAAACTGCTTTTCTGGAGGAACAGATTTTTGGAGAAGAAAAAAAAAAAGAAAAGCAGGGGGAAGACCAGGCAATGGGTGCTTGTTAGATTGAATTAAAAATTCTGTCTTAGGTGTGTCTGTCCTTAATCTCTCATTAATAATCAGATGTGACCGAGCACTGTGGCCCACGCCTGTAATCCCAGCACTTTGGGAGGCCGAGGCAGGTGAATCACCTGAGGTCAGGAGTTTGAGATCAGCCTGGCCAACGTGGTACAAACTTGTCTCTGCTAAAAATACAAAAATTAGCTGGGCATGACGGTGGAAGCCTGTAGTCCCAGCTACTTGGGAGGCTAAGACAAGAGAATTGCTTGAACCCAGGAGGCGGAGGTTGCAGTGAGCCGAGATCACGCCACTGCACTCCAGCCTGAGTGACAGAGTGAGATTCCGTCTCAATAAAAAAGAAAAAGAAAAAGAAAAAAAAATCAGATGTAAGAGAAGAGACTCTCCCAATCTCCTCCCCTTTTTCCTCCTTCAAACACTCACTGAATTCTAGGTTTATACCCCTCACACTCCACCTACCAGCTTCTCCTCCACTGCTGAAACATGGTGCAGAGCACACATCTCACATGGCTACCTTCTCATCATCCCTGGGATTAATCCATCAGTGGCATCAAAAGGCCATTAGATACTACGGTGGCTTTATATTCAAACACCACCTGTGCCAAATCCATCTTAGATTGTGTAACCATAGATGGGAGACAAAAATAGGTTTTGTTTCTCTCTAATGACAGAATTAATCCCCCAATTCAATTAATTCCTGCTAATTAAATGCATGAATATATATTGGTTCTTTCCATCTGCTGTGGCAATCCTTTTGAAGCTCCTATTAGCATGGAAGAGATTTCTGTTTGGAGAAAAAACAAACAGCCTCCGTCTAGTGTTCCCTCCTGGCAGAAAACCTCTACCTTGCTGCCAGAGGATCAGGATGCACTCCCTTCAAAAGCAGTTCGTTCCACTTCTTTTATTCACCACTGGAATTGGCTATAAACAGCACAGGGACCAGATGTCTCTCCAAAGCATCCCATTTGCTTATCTGTTGTTGTGAAATTGTTTAATTGTTTCACATGTCTAAGTTCCACTTCTGCGATTAAGTCATAAGCATGAGGACACTTTTTTCTCTTTGTTTTATCCACACTATATCTTTCACTGAAATCTCTATGGGACAGAAAATACATGAAGTGCTTAATAAATAGTTGGTTGATCCTTTCGACCTGGTGATTCAGCCGGCTATCATTTCAATACACTTTAAAATCTGGATTGAGGAAGACATTCTAGGGAGTGGAAGAAAGCTCACCTTACTGGCCCCTGCTACACCTTGCAATCAATTTTGGAGACACAGATATCTTCAAATCTCTTTGTAAATCTCATGGTGTTTGTTAGTTGCATCTAGTAAACACAGCAAAACACCACTGCAACTATCTCATGAGATCAGAAATGTTTATGAGTCAACTCAGAGCTGTATATCAGCAATGATACTTGTTACTTCCTAGAACATTGATAGTAACGCTTAGATAAGTGTTAAAGCAAACTTCGTGGGTGAATTAATTTGCTTTGAGCACTGGGTTAGTGAAAACAAGCTCATGGGTTACAGGGCCAATAGACTCACACTCTTCCAGAATCACAGCATGTCACTTTCAACCTGCTGTGTAACATACATGACGCCAGTCACAAAGGACCAGCAAAGGGTCTTAAAATACCTTCTGGAAAATCTCTATAACTCAATATCAATTCTTTCTCTAGCAATAAATTAATATCATCACCTTTGGATGTAATGGGAAAACATATTTTTATATAGTACCACCATCTAAAGTAATATACAGCTATTCCCTTAAAACTAGAAAAATATAAATTCATTTCTAACATCAATATTATAGAATCCTATTTACGGTTTTGTTAGACAAACATTAAGCTTTCAAAAAAAACCAGGGAGGAGTTTTCATATTTGTAAAGCATTTTCTTTTTCTTTTCTTTTTTTTTTTTTTTTTTTTTTTTTTTGAGATGGAGTCTTGCACTCTCACCCAGACTGGAGTGCAGTGGCGCCATCTCAGCTCACTGCAAGCTCTGCCTCCCGGGTTCACGCAATTCTCCTGCCTCAGCCTCTCGAGTAGCTGGGACTACAGGCGCCCGCCACCACACCTGGCTAATTTTTTGTATTTTTAGTAGAGACGGGTTTTAACCATGTTAGCCAGGATGGTCTCGATCTCCTGACCTAGTGATCCACCCGCCTCAGCCTCCCAAAGTGCTGGGATTACAGGCGTGAGCCACCGCGCCCACCCTTGTAAAGCATTTTCATCATGAACCTAAAATAATTACAGTACACTGTAACATTCTTTTCCCCTTCTTAACATTTGAATGAAATAATATGTGTGTTGGAAACTGATGTAGCAATGCAAGAGATTTTTTTTAAGAAGTTCTAGTACTCTGAAGGTCCTTCATCCCTATAATGTTGAGAGAGTTTAATTTAGATTGTCTAACTTTGTTTTGTTTTACTTTCCTGGCATTTGGATGATAAAGCTATAATCCTGAGAGGGTAAGAGAAATGGAAGAACTAATAAAGTCCTTATTTTCCCCACAAATGAGAGGAAGGTGCCATGTAAAAGAAAAGTGCTGCTGGCCTGTAGCTCTGGTGACTGTTACAGAGAAGCACAGAGAAAGCTTCAGGCGTTGGCTTTACCCCTTCCTCCAACATCAGGCAGGCATTCTTCCTGTGATCAGGGTCCCTGAACTCACTGGATGTGTTTTAGCAGTGTCCTTCAAGGCCTCTGAAAGGAACTTGGGGTGAACAAGTGTACTCATGTTTCACCCAGTGATATCTGTAAGCAGGTCTGATGTGGCCTGAGAGTAATGGATGGTTACTGGTTTTACCAAACATCAAGACTGTTTGGAAAATGATGTTTAAGGTCAGAAGCCAAGTACAGTTAAGTATGTACTAGAGCTCAAAAAGATTATAAGCTTATAAGTCATCCAGTCATCAGGATACACATTACATTTCTTCTCAGTGACTAGCAGCAAACTGACCACTCTGTAATATAAAGGCTTTTTAAACCAAAAAGAAGAACAGCCAAACACCCCTCACTGGAACAAAAGTAAAGTCAGGAAGGAGTTAATTTAGCAAAGGTCATGTTCAGAGACATACCAGCAAAATGCACATACGGCAAAAGTGTACAATTAAAAAATAAATAAAATGTCAAGAGCATACCCTCACTTATTATTGTAAATATAGATTATTTGCATTATTTATTTATCAATTTTTTATTATACTTTAAGTTCTGGGATACACGTGCAGAATGTGCAGCTTTACATAGGTATACACTTGCCGTGGTGGTTTGCTGCACCCACCAACCCATCATCTACTTTAGGTATTTCTCCTAATGCTATCCCTCCCCTAGACCCACCCCTACTGGGTTATAATAAAACATTAATTTTGAATCTTCCCCATATAAGCATATGACAGTTATTACTTGGAAGAATATAAAAATTAAGCATTTTATTTCAGAAAAGTAAAAATAAATCTTAACTTTCACTATATCATGCTAAATTGATTAAGCAACATTATGCCTTAGAAGAATTGTTATGTAAATGGTTACTTCTGAAGCATGCCCAAGACATAAAACATTAATTTGAAATAGAATAGGCTTCAGTGTATCAGTAAGTCTTCAATTATATTTATTAAAGATCAAATTTTTATTGTCCAGTTGATAGGAAGGGAAATGAAATCAAGACTAAACCTTCATTCTTCATAGGAATTCATATATTCTTAAGAAAAAGAGAGGGGTCGAGCCAAGGTGGCCGAATATGAACAGCTCCGGTCTACAGCTCCCAGCGTGAGTGACGCAGAAGACGGGTGATTTCTGCATTTCCATCTGAGGTACCGGGTTCATCTCACTAGGGAATGCCAGACAGTGGGCACAGGACAGTGGATGCAGTGCACCGTGCGCGAGCCAAAGCAGGGTGAGGCATTGCCTCACTTGGGAAGCACAAGGGGTCAGGGAGTTCCCTTTGCTAGTCAGAGAAAGGGGTGACAGACGGCACCTGGAAAATCAGGTCACTCCCACCCTAATACTGTGCTTTTCCAACGGGCTTAAAAAACGGCACACCAGGAGATTATATCTCGCACCTGGATTGGAGGGTCCTACGCCCACGGAATCTCGCTGATTGCTAGCACAGCAGTCTGAGATCAAACTGCAAGGTGGGAGCGAGACTGGGGGAGGGGCACCCGCCATTGCCCAGGCTTGCTTAGGTAAACAAAGCAGCCAGGAAGCTCGAACTGGGTGGAGCCCACCACAGCTCAAGGAGGCCTGCCTGCCTCTGTAGGCTCCACCTCTGGGTGCAGGGCACAGACAAACAAAAAGACAGCAGTAACCTCTGCAGACTTAAATGTCCCTGTCTGACAGCTTTGAAGAGAGCAGTGGTTCTCCCCAGCATGCAGCTGGAGATCTGAGAATGGGCAGACTTCCTCCTCAAATGGGTCCCTGACCCCTGACCCCTGACCCCTGAGCAGCCTAGCTGGGAGGCACCCCCCAGTAGGGGCAGACTGACACCTCACACTGCCGGGTACTCCTCTGAGACAAAACTTCCAGAGGAAAGATCAGACAGCAGCATTTGTGGTTCACGAAAATCTGCTGTTCTGCAGCGACTGCTGCTGATACCCAGGCAAACAGGGTCTGGAGTGGACCTCTAGCAAACTCCAACAGACCTGCAGCTAAGGGTCCTGTCTGTTAGAAGGAAAACTAACAAACAGAAAGGACATCCACACCAAAAACCCATCTGTACATCACCATCATCAAAGACCAAAAGTACATAAAACCACAAAGATGGGGAAAAAACAGAGCAGAAAGACTGGAAACTCTAAAAAGCAGAGCGCCTCTCCTCCTCCAAAGGAATGCAGTTCCTCACCAGCAACAGAACAAAGATGGACGGAGAATGACTTTGACGAGTTGAGAGAAGAAGGCTTCAGACGATCAAATTACTCTGAGCTACAGGAGGAAATTCAAACCAAAGGCAAACAAGTTAAAAACTTTGAAAAAAATTTAGAAGAATGTATAACTAGAATAACCAATACAGAGAAGTGCTTAAAGGAGCTGATGGAGCTGAAAGCCAAGGCTTGAGAACTACGTGAAGAATCCAGAAGCCTCGGGAGCCGATGCGATCAACTGGAAGAAAGGGTATCAGTGATGGAAGATGAAGTGAATGAAATGAAGCGAGAAGGGAAGTTTAGAGAAAAAAGAATAAAAAGAAATGAACAAAGACTCCAAGAAATATGGGACTATGTGAAAAGACCAAATCTACGTCTGATTGGTGTATCTGAAAGTGACGGGGAGAATGGAACCAAGTTGGAAAACACTCTGCAGGATATTATCCAGGAGAACTTCCCCAATCTAAAAAGGCAGGCCAACATTCAGACTCAGGAAATACAGAGAACGCCACAAAGATACTCCTCGAGAAGAGCAACTCCAAGGCACATAATTGTCAGATTCACCGAAGTTGAAATGAAGGAAAAAATGTTAAGGGCAGCCAGAGAGGCAGGTTGGGTTACCCACAAAGGGAAGCCCATCAGACTAACAGCGGATCTCTGGGCAGAAACTCTACAAGCCAGAAGAGAGTGGGGGCCGATATTCAACATTCTTAAAGACAAGAATTTCCAACCCAGAATTTCATATCCAGCCAAACTAAGCTTCATAAGTGAAGGAGAAATAAAATACTTTACAGACAAGCAAATGCTGAGAGATTTTGTCACCAGCAGGCCTGCCCTAAAAGAGCTCCTGAAGGAAGCACTAAACATAGAAAGGAACAACCGGTACCAGCCACTACAAAATCATGCCAAATTGTAAAGACCATCGAGGCTAGGAAGAAACTGCATCAACTAACAAGCAAAATAACCAGCTAACATCATAATGACAGGATCAACTTCACACATAACAACATTAACTTTAAATGTAAATGGACTAAATGCTCCAATTAAAAGACACAGACTGGCAAACTGGATAAAGACTCAAGACCCATCAGTGTGCTGTATTCAGGAAACCCATCTCATGTGCAGTGACACACACAGGCTCAAAATAAAAGGATGGAGGAAGATCTACCAAGCAAATGGAAAACAAAAAAAGGCAGGGGTTGCAATCCTAGTCTCTGATAAAACAGACTTTAAACCAACAAAGATCAAAAGAGACAAAGAAGGCCATTACATAATGGTAAAGGGATCAATTCAACAAGAAGAGCTAACTATCCTAAATATGCATGCACCCAATACAGGAGCACCCAGATTCATAAAGCAAGTCCTGAGTGACCTACAAAGAGACTTAGACTCCCACACATTAATAATGGGAGACTTTAACACCCCACTGTCAACATTAGACAGATCAACGAGACAGAAAGTCAACAAGGATACCCAGGAATTGAACTCAGCTCTGCACCAAGTGGACCTAATAGACATCTACAGAACTCTCCAACCCAAATCAACAGAATATACATTTTTTTCAGCACCACCCCACACCTATTCCAAAATTGACCACATAGTTGGAAGTAAAGCTCTCCTCAGCAAATGTAAAAGAACAGAAATTATAAAAAACTGTCTCTCAGACCACAGTGCAATCAAACTAGAACTCAGGATTAAGAAACTCACTCAAAACCACTCAACTACATGGAAACTGAACAACCTGCTCCTGAATGACTACTGGGTACATAAGGAAACGAAGGCAGAAATAAAGATGTTCTATGAAAGCAACGAGAACAAAGACACAACATACCAGAATCTCTGGGACACATTCAAAGCAGTGTGTAGAGGGACATTTATAGCACTAAATGCCCACAAGAGAAAGCAGGAAAGATCCAAAATTGACACCCTAACATCACAATTAAAAGAACTAGAAAAGCAAGAGCAAACACATTCAAAAGCTAGCAGAAGGCAAGAAATAACTAAAATCAGAGTAGAACTGAAGGAAATAGTGACACAAAAAACCCTTCAAAAAATTAAAGAATCCAGGAGCTGGTTTTTTGAAAGGATCAACAAAATTGATAGACCACTAGCAAGACTAATAAAGAAAAAAAGAGAGAAGAATCAAATAGATGCAATAAAAAATGATAAAGGGGATATCACCACTGATCCCACAGAAATACAAACTACCATCAGAGAATACTACAAACACCTCTACGCAAATCAACTAGAATACCTAGAAGAAATGGACAAATTCCTCGACACATACACCCTCCCAAGACTAAACCAGGAAGAAGTTGAATCTCTGAATAGACCAATAACAGGAGCTGAAATTGTGGCAATAATCAATAGCTTACCAACCAAAAAGAGTCCACGACCAGATGGATTCACAGCCGAATTCTACCAGAGGTACAAGGAGGAACTGGTACCATTCCTTCTGAAACTATTCCAATCAATAGAAAAAGAGGGAATCCTCCCTAACTCATTTTATGAGGCCAGCATCATCCTGATACCAAAGCCGGGCAGAGACACAACCAAAAAAGAGAATTTTAGACCAATATCCTTGATGAACATTGATGCAAAAATCCTCAATAAAATACTGGCAAAACGAATCCAGCAGCACATCAAAAAGCTTATCCACCATGATCAAGTGGGCTTCATCCCTGGGATGCAAGGCTGGTTCAATATATGCAAATCAATAAGTGGAATCCAGCATATAAACAGAACCAAAGACAAAAACCACATGATTATCTCAATAGATGCAGAAAAGGCCTTTGACAAAATTCAACAACGCTTCATGCTAAAAACTCTCAATAAATTAGGTATTCATGGGGCATATCTCAAAATAATAAGAGCTATCTATGACAAACCCACAGCCAATATCATACTGAATGGGCAAAAACTGGAAGCATTCCCTTTGAAAACTGGCACAAGACAGGGATGCCCTCTCTCACCACTCCTATTTGACATAGTGTTGGAAGTTCTGGCCAGGGCAATTAGGCAGGAGAAGGAAATAAAGGGTATTCAATTAGGAAAAGAGGAATTCAAATTGTCCCTTTTTGCAGATGACATGATTGTATATCTAGAAAACCCCATTGTCTCAGCCCAAAATCTCCTTAAGCTGATAAGCAACTTCAGCAAAGTCTCAGGATACAAAATCAATGTACAAAAATCACAAGCATTCTTATACACCAATGACAGACAAACAGAGAGCCAAATCATGAGTGAACTCCCAGTCACAATTGCTTCAAAGAGAATAAAATACCTAGGAATCCAACTTACAAGGGATGCGAAGGACCTCTTCAAGGAGAACTACAAACAACTGCTCAATGAAATAAAAGAGGACACAAAGAAATGGAACAACATTCCATGCTCATGAGTAGGAAGAATCAATATCGTGAAAATGGCCATACTGCCCAAGGTAATTTATAGATTCAATGCCATCCCCATCAAGCTACCAATGACTTTCTTCACAGAATTGGAAAAAACTACTTTAAAGTTCATATGGAACCAAAAAAGAGCCCACATCACCAAGTCAATCCTAAGCCAAAAGAACAAAGCTGGAGGAATCACACTACCTGACTTCAAACTATACTACAAGCCTACAGTAACCAAAACAGCATGGTACTGGTACCAAAACAGAGATATAGATCAATGGAACAGAACAGGGCCCTCAGAAATAACACCACATATCTACAACTATCTGATCTTTGACAAACCTGAGAAAAACAAGCAATGGGGAAAGGATTCCCTATTTAATAAATGGTGCTGGGAAAACTGGCTAGCCATATGCAGAAAGCTGAAAGTGGATCCCTTCCTTACACCTTATACAAAAATTAATTCAAGATGGATTAAAGACTTAAACGTTAGACCTAAAACCATAAAAACCCTAGAAGAAAACCTAGGCATTACCATTCAGGACATAGGCATGGGCAAGGACTTCATGTCTAAAACACCAAAAGCAATGGCAACAAAAGACAAAATTGACAAATGGGATCTAATTAAACTAAAGAGCTTCTGCACAGCAAAAAAAACTACCATCAGAGTGAACAGGTAACCTACAAAATGGGAGAAAATTTTCACAACCTACTCATCTGACAAAGGGCTAATATCCAGAATCTACAATGAACTCAAACAAATTTACAAGAAAATAACAAACAACCCCATCAAAAAGTGGGCGAAGGACATGAACAGACACTTCTCAAAAGAAGACATTTATGCAGCCAAAAAACACATGAAAAAATGCTCACCATCACTGGCCATCAGAGAAATGCAAATCAAAACCACAATGAGATACCATCTCACACCAGTTAGAATGGCAATCATTAAAAAGTCAGGAAACAACAGGTGCTGGAGAGGATGTGGAGAAATAGGAACACTTTTACACTGTTGGTGGGACTGTAAACTAGTTCAACCATTGTGGAAGTCAGTGTGGCGATTCCTCAGGGATCTAGAACTGGAAATACCATTTGACCCAGCCATCCCATTACTGGGTATATACCCAAAGGACTATAAATCATGCTGCTATAAAGACACATGCACACGTATATTTATTGTGGCACTATTCACAATAGCAAAGACTTGGAAGCAACCCAAATGTCCAACAATGATAGACTGGGTTAAGAAAATGTGGCACATACACACCATGGAATACTATGCAGCCATAAAAAATGATAAGTTCATGTCCTTTGTAGGAACATGGATGAAATTGGAAATCATCATTCTCAGTAAACTATCACAAGGACAAAAAACCAAACACCGCATGTTCTCACTCATAGGTGGGAACTGAACAATGAGAACACATGGACACAGGAAGGGGAACATCACACTCTGGGGACTATTGTGGCGTGGGGGGAGGGGGGAGGGATGGCATTAGGAGATATACCTAATGCTAAATGACGTGTTAATGGGTGCAGCACACCAGCATGGCACATGTATACATATGTAACTAACCTGCACATTGTGCACATGTACCCTAAAACTTAAAGTATAATAATAATAAAATAAAAAATAATTTTAAAAAAAGAAAAAGAATATCTAGAAACTTAATATGTATATACTTATACATCCAAATGTAGTCCCTGATTGCTAAAGAAATAGAGTGATGTAGAGAATGATTTCCTAGAGAAGGTAAAAGAAATTTTCCAAAAACGAAGATTCGCATTGGTAGAAAAGCTGGGGGTACAGATTTCTATAGAGAACAGTCAGCTTAGCAGAATGAAGGAAGACATAAGAAGCACTTCCATTTGATAACAGGGACCTCTAAAATAGGGTCAGGGAGGAGTGTGTCAGGAATAGCGGGAAAATGAGATGCTGAGAGAACCCCATTCAGGACTCAGAGGGGAGTGTGAGGCCAAAGACTCTCCCTCCTCTCCCCGAACTCCCACCCCTATAACATCAACAAAAAATCACTCGGAGACTTCATTCAGACTATATCCTCACACAAGTCTACCACCCTCTTCCCCAAAGAGAACTAGAAGTTTAAATATATAGCAGAAAGACAGCTGGGAAATCAGATGCTTGAAGAATGGCTTTGGGTAGACCATGCTTTTTGACAACAGGAAAAAGCCCACAGGATAGCTAAAGAAGATTGGGTGACTAGAGAGGCACACAGTCAGAGAAACAAAGCAAACAGTTAACAGACATAGTCATGGTTTAAATCACTTTCTTGCAATCTTATAAAATACCTTTTTTTTTTTTTTCTCAATGGCTGAAACAATTGTCTTCACTAGCGAGGGTGACAGGATGGAAATGTAACCACACAAGGAAAACTGAGTGGATTCTGGCAGATTTCAAATTCCCTTTTCAATAATCATTGGCACTTTGCATTGTCAGGAGAAAAGCTGGAACCTGCATTATTAAATAGTATTTTGTTCCCTTGCCAAAGAATGTGGAAGCTGCCTGCCTGCAATATTTATACACTTGCAAAGTGGATTTTAGTGTTTTTCAAAAAGTGGGTCTGTGGCAAGGTGTGGCAACAGAAACTCCATTTGTCATCCCAAAGAGAAACAATATACTGGAATTCATAAGCAGAAATCCCTACAGGAACTCCTTAGAGAGCAGGGCACAGGTATCTCCAAAATACTTTCCAAAATTTAAAGGTGGTGTTTTTAATTTTTCCTCCTGTGTTTCATTGCTTAGTGTTCTCTCCTGGCTCAGAAGCCTGTAAATGTCCAGAGCAGAAGAGGCCTTAGAAGGCAGCCAAGCTCAGCCTGCTCCAGGGGGAAACCCAGGCCTGATGCAAGTGACTCCAAACCATGGCTTTTGGCAATTGCCAACCCTACCACCCATTCGAAAGTTGCAATTACTCAGAATGATACAAGTTGATACGGTTTGGATCCGTGTCCCCACCAAATCTCATGTTGAATTGTAATCCCCAGTGATGGAGGAGGGGTCTGATGGGAGGTGATTGGATCATGGGTGTGGATTTCCCCTGCGGTGTTCTCACGATAGTGAGTGAGTCTTCACGAGATCTGGTTGTTTAAAAGTATGTGGGGCACCTCCCCCTTTGCTTTCTCTTCCTCCTGCTCCAGCCATGTAGGATGTGCCTGCTTCCCCTTCGCCTTCTGCCATGATTGTAAGTTTCCTGAGGCCTCCCCATCGATGCGTCCTGTATAGCCTGTGGAACCATGAGCCAATGAAACCTCTTTTCTTTACAAATTACCCAGTCTCAGGTAATTCTGTATAGCAATGTGAGAATGGATGGACTAATACACAAGTCATTCTGTGTCCATTGGGCTGTAACCTGCAGGAAATGTGTATTTCAAGTAATCCTAGAGAACAATAGGCTTTAATCATCCCAAAAGCCCATGCAAATGAGACATATGAGGTCTATTTATAAAAAAATCTATATGCCCATTTTTTGGCTGTCTGACATTGATGGTTGCTCTCACTCTCTCTTGCACACTTCATCTCTTCCTGTCTCTTTCTTTTGTTGATGTTTGTAAGCAAACTGTATGCTAGGTCTTTGCCTATATTACCTAATTTAATCCTCACAATAAGCCTATTAGATATATACTCTTATTATTATCATCCTCATTTTCAGGATGAAGAAATTGAGGTTTAATGACATTAAGTAATTTGCTGAAGACCTCATGGCTAATATGGAATAAAACCAGCATGTAGAACCAGGATGTGAAATATTTATGAGATATGAGAAAGCCTGTCTCTTTAGCAGGGTACTACCTTGCCTGCTCATCTGGTTGTATAGACTGTCAAACAATACTATGGGGTCATTAGGTAGTAATACAAGGTCCTTCCTTCCCAATATTTCCCTGGTAAGGCCAAAGGGATGTAGTTTTAGTGGTCTCCATATCCCATACTCTTGTGGCTCTGATGAGGGAAGTTGTAGAAAATCAAGTTGCTCTGCTGGGTGAAGGAAAGGCTTCAGCAATGAACTTCTGGAAAGTATTATGTGAAGTTGTGCTTGCTTGGGAATGGATGTTACAGGATGCTAAGAAAGTCACACCCTAAGATTTAGGGCACCCAAAATGAACCCAGAAATTGAGGATTGACATAACAAGTCTGGCAAAACAAGGAAGCATTTAGTTGACTTAATTAGCTTGTAAGATGGCTGGACTGGTGAATATTTTAACAGCTTTATCCAGGACAGTCCAGACCTAAGCAGCTATAATTGACAGGTTGGGCAAACAAAAATGCAAACAAAAAATGCATTCAAAGCACTACAGCATACAGGTTAAAGTAACATATCTAAGACTAACCTTCTAGGAATCAAATGAAACAGTGACAACACATTCTAATATTTTGCAACTGGTAATGATGATAAGATATGTTTAGGGTAAGTCCATAATTCAGGGAAACCATTCACCAGCCAGTCCTTTGCAAGAGGAGGCCACCAAAACGATAAAACAAGCTCTAGGTAGAGGAGAAGACTTTTGATTAAATATTGGGATTTCTAGTCAAATTAAAAACAAATATAGTAACAATTAGCCTCACATGAGAATTATATTATAATAACTTTCAGTGTACCAACCCAGCCCCTTGGTTTCACTGGGTGTTAATATAACCCAGATCATATAATTTCATACAGTAGAAATCATAAACAAAGTAAACTTTTAACAATAGGCACAATTCAATTTTTTGTTTCTGCTATCATAGAATATTACACAAAGACCAGAGTCAGAGATTTCTCATTTCCTAAATAACTGTATTGACTTATCTGTGGAAATGAAATCTATGATCTCTTCACTTGTTGCCAGACACATCACCTTGTCTGATGGCCCCTTCTCATCTTTCCACTTAAAAGTAAACTAGGGGCCGGGCGTGGTGGCTCACGCCTGTAATGCCAGAACTTTGGGAGGCTGAGGCGGGTGGATCACATGAGGTCAGGAGTTCGAGACCAGCCTGGCCAACATGGTGAAACATCATCTCTAGTAAAAAACACAAAAATTAGCCGGCCATGGTAGCACACACCTGTAATTCCAGCTGCTCAGTAGGCTGAGGCAGGAGAAGCGCTTGAACCTGGGAGGCAGAGGTTGCAGTGAGCTGAGATCATGCCACTGCACTACAGCTTGGGTGGCACAGTGAAACTCCATCTCAAAAAAAAAAAAAAAAGTAAACTAGGACTTGGACACCAGCTCTCTTCCTTTTTCTAACTCCTTTTTTCCCGTTACTTTTTTATTTTACAATGTGTTAATATTTTAACTTAAATATTCTATAACCCCAAAAGCAACCCAATGCAATGCTGTAGGTAAATTTTAATAAAGAGTATTCCCGCAGCTGGGCATGGTGGCTCATGCCTGTAATCCCAGCACTTTGGGAGGCCAAGGCAGGCAGATTGCCTGAGGTCAGGAGTTTGAGACCAGGCTGACCAACATGGTGAAACCCTGTCTCCACTAAAAAGACAAAATATTACCTGGGCGTGGTGGTGCACGCCTGTAATCCCAGCTACTCGGAAGGCTGAGACAGGAGAATTGCTTGAACCTGGGAGACGGAGGTTGCAGTGAGCCGAGATTGTGCCACTGCACTCCAGCCTGGGTGACAGAGCAAGACTTCATCTCAAAACAAAACAAAAACAAACAAAAAAGAGTATTCCCTCATCTTCTCCAGCCACTTACAATCAACCTTCAAAAGACAACTAGATAATTATCACCAACAAAGCATTCCAGAAAAACCAGAACAATCAAAAGGATTACATGGTTACAATCAATAGTGAGATTTAGTAAAGGTAAATGACAGATAATAGTAGGGTCAGGACACATAGAAAGCAATATAACCAGATTTTGGAAAGCCCAGGGGGGTTTGTTTTGTTTTGTTTTGTTCTGTTTTTTAATCAGCAGTGAATTATCTATTTTCCTAGGATTTGTGAAAGAAGGCTAACTAAGAAAAAATATGCTATCATTTTTATTCTTTTCCTTTCAAAACACAGTCTATAGGGAACACCCACTGAGACTACCACAAAAGGCCATCTTTTCAGCACATAGTAACTGAATCTCTGGAAAAAGACCAGGAGTGACCTATCTTCTACAACAGGGAAGAATATTAATGAGGCTGCAATGGGATTCAAAGATGTGTAATGAAAGTTTCTGTTTGCCAACACCACATACTGCAGCAAATTTAACAGTAAGACTTGTATAGAGAGAATCAGTTCTGTGCCAGGGCACAGCACAGAATAGGGCAATGTCTCTATTCACTGAGTTTATAGTCAAATAAGAAGAGCAACATTACCCATGAGGAAAGAAAATTGGAACACACTCAAAAAAACAAAACAGGCAATAAGGAAGGAGAAATCATGGGCATTTAAGTTGTCAGGAAAATTCATCTTTGTTTGTCCTTAGCGTCTATAGAGGTGGTTCCAAGACACGGAAATTAATGAGCATTGAGGTGAGACCTGCATGAAGGACAATGAAGGTGCCTGCCAGAGAGATGGTAGGAGGTGACAGAAAGCTTATGGCTAAATAAAGACAAGAAAGGCGAGGTCTAGAGAGGGTCCCGCAAGCAGAGTAGAAGTAACTCTCTAAAGCTCGAAAGCAACATGAGCTAAAGCGGGAAGAGAAAGAGCCTCAAAAATGAGCACTGTTTTTTACAACGGGGATTCTATAGGAAAAATCTGATATGGGGCAAAAAAAAGGACACTCTAGCAACTTTATATTTATGATAGCCCAAAGTCATTGCAAAGTGATGTACTGTGACGCTCAGTACAGTAGGCTCTACCTAGCAATGCAATTAAAGATCTGCACATATTTCCATCTGTAACATCAGTCAAGTTTACTTTTTTGAGACAGAGTCTTGCTCTGTAGCCCAGGCTAGAGTACAGTGGCACGATCTCGGCTCTCTGCAACCTCTGCCTCCTGGGTTCAAATGCTTCTCTTCCCTCAGCCTTCCAAGCAGCTGGGATTACAGGCATGCACCATCATGTCAGGCTTATTTTTGTATTTTTAGCAGAGGCGAGGTTTCACGATGTTGGCTAGGCTGGTCTCAAACTCCTCACCTCAGGTGATCGCCTCGGCCTCCCAAAGTGCTAAGATTACAGGTGTAGGCCACAGCACCCAGCCAGTATCTAACTTTCTTAATCTTCTTTACTCGTAGTCATCATGGTCATAATAATTATCTTCCTACTTGTGATATCTCTTTAAGGGAATAGCTACCTTTTGAGAACTCTACTATTTAAAAAAATGAATGTTATTGACAGGAGATTGGAACCCTATTTTCTTGATTATGAAGTATGGGGCTACAAGAAGTGGATCCAAAATATATCTTTGAATGTTTTTCTGTGTCAAGGGTTTTTCTTACTTACATGAATAAAAAATTCCCATCTTTAATAATCACTTTCTACCCAATAAAAAGACCTCATACAATTATGAGGTCTTTATTTAACAAATAATATCATGATTTCCTATTACACCAGCTCAAATTTCAGCAATGCTATTGACAGACAGTACAGAGAAATGGTTAAGAAAAGGATCTGGATCCAGATCACCTGAGTTCACATCCTAGTTCTACCTTTTACTCAATAGGCATGTTTTCTCATCTGTAAAATGAAAATAATAGTAGTATATACAAGATATTCCAGAAATAGGTAGCTCAAGTATTGTACAAAGCCTTCCAGAGATTATAAAAGAGGAAACCCTTCCTAATTCATTTTAAGCTATGAATATCATATACATACTACATAATAGAAAGCAAAATTAAAGACTAATCACACTTATGAACATGGATGTAAATATCTAAACAAAATATTAGCAAATCAAATCTAGCAATGTATAAAGGCGGTAAATATAAGAACCAATCTGAGTTCTTCTCATAAATACGATATTGATTTCTATTTAAAAATCAATTAGTAAAATGCACCATATTAACAGACCAAGGGGAAAAAAATTGTCATCTCTCAAGATGAAGAAAAGAGTATTAAATAAAATTCAACATCTGTTGAATTTAACAAATTAGAGCGAAGGAAAAGATCCTTATAAGAAATATCCACAAAACAAGTACTGTCACCTGCATCATGACCACCTGGCAGTGAACTTCTTACTTAATTGTGACTTGTGGATGGCACTCACTTTGGGATCAGGAACAAGTCAATGATGCTGACTATCTCTGTTACTAGTCAATACTGCACTGAAGGTTTTAACCAGTGCAGAAAGCACCAGAAATATGTATACAAAGCATAATGATTGGAAAGGACGAAACAAAATTCTTTGTAGATGAGATTGCCTATATAGAATTCTCTTCCCACAAAAAGACGCTTCAGATAAGATTTATGAATTTAAAACTTTAGCAGGAATATTGATAAAGAAACAAGATTTTAAAATTCAACTGCATTTCAATATGCCAGCAAAGACTACTTAGAAAACATAATTTTAAAAATACAACATACAAATTGTCACTAAAAATATAAAGTACCTAGGAATATATTTAACACAAAAATGACCAAATCCTTCATGAAGGAAATTATAAAACTCTATTCATAGCCATTTGAAAAAGCCAATTAAATGTCAAGAGATGTGGCTTGGAATAGAATGATGCATTATCATAGAAATATCAATTTTCTTTATACAAATTTATAGATTCATGCAATTTTCATAAAAAATTTCACCACAAAATTTGATACGCTAATTTTATAATTTATATGAAACAGGCAAAACTCAATTATAACCAAGTCACTCCCAAAGGACAAATTACAGGATATATCCTCCAACAGATATCTGGACTCATACCAAAGTTATAACAACTAAAACAATAGCACAGGGATAGATATATTCATCAATATAACAGAAAATAGAACCTAGAGACTCACATTTACAGGGAGACGACAGACTTTGTAAGTCAGTGAAGAAAATGAATGAAAATGAAATAGCTAGTTATGTATATGAACAGAATCAAAATTAAATTTGACCTTTATCTCTTACCAAACCACAAAAATCAATTCCAAGTTATCAAATATTAAAGAAAGCATTCTAAAAATTTTACAAGACAATATCTTTATGATTATGCTTTGAAAGATTTCTTTAAAAAATACCAAAGGCATA
Source organism: Homo sapiens (assembly GCF_000001405.40). NCBI lineage: Eukaryota > Metazoa > Chordata > Mammalia > Primates > Hominidae > Homo > Homo sapiens. Next base: position 137,438,049 of record NC_000007.14, read on the forward strand.
AACCATAGAGAAAACATTAATGATTTTACTGCAGTAAAATAAAGAATATCCATCTATTCATCAGATGACATCAAAAAGAGCTCGAACAGATAAGCCACAAACTGGAGAAAATTTGCAACACACATAGGAAACAAAATAATTTTTACATAGAATACATTAAAAAGTTCATAAATCATTAAGAAGAACACAACCAACCAGGTGGGGAAAAGTGAGTAAAAGAAATAAAAAGACCTTTCATAGAAGAGTAAACACAAATGGCCCATAAGTATATGAAAAGATGTTTGATCTCATGTGTAATCATTGACTACAAATTAAAATCACATTGAGATGCCATTTCATACTTTCACAAGACTAGCAAACATTTTTAAATTAGTTAATATCAAGTGTTGGTGAGGATGTAGATCAATGGGAACTCTTATCCACTGAAGTTGGGAGTGTATATTAAAATGATCACTCTGGAAAACAACATGTTATAATGCTATAAGTTAAATATGTGTATAATCTACCACCTAACTTAAGCTATTCCCAGGTTTAAGCGCATGGATACGAGGAAGAGTTACAAAAAAGAGAATGTTCATAGTAATATTGTTTGCAAGAGCAAAACAAAAACAAACCCCCAAGAAACCTGTTATTTATGTAAATATTCATTAGCAGATTGGATATATAAATTGGTATATACTCATACAATAGAGTAGTATACAACATGAACTATTGATGAAATGCATATGGCACTCATCCATAAGGATGAATCACAAAAATTATTCTTTTGAACAAAAGAAACAAATAACAACATGATTCAATTTGTACAAATTCAAAATACATAAAACTATGTACACACACACATATACACACATATAGGAATACATATATGAGTTATATATCCACGTATCCATTCATATGTAAGATATGCATATATGTAGTAAAACAAGAAGAAACAAGGACATGATTAACAAAAAGGCAGAATAGTAGTTATTTCTGAAGGAGAGGGAAGGGGACATAATTAGGGAAGCAAATGACATGAAGCTCCCAAATTCCTACAAATGTTTTACTTCTTAGTCTGAGGGCCAAGTACACAGTAGTTCGTTTTGCTTATTATTTAAACTGAGCAGATAACATTTTATATATTTTATGAATAGTATCTATTTCAGTAATATACATGAAAGAAAAGTGAATTGATGAGGTACAGCCATTGATGCCTCAAAGAGTTTGGGCCACGCCACAGTGTGTTTCACTGCATAACTGTATTAATCCATTCTCATGTTGCTAATAAAGACATACTCAAGACTGCATAATTTATAAAGGAAAGAGGTTTAATGGACTCACAGTTCCATATGGCTGGGGAGGCCTCACAATCATGGCGGAAGACGAAGGAAGAACAAAGGGATGTCTTACATGGTGGCAGGCAAGAGAGAGCTTGTGCAGGGGAACTCCCATTTACAAAACCATCAGATCTCATGAGACTTATTCACTATCACGAAAACAGTATGGGGGAAACTGCTCCATGATTCAATTATCTCTACCTGGCCCCATCCTTGACACATGGGGATTATTACAATTCAAGGTGAGATTTAGGTGGGGACACAGCCAAACCATATCAGTAACCTACTGCCAAGTACAGCCGTCTCCAAGCCTGACAGTGGATTCATTATTGAACACTTTACACTAGTGATTGTGGTTGTGACAATTTTATTTCCAAATAGCCATTACTGCAATTCATGTCCACTATGTTACTGCTGCAACAAAAAAGCTGCCCTAGAATGTGACGGCCATAGTTGACAACAGGTCTAAGAGGTAGGACAGGAGAGGGATGCCTGCCTCAGATGTTCCAGTGGGGCATGCAGCAGATTGCTGGCACTTTCTTTGAGAAGCCACTAATGCCTTTTATTTTGTAAATGAACAGACATTAGTTGGAAGATGACCTGCCCTGAGTGTGCTGGCACAGGTAGCAGCAGTAAGTGAAGCAGCGGTAAGCGCAGCATTCCAAGGAGCCTGTAAAATAAGCAGGCTAAGGTGACAGAAAGGAAGATGAGTTCTCAGAGCCAGGGAAGCAGCCTGGGCCCAGGAGATGGCTCCAGGAGCAATTTAAATGACGAAGTGATAGGCATTCAATACAGAGGAAATGCAGAGGACAGTGCAATCAATCACTGCCAAGCTTATCTTCTAACAAGGAGTAGGGCTCCAGTTTCCAGATGTAACATTAAAACTTAATGTTTCCACTGGGGTTTAGCATGGCAGGTTTCCCTGAAACTTCAGTTTCACTCAGTTAACTAATTATGAGAAAATGTGACATTGGTATTTCCTTTTTCTACAGGGACAAATCATTACCAGCAGGAGGGAGAAGTTGTTATTTTTGTTCTGCTCTGTTTTGTCATTAAAAAGAAATTAACTTACACAGTAGTAAATATACTCTTGTTAGAGGAGGGAAGAATTATCTCCATAGTTCTATCCATTCAATCATGTCTTTGGTTTTCCAGGGACATGGCCGATAAAAGAGAGTTAAGAGTTTGATTGTTAGAATTGGGTCTGAAAATTAACTCTCTCACCTACTAGCTATGTGACCTTAAGCAAGTTATTTAAGCACTCTGAGCCTGCTTTTGCAGCTGTGAAACTGGGGGTGATACATTGACTACAGAGTGTTATTTGTGAAAGATGAAAGGACATAAGGCAGTTGGAGCATGCGAGCACAGTGCTTCTGCATAATAAGCACTCAATACAATTTAGCCTTTATTCTTAGTGACCCTGATGCGCTATTATATAAATATAGAAACAGTTTATGTGTCATTTAGACCTTGTGTTGCCAATTCTATATGACCACACATCTAATCATCAACTGAGCCTTTACTCTGGCACTATAAGCTAAATGGTGTATTAAACATTTTACTCCTCCTCACCCTGATGTAATAAAAGGTTTCCAGAGAAAATTTAATGATAATGAAAAAAACGGTTATTCTCTCCCGTCCTCTTTAAACTTTTCAAGGGCGGAACATAATCCCGAGCAAACATCACAGATAAACTTGTGCTTCCTCTTCTACTGCCTGGATGCTAGCGAATAATACTATGTTTGGGGTGCTTTTAACAAATCAGAAAGTGGGCCGGGCACGGTGGCTCATGCCTGTAATCCCAGTACTTTGGGAGGCCGAGGTGGGCGAATCGAGAGGTCAGGAGATCGAGACCATCCTGGCTAACACGGTGAAACCCCGTCTCTACTAAAAAATACAAAAAATTAGCCGGGCATGGTGGCGGCCGCCTGTAGTCCCAGCTACTTGGGAGGCTGAGGCAGGAGAATGGTGTGAACCCGGGAAGCAGAGCTTGCAGTGAGCCGAGATCGTGCCACTGCACTCCAGCCTGGGCGACAGAGTGAGACTCCGTCTCAAAAAAAAAAAAAAAAAAAAAAATCAGAAAGTGATTTCACAAATGATTTCTCAATTGAACTTGCTACAATCCCATGAGGTACGCAGTTTATGATTAGCTCCATTTTACAGACAAGGAAAAGAAAACAAACAAGATAAGGTAAAGGACAAAGCCACTGTATTTAAGCTCTCTATGCAAGAGTACCATGGGAATGAAAAATACCAGGGTTATTGGACGTTGCAAAATTAGATTTTTCCAAGAATAAGTTCTTGTCTTAGAGCCAAAGTGACTAGTTATTACAGAGGGAGGACTATTTGAGGAAAGCAAACAAAATAGAAAATCAAGAGACGTAAGGTTTTATATTCCAATTTCACAATCCATGTGTCCAACATGCCTTAAATTTTCTACCAATAAATTTGAGAAAGACAAATTGCTACTTCTCACCTCTCCTACAAGTGTGTTGCAATGCCATTATTGTGTACAAATAATATGTAAGATTGATGCTATAACATTCAAGAGGTTTTATACTAGCCATAGTACACATGAGCTCTTAAAAATGTATAAAAAGAAGGAAATATATTTTGAGTGGTGGATAGAAAATTCTGGTAATAAAGAAAAAAGCTTTTTTTCAAGAATATATGGGCTAGAAAATGATGAACAATTACATAGGATTAGGTAAATCATCACTATAATTTTGCATTATGTACTTGAACTATTTTTGGAAGTCACAGAAACAAACTAAGAGGTATGAACATGTAAGAAATTTTTTGAAGCCATGAAATTATAATGGCCCTCTAATTTCAATAATGTTTCTTCAACTAATCACATATAAGGTTCTTAAAATAATCAATTCTGAAGTGCTCTTAATCTTCCAAGCAAGTCTTTCTGTCAGTAGTCACCCTTTAGGACTTCAAAGGACCCTGACATATGCCCCCTATTATTTCATAACCACTTAAGAAGTCCTAGTGGATTATCAAATTATAATTCACAAGTTTCCCTCACCCACCATTTTTGTCTGAATGAGGAATAAATTCTCATAGACAGGAAGGCAAAGACAACCAAAAGTCATTAAAGGGAATCCTAGTTCAAAATAAAAACCAAACACAAGCTTCTAGTTTATAATGTGAACATGGAAGCCCAAGGGCCTATATAAATGGGCAAACACCTAGTAATACCAACAGCAATCAGCAAAATAGCACATAATAGCAGGTTACCATTAGGTGGTCAATTGCCTGATCCTGACTTAATGGGCCTGAACATAATTTTCCCTATGATTCTTCATAGAGAATAACACAACTTCATTCCAGTACTAAGTCAGATTTCACAATGTGGCAGTAGAAGAGGCCAGCCTAAAACTCCTTCTCCCTTTTCTTAATTCATTCATTTAATAAACACTTTTTCCTTGTTTGCTCTTCGTTGGAAACTATATCAAAGAACTCATAGTCTAATAGGGAAAACAGGTAAATAAAGCATGAAATTTGCGCATTAAGCCCTAGAATGTAGAAAAATATTAGGCACAACGATAAGCAGATCAGCAAGCCCTTACAGAGGATGAGGTGAGGTGCATAGAAACCATCTATATGGCAAAAGAAGTAGCATCCTGTCAGAGAGAACAGTATGGAGAAAAGCAGGGAGATGGCAGAAAAGATGGTGAGCTCCAGAAATTTGATGTAGAATTAGATGTATTGTCACATGGCTGGAAAACAGATCATGGGTAGGAGAAGGGAAAAGATGGTAAATGAAGCAATAAGCAGTGGAGGAAGACAAAGATTCCATCATTTAGTGCTTACTAGTCCATGCTAAAATACAATATTGAAAAGCTGAACACAATTATTGGTCGGCTGGAAAGATTTCATTCTAGAGGCCATCGGAGCAGATTTTTACTATGGAACGATCATTTTGGTGCTAGCCCGGTATACAGTGTACTAGGGAAAAGAAATATAGAGGTATGGATACCAATTATGAGAGAATTTCCAAAGTCCAAGTAAGATACAAAGGGGCCCCAAACCAAAGTTCCATATAGCATATTTGTAAAACATAACTACATAGCATAACTGATCATTGTAGACACTTAACACTTTTGTGACTGATTGGATAAATGAACAACTCCAAAGGTGAGATGGAACAAAATGAGATATTTTCTCTTTTGAGTGAATTAGCTGTCTCTTAAAATGCAAACAATTCATCTCAACTGGGTAACAACAAATACCACTGACTGCTTGCCTTCCTTTCAGATTTAGAGTGCTCTTCACAAATGAGTGATTGGAACATGATCCCAATGTCCATTCTGGAAGGGACTGTAGGGAATATCTACCACAAACTACCACAAAAATTTTTATCATTTTAAGGATAAAAATCTGAGTCATAAAAAGCACAGGACTAGTCCAAAACCACAAAACCACAAAAAGTTTCTGCTGATGGGACTGAAATCAGGCAGAATAAATTAAGGCTTCACAATATTCGTCAACCAGACGGGTTGGAACAGATTTGAAAGATATCAAATTCAGCTAGGGTGATTTAAGTTTTTAAAAGTGTTTGACATTTCACATTCAAAAACCACAAAGCCAATATCTTAGAGACATTTGCTTAAACAATTATTTGCTCTGACAATGAACTGCAAAGACCAGGGGTCAAGTTTCAATCCTGAATTGGTATAAATAAGACAGATGATTCTTACCATGATCTTCTGAAGAGACTGGTGACCTAAAAGGAAATAATAAGCATGATCAATATTTTATATGATAATTATAATGATAATCAAGAATAATTTCATAGTAATTTTACCCTCAAATTGAATTAAATGGAAAGTCAATATAGTAGACAGTGTAATTAATGTGTTGATTGCATGGTATATTTCAATCAACAATTCCCAACTCTTACCTGGATTGGTTGGATGTTACAGGTTACTAAAATATCAGTCTATGCATGGTGTCCTAGGACTGCAACAAACTTAGCTAAGTCTAGATTTACCACACAAAAAAAGAGAACTCATAGAAATGTAGTATAGATGAAATCCTGTGATGTGTATTGCCCAAGGACATGGCTCCAGCCAGGGATATAAAAAAAGCATTAGATTGGGTGTCTGTAGATACAAAGAGATCTACTTGAACAGTATAAATTGAGACAGAGGTAAAAGAAATAGCATGCACCCTTATCATTACCAGTTTTTGTTTTCACTCTTCATGGAATTTAATGTTTGAGTGAGCTGACCCTCTATTCGCTGCATTATGTCTCAGAACCCGGGAGAAACAGCATGAGGCCAGAAGGCAATCACTGAGGTTCCTCAGAACTTTATCAACAACTTTTGCAAACTATATGTGAGTTCTGCTTTAATTATGATAATCAGATCTCAAATGAAAAATCATATCAACCCTAAAAGGCTTGCTTCCCCCCAGTTGACTACTAGTTGAAATACTTTGAGTAGTATAGACCTAAGTTTGGAGATGAATTCACCTCCAGCTTGAAGACTACGGCTTTGACTCACACTTATTCTTTTCTGAGGAGAAAGAGAGAGACATATAACATTATATTCAGAGTTGTTGAAATTTCGAAGGGAAAGACAAGACATCACATACTTCCCCTATTTTGAAGGAGTCCTCTTCTCTGAATGATTGGCTCACTCAAATCCATAGCAGGGAAATGGCCAAAGATAAACTCAGGAGTTTGGCAATAGAGCTGCCAATTACTATAACTAATATTTATGAGACATGAAGATAAACCTCAGGACAAGAATCATTCAGTCAATACAAAAATGGTTGAAAATAATTTTTAGCTACTTTGGGATGCTTGATATGACTTTATCTACTGGTTAGTAAGATTACTGTTTATTATGTGAGTGAACAGTAAAGAATAAAGACACAGTGGTAAAGGAGAAAAGGCCTTGAACCTCAATGAGTGGCAAAGTATCAATTTATTTCAACTGTGCAAATCTCTTAAAGTAGACTTTTTCATGAAAACTACAGAGTCCCAAGATTTGGTGGAAAGAAAATTGGCTTCTGGGAGATGGACATGGGGGTGGTGAGCGGAAACCTGCCACAATCCCTAGTCAACACTGCCTGAGAAGCACCATTTGGCCTCCCTGGGTAGGGTTGATTTATCCTCCCACTGGATTCCCTTATTTTTTATCATCCACATACCAGCCTTTCTCACTGGGTTGTAACCCCCTTGAAAACTAAGGCTGTATCTTATTTAGAACAGATGAGCCCTTAATTAAAATGTGTTGAATTGAATTAATCTCAGTTCCATCACACTGATATTCAGACTGACACATTCTGGAGCTTCCCAAAAAGTCATCATGTTACTGTAAAACCATCCTTAAGACAAGCTTGCCTGCTCCTAGGCCAGCTGCAAGGAAAAGTCCTAGAGACTTGAAAGTGCCTGAAGCTCCAATTGGTTATAATGTGGACACTCTCAGAGCCAAAGGACATCAAAAGCACCCAGAAACACAGGCACCCATATTCTGCCTCCATTATTATTAAAAATAAAGTTGGGGAGGGGAGTATTGAATGAGAGGTGAAATGAAATTAGAAGCTGAATCTAAAAGAGAACCTATATTTTAAGTAAGATGAGCTAATTTCTTCAGGTGCTTAGGTCATACTAGAATCAGCCACAAGGAAATATCTTTCCTCCTGGTGTTTGCTGATGAGAAGTAAGTGAAAACGTGTCTTGGATTGTTTGCAATTAATTTGTCACAGAGCTACAGGAACAAAGTAAAATTCATGCCAAAGGACAACTAAATGTCTCAAGTGGAGAGCTTGTGAAGCAAGGTCTTTGCTGGCTTTGTGCAAAAGCAAAGCCCTGATATTAAATCTGAAAAATTCCAGATGGCTCCGTTAGAGTCCCAAGGGGACGCATTCTGCAGTATGTCCAGGCAGTGGATAAAATATCAATTTCAGAGTGTTTTGTGAAAATTAGTCATGTTGAGTTTCCATGTTGAATGTCTCCCATATGCCTGGCTTTGTGGAATTTTAAGACATATGGAGTATTTCCATCCTCACTCAGTATTTCACCTTTCACTGCAACAAGTTACTGCACTGCACTACTGAGACATGCACATCATCCATTATTGCTGGAAATCGGCATAAAAAGTTAGCTCATGTGTGGATCACCTGAGGTCAGGATTTTGAAACCAGCCTGGCCAACATGGTGAAACCCCGTCTCTACTGAAAATACAAAAAGTAGCTGGGCATGGTGGTGGGTGCCTGTAATCCCAGCTACTCAGGGGACTGAGTCAGGAGAATCACTTGAACCTGGGAGGCAGAGGTTGCAGTGAGCCGAGACCGCGCCATTGCACTCCAGCCTGGGTGACAAGAGTAAAACTCTGTCTCAAAAAAGAAAGAAAGAAAGAGAGAGAGGGAGGGGAAAGAAGTTAGCTCAGGAGAGAAGAAATATTCTGAAATCAGCAATATAAGTAGTTATTTTAACAACAGAGGTTCAATCCCAAAAAGAGATAATTATCTTAAACCTGACAACTGAGGCATGCAGGAAAGCCCTCTGGTTATTCTTTTCACCACACCTGAAAGACATGTGGTTGTATCCCAGACTGTTTATTTTTCCTCCATGTATACTTTATCTTGGAGCAAGCATCTGCCCTTATAGTGTAAACTATTACTAGCATTCTTATAGCTGTCCTCTTCACTTCTTTCCTGATCATGAGTCCTTTAGCTACAGAATATTCATATTTGTTTGTGCTTTGTTTTTATTTATTTTGGTACTTTTTACATTTTATTTTGCTTAAATGCAGCAAAATAATACAAAACAAAAATTCAAGCCATGCATTTAAAAATATTTCTCCTACTAAGCCTAAATCATTATTATTCAGGTTTGACTCTCTCCATTTATGTTGATTCAATTTATTACTTGAGACCCTATTATTACCAGGCCATGTGCCAAGGGAAGGAAACACAAAGAACAATTTCAGGGAACTCATAATCTAGTGAAAAAGAAAAATATGTAAATAAATGATTATAATGTAAAAAATATATAATGATCAAAATATATATGAGGCAAAGAGGTAGCACAGAGAACAGGGAGATTGATTCAGTATGAAAAGTGTGAAAGAAGGCTTAGAAAAACAAGAATCATCTGAACTTGGCTTTGAAGAATAAAGAGGAGCTTATTAGGTAAGTTAGGAAGGAGAAGAACTCCAGGCAGAATAGCAATAGGCGTGTGAAAAGGAGTACAGATATGAAATTGCATAGAATCCTACCAGATATACAAGTAACTCAGTATTGCTAGAATGTAAAGGAGTAACAAAAGCAAGGACTTGAGAAATAAGTGGCAAGGGCCATTTCATACATGGCGTGTGGGGCCCCGGTGAAGTACTTGCAATTTACCTTCTAAGCTAAATGGAGCAAGCTTGTGAGGCAGAGAAGTCACACATTCTGCAATGAGCAGGCAGTGGAGAGTGAACCATAAAATAACAAGAAGACAAATTAAAAGGCAGAGCTCAAGTTAAAGACTATGACTGAAAAACTTCCATGTTAGTAACACAGAAAAAAAATTCCTCTGCCCTTCAATTTTTTTGAAACCCATGGAAAATGACAGGGAGGATGAGAAATGGTAAAGGAAATACCCTCTTTGATTAAACTAGGTATTTATAAGCCCAAACCATCATACATGAAGAAGAGCTACCAAGTACAGTAAAAATAGAGCTAAGTTTTAGGGAAACAGATAATTTTGATTTTAGTCAGCTAAAGAGATATAAACTATTTCATACACAACAAAATCTATGGCAGAAAGCCTTCCACTTTGAGCCAGGGTGTTCTGCTAGCCAGAAGTAGACCCAAACCTAGAAGAGGATGCTGATAAGCAAAAGTTTGAAGATAACAGAGACAAAGTCAAACTTAAGAGCAGCACACCAAATCACTAAGACCGACCATCCATCCCAAACTAGAAGCTCAAAAAAAAAAAAAAAAAAACTCACCCAATGCAAATATTACAAGTAATAACAGAAAAGAACCAGCATGACATCTATGCAAAAATACCAGAGGAGAACACAAAACACAGGCAAAGAACACACTAAAAAGATGATGGCATAAAGCAGATAAAAATGATTAATAAATCTTCGTGTAATTTAGAAATGGAGGGAAGGAAGGAGGGAAGGAGAGAGGGAGGGAGGGAAGGAGTGAGGGAGGGAGGGAAGGGGAAGGGAAGAAGGGAGGGAGAGAAGGAGGAGGGAGGGAAGGAAGGGAGGGAGGAAGGGAAGGAGGAGGGAGGGAAGGAAGGGAGGGAGGAAGGGAAGGAGGAGGGAGGGAAGGAAGGGAGGGAGGAAGGGAAGGAGGAGGGAGGGAAGGAAGGGAGGGAGGAAGGGAAGGAGGAAGGGAGGGAGGAAGGGAGGGAGGGAAGGAAGGGAGGTAGGGGTAAATACAGCATTTGTGAAATGTAAACTTAAAGAAGAAAAATGATCAAGAAATAGTTACAGGGAGGCAAAAAGAGCAAAAGTCTGCCCAGAGTCTTTGAACTAGTTGTTATTAAAGAAACTTGTGGCTTTTTCCACTGTGGTACCACCGCACTAGGAAAAAAGATTAAGAGAAGATAAATAATAATTAAAAATCTATTAAGATATGAAACATTGATGAAAGAAATTGAAAAAGATACAAATAAATGGAAAGACATCTCTTTCTCATGAATTAAAATAATTAATATTGCTAAAATGTTCGTATTTTAAGCAACCTAGAGATTCTACGTAATTCCTATAAAAATACCAAAGACATTCTTCACAGATTAGTAGAAACAATCCTAAAACGTGTATGAAACCACAGAAGACCCTGAATAGCCAAAGCAATCTAGAGCAAAAGAACAAAGCTGGAGCCATCACACTACCTAACCTCAAAATATTTGACAAAGCTACAGTAACCAAATCAGCATGACACTGGCATAAAAACAGACAAATAGAACAATGGAACAGGATAGAGAGCCGGAAAATAAATCTACATGTTTATAGCCAACTGATTTTCAGCAAAAGCTCCAAGAATACATAATAAGGAAAGGACAGTCTTTTCAATAAATAGTGTTGGGAAAAGCATATATCTAAATGCAGAAGAATATAATTAGACTCTTACTGCACACCATGTGCAAAAATCAACTCAAAGTGGATTAAAGACTTAAATGTAAGTCCCCAAACATGAAACTGCTAGAAGAAAACAGAAAAGCTCCACGACATCGGTCTGGGCAATGATTATTTTGGACATGACCTCAAAAGTACAGGCAACAAAAGCGAAAATAGAGAAATGCGATTACCTCAAATTCAAAAGCTTCTACACAGCAAAGGAAACAATCACCAGAGCAAAGAAACAACCTACATAATATGAAGTTTCCTCAAAAAACAAAACAAAAATAGAACTACCATATGATTCAGCAATCATAAGGTAAATATTAAAAGTAAGTATTAAAAGAATGTGAAACCAGCATGCTGAAAAGATAGCTGCATTCCCACATTTATTACAGCACAATTACCAATAGCCAAGATATGGAATCAACCTAAGTGTCCATCAACGTACAAATGGATAAAGAAAATGTGGTATATATACACAATGAAATACTAGTCAGCCATAAAAAAAAGGAAATCCTGTCATTTGCAACAACATCAATGAACCTGAAGGATATTATGTTAAGCTAAATAAGCCAGGTAGAGAAAGACAAATACTGCATGTCTCACTCATGTGGAATCTAAAATGTTGATTTCACAGAAGTAGAGAGTAGAATGGAGGTTACCAGAGGCTGGGGCATTTCGGGGTGAGGGAGATGGGAGACATGCTCTTCAAAGTAGACAAAGTTACAGTTAGATAGGAAGAATAGTTCAGGAGATTTATGGTATAGCATGCTGACTATAGTTAAGGATGATACACTGCATTCTTAAAAAATGCTAAGAGAGTAGATGCTAAGTGCTCTCACAATAAAATTTATAACTATGCATGGTAATGCATACGTTAATTAGCTACATAATTAATGGTTATATATATTTCACATCATGTTGTATACAACACATAATAATTTTATGTCAATTTTAAAATTATTTTTAAAGAACTAGAATAATAGCTGGGCATGGTGGCTCACCCCTGTAATCCCAGCACTTTGGGAGGCCAAGGCGGGCAGATCACCTGAGATCAGGAGTTTGACACCAGCCTGGCCAACATGGTGAAACCCTGTCTCTACTTAAAAAAATACAAAAATTAGCCAAGCGTGGTGGCACGCGCCTATAATCCCAGCTACTTGGGAGGCTAAGGCAGGAGAATCAGTTGAACCCAGGAGGCAGAGGTTGCAGTGAGCCAAGATTGCACCGTTGCACTCCTGCCTGGACAACAAGAGCGAAACTCTGTCTCGAAAAAATAAAAAATTAAAATAATATATAGTTACATATTTTTAATTATATACATATCTTTATATATACACATATATATATATTTTACTTTGGATTTACTCTTCCATGAATCTTGATCTGAATATTTGCTGGTGAAAGTACCCTTCCCAATATTAACCCTGCTTATGAGAATATCCATATTGTCTCTAAAATAAAGACAACTTTTCAAACTAGCATACACAGAGAAACTTGGAAAAAAAGGGAAGCTCTTGGAAAACAAAATGCTATTTTAGATAGAATATTATGTAATTTAACTGGTAAAAATTAAAATATTTTCATACTGAAACCAGCACAGTCATATTATGTATCCAAAAGCAAAAGTCCCTTGAATTTTTAAAGTCACAAACTTCGAAAACAAACAAACAAACAAAAAATAAAACAGGACAAAACAGATATCTGTGTTTGAGGCAGTCAGCTTCAGACAAGTCTCCAGGTTCCCAAGGAAGTAAGTTTGTTCCTCTGGAACGGAGTGTTGTCATGGCAGTCTGAATATATGAAATTACCCAACTAAACACAGCTATAATATCTTGGAATGAATCATTTTATTAGATTAATATATAGAGATATCACAAATCAGGGAACAAGACATTCAGCACATATTGGCTAGTGGCTGCTGCATTACAGACAGCACTCTATCTAAACTCAAGCATCTCTAAGAAACTCAAAGATACTTTTTTTAGATTGCCTTCAATCCACAAATTTTCCTTCAAAGCCTTTTATCTTTCTAGTAGATCGATTACAAGGCTTAAGGGCACTGAAAAATGTGCCCAGTTTTCTACCAGCAAAAGAGCAATACATAAAAGCAAATGAGTATTATATTTGGGAAGGCAAAGGACTTTATAAAGTATTGCACCTCTTATGATGTTTTATCGTTTTTAGTCAATAAACCTGGAAATGAAATAATGGGTGTCACGACTATTTCAGTCTTTATATCTGGTATAATATACTTTACAATAGGTTTTAGATATGTGCATTTTCTTGGTAAGCTCCATGAAATGATCAAAACTTACAAGCTGATCCTAATACAATATCCTTTTCATTTCAATAACACTGTCCAGTTTTCTTTCTTTTTATTTTTTTAGACTCTATGCATATTTTGCTTTATTTATTTTTTTTCATCATCTCATGGCTTTAATTTAAAAGCACCCATGGCCTTCCTACTTGGCCCTTCCTCAGAATGGCTACATCATTTCCTTCTTTGGAGATAGGATGTCAATAGATTATCCATTAGTCTTTCCTAAAGAACAGAGGATAGATTAGATAAATATTGGGGATGCCTCTATATGGGACTCTTACTTTCTGTAAAGAAACATCTACAAATGAATGTCTATCTCTATTCCGTGTCCCCAACACATATACCTTCTACTCAGCACTGCTAAACCATCACCTGGTGGGGAGTTGGCCAAGGGATGGGGCCACCACATAGAGATGGGCTTAAGATAAACATGCAGGACAGGTGTGACAGCAGAGTTTAAATAGGCACAAGAGCATAGATTCATATTCTGAAAACACTCAGCAGTGGGATTCCCCAGGACCACAGACTATGGATGGAGTAGAAGAGGTGGGAGACACTCATCCAATTCACGGGCCTGACTGAAATAGCCAAGGCCCCTTCATTTTCTGGCTACCATCCTGCAATAAGAAAAGGAAACAAAGCGGGAATGCTGGGCAAGCTAGACACCGTGCTCCTTCTACACCCTACACAGCACACTACAAATAAGTACACCACTCCTTATTGTGAAGTTCTTGTTGGGGAACAAAGCAGCACACGTATGTCCACACACTGAAAACAACTCACTATATGCGTATTTTATTCAATTTCCCTTTCATGCCTGTCTTTCCTCTTTACTGTCTAGCTTTGGGGATGAGAACCACAGCAAAAAGACCACTTTCTATAAACATCAGGTGATGATCCATCCTACTTAGGAAGGGAAAGAGAAGCTCTTAATGTCAGCTCTGAATGTTCTTTCTCTGTCGTTTCAGTCATTTACTTGTATTTCTTTTCCCCTCTCCTGACCACAGCCCTGAGAGTTTCCTGGACTTTCTCATTTACCTTTGTCACAGTTGGGTGGAATCCAGTCTTTCCTGGATAGAACAGCCTCCCATCATGTGCTCACACCTTTTTCCTATGGTGAACATGTAAGAATGTTCATGCCTGGTCAGCATTCCCCAGGTTCCACTTTCCTCCCTGCTTCTTGAGCCATGATGCTTGTCCTCTGTTACACTCCTACGTAGTCCCGAATGAAAACCGATTTCCCAGTTGGGCATTCTCTCCAGGCACATTTCAACGGTCTGCATCACAACTGCAGAAACCTCATCTTTTTCTTCTGTTTTACCGTGAAGTGGTGATGCTACACAAATTCCATCTATTTCCTAAAACTGTTGGTAGACAAGAATCTTCATTCAAATCAAGTGAGCAAAGGTATGATTTACTGTGCTGTGAAAGCATGGCTGCAGATTATCATCTCTGTGCAATAGCTTTCTTCCCTTGAGCATCTCTCAAGGGTGCATTGCCTATCCTGGAGAACTAGTTTGCCAGGCCTATGACATCATTTGGAGGACCCAAGGGAGAAAGAATGAGACCATGGATCTGTGTGACATCTTCACCATTATCACTCTAGCCCCAAAGCATCTCTAATTAGGTAAAATAGGACCAGAAATCCCACAGCACTGCAAATCTCCATCGACTACATAATCCTCTCTTTGTTTGCTTTTGGTCCTTCTAATTGTGAATATTTCTCTTAAAACAGTGAACAAAGCACATACAGTAAAAGAGAGCAGGCGAGAATGAGAGTGAGAGATGAAAGTTACAGCAAACACACAGAGTGGCATTGAAATGAGAGAAAGACAAACACATTCTCTATTCAAGTGGTCACAAACCCATTCAGGGAATGCCAAGCAGCCTCAAAGGTAACATTCATGACCAACAGAGGGAAGGGGTGCAGAAAGAGCAAAATGAAAGGAAGAAGACAGAGATGAGCATTTGTGTGGAGGGAAGGAAATCATTTCCAGCATGTAAATAATAAAGGCTGCTTGGTGAGTTCCTCATTTGATACAAATTTCTACCAATTCCCTTTATTATCATAATTTCCCAGTCTTTAAGACTCACCTACCCAAATATATGCCTTGATGACCCCCATGTGAGCTGGGCTTGAAATATCTTGTTTTTTTTTTTTTTAAATAGATTCCTATATTTAGATATATTTGGCTTTTAGAAAATAGCACTGTTCAGGTTGGGGAGATATTGGTCAAAGGACGTATAATTACAGTTCAGCAGACTAAGTTCAAGAGATCCATTGTACAACATGGTGACTTTGGTTAATGATGATATAATATATTCTTAAAAAATGCACAGAGAGTGCATATTAAGTGTCCTCACCACAAAAATAACTGTGTGATGTAATGCATTCATTGATCAGCCAGGTTTAGCCATTCAACAATGTATACGTACTTCAAAAAATCATGTTGTACACAATAAATATATGCAATTAGTCAATTAAAAAGTCTAAAAACTAATTTTAAAAAAACGCTGTTTTACCTTTAGCATTTACAATTCCATACTTTCTGTATACCCTCCTCAGTTTGCTGAGTCGCCTGAATGTCTTTCGAGTATAAAATTTTACTGCCACCTACTGTTAACTTTTAAGAACTGCAACAAAATGAGGGCAAAGCAGTTTGAAATGTGAGAGATTGAGGAAGAATGGGCGACAGTGGACACAGAAAAGAAATAGATAAAATAAAGAGATGAAGTTGGAGAAAATAATACTTCACAAGCTTATTTATCCTGACGATGTAGCCATCACATTTTAGCATTCTGTAGACAAAATGAAAAAAGAAATAATTAAACCCAGCACAGTTGTGAAGCAATAAAGGATGGGTGGCTTGCCTTTAGAAATCAGTCTCTGCAATATAGTTGCCAGCCCACTTTCTAAAAAAAAGGGTGAAGAAATAGAAAAGGCACATTATTCTAAAATCCAGACAACGGAGACATACCCGGAGAGCCAGGAGGAAGGACCCTTTAGGAAAAGCCAAGCTGCCAGCTTTATCCTAGTGACTCTGGGAACCCCGGCCAACAGCTTCTGTTGAGACATAATCCATCTGGATTTTGTAAATGTGGACTTCTTTTTTTTCTTTTTAAGCATAAGTTGAAACATGAGGGAGCTCTGGATTGTGAAGGCAAGTCACATGAGAGCCACGTTTAGTCTTAGCACGTGGGGCTTATAAGCAAGGCACCTCACTTATCTCGTGATCCCGGATATGCAATATCTCCCTGTGGTAATTGAGTAAGGGCTCAGCCACAGCTACTTATTTTTAGGAAATCCAAATAAGGACTTCTGATCCCAGTTTTAGAAAATGGGAGACAAAACTAGGCGGGGTTGGAAGCTGGTTTGGCACCTCTGAAGATAACTGTAACATACCCCAGCAGCTTTCTGACAACATCTCCTCCCACCCCACCCTTCTCAGGAGAGGGTGGGAACAGAATCTAAACATTGTCTGCTTCCTCCTGACTCTAATGTGTCTAAGGACAAGAGAGTTTCTCAGTTATAGATCAGTTCGAGGAGCTCTGTGAAAAAAAATATAATGAATGCAGATAAATCATAGTAATATTGAAAACAAGAAATTAAAATGGGCTCGACAGACTGTGAGAATAATTCAGTGACTCCAGTGTTAGATATTAAGAACTGCTATGTACTTAACTCTATTCCAAGAGCTGTGGGAGGTACTTAACTTAAAACATTCCATTCCCACCTTTAAGGAGCTTGTAAGGGAGTCATGGAGTAAGACCAGCATCTCACAGAGTATTGGAGAAAACTGTTGGAGGATTGTTGTTCTTATGTGTGATGCCTGGCACAATCATCCAGAAAAGTTAAAAAAAAAAGGGGGGGGGGCGGGGAATGTGGTCTCCATCTCCCTGAATTCCAAATAAGTAGTGCTAGCATGGTGTGGAGATATCTCTTGTTCTGATCTTCTTAGAGTAGGGGGTTCAGAGGGCCCCAGAAGTACCGCAGAGAAGTCCCATGCCCGATATGACTCCCCAGCCACCACCATTTCCAGTGATAATATGACATCCCTCTCACATTCCTCAACTCCACACTGAACATGGTAAGTGATTACTGCTCCACATCCCAGCAACTTGAGATTTGCAAGCGAATTTTTTTGAAAATATTTCAAAATGATCACTCTTTCACACTTTAGATCTGTTTAATCAAATTATTCACCTAAGACAGACACACTGAGAAAACAAGAGTGTTGGTGGAAGTTGGAGAATGCAGCCGGGGACCAACAGTTTATTTTGGAGGTGAATGCCTGGGAAACAATTCTTCCTTGCCACTCTACCTACCACTGTGCTCACCAACAGTGCCTACAACTTCCTATACCGACCATACTTACCTTTTACTTTCTCGCTTGTGAAATACCAACATTTCTCCAAGTCAGGCATTCAGGTGTGTCTTTATTATTTTGATCTGTGAATTCCCTGGATCCAGCATACTTATATTCAAATTTGAAATATATAAATGGAACCCACAGCCTAACAAAAATGGTCAACATTTTACATATTATTTTGTTATCACTATTATTTTGTTATAATTTGATAAGTACTGGGTTTAGTATAGCAATATAAATAGACACGTATTTATTTTGGTTTGACAAAGCACCTTTTCTATCAAGGGATGTTCTATGAATGGAACATCCTTCTATTCATCCCAAAAGCCTGCCTTGTTGGATGCCTACCATTTTAGGTATGGTGCAAAGTGCTATGGAGACAGAGGGAGAAATGCACAGTTTGGTCATCCAAGGAACTCACATGCTTTAAAGAGGGATCCAATCAATACTGCCTCACATTCACAGTATTCCTGAAGTGTGAATAAATATGGCTGCCAGCTTTTACAAATGTAAAAAGAGAGCCACTTAACACTAATATTTCCTCATACTCTAATCATTGGCAAAACTTGGAACTCATGGCAATGAAGGGCGAGAATTTCCTGGGATTATTTCAAATAAAATGGATGTTTAACATTAAAGTAAGTTTGTTTGTTTTTCTTTCAATGTCAGTCAAAATAAGATCTGGTACACAGGGAACTCTGTTCTAACTCTTCCACTAACTGAACTTGGAAAGGTAAATTTAAATCCATTTCCTCCGAGTGGTTTAGGGCCTCCATATGCATAACTGATTGAGGAACAATTCTAAAAATAACAAAGGCAAATCTCTTATTAAATATTTCACACACCCATAGGAATAGAGTGTTATTATGTGCTTGCCAAATAGAGTAATTCACCAAGTCATTTCAAACTCAAGGTAAGTCAAGAAGAAAAAGAAGAAGGAAGACATATGTCAGCTATCCTGTATTTTTCCAGCTGGAATGAGTATCCGGGGTGAGCAAGATTGAGCCCAGTCAAAGGTAAGCAGGGATGTCAAAGGTAGGTAGAAACGGGACCCAACTATCTCAGTGAAACAGATGCCAGGAGCCATCTTTATCCTGACAGCACTGATTTCATCTCTAAGATATATTTCAGCAAAACCTGCATCCCACTAAGAAGATTAATTTTCTCCCGCTTATCTGATTGTGAAGCTGAAAGAATATTTCCAAAATCAAAATCGCTGTCCAACAGTCTGTCTTCCTGTTGAGAACCTGAAACTTTCACAATAAGCACAATTACCCTTTTTATTAGGTTCAGGCCATAACCTAATGTTCCCAGAAGAAACTGAATAAAGAAAATAGTTGAGGACCAGAGGGGAATGATGTTGTTTCTCCCATAATCAGCTTAGAACATCTGAGTTTTCAGAACACAGGAGGTCTCCGGGCTTTATCTTCTCGATATAGTGATTCAGAATTGCAATTGCAGACTATACTAAAAAGGCCAGTTTTTCAGTTTAAAGTATTATTAGGTATCTTGGTATCTCCAAATAATTTCTCGGTTGTCCAAATTTCCTTGAGCACACATAGCATATGGAGAGGTTGAACTACCATTGAATGTTTTCCATTATTTGAGAGATATTTCTGGTTTACACAATGAGGAAGGACAAATACTTATCTGTTCACATGTAAAAAATGAAGAAAATACACATAGAACACTTAATAAGCCTATTTTTTTTCTTTGAGGCTGACATTTTCGTTAATTCTTTAAATATTCATCATTTCTAGGGTCAAAAAAGTTAAATCTAAAAAAAAAAGCAGCAAATTATATTTCCTCTTGTTTCCAGAACACTCTATGCATATATCCATAATAGCACTTATTAGAAGGAACTTTAATAATTGGTTTAATATTTCCCCTTTAAATATAAGCTCTTCAAGGGCAATAATTATTTCTTCTTTAGTTGTATATCTTCAGTGCCTGACTTCAGTCACTGAAGGTGCCCAATACTGATTTGTTCAATACACGATTGACTGAATTGTTTACCCTATTTCTTAGGGTAATCACAATGAAATCACAAATCAGACCTCACACATTATAGTTAAACATTTGATAGCATTATCTTTCCTTGAAGACAGAAATCCTCTGCCAATCATAAAAACCCATTAGCCTTGTGCAGCTGATCGGGTACCAGATACCTGCCTAGACACAATTATCTGGATTGAATATCTACCCTCGGTGTGGTTCACTACACTGTTTCCCCTGTGTCTTAGTCTAGTGGCAAGATATTATTTGTGTGACAGTCCATTTTAGTTCTTTCAGGACTAGGACTTGGGGACATTGAGAAAAAGTACAACTCTTTCAGTCATTTGGGGGTTTCTTACGAACTACAAAATCTAAGAACCGGAAAAAGGTTACTCTGATTCAGAAACAAAAGCAGTGTCTCCTAGACCCTTTACCTGCCTGCTCTTAACCCACCTGACTCAGAGGTGAGTCAGTCCTTTTCTCAAAGAAAACTTAAGAAGAATATATCAGAGTTTTCATTCCATGCCTATTTTCTTTTCTCATAGATCCTCAAGTGGCAAAATTCTTCCTTACAACTCAAATAGATTTGGTCTGCTAAAATTTAAGTAAATTCCCTCTCTATTAATCTTCTGCCAAATGAAATATAGTCTTGTCACTAATCGTGGTGGTACAATTAATGATAAGAGCAAATACATTTCCAGAATCATGTCATTTTAAATAGAACTTCCTTGGACACTGAAAAAAAATTTTTTTAACTTAAAGAAAAAATCATTATGGTCCCAGCAGTAATAATGTCAGTCAACCACTTCTCACCAATTCATTTCAAAATTGGTTCTTAAATATTTGTTATTATGTTCACAGGTTTTGCAGACACTATACACATTGCGTATCCTACTTTGGAATTACAGTCTTTCCTATAGGATCTGCATATAAGTAGGTATGTGTATATCTTTCTTTAAAATTATAATGCTTCTAAATGGAAACATTTAAAATAAATGCAACCAATTCCAGTAATGATAGAAATCTAATTCATCCTTTTTATACTAATTGCCTCTCACTCTGCCTGAGAAAAAGGGAGGTTGATGGATCTAAGGGACTATTTTAAATTTTAAAACCATGGGAAAATGCTGAGAAGATCCAACAGAGCCGGGTCAGTTGCAATTTGGAGGAGAAAGGGCCGCTTGGCACAAAAATGCCCTGGGTGCCTTGGAGGAAGAATGATATGGGGAAAGCCTTGCAGGTATATTTCTTTCTGTTTTCAGTACTTTTTTCTTTTAAATCAGACTTCTCAGAATTTTGTTTTATTTATCTTTTCAACGAATTTTTTAAATTTTTTTTTTTTTTTTTTTTTTTTGAGATGGAGTCTCGCTGTTGCCCAGGCTGGAGTGCAGTGGCACGGTCTTGGCTCACTGCAAGCTCCGCCTCCCGGGTTCACGCCATTCTCCTGCCTCAGCCTCCCGAGTAGCTGGGACTACGGGCGCCCGCCACCACGCCCGGCTAATTTTTTGTATTTTTAGTAGAGACGGGGTTTCACCATGTTAGCCAGGATGGTCTTGATCTCCTGACCTCGTGATCCACCCGCCTCAGCCTCCCAAAGTGCTAGGATTACAGGCGTGAGCCACTGAGCCCGGCCAAAAATTTTATTTTCTGTTCATCATCTGTCTGTTTTATTCTCCTTGTCATTGATTTCTCTCATTATCTTTATCATTTTTCTCCCCTCTCATTTCTTTACACTGGGATTCTTTTTCCAATTTATCAAATTGAATGCTTTGCTTATTTGCACACAATCATTTTTCCCTTGATAAATGAATCTGCAGTCCTAACGTACTATGAATACTACGTTAGCAGTGTCTCGAAAACTCTGATAAGTAGTATTTTCAGTTCTAAGAATTGAAAGTTTCTCTTTTGATTTCTGTTTATATAGTGAGTTATTTAGCACTGTCAACAGGATGCTAAATTGAACCTTTCCTATCCCCCAAGTTGACTGGGGCTTTAAAGTGTAAAGCAACAGATGCTGATCATACCTAGATTATTACAATAAGTGTTCAGGGCCTTTTCAGTTACTGATTCATCAGTACTCTAACTGGGAAGGTAAATTTTGCATTATCGAGTAAGCTGAAACTGCATATATATTCTGCAACACAGAAGGGCACAGGATGTTTGCTGCATTTTAAAAAATAATAGAATATTAGAAATCACTATCGAAATAGAGAAACAATTTATAGCATATGTATGATGCAATATTCTATATCAAAAATTATTAAAAACCCACATATATCAATATGAATGAATTTCAAAAACACAATGCTGAGTGAAATGGCAAGTTCCAAAATATATGCATTATATAACACAGGCAAAAACAAAAATACAAGTTGAGTATCCCTTATCCAAAATGCTTGGGACCAGAAGTGCCTCAGATTTTTTATTTTCTTAGGATTTTGGAATATTTGCATTATACTTACCAGTTGAGCATCCCAAATCCAAATATCTGAAATCCAAAATGTTCCAATAAGCACTTCCTTTGAGCATCAGGTCAGCACTTTAAAAGTTTTGGATTTTGGAGCATTTCAGATTACAGATTTTCCAATTAGAGATACTCCAACTTGTACAATACAAAACAAAACCATAAAACAATATTTTTTACACTACTCTGTGTTGTTTATGGCTTGAAAGAAAGATATAATGCAAATATAGAAAAACAATGACATAATAAATCAAGGTGGTTGGTACATGATGGCCTTCTATATAATTTTTACGCTTATTTTGATTAGAACATAGTTTATATATATTTAGCAATTTTAAACTGAAGTTTACCACCATTATATTTTGTTTCAATCTCTTCTTTTAAAGAAAAAAATGCTTAAAAATTAATTCTCAGCCATATTTACTTCTGGGTAAGTTTGCAGTTGTATATTTAATGTGCATGCATAGTACCCCTATATTGTAGGACTTTTCACTGTACAAATGTAAAAAAGAAATAGAAACCAAAGTAAACTTCTGTGGCTCTGGTACGCTGACTTTGTATGGTCCCTTTGGGAAGATAGTGTAGGACAATGGAAAAAGCATGGAGTCAGAAGCCAAACCGACCTCAGGTCAAACTACACTTGCCATTTGAAGTGACCTAAGATAAATATTTTACCCTCTAGGAGCCTCAGTTTACTTATCTGTTAAGCAACAGCTAAATTTAAAAATTGTTGAATGAAGATCATTTAATTATGATACAAAGCAAGTGGGAAGTAGTCCATCAATAGTAGTTATTATTAACATTATTAGATATTTCCACAACTGCAATTATACCTATTTGTATCAGAGATGATGTCTGAAGGAAATAAAAAGATATTCTAAGAAATAAATGGACATAATAATTTTAAAAGTTAAAGAATTAATTAAAAAGTTGAGGTAAGGCATCTGGTTTAGTTTAGTTTTATTTTTAAGTGATTTAACACAACAATTTTATTATGCTGTGTCTTCTATGAGACAGGAATTCAGACTGAGCCTAGTAGAGATGACTTGCCTTTGTTCCACAATGTCTGGAGATCCAGCTGGAGAAGCTGAAAGGCTGGGGATGAATGTTTGAATGCCACTTTGCTTGTTTTCAAAGTAATTTTTCAGGTTTTTTTAAAAAGTGTCTACTACTCTAGGGCATTTTAGAACTAAAGTAGTATAAATGACTGCAAAAACTTATAGCTGTAAATTGAAGATCAACCAAAAATTAAGAGACATCCCTAAAAAGATAGTTTAACGCAAACAGACAGAAAGAGTTCATTTTGACATCTGGTTTTAAGAACCTGGCTATTATATAAAGTGGTAAATTTATTTGTCATTCTTGGGAAGAATATTTACTATCTTATATACAATTATTTTATTTATTATGATACGTACATCAGTATGTTATATATAGAAAAATCAGGACCTAGAAAACTAGATTGAGCTCATATTCTGCTTTGTGGAAACAGATTATATATATATATACAACTAAAATACTCATTGGTTTACTGAGTTTTTACTCAGTAAACAAATACTGGTTTGTCCAGGCTTAATTTCTATTTCTGTAGCTAATTAAAACACTAATTTTCCAATAAGTCTGCCAACAGATAAATGGCCACTTTTTTAGCCATTCGTGGGTGGCTGACTCACCCTGATTCACAAGCCTCAATTCTGTATAAAAAGGAAATGGAAAACATCCTGAATTATAAGCAATCAAAATGCCATCAGAAACTAACAACACAGTTTAATTAAAAAGAAAAATCCATAGTAATTCATTGTTGTTCCTTTCCCGTCTTCACACAAGAAAATAAGAGGTAATACAGAGAAGCAATTAAAATGAAGTCTTCTGCCCTGAGGGTGTGTGCCTCGAAACTTTGCCAATGAAATAATTAGCTCCAAATTTCTCATTTTTTTCCCCTTTGTAATACTGAAATTGCTTCTGGTCTTTCTCCAGAAACAAAGCACTTCCTTTGCCTCTTTAGTTAACCCTAGGATTCGAAGAATCTTCAGTTATCTTGTTATTCTGTCAAAAGACTAAGACTGTGTGGTTACAAGGCCATTGTCATTATTTGATTAAGACCCCAGGTAAACTGGAAACCAGCCTAATTTCATGAACACACTGGATTTGCATAACCTCTGAGATGGATTGATTGGCCTGAAATTAAAGAGTAGGTGCGCATGAGTGTATCTGTCACCAGAGGAGATGATAGGGAGGTGGATTCACCGAGCACAAAGGTATCGACACTGCTGTGAAACTTCAGCATGCATCCTACACTCTCACCATGATCAGACCTCAGAAGAAAGCACACATACTGTTCTGATCTACAAACAAATGCTGTACTGCTTACCCACAGAGACTGCAACCACAACATGGGCAGCACCCAGCTTTAGCCAACAAACCCACGTGGCAATATTGGGTACAGCACACATGCACAGGCTCAGGACTGAGGACCACTGAAACAGCAAGATAATGTGTTCACAAATGAAAAACCACGTGTCACTTTCAAGCTACTCATGATCACTCTCATGCATGTCTTTATGATGTGGCAAACAGGGACGTGTGATAAACACTAAACTCCAGTAAAGAAGACACTGGTGAGGTTTAAAGTATGTGGAGGTCCACGTGCAAGGGGCTCAAGGTGGCTCAGGAGCAAAAGAAATGGAAGGTGGAGTTCCATGAACGGTTTGGGGTAGATAAATATGAGCAAGGTGCATGGAATGAAAACACAGAGTAGCACCTGCATGAGACAGCCTGAGCGCCATTGAAAAGAGAATCCTGACCACTGGGGCACAGCCCACAGTACATCCTCTCCCAGCAATCACAGTGGCACAGAGGAAAAGAACAGCAAGAGAACTCTTACTGTAGCACGCGGGAGTGGCTGAGATCTTTCAGATCTGAGTCCTCATAATAGGGAGCTATCATCCCCAGCCCACTGTCACTCAGCATGCGTTTCCGCAGGGCAGGATTCCACCAGTCTGAGATCCTGAGAGAAAGAAGGGCACCAGACAGTTAAACATTCAAAGTCAGCCACGTGACTTCGTTTCCACTTTCTGAAGATGAATCTTGCCAGTAAATGTGAGAAGCAAAATTCATCTTTATGAAGTGTTTACCAGATACTACCCATTTATTATTTCATTCATTTATCTCAACAATCATGAACTATTTGTATGATTCTGTCCCCTTCACAGATGAGAAAACTGATTTTCAAGATTAAGTCATTTTAAATGTGACATGAATAAGAAGTAATAGACCTAGGGCAGAAATGCAGATTAGAAAATAACAAAGTCCATCCTGTTTCACTGCTTCCCTGTTCCTGGTTTAGTTCAGGGGAGGCAACTGGTGAGAAATAAGAAAGGCACTGATTCAAGTCCTGGTGGATTTTCAGGCTACTTTATTTTTGGAGCTAGAGCTAACAGAGGTCTAGCAAGGCCAAAGCATTTGGCCATTATTTGACATGAAGAAAACGACCATACAAAAAATTAGCCAGGCGTGGTGGCAGGCGCCTGTAGTCCCAGCTACCCATGAGGCTGAGGCAGGACAATGGCATGAACCCGGGAGGCGGAGCTTGCAGTGAGCCAAGATCGCACCACTGCACTCCAGTCTGGGTGACAGAGCGAGACTCCATCTCAAAAAAAAAAAAAAAAAAAAAAGGAAAAGAAAAAGAAAATGACCAAGTGAGCAAAGACCAGGGCAACTTGGCAGAATGGACTTTCTCCTTACTAGATCAAGAGTCAGAGCCCAGGTTAGGTGGGGTAGGAGGACACCCAGACTCTAGCACCTGCTGCTTCTGCAGTAGGACAAAACACTCTACCTGCTTTCCCCACTACTGATGGGTCTGATGCATGGATGTGCCCCACGAAGTTGGCCTTCCCCACCACCTTTGGGGCTCCCAGGGGTGCATCAGGTTACCCCTTGTGCCTGTCGGCCTTCCCCCATGCTCTGACATCGCAGCTCTGGCTTCCTGAGAACAGCTTGCTATCAGGCCATGCAGCCACTTGTGTCCTCTCTTGTCTCCACCTAGACTTGGTACATATTGGACATCAACTGCCCCTGGCAGAGTGGGAAACCACCCACAAATAGCAGCAGTGAACCAAAAAAAGTGAAAAAAAGTAAATCAAGTGACAAGGGGAAAACAGGAATGAAGATGACATTGCAGTTGTGCTAGCCTAGTGGACTGTTTATTCATACTGTATGAGTCTGTGTACACGATGTGCATTTACTATTTGGGCACATTGTGTATGGTTTCTAGAGCAATTCTTACTTCAACAATTCAGGCCCCATAGACCAGTAAAACACTAAATTTCACAAGGACAAAGATTCTTATCTGTTTTTATTTTTGTACTGTTATTCCCCAAGTGCTTACACTAGGACCTGGCACACAAAATTCTCTAAATAAATAGTTTTTAATTATTGAAATAACTTAGAAATACTAATTATGTTTTGGTGGTAGAAGGTGGTAGTTAAATGCATGGGCTCTGGCATCAGGTAACCCAGGACTATATCTCATTTTTTCTACTTATTTTCTGTGAAATATTAGACAAGTAACATAACCCTTTAGGTCTCAATTTTTTAATCTATGAATTAAGGATAATTGTACCAAATTTTCAAGGTCACTAGAATGATGGTGATGACTATTATTATTATTGTAATAACATTCTGTTTAATGCATGTTTTAAAAATGCCAGGAATGACTTTAAGTGCTTTACCTGTATCAATTCTTTTAATCGCCAAACAATTCTCTGAGTGAGGATTATTGTTATTTGTATTTTACAGATGAGAAAATAAGCACAGAGCACTTAAGATGATTAAGTCACTATGAAGCGGTGGTAGAAACAGAAGAGAGACACAGGACAGAGCTCTTAAAAAGGGCTTGGTATGTCATAGTTATTATTATATAATCTACATGTCTCCAGCAGCCTGGAAATAGCAAAGAAGAGGAAGAGGAGAAAATTTGTCAAATCACCTGTGTCAATTTTTAATGTAGATAACAGAGTTACTACAAACGTACAAGCACAAACACAAGTACTAGTGCTTTCTAGGTTTGTTAGGAAGGGTTGCTGTGATGGGGAAAGAGGCTTGGACATGGTGTAAATCTGGTTTTGTGTTTCTTCACGGCCATTCATAAGACAGACTTATAATAACCACTCTAAGGAAACACAACAAGAAAATCTACACTTCAAAATCATTTGATGTCATTAGAACGATGTCAAGTTCAAAGGCGAACCAGACATGGATGTCACCCTAAGGCCAGCCTCACAGGCCAGGAGAAGCACACTCACCCCGAGGCTTGTTCCACCACCAGGTCAGGCATGCCCGGAGGTGTCCCCGCCGGCTGTGACACCACCATATCTGGGTCCAGAATAAAAATCTCATCTTGGGAAATCTCCATCACAAAGTGCAAATGTTCCTAAAGAAGAACAAGAAGTCTGTTGCATGAAGAATAACAAAACAAGTATTCTTGGTCTCGAGGAATAATGAAATTCTGCAACGTGTCAAAGGATCACACTGTGTTGTCAGAAGCTTGATCAGTTGGTGATCCTCCCCAAAGCTGCGCTAACGCAGACAGTGGGAGATAGGGAGAGATGAATCCCCTTGGTTCAGGATTTCCAATTAACCAGGACTTTTTCTTAGATATATCTAGAAATGGTCTTGCCTCATCTTCTTCCCAAATACTATTAGAGAAGTGACACCCACATACAATTGGCCCAGCAGGAGTGTATGGTAAGTGGACTTCTACCCCGTCATCTGGTCAAAGCTAAGCAGCATGGTTAACAACTTTATCATTAGGTTCAATACTGTACATTTTTCTCCTAGGAGAATTCAGATAATGGGAGGAATTCTTAACTTGGGCAAAACCATTTTTTTTTTCTCATCACTGACCTCCAGGGATTGGCGAACTGAAACTAAGTAGTCTAGTTATACACCTGGGGCCTCAAACTTGCTAAACAGAAATGAGCTTAAAAAGACATGAAATTTGGCTAAAAAGGAGTAAAAATATCTTTGTGAATGAAAATTTGGAGTACAGGCTGGTGATAATGTCTACAAGTCAACTTATTTTCTGTACTCATTTGCAAGATTAAGCCACATCATCTTGAGTCCATAAATCATAAAACACGTGAAGACAAATAAAAGGTTCAAGCTTAAGTTATGAACACCATTCCAAAATTTGTGTCTCAGTGGTTTTCGTTAGAAAAATTTATGAGATTAGCTACCAATAAAGCACATTAACTTGGGAATTTTTCACTTTCACAAGCAGGCTGGAAAAAAACTTACCTGAGATCTGTCTATTCGATAAAAGCGATCAGCAGAAGTTGCTAGGGGAAAAAAAATGCAGATGGCATTCAGAATGTTCTGTAATCTGGCACCAAATTTATAACCTTCTCTTCGACTATGCTGGTCAAAACCCCTACATGGCAGTCATGCTAGTCTCCTGGCCAGTCCCTAAATCTATTAAGAAAACCTCAGCACTTCCATGCCTCTGCCACTGCTATTCTAAGGCTTGGAAAGCCCTTCCCTTTGCCTCTGCCATCTAAATCATACTTGTCTTTAAAGAACCAGCTCAAGTGCTTCTGCTTCTGTGAAACCTTTCTCAGTCCCAACCTCCCAACACCAGACAGAACCTGCTGACCCTGCATCCATCCACATTTACATTTTTTAAAACTTCTTATACAGACTATCTTCACAGATAACCATGAGACTAAGAGACCTGCCTCTTTAAAAATCTGTTTCATTTAATCTTTTATGCCTCCTGAAATTAGCAAATGATCTTAAAGTAAGTTAGGAATTAGTATGTATTTATTAAGTAAATAAAGCTAGAAAAAGCTACAGTTACGTAGACTTCTCAGTGAAGTGACTTCCCACTTCGGAAAATGGCTTGAAGATTCAGGCCAGAGACCATATGTGGTCTTAAATGAATCATTTCACTTTCAACCTGCATCCTTAGAGTCATGTCTGAAGGAAGCCAAAACAGCAAAAAAATTATTTAAGCATTCTCTGAAAGAGATTGAGCTACATCTATGGTATGCGAAAAAAATCTAAATTACAAATTTTGGGTTTCTAGAAATTATTTTAAATATTCCTAATATTAGAAAGAACTATCAGCTGCATTTTGGGAAGCTCAGGTGGGAGAAGTGCTTGAAGCCAGGAGTCTGAGACCAGCCTGGGCAACAAAGCAAGACTTCATCTCTACAAAAACAATTTTTTTAATTAGCTAGGGATAGTGGTGTGCCCCTGTGGTCCCAGCTACTTGGGAGGCTGAAGTAGGAGGATTGCCTGAGCCCAGGAGTTCAAGGCTGCGGTGAACCATGATCATGCCACTGCACTTCAGCCTGGGCAACAGAGTCAGACTCCTATCTCAAAAAAGAAAAAAAAAAAAAAGCAAACCAAAAAGAATTATGTGCTTCTCACTTAAATCTATCTAACAAAGCCCAAATATTATAAATAGATTTTCTACAAAACAAACAGCACAAGAAAGAAAAACTCAAAATGCAAGCACTTATTTAAAATTCACAAACATTTAATGAGTAGCTTCTCTCCAAAGGCGACAGAACTAAGAAACCAGCCAATCATCACCCCTGCTGTCTAAAACCTAAGAATAGAATAAAATCTGCCTTGGAGAAATTCACTCTACTTTTTTCTTTTAAACCATGACTGCAATTACCTTTTAAAGGTTTTATTTTATTAAAACTATGGAGTAAAACTACTACCTGGGCTAAGACTGTCAGCCACAATATTTGTACTTTTATTTAAGACTTTAGATAGAACATAACAACATAAATATTTTCATAATTTTCTCAAATACAAGTTGTTCCTCTGCAAATTCAGGAATGACAAATGATTATGTTTCTCATTGCTATGGAATAAAGAAGCTGGAGGAAAGTTCTGAGAGGCAGCTGATGAGACATTAACAAAAACCTACATCATGATTTATGTGGGTTAGATCTCATACAGATACAAGTGCCCATCTTCATAACACTAGAAAAATATATATATGGCATTCAAAGTGTTCTGTGATCTGGCACCAAAGTTATAACCTTCTCTTCCACTATGCCAGTTAAAACCCTTACATTGCAGTCATGCTAGGCTACTGGACAGTCCTTAAATCTTAATAGATCTCTGCTGCTGCCATCCCAATGCTTGCTCATACACTCACAAATCCTGTCATACTCATATTCACATTTATATCCTCTCAGATGCTCACCCAGAAAAACAAAAAAGGGGTCTACAATGAAAATCATGTCTCCATATGAACAAAAGAGAGAATGGGTAGTAGATACATTCGGTAGTATGTAAGCATGAATATACAGAGGTGAGAAGGTACTGCAATACGGGTAATTGGATAGAAATGTAGTATTAGGCAGCATCTAGGAGAGAGATACTTGAGATAAAAAAACGGACTCATTAAACAATCATAAGATAACTAACCTATTATGCATGCAATATATCATGCGGATCTGAGCAGATTTGAATGCAACTGAATTTTTCCACCTTTTTCCAGAAATGTATACATCATACTGCAATAATGGTCTCATAAAAATAATATGAATGTTCCATAAGATGCAAATAACATAGAAATTATATCCATCCTATGCATATAGAATCCAGCTACTGGTCTGAATTAATTTAAGGCAGGCAGTCAAGCTTTAAGAAAAGAGGGCTGATGAAAGAAAAACATCGGCCTGAGCAACTTGATGCTGAGTTCAGCCAGAGTTAACCAAGCTGTGTTGAGGGAAATGACTTCAGGAAAGGACAGTGCAATATCAGCAGGCCCACATTGTTCCGCATGCCAATACCAGCCATGTGGAGTCACATGAAGGCTTTCTGAATAATCTTTTGGAAAACTAGAGCCCACCCTATCAATTGATGCCTTGCTCTTCAACTTCCCCAACTCCCACGATACCCGCAAGAAAGGCAGAACTCACCATCTAGGAAGCACCACCGAGGAGAGAGCCTCTGTGCTGAGAGAGCCCTGGGGAAGGAGGTTTCATGGTCCTGGAAAGAGACACACACACTCTAGTGGCTGCATTTCAATAACCTGATGGGCTTCCCTCACTCAGCATTCTGCCATCCTTTCCTACACAAAGCACTGGTGAGAAGAGCAAATCACATTTTTTTTTCTCTAGGAACACAAAGAAGGGCTCTTTTTTGAAATTCTTTCACATAGAACTTTTGAAAATGACTCCCTCATAAAATTAGCATGAGGTTTTTAATTATTCCATTAAATATTTTCAATTATTCCATTAAACATAAATAATCTAATTTAGGACATTTACTTCCTTATGGGAATTTCTTTCTTTCCCTTTGTGAAGCCAAGGAATGAGTGACAGCTGGCTGTCATTGACACATAGGTCTAAGGCGCTGGCACAGAATGGGAATGAATCAAACGTTATCTACTGGCCACACGGGACATACGGTACGTGAGAAAAAGCAGCAGCCATCCATACACAGGGACTGTTCATCTACATGGAAACAAAGAAAATCAACCTCGCATACTGAGGTCATCTCTAACCTCAGCCTTCTCCACTGAACCTAATTACAGAGGAGTAGACAAGGAAGAAAAGTAGTGCCAGGTTAACTCATGACAAAATCACTCTGTCCAACACTCATCCAGACAGCAATGTGCTCATTCACCTGAGCATTTTCTAGGCGTCTCATTTCTATGACCTCCCAATTTCCCCTCTCCTATTTAACATCAAGTCTGCCTGACATAACTACCATCATTCTTTCCTCTGGGTTCGGATAAAAATAGTTCTCTTCTCTCCAAAGTCAATCACTTAATTTAGACTCTGGACTATCTTTCTTTCTCCTTTGAACTTTATTTCTGTAGCATTATTAAAATCCACTCATTAATTCTTCTGCTCTCAATAGTTCCCTCTCTTCCAAAATAAATTACCCTCAGCTGATCTTGTTACATCTATTTTTTTAATTTTTATTTCATTTATATTTTATTTTTTGAGACAGGCTGTCTTCCAGGCTGTCTTCCAGGCTGGAGTGCAGTGGTGTGATCATGGCTCACCATAGCCTCAGTTTCCTGGGCTCAGGTGATCCTCCAGCCTCAGCCTCCTGAGTAGCTGAAACTGAAGCTGATATATCTTTTGATAATCTTCTTAAACTCTCCTTTCTTGCCCTTCCAAACTCCTGAAGCTTATGTTTATTATCTCCTGCTCCAAGTCTCACTTACACACCTCAGACATGACCTCTAGAAGCTTGGCCTCTGACCTCCCAGCCTTCCAAAGCTGCCCTTCCAAGAGATTGCCAGGACTAGCTTGCTTCCCTGACTTACTACAATTCTCAGTTCCCAAACTTCCTTGAAGTCTCAGAAGCTTTTATTTCTTATAAAGAATTAAGGCTACATCCACGAAACAGAAGAGAGAACTGGCAGATTGAAAACTGAAAGGATTTTCTCTTTAAGATTCCAAACTTTTAAAAATTAAACATTTTCTCTACTAAGAGAAGCCTGCCAGTGATAACTGGGGAGGGAGGAGAGCACCTTCTAGTTTACAACATGTGATTTGGAGCATTCTAGCCCTGGTTTGCAGTGGAATTGAAATCACTGACAGAAATGGGACAAACGAGGGAGGCCAGGTCTCTGTGGGGAAGACACTGGGAGTCTGGCCCTTAATAGGGATTTGAAATGTTCAAATGTAGGGAGCAGCACTGGGGTGCGGCTGTGCAGGCAGCAATAAAGACTTGGCAGCTGAAGCCGCAGGTGTGGATGATCTTGTGTGTACAGAGGGGACAGGAGAAGAAAACAGGAATAACATAGAAGAAGTAATAAGGACCCAATCAGAGGTTGTACTGACTTTCCTGGGAGTTAATCAACACTCCCTGCTGCCCTACTTGATCCTCAAATAAAGCCTGGGATTAAATCACTTGTTCTCAAAGTGTGCATCAGCTAGAAACTTGTCAGAAACACAAATTTCCAGGGCCCATCCCAGGTCTACAGAAGCACTATGGGTGGAACCCAGCAATGTGTTTTAACAAGCCTTTCAGATAGGTCTGAGGATGTATGTGAAAGAACCTAAAGTTACCGAACAAAAGGATGCATCTTAGTAAACTAGAAACCTGGAGTGTATGGAGTTTTACTCTAAATGAATTCTGTGAATTAAATAATTGATAGAGGAAAAAATGGTCTCATTCAGGAATGCTACCAAAATCTATATTTATAAATATAAAATATGTATATCATTTATATTTATAAATATATCCATATAGCTATGGATACAGAGATACTATATAATATATACAGAAAAAATATATGTTACATATAGTCTCTCTCTTGCTCTCTATATGTATATATGTATATATAATATATACACATGTATATATTATATATTATATACATGTGTATATATACATTATATTATATATGTATATACAGACATATATACATATATATTATATACACACTATATATGTATATATGTTATATACATACATATATATTATGTTATATATAATATATACACATATATGTGTATATATACATATAAATATATATACACATATATATGTGTATATACATATAAATATTATATATACACATATATATGTATATACATATAAATATTATATACATACACATATATATGTATATATACATATAATATATGTATATATACACATAATATTATATGTATATATACATATAATATTATATGTATGTGTATATTTATGTGTATATACATATAATTATTATATGTATATATACATATAATTATTATATGTATATATACATATAATTATTATATGTATATATACATATTATAATTATTATATGTATATATACATATACATATTATATGTACATATACATATATAAACGTATATATTATATGTTATATATACATATATATTATATATACACGTGTATATATTTCCTCTTTTTTGAACTGGATTTTCATCCTGATTGTTGAGCTAAGTAAAATCTTGACATGTGCTTAGTAACTATTTATATGAGAATTATGTGTAACATTTTGAGAATTATATTTTGACATGTGTGACAACTTGTTTTAAAGGAACTTAAGGTACTTAATGCATTTTTGAAAAACAGATAAAGCTACTGACGTCTCTCAGTTGGGTGAGAAATGTAATTATAGATCAAGACATTTGGAAGTGATTCAAAATATTTAGTGGCAACTATGAAAGCTAATAAATAAAGAGATTAAACAGAAACAGGATTATCTTCTCTATGAATAAAGGGGCTAAAACATCAAGGACACTTTCTGCATTTTGATGTTGAATATGCTGCAGAGGACACAATAAAAAAAATCCTAATTTCTGTATGTAAAAATCAATGGAAAAAATACAGGAATGCTTGATTTATTGTTTTAAAAACCTAAGGATCCATCACACTATCTCTAGGCTATTCTAATTACAGAAAATTGGATGTTATTTAGTCTAGGTTAGTAAAATCTAGATTGAGGCACTGCCTCAGCAACATGACTACCACAGGTTGGTAAGGAAATATAGATGGTATATATCTTTTTATGTGCAGGTGGCTGTGTGTCTGGAGAGTTTTATGCCCATGCCTGACTTTTTTAATGTAGTTTGCTTTTGTTCACTTATTTACTCTACATTTTGATCCATAGATGGAAATTGCAAAAATGTTTGATCTACAGAAACATCTGATATAACTCAATGTTCTTAAAGAGGTTTCGTCTAAAGATAACATTACAATTTTGTTTGGTGAAAACACATGGGTCGCCATAAAGCTCTTTAAAATACTTTAATGGGTCCTCAAATAGGTTCAACAATTCTTGAACTCTCCAAAATTGTATGCCAGATTTGGTATGTCTATGTGTATGTTCATTTTCCTGGACAGAAAAACCACTGCTTTCTAGATTATCAAAGTGATCTGAGATTTCCAAGATGCTAAAAAAGCTATTAATTTAAAGAATCAAAAATTTATGTCACAGAGAATTCAACAAAATAAGAAGATTCTGATCAGTAAAATGCCTTATGAGAATAGGAATCACCAATGCAAAGTTACTGGTAATTGTAATACCAAAACAACAAACAACAAAAGCTCTCTGAGCTTGTGGCTATTCTCCTAGGAGCAGACTGAAACTAGGTCAATTTTTACATGGAAAGACTCAACTTTTTGCTTATTTCCATCCATAGTCTCTCCCAAGTGTTTGTTTTCAGTGCCTTAAGTTCTTCTACTTATGTTCATTTTTATAAACAAAGGGAAAAAATGTATTTATATTTACCATTGTATGGTATTAATAATTGAAGTTAAACAATACATCATTACTTAAAGGCACAGGAATCTGATTTTAACAATTGGATACTTTCCTGGTGACCTGACAATTAAACTTCAATTTTGGGAGTTGTTAGAAAAGCAAAAGTAGAGTTCTAACTTCTGTGAAATGCTTCCCTGAAATACATTTGCATCCTCTTCCAACTTTTGTGAAGCTCTTTCCACCTTGTTCCTTTAAGAAGAAGTGAGTTCTTAAAGAAACAGCTACTCACATAATAGGTCCTACGTTAAAAGTCATTTGAATTCCAATGAAAAACTGTAATTACTATCTGGGCAGATTCATAATGCAACTAAACTACTTATTTAAAAATTCTACATATATAAAATGTACAAAAGCATCAAGTCTCAAAAAAAATTGCCCTTGAATCTATTCCATGTACATATCTAAGCAGATGAAAATGCTTCACCTACATCGGGACACTAAAAATTGGAGATTTTTTTGAAGTCAATGTTAAAATGATGTTCCAACATAACAGATTGACAATATGCAAAATACACCCACAAAATATGCCAGTAATCGGTAAAACAAGAAACAAGAAAATCCAGGTACGAAGCATAAATGGGTGCTGAAAATATATCTCAAAGATCCAAGACAGAATAGGAGGTGAAGAGCAGGCTAGGGACAGAAAAGTTGGTGGTGGTTGAGGTGGCGGTGGTGGATGCTGGATTTCACTTGAGTTGAAAAACAGAGCAAAAAGATAGTGAGAAAGTCTGCTTCGCAAAACTGAAATTGTTGTAGGATGTGATCATCATTATCACAGACAAGCTAAGAATTGAGATGCCAAAAAATGTTCCTGTCCTTGAGGTGTTAAAATATCGTAGGGGAGACAGATCTGATGAATGAGATGGAAAAACAAGGCGAGAGATTGTATGGGATCCAGCCCCAATTAAGCAGCAAGCCCAGAGGCGGCGGAAGGCTGATGGGAAGCACACCAGCTTTGAGAGGCACGACAATCCTGGCGCCCTACCCGCTACTCGCTGTGAGAGTGTAGGATAGTTTCTTATCCAGTTCCTTGAATACCTCATTTTAAAATGGCTACAATAATATCTATCATAAAGGGTTCTTTTGAGGAATTAATGACACATAAAATGCTTAACCCATTTGCCGAAACATGTTTATGTGCAGATATAATTATGCGAGAGATAATTATATCTCATGTTAGGCAGCTGAGACATTATTTTACCTAAAACAATTCTGCCCTTAGTCACATGAGGGTCTCATGGGACACAGGCCACATTTCAGACCAGATCATTTAGATGGTGCTACCCCTAACACAACACTATTTATCCATAAATACATTTGCACTCAGATTCTGAGTTTTGGAGAAAACAAAGAAATAGGACAAATTTGTATGAGTGAACACAAAACAGAGTGGCTTTAAACAAAGGCTGAAATCATGCCATTTGTTGGTTTGGTGCTTATAGGGCTTGTCTTAATCAGCAATCCAGTGCCTCTGTTCACAACATTAGATGTTATATAATTGTCTTAAATACAGGATATTGTCTTCAAGGCTGAATGTCTTCTATCACCAACAAGCATACATTTCGGAACATTTTATTTTACTGATGTCTCCCTTCCCCATTCAATAGTAACTGCCTACTTGCTATTTCCTTAGTTTCACCAAAATTAACGTGTCACTTGCTAATTTGTCAGTTGTCACAAAACTATACATTATTCTTTTTCCTGTGATACAACTGTGATCAACCTTTTTAATGTGTATTTATTAAAGCCAATGAAATGCAAGGCATGTGACGGAAGGTCACAAAAAACGAAGCATGGACCATGTCGTTAAAGGGTGGCCACTACACTAGGAACCAGTCTAGGTGCTCTGCATGCTTCTTTCTGGCTCCAATTCTTGGAGTTACTGTAAGTCTGATTTACCAAGTTTCAACTTCTTTTCCCAATGGATGACTATTTTAATTACGATTTCAATTTATTTCCTGGCTACTGCCAACAGCCACCAATTTTGGAAAAAGGATTTTGAGCCAGCTGCCAAAAGAATCAGAGCTTGGTAATTAAAAAAAAAAATAGAAGACAGCAGAATAAATTCATTGTTGGCAAACCAAATGGAAGGCTCAATTCACATTTAAGAAAGCCCTTTCCTTTCAAAGTCTCAAATTTGGGGCTAAAAACCTTTGTTCTGGAGCAGTAGTTTTCAAATAGTCCTGGTGCTGACGTACGGCCAAGAAGTGCCAGCAGATACAATCCTGAGTCATCCAACCCCGTTACATAGAGGCCAGCTGTCACGATGTCAAGTAGAACAGGTAGCTCTTGACTCTGGCTCTCGTTCATTCCTCCCTACTCTTAGTCTTCCACCTACAGCTTCTGCCCTGACTCATCTCCACTGTCTGGCAGTGAAGGATAAGAAACACTAATCCGGACAAGCTGTCAAAAAATCACTGAACCACATTTTGGTGATGGTAATTTTCCTTTTTTTTTCTTTTTACGGTGTGCTCATTTTTTGCTTCTGAGAATTTCCCATAAACATGGCTCTACTTCTGTATTAATGGTGGCTATAGATTAAATAAAGCTTAGACTATTCCATTTTTTATTTCATCTACTGAATAATTTATACTTGATAAAATTTCACTCAGCCATATATGTTACTATCAGAATTCACAATTGGAGTGTTCAAGTCTCACATAGTCATCTCCCTTAGTTTTAGGGTTACCTGGACACTGCCATAGAGATAATTTAGAAATATTAGGCTACAGTCTCAATAATAGCTTAATTTTAACCCATAATCTTCTATGCATGTGCAGGCTTTTTTCGTTTTGTTATTAAGAAGGCTGCATAATCTAGCTCCTACCTACCTCTCCTGCAATCCACCCCACTATTCTTCCTGAACCTCTTCTCCTGCATGTAAGAGCTGGCCACAATAAAGAACTGCAGTGGTGAGAATTTAAGTAAACTACCCAGAAGCCCCAAGCTATTCAGTGGTGGAGAGTACAGACTTCTTTTACTTCAGAGCTCATGACCTTATGCACAGGGTTTTACAGCTTCTAGAGGAATTATGATTTCAGGTTTTGAAGGAAGAGTGAGGTTTGGTATAGATCAAGTTTGAGAGCTCAGAATTTTCTAGACTCAGCTCAAACAAAAGCAGGAAGAAAGCAAACCTAGAATGATCTAAATGGCTATGAAGATCTCATTCTACTCTAGTCAAGGATCTTACACAGATGTCAAACTAAGCTTCCTGTTTCTTACCAGACAGTTTGCTCCTGGTAGCTCAGAGTTCCTGCCCCCACACATTCTTCAGTCTTGCTCTCTTCCCACTTCCCACCACTGTGTTCCCTGCTGCCTAAGAATTCCACAGAAATATGGTAATCAATGGGAATGGCAGGCAACCCCAACCCAGACACAGGAACCGAGACTACAACCATGTGAAGAAAA
Organism: Homo sapiens; assembly: GCF_000001405.40. Taxonomy (NCBI): domain Eukaryota; kingdom Metazoa; phylum Chordata; class Mammalia; order Primates; family Hominidae; genus Homo; species Homo sapiens. The sequence continues at coordinate 137,477,281 of NC_000007.14, forward strand.
ATCCAATTACAGATTTTGGGTAACTTTGCTGTATGCATTATGTAACTTATAATCTTCACACAAATATAGCCAATCTTAATATGTTTTTAGCATGTTGCATGGTTTTCATTTCTGTTATGATTTTATTTTTGAAGTACCATAAAGTTTATTGGAATTTTGCAAACATTGGCAACAATACTACACAACCTAAAAATGCCATCCATAGAAACAGCATTAAATATATACCATGGAATAGAGTGATAATTTTTAAAGACTGAATTAGAGTTTCACCTATTAGCAAGATGAATTTCCATGGTACATTACTGTTAAAAATAAATTGTGGTATAATATGTATAGTGTGCACATGCAAATTGTAAACACAGTTTTATTTTTAGTGTAATTTTTATTTTTTTTTGAGACAGGGTCTCACCCTGTCACCCAGGCGGGAGTGCAGTGGTGCAATCTCAGCTCACTGCATCCTCTGCCTCCTGGACTCAAACAATCCTCCCACCTCAGCTGCCCAAGTAGCTGGGACTACAGGCACATGCTACAGCGCCCGGCTAATTTTGGGGTTGTTTTTTTGTACAGACGGGGTTTCACCATGTTACCCAGACTGGTCTCAAACTGCTGGGCTCAAGCGATCTGCCCATGATGGCCTCCCAAAGTGCTGAGATCACAGGCATGAGCCACTGCGCCCAGCTACATTTGTATTTTTAAACAACAATCCCCACATATGTATTCATGTATGTCTATGTGCGTAACTTTGTATAAATGTAGGAAAACAAAAATGCGCACCATAAAGGTCTACATTGGGTGGAGAGTTAAAAACCAAACAGAAGTCTAGAATTACGTACAATATCAAAACTGAGGTAAACCAAGATTATAAAACCTGGCAGATTGCAGAACACACATAGCTTATATAAGTCAAGAGATATACCATGAGGACCTTGATATCAGAGAGAAATGCATATTGTATGGGTTAAAAATGGAGCAGGAATAAAGAGAAGCAGAATATCAGACAGGAATTCACAATTTACCGCGATAGTCCATAAACTTTTTATGCTCGCACATTCTTAACCTACCATGACCACACAGATGAATGGGTTTCTTCCGTACGCAGGGTACAAATAATTCCTGCATCACGTCTATCTATACACCTTTCTCTTGTACTTCAAAAAAATAATAATAATTGGAGTGTAAGTGAGTGATAGTGATGTTAATAGACAGGTATTACTGAATTTTCTCTAATTAGTGTTTAAAGTAACTCTCGTTACTAATCCACACAGCTCACATCAGGTAAACACCTTCTCTGTTCTCAGAGGGTCTGGAAGACTGGTAGACTGGGTAGCCCTGGCATTAAGGATTCCTTGATTCAGGGGCATCCTCTAGTCTCTGCAGAAGGGTGAAAAGCAGTGCAATGTGGACCGTGAATTAGACTTGGAAGGAAATAGGAAGTAAGAAAAACTAATGGCTCCTGGAAAGGGGGTGAATATTGGTTCCAGGACAGACCTTAGCTTCATGGAAGCTCTAGGTTGGACCTGGCGATGTTCTCATCACTACACAAGAACACAAATGGTCAGAGTGTGTTTGATTTGTGAATGCTGCACATTAAATAAATGTACAGTGACCTATTTTCCAATAGAGAGAAAAAACACAATCTTAAAAATATGCGTCTTTCAAAAGCATCTGACAGTAGATACTGAAGCAATAGGATTGTATGAATGCAGCTATATTTCCCTGAGCTGTGCCTCTAACCATCATATCCAAAGCTTTCAATGGTAATTTAGGGCCTCTAGTCTCCCCAGTCCTCTCAAATTGCATGATCAAATCAATGATTCATCAAAGAGATAAGATACTTGACTTGCCCATTTTGGATCTGTGACTTTTCTTCATATAAATGGTGTGATTTAGATGAATGCAACTGTCATTGCTCTGTAATGTAGGCCAAATGACATAACCTTAGATATACCATGCTCCTTTCTATTTTAAATATAATAATCTTCTAAAATTACATGCTCTTTAAATGAATAATATTAGCAAAAACTGCTCATTTCAAAAATCCCTGATACGTGAATCTTCTCTTATGATATATATTAATGGAAAATACGTTTCTTGTGCTAAAAATATAGGCACATGCACAAACACAAAACTGACATTCCTCATATATATATATATTTCTGAAAGCCAACTGGCACAAATTATATAAAATTGATGAGAAAATGATCTGAACCACTATTTGGCATGCATATGCCAAAGTTACCCTTAATTTACATGCAATTGCTCATAGCTGATGCACACATAATTTAATGAAGGCACAGCAGCCCCATCACACACTAGTAAGTTTTCCAATTAAGCAATATTCACCTAGTGTTGAACTATGCCTTCAATGTGAATGAAATTCTTTTTCTTTCATAAAATTGAGAAAAGACATAAACAGAAACAAAACAAAAGTTCTATGGCTTGGGAATCCCTGCCTCATTTAATAATGGCCAATCAATAATCACCTTACTTTTAAATTTCTCTCATTACCCATTCAAAATTCTCATCTGTCTGCCCCAACATCTCCCACATACAAGCCATCTATCCATTTTTTTAACATAATGTTGCATACAAATAGGTATGTATGTGTCTCTGTCTAACTACAGCCCCAAATAGGTTTGCTACTATTTATTTTAATATCTTAAAACCCCTCCATCTCGAACCTACTTTACCACTCATGACTCCTACAGTGGAGGAATACAGAAATGGCATAGCCATTCTTCAACCCAGATTTCGAAGATGAAGACAGTGGGGTAGAAGATAGAAATAAGCAATATTCTAACATTTTCAAGAGTCCCTTTGTGTGAGAAAGTTCTCCATTAGCAATAATGACAACTCCAGTACTGTCTTCACTCGTAAGAGACAACAGACCTGACCCTAGGCAAGTCTTATTTAATTCCTCATTTGACCCATTTCTGACAGCTTTAATCTAGTCCAAAGGAATGGCATTCTCCAAAGTTTCTAGCTGGTACTGTCCTCTCTCACACAAGATAAATCAATTCCCAGGAAGACTCTCTAAACCTTGTCCCACTCTATCTATTGAAGGACTCTTCTAGACTCCAGAAAACAAATGGAGGAGGAAGAGATTTCAGAGAAAGGAGAGAGATGAATAAGGACAGCCAGAATAAAGAGAAAGGGGATGAATGAAATATTTATAGGAAAATGCTGTTTGCCTAGAACTAGACACAATTTTAATGGAATACAACATAGGCTGGTCCTCCAGAAGAGCAGGCATGTAGGAACAAAGGACATCAGAGGAGGAACAAGTAATGTAGACTCCGATCTGACCAAGAGGTTGTTTTTTTTTTTCTTATGAAAGTGAAAGACATCTGTACCACCCTGAAGAATGAAAAGGCTTTTCAATAATGTTTTCTCTATTTTTAAATATTCCAACCATTCTGGTACTATTTTTAAGTGAGTTAATTCTTAGAGAAAGTAATCACCTGGTTGAATCTATTTTTGCAACTACAGGTGAATCCTATGGTATGCACTAAAATCTCAAGTTATAATTCCTACCATTTAATGCCCCATAAAGAATCACCCTGGGGAAATGGGGAAACCCAGGGTGTCTACAAAAAAACCCCTCTAATTGCTCCTAGTTCTCTCTTTATTCTACCCTACTACATCTATAAATGCCTCCTTCTGTTCTCCATCCCTACCTTTTCTTTTGTTCCTCTTCTCTCTTTCTCCTTTCCATTTCCTCATCTAGGTCTTATACCTATCTGGGGTTCTCATTTATGTACTGAGAACCGTCAGAGTGACTCAGGGTTCCTCAAGCTCTACACTATTGACATTTGGGGCTGGATAATTCTTCATGGTAGGAGGCTTCTCTGTGCACGCTAAGATGTTTAACAGCATCCTTGGCCTTTATCCAACAGATTTCAAAGTCTTCAGACCTTGCCAAATGTCCCCTACAGGGAGCAAATTCTTCCCAGCTGGAAATCACTAGAATGGCACATCTGCCTCTATTCCTTAGTACCTTTGTGATTTGGGGTTAAGAAGGGATATCATGATTTCGAGGGAGGAAGCAGAGAAGGAATTATCTCAAAGTAGGTGGCCTCAGAAAGGACCCTTATCAAATAAGCAGGTAGAGTCCAATTCTTATGTTAATTCTTGTTCATTTGGCAACCTCAAGAATATCCTAAATCTGCAAGTGCAATGCATTTTGCTTGTAAAACATATTAGTTACAGGTTACATCAATGCTATTAGGATGGAGGGGCCTTTGAATTTTGACCTCAGAGATGGTGTAGGCAGGAATTTTCAACAGGCTATAAATATCTAACACATTCTTGTATAACCCATAATACCTTGTTAGGTTAACATGAGGTGTCATTTTTGAGCTTCAGTGCTTTGTTGGCAATTCACTATGCATTTGGAAAAGGAAGAAACCAAAGCAATGAAATGCTTAAGTGGCGAGAAACTGCCACATGGCTCACTAATAAGGTGTCTTGGGCACGTGTACACCTTTCTAAATGCTGCTTTTCTCTTGAGATTTTTCTGGTCTTAGAAAACAGTCAGCTAAAACCCTAGCTGCAAATTAGTGAGCTGACAGGAATTTCTCAAGTTTTCAAACATACTGGTATTAATTTATTCTCTTCACAGTTAATCCTCCAAGCATATTTAATGTCATCTCATAGACAAGAAACTTCATTAACAGGCATTTAAGGCATTTCGTCGTTCATGTTTCTTTTTCACCTATAACACTCCTTACTCCCACCGGGACAAACTAGGGAATTCTGATGTAATCAGTTTCTGCACTAAGAAATAAAAGATTTAGTATTAAATTTCCTGCCAGTCACTTTCTACATAAAAATTAATAGCACCTATATCCCATGTGTTTTATAATACACACACCTAGAAAAAAATACGGAAATCAATCCATATCTTTTCAGCCTCTCAATGGCATTTGACACTGTCCATTACTCCTTCCTCTCTGAAATACATTTCACTCTTGGCTTTCGTGATACCACCTTCTCCTTGATTTCCAGCTTCCCTGCTGCTTATCTCAGTTTCCATGATTCTTCTTGACCAGTTGCTGTCTTGAACCTGCACTCTTCTTGACTCATGAATAAACATAGATAGAACAGTGGGCCCTCCTCTTTAACTGAACTCCTCCCTAAGTGATCTCCTCCGGCCTTGTAGTTTTAAGCACCATTCATCCATTTGCTGATGACTCCAAAATTTCTATCTCTGGGCCTGAATTTTTTAATGAGGTTTAATATTCGTATACCCAACTGCCTACTCACCAACCCCCTTGGATCTAACAGGCATATCAAAACTAATACGGCTAACACAGAACTCTATTTCCTATGCCTCCAACTCATTCCTCCTTTGATGATCTTGGCCAAACATGAAAGTTTATCTCTCCCAGCTTCGTGCTTCAACCAGTTCTCCTTGCCCTGCTCAGGAAATTCCTCATTAGCTTCTCCCTGTGCTCTGGCCACGTTAGTTCTAACACAGTCTCTTTTTCTTTCCTGTTTAATGAGCAAATTCTGGGCTTCTTGGATCTTTTTTGTTCCAACCATTCCTTCATGCTCAAAGTCCCCTGATTTTTATCACTCTTCTTGCGCCTTCCTTGTCCTAAGGAAGGATATGGGAAAAGGTGACACCTCTGACACTCATCCCTGATCACTGCATTCGTTATCCTAGATGTTCAGCACACAAAACCTTTTGATGTGGCATTTATAATGCAGCAGTTTTGACACCAAGATTTGACTTGACTGTAAGTAAACAAAATAATGCAGCAATATTTTGACATAGAAAAATATCATTAATCCTTCTGAGTGTTATTACCAAACAATACATGCAATACATAACTCACTCATATTGTAGTATCTTATCCATCCGTTGATCTCCATGAATAGTTACAGATAGGGCATAAAAAAATATGGTACAAAATACCCACAATTTTAACTCTCACACCAAAAATGACTACATCGTATAAGCCAGGAATAATAAATAAAAGTAGTTTCATAAACCTAGCTAGGATAAATCTAACATATTTTGATAAAGTTTTAAAGGTTCAAAATGTCCAAGAGGAAAAAGTATAAACTCTTAAAGACAATATCCTCATAGTCTTATAACTACTACTGCCAATTGTTAGAGATCAGCTCTTACCTTTAAAAGGACTATGCTTTTTTTATTTTAATTTTTATTTTAAGTTCTTGGGTACATGTGCAGGATATGCAGGTTTGTTACATAGGTAAACATGTGCCATGGTGGTTTGCTGCACCCATCAACCCATACCCTAGGTATTAAAACCAGCATGTATTAGCTATTATTCCTAATGCTCTCCTTCTTCCCACCCTTACAACAGGCCCTAGTGTGTGTTGTTCCCCTCTCTGTGTCCATGTGTTCTCATTGTTTAGCTACCACTTGTAAGTGACAACATGTGGTGTTTGGTTGTCTGTTCTTGCATAAGTTTGCTGAGGATAATGGCTTCCGGCTCCATCCATGTCAGTGCAAAGAACGTGATCTCATTCCTTTTTATGGCTGCATAGTATTCCATAGTATATATGTACCACACTTTCTTTATCCAGTCTATCGTTGATGGGCATTTGGGTTGATTCCATGTCTTTGCTATTGTGAAAGCACTATGCTTTTTAAAATAAAATTTACACCAAGATAGTGGCTCTGGGTAAATATGCAAATAGTCACTCTGATGAAAGTTGTGCTCTATCTAAAAAATTTGGTGGAAATTTGTCTTCTAGTGTTTGGTAAAAACAGTCTAGAAGAAGTTCATTTTGTTTTGTTTTTAATGTAAACATATCCTAAGTGACTTTTCTTCCTTTCAAGGCCAGACAGATGGAAGAAAGAACTCTGGAAGTGTGGGATACGTTGTTTGAGAAATAAATACACAAATAAGAACACAAAGGCCATTCCTGTCATTAAGGCTGAAGATATGCTGCTTCAGCCAAGGACAGAGGGTATCATTGGTAGGGGGAATACCTAGAAGGCTACAAGATATAGGTTTTTCTTTAAATTATTGTGTTTTCTATTTATGTTAAAGGATGTTAAATTGGAAATTTCAGGCATGGGAAAATAGACACAAAAATCCAAAGTGAAGTGCTAAACCAGGATTTTCACATTTATAAATTTAGGCATAGTTATATTCCTCCCCACATGGAAGTATGAAGGGTTTGAAGAGATTTATTTGGAGAGAATTGTTGGCATGCTGTGATTCCCACATACCTTTCCTCTTAACAGGGCAGGGTAAGGAGCCTTCAGATAAAAGGGCTTTAATGAGACCAGTCAAAGAGCTTTGTTTGGGCTCCTTGCAGTCGGGAGTAATACTGTGTACTAGGATCTACATCATGTCTGAGAAATCTAATGCATAAGAGGATGGCTGAAGAGATCTGTGCATCACAAGTGGGATGGGGAAGTTGGAAAGAAACTGCACCCCCAAAGTCTGCTGGGATAAAGAATAACTGAGTGTTCTCCTACAGACTTTATATGGGCCATAGAGAGATGCAGACTGGGTTTATTAGATTGTCCAAAAGACCCAGGATGAACCACTCAGATTACATTTTAAAACTGTTGCTTGATGGTTGTAGGAAGCATGTAATTCTCTTTTTCAGGAGATGATGGAAAAAAACATAGTCCTGGTTGCTAATGGCAGTCATCTTGGACCACAAAGTCATCTAGCCCAGAGGTAAAATTGACAGGAAGAGGAGAACAAAGTAGAAGGACCAGCAGGAAAGTGGAGTGTGAGCCATGACCAAATGGGATGAGAAATCCACCTTGATCTGGACTTTTTGCTTATGTGAACCAAGAGACCCTTTCCTTGCTAAGCTAGTTTCAGCTGAGTTTTCTGGTATTTGTTACTGAAAGCACTCAATTTTATAATCTTTTCTAAATGATCTAGGAGAAAATCCACAGTCTAAATTTGTGCTAGACTAGGCTGGTCCAAAATCAGGAAAATGCAAAAGAATCAGAATACCATTTTCACTAGATTCTTAGAATGAACTCTATCCCTAGGGAAGATGTGAACTCTAAATCAAAATAAGACATTAATTGAAAGATGGACTTCATTTGGCCAGAAGGTAAGAAACAAGGAGAGTCAATTATTTGTTACCTGGTAATGAACTCTCTGGGAGCCAGAAGAAACTGACTGTAGGTCCTAATGAGAAAATGAAAAAAAAAATCCATACCTTAAAATTAGTTTGAACAAGCTGCCCCACAACTCAATCTCAACTGAACTCCCAATTTAATATTACTATGCTCATCTGGAAAGTATCGAACACACCCAAATTCATAAAGGTTAAATAAAGAAGGTAATGCCAGAAATAATAAAATCAAACCAAGCTGGACTGAGAGAAGGTCATTAAGCTGTTGAAACCTATAAGTCCTACATAGTGTTTAAAGTAAGTGTTATATTATTATTTCAATCTCCTATAGAGGAGACCAGAAGTAAAAGACAGGCAATTTTGTTCTGATAAATGGGGATTATATTTAATGTGCATATAAACTTTTGGCTTGTGAAGAAGGCTTTGGAAATCCCTTTAAACACTTAGAAAGCTTTTCTTTACCTCAGACCAGATACATACTGTCATGGTAACTGTTTATACTGATAAGTCGCTTAGCAAATAGGGGTTTTCATAGACTACAAAGAGAAAATCACCAACCACCTCCACATTATCACAAAGTGCAAATTAACAGGGTTGAAATTAATGAGGTTTTACTGGCAGATTGTGAAAGCCTGACTCCTTTCATAAAGTTTTATAACGAACTTGTCACCATTGTCATGCCTCCTAGGCTTCCTTGCTAATGAGTGTAGTGATTCTATTCACAGATGTCAGCAATCCTGGGTACCTTTGTCCTTACACCTGTTTCCCACAGGGTTTCATCACATTACTTTCCATTAGTTTTAAAAATTTTTCCTCTTTATTTGTTGAGTTGCCTCTTTTTTAAAAATCCTACTTTTAGTTGAATATTGGTGCATTAAGCATGCTATTAAGTTAGTTAAGTTGGTTTTTAACAAAGTCAATTCATCAATCGTGTATTAATATTATTCTACTGTGAAGTCTTGTTAACAAAGCTCTACATGTGTTAATTTTAAAAAAAGGTAAAAAGGTTTGGTACCAATTATGATTCATTTTTTTCATTACAGGTTTCTGGAGTGAGATTCCACAGCAAAATACAAACATTATTTTGGGAAATGAGATACTAGAAGTTTGGGAACATATTAACAGAATTGGACCTGAGTCACTAAAAATTCACGTATTTTAACTTGTTTAAGCAGCTATCCTCAGTCAAAATAGCTTAATGAAGCCGTAAGTGTAAAATTTGTTGACCATCTTTCTCTCATCCACATCAGTATTCAATATTTGTCATCTATTTCTCAAAATCAGTAATTTTTCACATCACTATGTGCCTCTCCCCTGAATTTATTTCTACCAAGAGAAACAGAATCAAATATTCAGGGTGAAGTGGTTACAACTCAGAGGGATTTTAAACAGTATGTGTCTACTTTATTTACAATATTTACCTATGTATAACATGTTGTCTGGGACAGAATTGCTTATCAAGGGGTATCAAGACAACCCAACAGCTTTAAAAATACAAATGTCTAGGCCACACCCAAGAAAAGTGACTCTAATATACATCTTTCATCAAAAAAAATGATAAAGAAATCGTCATATATGCTTTTTGCAATTTGTGGAATGGAGACGGTTAAGACTCCCCCTCAAATTTTTGCAAAAACAACCAACAACAATTGTAATGATGAGTTTGGGTCTCCTGGCTTTGCTGGTGCAGTTCACATTTATGGGAGTGCCATATACGGGGTCACTTCCTTTCTGTTTCTCTAAAGCAAGACTAGATTGAGAAAAAAAAATAGATTATTCTTTTGTGTTCTGACAAATTCCTATGAGATGTAGAGGATTTTTCTTTCCCATAGAAGTTTTATTTATTTTTTTGTTTACAAAATCTAGCTGTCTCTGACATAAGTGTCAGACACAAAACATTAAATATCACTGTTTTCTTTCATTATTTATCAGTCCCTGTTGAAATTCTGAACATCTCAAATATACAGGTATGTGTCTGGTAAAATGACAAGTTCCAAGCTATAGTTATGGAACACACCAGGGCAACAGCACCCTGTAGTCAATGCTTTCCCATTTCAACCATCTGAGGAGTGAACAACAGAGACAGTGGGAGAGGGTGACATACAGCGTATGCTTGAAGGACAAAGCCACCACATTTCCACTTCCTCTCCAAATGCATCATTTCAGAAGCAAATATATATGGCTGGTAATTGTTTACAAAAATGGAAAGTTGAGGAGAATAAAAAATTGGCTAAATAAACTCACCTCCTGTAGGCGGTCTATGTACATACGGCAAGTCTCCAAATCACAGTCTCCACGCACAACTAGAATACCCAGAGGTATCGCTAAGGGTGAAGGAAGAAGAAAAATCTAAAATAACATATTTGATTTTTCTATATCAGCATAAATGTGTTTCTCGTGGTTAAAAAACAATCTCATAAATATTATGGGTTTTTTAGATATGTCCGTAAAAAGAAAGAAGTACTTTCTCCCTACACCTTTTTTATTATTTCAGTCTCTTCTTGTTTGCAGTTGTCACACACTTTCCTAGCATGATCCATGTTGCCCCTTGCCACCTGCCCCTCATCTCATTGTGTTTCACTGGCCCTGAGATGAAGTGAATTGTCGCAGTAACGATGGATTGGCAGAACAGGGAGGCTGCTCATGGACAGTTGATAATTATGCTTGCATTTTTTATGCTTATGCCTAAATTTATGCTTGCATTTGCAATAGACAACATGAGGATGCAGTGCCGGGGGAATTAAACATTGAGGATTCTGGACACTTACTCCTTCCTTCCTGAATGCAGACAACTTCATCTTTTTGTCTGTCTACAACAGTTTCCTATTTATGAGACTTGAGCTACTCAAGGCACTGTTGCTACCTGGTGGCCAATATCAGAACTAAAGGCATAAAATGTTAGAAAGAAAAGAACAAAAAACAGCTTCTAGAAGAGGCAAAGCTTAAAAAATCCAACTAATTTTAAGGATGGCCAATGTAAGAGTGGTAACAGTAGGACCTCAGAAAACAATAAGACAAGACTAAGTTATGCACCTTATAAAATATCCTACTTAGGTAGTGTCAAACACACACAGTGGCTTTAGTGTATAGAACCTACTTCAGATAGAATCACAAGAGTCCTGAAATACTGAAAAATAGTCTTCTTTCCAAAACTTAAAAAAAAATCTACAAATTTCTCATTTTAAAAGTACAATTACACGATTAAATCCATGATCTAACATAAAACCTTCAAAATTTTGAATTAACCAACTGGTAAGTAGCAAGCAAATGATAAGACAGTGGTGTTCTCTAAGAATTTTTTACAATCGTTCACTCATTGAGTGTATATTTAAAGCCATCATCCATAAATCTGTCTGAAAATACAAAGTACTAGGGCCTTAAAAATTCATAATACACAGAAGAAGATTTAAAATGCATAAAAAACCTTGAAGAATCTCCACGTAGTAGAGAAGGCATATATATAAACAAAAAAATGATAAGTATAACACAGGCCGTATTAAATGTATTAACTTAGTCATTTGAAAACTATAGGAAAGAGGGGCTAATTCTTGCCTGGGTGAAGGGGTAGATTTTAGGCTCTCTGAAGAACATGAAGCCTCACTTGACGTTTTAGCTAGAGGAGTAAAGGTGGTCTAGAGAAAAAGAAATAGAGTTTGTATCTCAATGTTACCTCCTAGATTGGTTTCTGCTAGGGAGACCTAATCAATCCCACCACCCCATTCCCTTATGTTTCTAAAGTCCTGCATACATAAATCTTTAAGGCATCCATGATTTTGTGGAACTATGGAAGCCTGTGAGTGAGTGTGGATTGTTTACCTTCACTTCCCCAATGCCTAGTAAAGAAATGGTAGATATTCAATAAATGAGTATAAAAAGAGGGAGGAAGATGGGCTTAACGACTGTTTGGATGCAAAAGAGAAAGTCTGTCTTTCAGGTGCAAGTCACCTGTCCAGGGTAGACAAGAAACAAGGTAAGCAAAAGACAGTCAGTAGAGGATAAGGAGCACTTGTAACTGTCATATCTTTGGGGGAGTAATAATCATTCTAAAAGAATATTTCTCCTCCTTTTAAAAGATAAACAGAAACATCAAAAAGTTTTCAGCATGGCAATCATGCATCTTTGCAGGAAATGGAAGGGAAATTCAATAAGGAGATCTCCTAAAAATAGTGATTAGAGTAATCATCTTCAGCTAGACCTACTATAAAGATGGAAATAAGTTGATCCACCAAGATAAGAGCAGAATAGAATTTCTAATATTTGAGGAATGATGAGGAAAAGTTGGAATTTTGACATAGATAATAAATCTGGAAGTGGAATATAGCTATAATTAACATAAGCATCCACATTGGAATCTTGCTTAATATTTCCTTTTAATATTAAATGTGCAAAAATAGAAAATAGATTTTAATCAATGTTTATCCATTTACTTAAGTTAGGAGATATATTTTATACATACGCAGGAATCCCATCAACACCTCTGATTTCCTTCTATTATCAGTGTTTGGAGTTAGTCTGGTCCAAGTATAAATTCAATGTACTTCATAGCAGACATTTTAAACTACAATTAGAGATTGTATATTCAAGATATGGAATCAAGAGGAATAGCTAAAAAGAAGTTTTCAAACATGTGTCATTCATCTCTAATATGGGTATAAAATCAACAACTTTGCCTGTTCTTCAAGGAGCAAAGTAAGAGTAACTGCTTTTGATTGAGCAATACTTAGCTGTTAATTGCGAGGAGAAAAGAAAGAAAAAAGGGCATTCTCTACCACAATTTTATAACACGATTACCAACAACTGTCAAATTTATTCCAAGAAGGTGGCAATATGCAGTAGAAAGGATTTGCAGTCATCCACTGCTGGGTTTAAATCCCAGTATTGCTTTGGTCTTGCAAATTACTCAACTTAGCTACTTAGTCAATTCTTCTGAGCCTTGGTTTAAAGACTACGGTGTTTAGAATAGATGTCATACAGGATTTTTGTAAAGACTCAATACAACACTATATTTAAAAATAAATTATCAAAACATCAATTTTTATTCTCCCTTACTCTTTTCACTATCTTTTGAGCATCTTTAGCCAGAAAACAGACATACCCAATCATCTATCTTTTAATTTAGCATAGTACTACAAGGATTAGCTAGCAGTAGTTTCGTAAGTTATATGCCAGTTTTCTAAAAACTAACTTCTACTCTTCCTGCCATGTAAAAAAACAACGTAGTAGAAAAATATTGTAATCTGACACTTCCATTTGGGCCTTTACATGGCGAAGAAAAAGCAGAAACTTTTCAAAAATTACCACCTTCCTTCTACACTATGGTTAACCAACTGCCAAGCTTCCTTGACATTTCCTCTATTTTACTTAGGAGTAGTGAGAGCACTTATCACCTGAGCACCAGTGTCACTATCCCTGAGCTCAACAATTCATCTTATTTTGGTAGCAGAGACTTTGTTTAAGTCCAGGAAGCATGAGTTAATACTCAACCTTCACAATGGAACTTTTATTGCAGGGATTAAATGGAATTCACAAGTTCTAACTAAGTGAAAAGAACAAGCTGTGTTCCAGAATAAGATGGCATATTTCATGCACATATTAATCTCTCACCAGAAATACTACTAACCTACAATAAATAGATTTTTAAAAGAAATCAACAAAAATAAGGATAAAATAACAGATGAAGTAGATGAAAAATTGGCAACTGACTCAGAGCCCTTAGAGAGTCAAATCCTAAACCACTAGTGGGTATAGACATGAACCAAAATAATTTCTACTGCAAAACCCTCAAAAGGCTTGCAAACTGGCAGTACCGGGTGCCTCAGGAGCTGAGGTTAAAGGAGGTGGTTAAGATAGAAGCACTGGATGTTAGATCACCAGATATCCACCACCCATTGTGGAAAGGCACAGTTACCTTACAGAAAATGAAGATTAATTGATCATCTGAAGACTGCAGTGATCCCCAGTTTTCTTCCCACCCTGAATTCCCCAAAAGCTGGCAGCCAGAACCTTACTTTCTAGGAAAAACATTGGAAAACTCATCTCAATGGAATCTGACAAAACCATGAGGAAATATATTAACATGAGAACAGGCCCACTACCAACATTTATAAGGCTCAAGGCAAGAACATAAAGACCTGCATTCCATATTTCTAGATATTTATAAGTTTAATGTTAATCCCCAAAACTGTTAAATGAAATATGTTCTATCTTCCTATCCTGATAAATATTCCTTTGTAGTTACCTAAATGAGATGCTGAAACTCATAATTCTTGTACTCCAAGGAGTATTAGAACAAAACATAGTGCTTGTGGTCCATAGTTAGACCTCCTTCTCTTTCCACTCCATGGATGTTCAAAACATGAAAGAACTTGTGCTTATGTATACAGATACTACAGACCACATCCCCAAACTTTCTCCAAAGCCCATGCAAACTGCTGCCCCAAAGGGCCTTCCTTAGTCCTATGCCCACTCTACATGACTCCTGTGAGACTAGACCAGAAGAAGAGGCCTACGCAGATCCTAGAAGCAGGTCTGGAGCTGTTGGGGCAGGAATTCTAAGAATCCAAAGCACAGTCTAGAAAAGGGTAGAGAAATCCCTAGATGAGCCCTTTTCCTTAGCACTTTAGACAAATCATCCCATGAAGCAGGGCAAAGCCAGAAATGGGACATATCTAGGACATCGAAAGCTGAAGCACCTCTTCCATAGGTCTAAAGACAGCACTGATTCATCATTCCCAAGAAACAGTTCACTCAGTTCCCCCACATCGAAGCTTGAAGTCAATAAGCTTTATGCATGAGCTCAGAACTTCCAGGCAGCTTTTATGTTTCCCACTTTTAATAATGAAGAGAAAGGCAAAAGTGATCAGAAAATTGAGAAATTTTTCTAATGCAGAAGCCAAAGATCAAAATAAACAGGATCCTCCAGGCAAGATAGCTGAACAGACACAGCCAGAAGGAACATCTGCCATCGAGAGACCAGGACATCAGGAAGACTGGCACACTCTAAGCAGATCTTCAGAAGGAAGGTATTGAGAATGGCTAGAGAAAGGACACAGATGCTGGGTTTAAGGGGGAGGAAGCTGGAAACCCTGCAGGGGCTACCATTCATCAGTTCCTGGCCCTCAGTAACCCCTGGGGTAGTGGTGAGTTGAGCAGGGAAGGAATGACATACTCTCACCATGGACTTATAGAATCCTGGCAGGAGGAGACCACAAGACCCCCACAGAAACTTAAGCTGGAAGGGATAGTTGCTTAGAGAGGTGGTAAGGGCAGGGCTCCAGCCAGTGTGGAGCCCAGAGGGTTTGGTGCAGCAATGTCCACAGTGAAGCATGACCAGGGATACCCATCCCCAAGGCGTCCCATGCTCCCCTAGGAAACTTTAGCCTTAGGCAAACTGTCAGACCTGAACAGAGCAGGGCCAGTCTGACCTGAGTGACCCCTGTATGCTGGCATCTCCTGCTTGCAGTGCAGCCGCAGATGCCTAACTGGGGTGTCTCCCAGGGACATGCATAATAGCTCCTGCGCTGGCTGACTGTGCCTGACAATCAAATAGCTCCAGCCCAGTGGCCTCTGCCAAGGCACATCAGCCCACCCGCACCCTCCCACCACTGCAGCATCCTCTGTACCACTTTGCTGGCATGCACTCATCCAAGGCCACCCCCATACCATTTTGCCAGTGTGTGTGTGCCAGCAGACCTTGCCTACCCTTCCCTGCTGGGACGTATCTACGACCCACTGTGCCACTGCTGCCAGCATGAGCGCAACCTGCCCCCATCCACCCAGCTGTACCACCACTGTTAGCACCAGTACTCAAATGAAGATCAGTAGCCCCACTCCCTGCCCTATGTTGCCATTGCCTCCAGTGTGAATGCACACATGGAGACCACCAGCCCCACACCCGCCAGTGCCCCATCGCACCCACTATTACTGCCACTTGCAAATGCCTGTATGGAGGCTGGAAGCCCCTGGCTCACCAGGGCCCCACTCCAGCTGATGAGCATGCATGTCATCACACTGCTGTTGCTTCTGGCATGTACAAATGAGCACAGATCTTACTTCCACCACCCAGTGAAGCTCTTTGGCTGTCACTGCCCATCAAGGCAACAGGTTCCTAACCCTGAGGAGCCAGAGATGAAAGCAGGGGGCCCAAAATGAGCCCACCAGAGTTAAAGCACACAGCTCAGGAGTGTTGAGCTGAGCATTGGCCCCCTAAAATATTCCAGAAATGAAGCCAGTTGACCAAACCCACCTTATACCATAATCAAACACCCAACAACACCAAAGAAAATGAAAGCAAACAAAAACCAAAAAAACATCTAAAAGATAGCAACTTCAAAGACTGAAGGAAAATCAGCCCACAAAGATGAAAAAGAACCAGCGCGAGAACTCTGGCAACTCAAAAAGCCAGAGAGTCTTCTTACCTCCAAATGACTGCACTAGTTCCCCAGCAATGGTTCTTAACCAGTCTGAAATAGCTGAAATGACAGAAATAGAATCAGAATATGGACAGGAATGAAGATCATCGAGATTCAGGAGAAAGTTAACACCCAATCCAAAAATTCTAAAGAATACAATAAAATGATACAGCAGATGAAAGATGAAATGACCATTTTAAGAAATAACTAAATTGAGATGCTAGAGCTAAAAAACTCAAGAATTTCAGAATACAACTGCAAGTTATTAACAGCAGAATTGACCAGCTGAGGAATCTCAGAGCATGAAGACCAGTCCTCCAGAATAACTCAGACAAATATGAAGCAAAAAAAAATGAAGAAGAATGAACAAAATGTCTGAGAAATATGGGATTATTTAAAGAGACCAAGTCTATGACTTATCAGCATCCCTGAAAGAGAAAAAGAGAAAGCAAGCAACTTGGAAAACACATTTCAGGACACCATCCATGAAAATTTCCCCAACCTTGGTAGAGAGGCCAACGTTCAAATTCAGGAAATGAAGAGAAACCCTGTGAAATATTACACAAGAAGATCATCACCAAGACACACAGTCATCAGATTCTCCAAGGAAAAAATGAAAGGAAGAAAGTTTAAGGAAGCTAGAAAGAAGGGGCAGGTCACCTACAAAGGAAACCCCATCAGGCTAACAGCTGACCTTAGAACAGAAACCCTACAAGACAGAAGAGATTAGGGGCCTATATTCAGCATTCTTAAAGAAAAGAATTTCAAACCAAGAATTCTATATTTAGCCAAACTACACTTCAAAAGCAAAGGAGAAATAAGATCCTTTTCAGAGAAGCAAATGCTAAGAGAATTCATTACCACCAGACCCGCCTTATAAGAGGTCCTGAAGGGAGTGCTAAATATGGAAAGGAAAGGTCATTACTGGCCACTACAAAAACATGCCTAAATACCCAGACCAGTGATACTATAAAGCAATCACACAAACAAATCTGCACAGTAATGAGCTAACAACACAATGACAGGATCAAATCCACACATATTAATGCTAACTTTGAATGTAAATGTGTTAAATGCCCCATTTCAAAGGCACAGAATGGCAAGTTAGATAATGACACAAGACCCAATGGTATGCTGTCTTCAAGAGACCCAGGTCACATGCGATGACACACAAAACATCTACCAAGCAGATAGAAAACAGAAAAAAGCAGGGGTTGCTACCATAATTTCAGACAAAATAGACTTTAAACCATCACAGATCAAAAAAGACAAAGAACAACATTACATAATGGTAGAAAAACAGAGAGAAGATCCAAATAAACACAATCAGAAGTGACACTTCTGACCCCACAGAAATATAAAACACCCTTAAAGACTACTATGAATACCTCTCTGCACACAAGCTAGAAAAACAGGAAAAAGTTGGTAAATTTCTGGAAATACACATCCTCCCAAGATTGAACCGGGAAGAAATTAAGTCCTTGAATAGTCCAATAATGAGTTCCAAAACAGAATCAGTAATAAAAAGCCTACCAACCAGAAAAAGCCCAGGGCTAGACAAATTCACAGCCAAATTCTAGCAGATGTATAAGGAAGAGCTGGTATGATTCCTACTGAAACTATTTAACAAAAAAAAAAAAAGAAAGAAAACTCTGAGGAGGAGAGGCTCATTCCTAACTCACTCGGTGAGGCCAGCACCATCCTGATACCAAAACCTGGCAGAGACAAAAAAAAAAAAAAAAAAAAAAAAAATCCTTCTTTAACATAAATGCAAAAATCCTCAGCAAAATACTAGCAAACCAAATCCAGCAACACATCAGAAAGCTAATCTACCATGGTCAAGTAGGCTTTATCCCTGCGATGCAAGGTGGTTCAACATACACGAATCAATAAATGTGATACATCATATAAATAGAACTAAAGACCAAAACTACATGATCATCTCAACAGATGTAGAAAGGGCTTTTGACAAAATTCAACATCCCTTCATGTTAAAAACCCTCAACAAACTAAGCACTGAAGGAACATGCTTCAAAATAATAAGAGTCATCTATGATAAACCCATAAGCCAACATCATACTGAATGGGTAAAATCTGGAAGCATTCCCCTTAAAAATCAGAACAAGACAAAGATGCTCACTCTCACCACTTCTATTCAACATAGTACTGGAAGTTGTAGCCACAGCAATCAGGCAAGAGAAAGAAATAAAAGGCACCCAAATAGGAAGAGAGGAAATCAAACTATCTGTTTGCAGACAATAAGATTCTATACATAAAGAACCCTAGAGTCTCTGCCCAAAATCTCCTTTTTCTGATAAACAACTTCAGTAAAGTTTCAGGATACAAAATAAATGTACAAAAAATCAGTAGCATTCCTATACACCAACAACATCCAAACTGAGAACAAAATAAAAAACACAATCCTATTCACAATAGCCACAAACAAAATAAAATACCTAGGAATACAGCTAACCAGGGAGATGAAAGATCTCTATAATGACAATTACAAAACACTGCTCAAAGAAATTAGAGATGACACAAACAAATAGAAAAACATTCCATGCTCATGGATAGGAAGAATCAATATCACCAAAATGGCCATACCTCCCAAAGCAATTTACAGACTCAATGCTGTTCCTATCAAACTACCAATGATATTCTTCACAGAATTAGAACAAACTATTTTAAAAATCATATGAACCAAAAAAATCCCAAATAGCCAAGGAAATAATAATAATAAAAAAAAAGCTGGAGGCATCACAATACTCAAAACTATACTACAAGGCTACAGTAACCAAAACAACATGATACTGGTACAAAAACAGACACAGACAAATCAAACAGAATAGAGAGTGCAGAAATAGTGCCACACACCTACAACCATATGATCTTCAACAAAGTCGATAAAAACAAGTAATGGGAAGAGGACTCCCTATTCAATAAATGGTGCTGGAATAACCGACTAGTCATATGCAGAGACTGAAACTGACCCCTCCCTTATACTATATACAAAAATCATCTCAATATGGATTAAAGACTTAAATGTAAAACCTAGACCTATAAAAACCCTGAATGATAACCTAGGAAATATCATTCTGGACATAAGACTTGGCAAAGTTTTCATGACAAAGATACCAAATGCCATTGCAACAACAACAAAAACAACAAAAACTGACAAATAAGACCTAATTAAACTGAAGAGCTTCTGCACAGCAAGAGAAACTATCAACAGAATAAACAGACAACCTACAGAATGGAAGAAAATATTTGCAAATAATGCATCTGACAAACGTGTAATATCCAGCACCTATAAAGAACTTAAACAAATTTACAAAAAAAAAAAAAGTGGGCAAAAGACATGAACAGACATATTTCAAAAGAAGACATATATCCGGCAATCAATCATAGAAAAAAAAGTTCAACATCACTGATCATTAGAGAAATGCAAGTCAAAACCACAATGAGATGCCATCTCACACCAGTCAAATCGCTATTATTAAAAAGTCAAAACATGACAGATGCTGATGAGGTTGTGGAGAAAACGGAGTGCTTATACACTGCTAATGGGAATGTAAATTATTGCAGCCATTGTGGAAAGCAGTTTGGCAATTACTCTAAGAACTCAAACAGAATTAGCACTTGACCCAGCAATCTCACTATTGGGTATATACCTAAAGGAACATAAATCACTCTAACATAAAGACACATGCACGTGTATGTTCACTGTAGCACTAGTCACAATAGCAAAGACATGGAATCAATCTAAATGCCCATCAAGGGTAGAGAGGATAAAGAAAATGTGGGACATATACACCATGCAATACTACATAGCCATTAAAAAAAAATGCGATCATGTCCTTTGCAGCAACATGGATGGAGCTGGAGGCCATTACCCTCAGCGAACTAATTCAGGAACAGAAATCGATTTAATAAGTATCACATATTCTCACTTATAAGTAGGACACAAATATTCCCCACCTTTGTGTACCCATGGACACAAAGAAGGGAACACTAGACACCAGGGCCTCCTTGATGGTAGAGAGAAGGAACGTGACAATCAAAAAATTGCCTATCTGGTACTATGCTTACTACTTAGGTGGTGAAATAATCTGCACACTAAACACCTGTGACACAAAATTTACCTGTATAATAAACCTGCACATATACCCCTGAATCTAAAAGTTTTTTTAAAAATAGAAAATGAACTTGCGCAAAGAAAAACACTTTAAACATGATATCTTTAATATCCTCAGGGAGTTGAGAGAAAATGGAATGGAAATTTCCAAGAAATGGAAAAATTATAATATTAAATGATACAAAGAATATGAAGGAAAACAAAGAGGAACCTCATTCAGAGAATAAAAGAGTACAAAACCCTTTGAAAATAAAAATTTGATAAAATAAATAGAGACCTCATTAGAAAAGTTAAAAGATAAAGTTGAGAAAATCTCTAAAAAAGTAGAGCAAAAATAAAAAGAGATAGAAAGTAGGAGAGAAAAACTAAAAAAATTAGAAACCTAGTCCAGGAGGTCCCAATAAGAGGAGTTTCAAAAAACATCCCCATAATACGAGTCTCAAAAAACAAAAGAAAATAGAGAATAAATATAAAAAACAAAATGAAGAATATTTCCTAAAACATTAGTTTCCAAACTGAAATGATTCATCAAATGCCAAGCACAATAACTACAGAACAATATAACATCATCTTGTTTTGAAATTGAAGAGTACTGGGGACAAAAGGAAGAATCTACAAGCTTATAGAAAGGAAAAACCAGATTATATACAAAGGATTAAAATTTGGAATGTTTTTGAACTTCTCAAAGGCAACCATACAGTAAGGAAGACAATGAAACAAGACCTTCAAAGTTCTAAGACTTTTACAGATAACCCAAACAATCAAACAAGTGCAAGAGTTGAATGAAGGACCCATGATCTGTCAAGAAGCTACTGGGTTATCTGCCCCAATAAAGTTGAATTTGCAATACGAATGAGTGTTATATAAAATATATTGACACTATATTACCCCCTGACATGCTCTGCCTGAACCTATTCCTGACAGCAAGAGTTGGATCATAGTGAAGCAGAAAAATTCAAAGAAGCCTATTCCCTGTGATAATATATTCATTTGATAGCTAGAACTCAACTTAACACCTGCCAAGGACTGCCCAGGAGTCAGTCATTACCTTGCCCACTAAGTTCTCTTAGAATGAGTCCGTGTGCACTCTCAGAAAAACTGAAGCTCAACAATGAACTAGAGACTCTTTTCAGCTTTCTTGGGAAACTTAAGCTAAAAGTGAAAGCATCACCTTTTCTTTACACAGGGGGATTTAGATCTGCTACTTAGTTTTTTCAAAACCACTCAATATCTGGTTTAGGGATGCATACGTTGGTGGTAAATATATACCTATCAAGAGAATGGCAAATACAACGAGTAAAGTAGTTATCCCAGTAGAACAGTGAGGGGTGGTACTTGTTCTATTTCTTAGTCTAAGTGGCAGGTACACCGGTGCCTATTTTACTACTAATATTTAAACCTCTGTATTGTATATACGCACTGTGATGATTAATTTTATGTGTCAACTTGACTTGGCTAAGGGACACTCAGATAGCTGGTAAAACACAATTTCTGGCTGTGTCTGTGAGAGTGTTTCCAGAAGAGATTAGCATTTGTATCAGTGGAGTGAGTAAAGAAGACCCACCCTTGTCAATGTGGGCAAGTGTCATCGTGTCATCCAATCTGCTTGGGGCCTGGATAGAACAAAAAGGTGGAATAAAAGTGAATTCTTTCTTCTTGAGTTTGGACATCCATCTTCTCCTGCCCTTTGACATCATGGCTCCTGGTTCTCTTTCCAGGACTTACACCAGTGATACCCACTCCTGCACTCCAGTTATCAGGCTCTCAGACTGGAAGATATACCACCAGCTCCCCTGGTTCTCAGGTCTTTGGGCTTGCACTGATTTACACCACTGGCTTTCCTGGTCCTCCAACTTTCAGATGGTATCCTGTGGGACTTCTTGGCCACTATAATTGCATGAGCCAATTCCCATAATAGATGTCCTGTTACATATCTACATATCCAGTTGGTTCTATTTCTCTAGAGAACCTGGACTAACACACACAAATTTGAGGATATAGCAAGAAGGCAGCCGTCTGTAAGCAAGAAAGAGAGCCCACACCAGACCCAACCATGCCGGCATCCTGAGCTTGGACTTCCTGCCTCCAGATCTTTTAGAAATAAATGTCTGTTATTTAAGCCATCCAATGTATAGTATTTTGTTACGGCAGCCAGAGCAGACTAAAACAACGAGGAAGCTTTGACAAATTCAGGTAATAGGAACTACACTGTGGAATTTACTGGTGATATTAAGCCCTGAGAAAATTATACTACAAATTACCCCTTTCCAGCCAAAATATAAGTCCTGCCCTAGCACCCTTCTATGGCTTCAACCTGACCTCCATTAACCCTCTTTCCCTATTTCCTGTTGGTTTAAATGTCTCATAATCCAGACTGTGATTAAATTAATTGGTTGAGAAATCCATTATACATTTTACGTGTGCATGCTCTGGATTTTACGTTTGAAGTAAAATGCCCACAGGTCACACTAATTAATTTTGTCTTCTATACTTGAAGTTAGACTACTTGAACTTATTATGCAAATTTATGCCAAATAATGCATAAATGAAAACTATTCAACCTCAGCAAATTCAAAATCTTCTAGCAACCAATCCACAATTATACTCTTATATTCATAAAAAACTTTTAAAGTCTATATACACCAAGATAAAACATAACAAAATATAATTTATAAAACATAGATTTCACCACAAATTGTAAACAGCCAGATAATAAATCAAGCTCAGGGACCCTATATATGAGACTGAATTGCCCAAAGCTTTATAAACCAATGTTGTTAAAGGTTACAATGAAAGGTGCCTAGAGTTGTTTCTTAAGTTAATTTTTTATTGATACATAATAATTTTACACGTTTATGGGGTACATGTGATATTTTGATATGTGTATACAATGTATAATGATCAAACCAGGGTAATTAAGCAATCTATCACCTCAAGCATTTATCACTTCTTTATGTTAGAAGCAGTCTCAATCTTCTCTTCCTAGTATTTTGAAATATACAATAAATTATTATTAACTACTATCACCTGTGCTATAGAACCATAAAGGTTATTTATTCTATCTACCTGTATTTGCACACCCATTGACCAAACTCTCTTCACTTCCCCTTACCCCTACGCTTCCAAGTCTCTGGTAATCACTATTCTACTCTCTACCTTCAGGAGACTGACTTTTTTAGCCCCTAGATATGAGACAGAATATGCCCTATTTGTCTTTCTGTGTCTGGATTATTTCACTTAACATCCTGTCCTCCAGTTCCATCCATGTTGCTGCAAACGACAGAATTTTATTCTTTTTATGGCATAACAATAATCTATTGTGTATATATACCACATTGTCTTTATCCATTCATCCATTGATAGACACTTAGGTTGCTTCTGCATCTTGACTATTATGAATACTGCTGTAATAAACTCAGGCATTCAAATATCTCTTCCATATACTGATTCCTTTCTTTTGTACCTACACATACCCAGCAGTGGGACTCCTGGATCATATGGTTAATCTATCTTTAGTTTTTTTGAGGAGGCTCCATTATGTTGTCCATGGTGGCCATACTAATTTACATTCCCATCAACAGTGTAGAGTTTTAAGAAAACTTGATTCAGTTGGTATGATGCAAAAGACAGTCAAATAATTTCCTCAAGTGAATTATTTGTTGAAGAAAGCCAAAAGACCCTTGTAGACCGACTCTGAGGTTAAACTGCCCTACCCAGGGATGTCTAAAGCAAATTTCATTCTGGCACAACCTTTAGCACAGCATCTTTGTGCTGAATTGCGTAGAGGCCAATGAAAATTCACAACAGATGGAACTCTGAGGTTAACACACATGCCAACTACATGAGCTCCCAGATGCTGAATTGAGCTAGGATCACTTTTCCTGGGCACAGCTGCTTGGAGCCTGATATGGTTTGGCTCTGTGACCCCACCCAAATCTCATCTTGTAGCTCCCATAATTCCCACATGTTGTGGGAGGGACCTGGTGGGAGATGAATGAATCATGGGGGCAGGTCTTTCCCATGCTGTTCTCATGATAGTGAATGGGTCTCACAAGATCTGATGGTTTTAAAAATGGGAGTTTGCCTGCACAAGCCCTCTCTTAGCCTGTCGCCATTCACATAAGATGTGACTTGCTCCCCCTTGCCTTCCCCCATGATTGTGAGGCTTTCCAGCCATGTGGAACTGTTGGTTCTCCATTAAACCTCTTTCCTTTGTAAATTCCCCAGTCTCAGGTATGTCTTTGACAGCAGTGTGAAAACGGACTAATACAGGGCCTAAGCCTGGGGGTTCAAGGAAGTAGCATTGAGAGAAGGATCAGAGTAGCTGAAGTAATTTATTTTCTTACGTGAGTGAATCATACTCCACACTTCTGGAAAAGCCAGATAAGCCAGAACAGACTTCCATTGCCTGCGATCTGGGAGTATGATCAAATCCATGTGATATTAAAGATACATAATTGTGTGTCATGTTGCATAGCATTGTGTCATATGATAAATTTAGGGAGGGGTGGAACAAATATGGATGAACATGAAAATGATAATACTGATTACATGATATGAAAAAGGAGGAGAAGGAAGAGAAAATGGAGGAAAAAGAGAGGAGGATGGAGGAGGAGGAAGAACAAGGAAGGAGAGGAGGAGAAAGGGGAAGGGAGGGCAAGGAGGAAGGAGAAAAAATAACCTACGTTCACATAAATAATATACCAGTTTTACTGTGTTATTTAATCTTTGCCACAATCCTGAGAGATGGATGTCATTATTTCTATTTTTAAAATGAGGAAAATGAGTCTCAGATAGATAACATGCCCTAAATATTACAACCACTAAAACGGAACACCAGCTTTCATCCTAGGTTTCTCTTACTCAAGAGCCCCTGTTCTGAACTATTCCTACTTTCCATTGAACTTGGGCTGCACATAAGGATGGAGTTTCTACTAGTTTTCAACACTGAGCTCAGAGAAGTGAAGGCACAAACCAGTGACAGGCTGACCAGCAGCTGAGGATGGACTCACGAGTCCCATATGTAGAGCTTCACAAGCACTAGGGAAAGGCTGTAAACAGGGAGGAAACATCTCCAGGCCTGGACAAAGGACCAGAACCATCAGACTCAGAAACTACCAGTGAAGTCAGACACATTCTCGTGAACATACTTGGCAGAAATGTGGTCATTTTTAAAGGCTCCCCATTCCTCTCCTTTTCCGATAGGCCAGATTCAGGTGAACTTATAGACCATGACTCAAGCTTATCAAAACTGCTGACAGCCTTGCTATATAACCTTGTCTGTAATTTAGGGGTCACAGAATTAAAGTAAGTATTGCTTACTTTACAAAGAAATGCAACTATACAATTGTGAGCAGATGCTAATTATTATTGGGACAATAGAGATAACAAGAGTACCTAGAATTTAATCAAGATTATTACAGAAAATCACTGTGACTTGTTTTGCTATTAAAATTCTTACAACAGAATTTCCAATACTGAACTGAAGACCTCAATGACAGTTAACACAAACCAAACATAAAACAAAACCCACGTTCTCACTTGAGGTGTGAAAAGTTCATGACATCAGAGGCACAAGCTATTCAAAGGTGTTTCCCAAGGATTTTTGATGTTGTGTTTACTTAACAGTATTAGTTTTCAGTCTGGCTAGCCTGTGATATTATCAATTTGGTAGTTTTGCTATAGTACATATTCTCATACCATTCATTTTAATGTTTAATTATCCTTGGTCAATAACTACATTCAGGAAAATTACGATTCCAGATACTTTTGATTATTTTTATTGCTCAATGAGCTTAGCTTCCCCTTGGTTCTTTTACAATATAGTATGTAAAGGCCCAATGTACTGAGAAAGATCATATTATCTACCCCACTGGGTTACTGTGAAGATTAAGTCCTACCTATAAAAACCATCCTATATTCACTCCTCTAAGCCTTATTTAATTCATCATTTTTACCCTTAATTCTATTATCAACATGTACTGCCCTTTCATAAATTCCCAAACCAATTTCAGCAGACTATATGTGAGAACATTTTATAGCAGATAATGTGTTGTGCCAAAGTCTCTAGAGTCTAAACTAAAGCATGTAAATAAAAGAATCAACCAAACCTACAAGGAGATGAGGGGAATCACAGCTGCCTGCTTGATGACACAAGCCAAGGCCCTAAGAGCCAAAGCAGAAAGAGCCACCTTTCACACTAAGTCCATGTGAAAGTGATAATGGGATTTATAAAAAGGGAGAAAACTCACAGCAGTTAATTCGTTCTCTGCAAGGTACCATGATGTGTTCAACAAGATGTCATTGTGGAAATAAAGAGCTGAGAGCTCAGCATTTTTTTAAAAAGATTTAATTATGTGACATTGCTGTTACAGTGCAATTACTGTTAAAATAGAATTGCAGCCATATGAAGCCATTGACCTATTCAAAGCACAAACAAACTATCTTCAATAGGATCATTATAAGAACGTGTGATACCTTAGAGAAAAGCTTCTCAGAAACCACTGTGTTTGCAAAGACTGGGCTTTAAGTTTTAAATATATATATGAATTGTGGAGGCTTTTTAAAAAAGGTTATCACCTTCTGAAAAGAACAATAAATATAATCACAGAATTAAAAAGTCAGAAAATAGGAAAGGTATTGAACAATATGGTAAACCATCAAAATATAGTCATCTTAGAATAAGCTTGTTAACACTATGTATATACACATTTTAAAAACTTGACATTTCCTTAAGCATCAATTTTAGATTTACTAACATAATCAATAGAGTTTATGCAAGTACTTGGTATCATTTAATCAACCTATGCATAGTATTAAGAAACCAATAGCCTTTTAAAAAAAACCCATTCCCTAGAAAATAACATAGAAATAACATAGGAGAAAAGCTAGATAAGCTTGGTATGGCAATGACATTTTAGATACAACACCAAAAGCATGATCCATGAAAGAAAAAAATGGTTAAGTCAGACTTCGTTAAAATCAAAACTTCCACTCTGTGAAAAGAGAGTGTTAAGAAAATGAAAAATTAGCCACAGACTGGGTGAAAATCTTTGCAAAACACGTATCTGATAAAAGACTGGTATCCCATCATTCTAAGCAAACTATCACAAGGACAGAAAACCAAACACCGCATGTTCTCACTCATAGGTGGGAGCTGAACATTGAGAACACATAGACAAAGGGGGGGAACATCCCACACTGGGGCCTTTCTGGGGGTGGGGGGATGGGGGAGGGATAGAAGAAAAAACAAAAAGAAAACTGATCTTAAATTTTGCACAAATTTCTGAAAAAAGAAAAGAAAAGAAAAGACTGAGGCCACAGGACAGAAGGAAGCTGGTTGTCCCACATGGACATAATGATGCCTTCTCCTTATGATACTCTCCTACCTCTTGGAGAGAACGTGCATTGAGAAGCTCAACCTTTGTCTCAGCAAGGCTCACCAGATCAATAATCAGATCTGAGCAATGGAAAATACTCAGAGAAACCATCTCATTTATGCTGTTGTAGTTGGTTCATGTCATATCTAATTCATTCTGTCTTGAAACAGGAGAATTACCCTAGATACAAATTGTGAGTGAATACAGGGGGAAAGCTTAGTAAATAAAAGCAAATTAGAATATTCACTTCTTTTAAAATAAGATTAAAAAATAATGTTCAATGCTGGCAAGGGTGCCATGAAATCAATTGTTTCAGAGTGTAAATTTGTGCACTTTGACAGTAGGTACTAGTATTCCTAAATGTTCTGTAACTCTGCAATCCACATCTAGGAGCCTACAACAAAGAATCCATAAGAGATGCAAAAAAAAAAAAAAAAGACTGGTACCCAAAAAATACATAGAATTCTTAAAACCCAACAATAAGAGAGCCAATTAAAAAACTGGGCAAAAGATCTAAACAAAATCTGACAAAAAGAAAATATAGGCAGCAAATACAGTCATCAAAAGATGCTCAACATTTTCTGTCATCAGAGAATTGCAAATTAAACAACAAAGATACCACTACACACCTAATAGAATGGCTAAAATTAAAAAAAACCACCACCACCAAATGCTGGTGGGGATGTGGAGCAATAGGAACATTCATTCATTGCTGGTGGAAATAGAAAACAGCACAGCCACGTTGAAAGACAGCTTGGCAGTTTCTCACAAAACTAAATATACTCTTACCATGCAATCTAGCATCAGCTCCTTGGTATTTACCCAATGGAGTTGAAAATTATGTCCACATAAATATCTGCACAGGGATGTTTATAGCACCTTTATTCATAATTGCCAAAACTTGTAAGCAACTAATATGTCCTTTGGTAGGTGAACAGATAAATTGTGGTATGCCCAGACAACGGAGTATTATTCAACAATAAAAAGAAACGAGCTATAAAGCAAAGACAAGACATAGGGGTATTTTAAATGAAGATTGCTAAGTGAAAGATGGCAATTTGAAAGGCTACATGATGTATAATTCCAATTATGTGAAATTCTGGAAAGGGCAAAAACTATGCTGACAATAAAATAATCAGTGGTTGCCAAGGGCTTGGGAGAGGAAGGGAGAAATGAAAAGACATAACACAAGGTATTCCTTGTGAAATATTCTGTACAATACAATAATGACTGCATGTCATTACACATTTGTGAAAGCCCATAGAATTATATGGCAAAAGAGTGAATCCTAACGTACACTATGGGATTCAGGCAATAATAACGTATCAGTATTGGCTCATCAATAGTAACAAATGAACCACATTAATGCAAAATGTTAATAAAGGGGAGAACTGTGTGTGGATAGGTTGCGGTAGGGGAGGGTTGAGAGGATATATGGAATTCTCTGTACTTTCTACTTACTTTTTCTGTAAACTTAAAACTGCTCTGA